>NC_000003.12:174955574-176205574 GCF_000001405.40 Homo sapiens | reverse complement strand
ATCTGAGCCTTCAGTTAATCCTTATCTTTTTGCCCATGGAGAGTACTGCTTTGATGTTGACTGATTAGGGTAGCGGTTGCTGAGGGTTGGGGTGGCTGTGGCAGTTTCTTAAAATAAGACAACAATGAAGTTTGTTGCAATGATTTGGTCTGCCTTTCATGAAAGATTTCTCTGTAGCACACAATGCTGTTTGATAGCATTTTAGCCACAGTAGAACTTATTTCAAAATTGGAGTCAATCCTCTGAAACCCTGCTGCTGATTTATCTGCTAAGGGTATGTGATATTTAAGTCCTTTGCTATTATTTCAACAACATTCACAGCATCTTCACCAGGAGTAGATTCCATCTCAAGAAACCACCTTCTTCACTCATCTCTAAGAACAACTCCTCATCCGTCCAAGTTTTATCATGAGATTGCAGCAATTCAGTCACATCTTCAAGCTCCAATTTTAATTCAAGTTATCTTGCTATTTCCACCACATCTGCTATTACTTCTTTCACTAAAGTATTGAATCTCTCAAAATCATCCATGGGGTTTGGAATCCCCTTCATCCAAACTCCTGTTAATGTTGATATTTTGACCTCCTCTCATGAGTCACAAGTGTTCTTAATGGCCTCAAGAATGGTGAACCTTTTTCAGAATGCTTTCAGTTTACTTCACTCAGATTCATCATTGGAATCACTATCTATGGCAGCTGTAGCCTCATGAAATGTATTTCTTAAATAATAAGAGTTAAAAGCCAATATTACTGTTTAATCCACACACTGAAGAATGGATATAGTGTTAGCAGGTATGAAAACAACATGAATCTCTGCGTACATCTCCATCAGAGCTCTTGGGTGACCAGGTGCTCTGGCCAATGAGCAGTAATATTTTGAAGGGAATCTTTTTTCTGGAAAGTAGGTTTCAACAGTGGGTGCAAAATATTCAGTAAACCATGCTGTAAACAGATATGCTGTCATCCAGCTTTGTTGTTCCATTTATAAAGCACAGACAGAGTAAATTTAGCAGAATTCTGAAGGGCCCTAGCATTTTCAGAATGGTAAATGAGCATTGGCTTCCACTTGAAGTCACCAGCTTGTATTAGCCCCTAACAAGAGAGTCAGCCTGTCTTTTGAAGCTTTGATGCCAGCCATCGACTTTTGTCTAGCTATGGAAGTTCTATATGGCATCTTCTTCCAATGTTTGTCTACATTAAATATCTGTTGTTTAGTGTAGTCACCTTCACCAATTATCTTAACTAGGTCTTCTGGTTAACTTGCAGCAGCTTCTCCATCAACACTTGCTGTTTCACCTTGCATTCTTTTGTTATGAAGATGGATTTTTTCCTTAAACCTCACAAGCCAAACTCTGCTAGCTTCCAGCTTTTCTTTTTTTTTTTTTGAGACAGAGTTTCGCTCTTTTCGCCCAGGTTGGAGTGCAATGACGCGATCTCGACTCGCTGCAACTTTCACATCCCAGGTTCAAGTGATTCTCTTGCCTCAGCCTCCCAAGTAGCTGGGATTACAGGTGTGCACCACTACGCCTGACTAATTTTGTATTTTTAGTTGAGACAGGTTTTCACCATATTGGCCAGGCTGGTCTCGAACTCCTGATCTCAGGTGATCCATCCGCCTCAGGCTCCCAAAGTGCTGGGTTTACAGACATAAGCCACCATGCCCAGCCCCCAGATTTTCTTTTCTAGATTCCTCACCCTTCTCAGTCTTCACAGAATTGAAGACAGACCCTTGCTCTGGATTAGGCTTTAGCTTAAAGAATGCTGTGGCTGATTTGATCTTCTATCAAACCACTCAAACCTTCTCCATATCAGCAATAATGCTGTTTTGTTTTATCATTTGTGTGTCCACTGGAGTAGCACTTTAAATTTTCTTAAAGAATTTTTCCTCTGTATTCACAATTTGGCTTGCTGTTTAGTGCAAGTGGCCTAGTTTCAGCCTGTGTCAGCTTTGGTATGCCTTTCTTACTGAGCTCAATCATTTCTAGGTTTTGATTTAAAGTGAAAGATATGTGAGTCTCTGTTTCTTGGGAACACTTAGAGGCTATTGCAGGATTAGTAATTGGCCTAATTTTAATATTGTTGTGTCTCAGGGAATGGGGAGGCCTAAGGAGAGAAAGGCAGATGGGAAACAGCCTGTTGGTGGAGCAGTCAGAACACACAACATTTATGGATTAAGTTTGTCATCTTTTATGGGTGCAGTTCATGAAACACAACGGTAACATCAAATATTGGTGAAATAGATCATCATAATAGAATAATGATGAAAAAGTTTGAAATATTGGGAGAATTACCAAAATGTGACACAGAGACATGAAATGAGCACATGCTGTTTGAAAACAGTATACATAGATTTTCTTAATGCAGGGTTGCCAGAAACATTTAACTTGTGAAAAACCCAATATCTTTGAAATGCAACAAAGCAAAGAGCAATAAAATGAGGTATGTCTGTATTTCACAGATTTTGTAAAGGGCTGATTAACGATCCTCCACTCCTCTGGCCACAGACACAAAAAATTCTAGAGAAAATGTATGAAATTTTAATCAATTAATGGCTGCTCCTGTAAAAAGACATTTCAGTAAGGCCAGGAAAAAAGTGGGACCACATCACTGACCATGCCTACTCCAGAAGGATTTTTGTAGCTAATGGAGAGGTGGAGATTGTTGACTGAGTCTTAAGTCTATACTGGGAAGAGAGTCAGTTTAGAAATCATCCACCTAAAACTGAAACTGAGAAAATGATGAGCTGGCACTAACCTATTAAGCCAACAATAAAGGAAAATTGTTTGTCTGAATTCTGGCTCCGTTGGAGATTAAAATGCAATAAATAAAAATGCTTATATGTCTGTGGGCCTGAGTTACACTATACATGTTTTCTAAAAGTCTGTACCTACAAAATTTTAACGGTAATTACATCTGTAATTGCCTTGTGAATCTTGCCAAAGCAAATATAAAACCTCTCAGAAAGGGATCCCCAAACACCACAAGAAGTTACGAAAGGAAAACACTAAAAAATGGTGAGCTAAAAAAGTAAGATATGGGAAAATCTAATATATTGACTACATAGCAAAAGTAGTATCATGAATAATTTCTAAATTGAAGACACTTTGAAAATGTCACAATTAAAACATAGGATAATAATAGCATATAAGCTAGGAGAGGTTAAACATCTTGAGAGGCCGAGGTGGGCGAATCACGAGGTCAGGAGATCGAGACCATCCTGCCCAACACGGTGAAACCCCGTCTCTACTAAAAATACAAAAAATTAGCTGGGCCTGGTGGTGGGCGCCTATAGTCCCAGCTACTTGGGAGGCTGAGGCAGGAAAATGGCGTGAACCTGGGAGGCGGAGCTTACAGTGAGCCGAGATCAGGCCGCTGCACTCCAGCCTGGGCGATAGAGCCAGACTCCGTCTCAGGAAAAAAAACAAACAAAAAAACAAAAACAAAACTTGGGGTCCTTAAACTGTATAGAAGGAGGGTAAAAACTTTAGAAAATTAAACCATTAAATTAGGTATGTGCATAATAATTTCAAGGCTTACCAAATACAAATAGTTATTTTTCGAAAACAGAAGAAGATTAAAATAGAATTAGAAAAAGAAATTATGTTAGCACAAAATAAGACATGAAGCAGAGGAAAAAAAAATGGAAAATACCCACAAATAGGAAGCAAGAATAAGGTGGTAGAAGTAAATGTAAATATAGCAACATATATTTAGACACTGTGTAAAAAACTCAATTACTTGCTTTTTAATAAAACACACCTAAAATATAAAAACTGATAAAAGTAAAGAGTGAAAGTTTGGGAAAAGGAAATTAAGTAAACACTCAACACAAGAAAGCTGGTGTAGCCATTTTTGTTCTGGGATACCCATTCTTATGGGGGTGGCTGACAGCAACAGTAGTGTGAGAGAGAGATGACATTCTTAAGTCACTTTACAGTTCTAGACAGCAATGAGGGGCAGCAGGTGGCAGGACACAATAGGGACTGTTTGTAAGCTCATGTGAAATACCTTGGGGAGCTCCCAAGATATCCTTGTCTCAGAATCAGGAGAGTTTTTTTGTGGTATTAGAGTATGATTATATGCATGTAATTTAGGCATAAATAATGCCACATTAACACATACATGCACATATAACATGTATAACACTTATAACATTAATTTAATTTTATAATTCATAACGTTTGACTTGAACCAGCAGGCAGGTAAACCTAGAGAAATACGGGCTGTATCCATTACTTTTGTTTACAACTTTCCAGGAGACTCTGAAGGCCATTGGTGAGCAGTTGATGTATCAAATGCATTCTCTCTGCAAATAAGTAGATCTAGCTAATACCAAATATTGGGTATATATTCAAACTTGTCACTTTTGAAATCAAACTATAAGAGAGGTTATAGATGTCTCATGGATGTAAAACTAATTGTATCTAAAATATAATAAATTATAAAATATTCACTATGGGATCCAAATAGTGTCAGTTTTCACTTAATGGTTGTCTGTTAAGTCCAACTATTATATCAGGTGTTTTTAGGGTATTCTTACTCATTCTTCAAAGGTTATCAAATTGATTATATTAGCTCTGTTTTTGGCTAGGAAAATTAAATTTAATGAGATTGCGTAGTTTACAATAACATTGGAGAACTTAATGTAACAATTTTCTAAAAGAACTTTTAGGAAATTCTCATTCTGAGACAAGGATATCTTGGAAGCTCCCCAAGTTATTTCACATGAGCTTACAGTCTCTATTGTGTCCTGCCACCTGCTGCCCCTCATTGCTGTCTAGAACTGTAAAGTGACTTAAGAATGTCATCTCTCTCTCACACTACTGTTGCTGTCAGCCACCCCCATGTTTTTCTATTTTTTTCACCTTAGCACTTATCACTCTCTAACATATCACAGTATTTATTGTATTTAAAAAAATAGATATCTCCTCAAGTAGAAAGAAGCCCCATGAGGATAAAAATTTCTGATTTTTTTGTTCATTGCTCTTTTCCCAGAACCTAGAAGAGTTTCTGCCATAGTAAGCAATCAACAAGTATTTTTTAAATAAATGAATTAATAAATAAATAATCTGTGATCAAGGATTTTGAATAGCTTTATTCAGTGGCTATTGGTTCCAAGCTCTTTATTATGACAGAAGAGATGGTGTTTGCAGAATATTCCACCTACTTGGGAGACCCTTGTTCAAAGAAAGGATTTGTCCTTCTTAATCATGAAGTAATAAATCATAATATTATATCAACTGTTAAAAATAATTTTAAATGTTAAAAAATATATTGCAAAACAAAACAGAAAAATAATCCTTACCAAATGTAGAAATAACACATGAACTTTAGATAAGTATGAATTACTGATACCGTATTCAAAATGTAGAAGCTATGAAGAAAAATGAATACACACATTTGCACATTTACTCAAGGTATGTAATGACATATTTTGTGATTTAAGACCCTTGATATTATCTTTGGTCACAAATCAAAGCCACTAGCTTTGTCTTAAAAGAAAATGAGATGGTTTACTTCAATAAAAATTAATTGCGTTCCAGTTCCGTGTTTATTATCATTGATAGGCAATACTATATACATCTACTTCACCTCCTTCTCACAATATGATTTCTTAAACAGACATAAATAATGTTTATTTCTTCAGATAGAGATGAGCAATGATCTTGCCTCCAGCAATAATTAATTGGTGGCTTGTAAAGTTGAGAAGAATAATTTTATTTATGTAAATAATCTGTTTCAGTTATTCTAGGTTATAGATGAATTGTGAGTAGCTTAGTTATAAGAAGAAACTGAGATGTATTTTAATTAGTACGGTCAGGTCCAGCTATGCATGAAAAACTAGATAAAAATAATTTGAAAGGCATTCTATGTTTATATATTTTTTGAATTTATTATTTTAAAAAATTTTTTCCAACTATGTCATGTTTTCAAAGATTTTCTTTTTAAAAATCATTGATTCTAACAAAGTTTTATGCAGTCTTAAAATATAATGGCATCTCTTACTTTATGAGTATGTATTTTACCTAATCCATGAGAAATGTGTTCTGGTTTTTTTTCAGCCTTTATATAAACTGGTGGTATCAAGCAAGCATTTCTATCAAAAAAAGATACTCATAGATACTATGTACTTTATGTGTATTAATGTATTTAATCTTAAAGACAACTTTATGCAATATTTACTACTATTGTTACTCTCATTGAACAGAAGAAAACTGAGGTAAGGTCTCATAGCCAACGAGCAGTGGATTCAGAATTCAAACACAAGCATTTTGGTTCAAAAGCTCAAACTATGAACACTATAAAAATATTAATTACAATTAGAATTATAATAAAAACAGCACCTATCACTTATGTGACAAACATTGTGTTAGATGTTTTATATAAATTATCATCTCTTTATTAATTTACCATTCTTCTCTACTTAAGGTCAATTGACTACAGATATGTGTGTCTATTTCTAAATTTTATTATTTCTAATGATCTGCGTGTCATTATTTGCAGCAATATCACACTTTAATGCTTACTGCTTTATAGTAAATATTGAAGTTAGGTAGTGTAAGTCCTCCCTCATTTCTCCATTTTTTCAAATTTGTTTTGAATATTCTAGATCCTTTACGTTTTCAGATAAATTATAAAATTGGCTTTTTAGTTTCCACCTCAAAACATTTTGAGATTTTGGCAAGAAGTTGACTGAATCTACAGAGAACAAATATCTTAAGAATATTTAATCTTCTGATTCATAAGCATAGTATAACTTTGTATTTGGGGGAATGTTTGTTAATTTATCTCAGCAATGTTTTATATTTTTCAATGTAGAGGACTTGAAAATTTTTTAAAATTTAATTCTAAATATTTTACATTTTATATGGACATGTAAGTAATTTTCTGATTGTTTGCTGATAATATTTATATATGAAATTGATTTTTGTATATTAAAAATATATCCTGTAAACTTGCTCAACACACCTATTGGATCTAGAAGGATTGTTTTTGTAGTAACAATTTTTAATTAGGAGTTTAGAAAGATAATCATGTCATCTGTGACTAAAAAGTGTCTTACTTCTTCATTCCTACATTATGTATTTTATTTCTATTTCTTACCCTATCACACAAGCTAGTATTTTCATTACAAAATAGATAGATGAGGGAAGAATCATTATTTTGCCCTAATTCTTATTTTAGGAGACATGTATTCTCTATTTACCATTAAAATATGAGATCAATTATAGTTTTTTATCACATGTAAATGTTTCCAGGCTGAAGATGTTCACTTTTGATACGGTTTTCCAAGAGATTATTTTTCTAAACACAAAAAGATATCAAATTGCTTCAAATGCTTTTATACATCTATGAATGTTGATCATATGACTTTATAAATTTGTTAATATGGTGAACTAGACTGATTACTTTGAATGTTAAACCAACCTTGCATTCCATAAATAAATTTCACTTGTTTATATTTTAATATATTACTTCATTTAATTTCCTAAAATTTTGTTAGGAACATTTCATCTGTGTACATGAGAAATATTATAGTTTGTTTTGCTTGCATGGTTTTGACATGATGGCAATTCTAGCCCCATAAAATGAATTGAGAAATGATCTGGAAAATTATGAAATCTTTCATATAAAATTTGTAACATTTACTCCTTAAATGTTTGGTAGAATACATAAGTGGAGCTATCAGGTCTTTCAGTTTTCTTTGTGGTAAGATTGTGATAGATAGACAGTAAGATTGTGGCAATTTGGGTCTTCCAAATAATTTTTCCATTCTATCTAAATTATTACATTTCTTAACATAAATTATTTGTAATATTTCCTTCTCATTGTAATACCCATAGGTTCTTTAATCATGTCTCATCTTTCATTCCTCATGTTGGTAATTTATTTGCCCTCTGTTTTATCATTTAAACTATATGGCTAGAAATTTATCAATTTTATTGATCTGTTCAAAGAAACACTTGATTTCATTCATTCTCTCTATTGTTTTCCTGTTAAGAATTACATTGATATTTGCCATTATCTTTTATTAATTGCTCCTTTCTTTGTTTTGATTGTTCTTCTTTCCTGGTTTTGTAAGGGTAAAGCCTAAACATGAGTCTGCAAACTACAGCCCATGGGTCAGAACCTGTTTTTGTAAATAAATTTTTATTGGAATGCAGCCACACTCATTTGTTTAGATATTGTCTGTGATTGCTTTCTCACTGCAGCCTCAGAGTTGAGTGATTGTGACAGAGAATATAAGGCCTAGAAGCCTAAAATAATACTCTCTGAATCTTTAAGAAAAAGTTTTTTGACTATTGGCTGAATGACTGTTTTGGGATTTTTCTTCATTTCTGATATAAAAATTTAAAGCTATATATTTCCATTTCATCACTATTTTACCTGCCTTTCTCAAATTTATATGTGCTATGTTTGATTTTCACTTGATTCAAGATATCTTTAATTTTCTTTCTGATGCTTTCCTTAACTCATAAATTATTGAGAAATGTATGGTTTAATTTCCAAGTATTTGGAAATTTATCTTATTACTTCCTTTAGTGATTTATAGCTTAATCTCATAGTAGTTGGTTAGAGAATGTATTTTGTATTAATACAGACAGGAGACAGGGAAAAATACTGGGTAGAATAGGGCTGTCCCCAGCAAAACCTCACCTTCAAGCCTGAATCCATGGCCCAAAGTGAGACATGCATTCCTGTTTTCCCACCCGAATGTTGCCTTTTTCAAAACCACTCTGGCCTGCCCTGCTCCCAATCCTGTACCCATAAAAACCCCAGGCTCCACTGGCAAAAGTGGCAGAGTGGCAGAGCAGCAGAGAAGGAGAGAAGAGAAGAAACAGCCAGACATTGGAGAAAAGCAGCTTGACTTCAGAGGGATGGCTTGACGCTTAACAGTGGGTCCTCAGAGAAGAGTTTGGCGGGGGATGACTGAACTCTTCTCTGAGGTCCCACTGTCAAGCTGTCTCTCTGAAGGGAGAAGACCACCTTCCCACATCATCCCCTTTCCAGCTCCCCATCCTGATGAGAACCACTTCCACCACTCAATAGAATCCTCCACATCCACCACCCTTCAATTCATTTGTGTGACCTGATTCCTCCTGGATGCCAGACAATGACCTGGGTGTGGGTGCAAGGGGCTGTCACACGACCCTCCACTGAGCTGTCTAACACTTAAGCCACCCACAGACAGTGAAAGTAAAAGAGGACACTGTAACACATTCCCTCTGAGGCTCTGGGGGTCATGGGCAACCCCTAGATGATGCTGCAGGTTCACACGGAGTTCTGCTCTTGTTGGTTACCCAGAAGCGCTCATCCTGGCCTCTGCACCTGCCCACCTGCATGTTCCCCCTCCCGTGAGGGGTTGAGAGCTTTGGGCTGAGTAAAAAGCCAACCCGCTTGTGAGTCCTTTGAAGAGGTCAAGGAAACTATCAGATTTCAGTGTGATTTTCATCCATTTATTTAGTTTTATATTGTGATACTCAGGGTATATTATAATACAATTATAATTATGTTAATAATATTATAAATTATATTCATATTTACAATAATATAATCATAATTATAAGGTAATCTAACCTGTTAAATGTTTCACGTACACATTGAAAAAATAGTTGGCTAACCACAGCCCATGGCCCTATCTATCTTACAATGTGTTTTTTTTTTTTTTTGGGACATAGCCACTTTCATTCATTTATGTATTGTTTATGGCTGCTTCTCTGTTTCAAAGACAAACTTGGGTAGTCATGACACCGGGCATATGGCCTGCAAAGTCTAAATTATTTTATTTCTGAACCTTGACAGAAAAAAGTTTGCCAATCACTGCTTTCAAAAAATATGTTCTGCTCTTGTCTAGCAAAGTGTTTTACAAATGTCAATTACAAAAAGGTTGCACAAGTCTCTGATTTTCTGTCTACTTGTTCTACCGATTGAAAGAAAGCCATTGAAATCTCCAACTCTAATTGTGGGTTTTTCTACTCCTCTGTAAAATTTCTGTTAGTTTCTGCTTTGTGTAGTTTAAAGCTCTATTTTTAGGTACACTAAATTTAGGTTTATTATGTTGATGAATTGCTCCCTTTATCATCTCTTTTTGTTAATATCATTTGCTTTGAAATACACTTATATCTCTTTTGATCCTTTTTTTGTTTCCTTTTACTTTGAGATAATTCTATAGAATTGTATATTCACATGAAATTGTAAGAAATAATACAAAGAAATGTTGCATAGCTTCACTCAGTTTTCCTGAAAAATAACATCTTGTATACCTATAATACAATATCATAGCCATAACATATACTTTGATAAAACCCACCTACCTTAATTAAATTTCTCCAGATTTGCATACACTCACTTGTGTGTATGTAATCATATACAACTGTTTTCCAGAGTGGCTATACCAATTTACCCTCCCACCAGTATTGTATAAGTGATACAACTTCTCCACATCCTTCCCAGCCATTGATTGCTTTAAGGTTTATGGTATATGTCTTTAACATATCAAAGTCTATCTACTTTTAAGTGATATACAGGTATCATGTAAAAGAACTTTACAACAGTATGCTTCTGTTTATTTCTTCCCAGCCTTTGTACCACTGTTGTCATACATTTTATTTCTGTAAAAGTGATAAGACTCATAAGACTTCATTTTTTGCCATTAAACAGTTAACACTTAAGTAGACGTAAATAATTCCTTTTGTATACCCATAAAATATCCAGTTTTGATTGTCTCCATTTCTTTGTTTATAGCCAAATTCCCATCTTGTATTATTTTCCTTGTGCTCAAATAACTGTCTTTATAATTCTTCATATTGT
The DNA here is from genome assembly GCF_000001405.40 of Homo sapiens. NCBI lineage: Eukaryota > Metazoa > Chordata > Mammalia > Primates > Hominidae > Homo > Homo sapiens. The sequence continues at coordinate 176,194,763 of NC_000003.12, read as the reverse complement.
ATATCTGTTGGTGGTTAATTCTTTTACATTTTGAATGTCTTCAAAATCCTTTTTTTTCCCCCGCAGGTTTTTAAAGGCTTTTTCTTTAGAAACATGCTTTTATTTTTAATAGATTTTTTTAATTGATAAAGAATTTTATGTTGATGGGATTGACGATTTTCTTTCTTCTTCATTTCTTTTTTTTGGTTGTTGTTGCTGTTGTTTTCAGTACTCAAATGATGTTTCTCTCTTCTAACTTGCACTATTTCAAGAAGAGATCATTTGTGTACAATGGGTTACTCTCTAGCTGCTTTTAAAATTTTCTTTCACTGGTATAAAGCAATTTGGTTACTGTATGCCTTGGTATAGTTTCTTGTGTTTGAGTTTTCTTGAGTTTCTTGGATTTGTGGGCTTACAGGTTTTAAGAAATTTGGAAAAAAACTTAGTCATTGTATCTTTAGGTATTCTATCTATTTCTTTCTTTATTCCTTCAGGGACTTCAATTACATTTTATATTATGCTACTTGAGTTGTCTGCCAGTTCAGTAACATTTTGTTCATTTTTCTCATGTTTCTTTAACTTGTGTTTCACTTTGGTGTTATGGTGTTTTGTGTTTTCTATTGCTATGTCTTCAAGTTAATTAATCCTTTTTCATACAATGTCTAATCAGAAGTTATTCATTACCAGAATATTTTTTCATTGCAGACATTTTAGCTTTCATCTTTAGAAGTTCAATTTGAATCTTCCTTCTGTGTTTTAATTGTTAAATGTTTTATCCAATTTATTGAGTATATGCCATACAATTTTAATAGTTGTTTTAATGTCATTTTCTGCTAATTTAGTTATTTGTGTTATCTTTGGATGTTTCAGTTAACTAAGATTTTTCTCATTAAGTGTCATATTTTTCTACATCTTTGCATACCTGGCAATATTAGATCTAATAAATGACATAAATTTTATCTGTTTGCATACTGGATTTTTAAATATATATAAAAATATTTTTGAGCTTTTTTCTGGGATGCAGTTTAGTTAAATGAGAACAGTTTGTTCCTTTCAGGTCTTGATTTATGCTTTGTATGTGGGGCCAGAAAAAGCATTTAATCCAGACTTAATGTTTTTTCAATACCAAGGCAAGATCTTTCTTAGCCAAAAATGGCAAACTCCAGCTGGAAGACTGGGGATTGTTTTGATAAATAAAGTATATTGAAACAGAACCATGGTTGTGTTTTTCCATTTTTCTATTTTCTCTGGCTGCTTTTGTGCTACAATGACAGCTGTAACAAAAACTATGTGGTCCACAAAGCCTGACCCTTTAAGGAAATGTTTGCCAGTTGCTCTCCCAATGGATACCTCATAAGTTAATGAGGTTTCCACTCTGTCTTTTGAGAACAGCCATTATCTGGCCTTATATTTTTCTTTCTCTGGCTCCAGATAGTTTGTATATATGTAATAATCAGTACTCAAATGAATACAGGAGGGGAACCCTCTGCAACTCTCTGAGTTCTCTTTCTGCATAGCTCTCTCCTACAGGAGACTTTTGTCATGCAAATTCTAGCCACCTTGGTTTGTCTGAACTCCCAGTTCTTTCTGCTCAGCTCAGGAACACCACTGAACTCTTTGATTTTTCCATCTCAGCACTGTGGCCCAGAATTATTCTCTAGACAGAAAACCTGGGCAAATGAAACTGACCTTTTCATTTTCCATCTCTCAGGGATCACTGTCTTTTCTTGTCTGATGCTCAATTTTCTGAGAATCATTGTTTCCATATTTTGTCCTTTATTCTAGGTGTTTCCTAATCTTGTCCAGAAGTGGCAGTCCAAGATTTAAATTTTTTTCTCAAGTTCTAGGATAAATAAACAAAAACATATGGGTCTTAATGTTTAATTTATCATAGGTAAAATGTCTGGATCTAACTCATTCTAAAATGAGAAGCTCAGAATTAATAATTTCTAAATTCTTCCCACTTTTTACAAATTGTGAATAAGAAATTTTGCAATATGTAAGTCACAGAAAGACATTTAATAATTTGGAGAAATAAGAGGGTGTTTATATGTAGGTAATCTTGGGTGAGTTTAATTAAATGAAGAAAACTCCAACTATTAGCATTGATTATGTAATATAAGCAAGCTATTTTAATTTTAATCCAATAATGAACTACCTTTAAGATAGTTCATCATAGATTATCTTTTTTTCTTCTAATAAATGGCTGCTTTTTATTGTCATTACCCATTCACCAAAGAACACTGGGAAAGTAGACTGTAGTTGAATACAATGGTTTTATTGCTCTTTGAAAAAGGGAGAAAATTCATAATAAAAAAGTATCTCAGTAAGAAGTTGTTAGAAAATATTTACAGGAATTGAGCTTGTGTTAGGAAAGATTCACAGAAGCATGGATTTGCTCCAGATTGGATGTTGTCAGGAAGCAGGAACAATTCTATGATTGGATTCATAATAAATAGTGTCTATAAGGCAGGAGGAAAACATTGGGGCTAAAGATGTAATTGGTAAAGAAGCAGCAGTCAAGCATATTAGTCAGGATTGAGATGTTTGGTCTTTTTTATGGCTGAGACAATGATCATACTATTTGTGTTGAGCCATGATTATGGAATAGTCTTGTTTTTGTCTTAATTCTCATTGATAGCACAGCATGGCCTTTTCTGATGTTGATATTTCTGTTAAATTGTTTATGTTCAATAGAAGAAAATCAAAGCCTAGTCGTGTCAGGCCACTTTCCAAATGCCAGAAGCTGCTTTTTTTTTTTTTTTTTTTTTTTTCTGATTGTCAGACATGAGTACAAGATAGAGTAGCAAGAACCCTGCATTGGTATTTAGGAGACCGGAATTACCATCTTCCTTTTTCTATCATCTATGTATCATTGAATAAATAAACACAAATATCTGGGTCACAATGTTTAATTTATCTCAGGTAAAATTTCTGGGTCTAACACTTTGTAAAATTAGAGAGTTAGATTTTAATAATTTCTAAAGATGGTCTCATTTCTTATATTCTATAAATAAGAATTTTTTAAGCTAAAAGATTTCATTCTGAAATACTGAGTGAAATAAAACATTAGGGAATTGTATTTTTTATTTCTTTAGATATAATCTTCATAGTAGGGATAAGAGGTCTCTATGCCCTGCTTCTTACTTTCTGAATCTCTGGGAATAAGTCCATGAACAAAGCTGTCTCTTATTTTATCTTTCATAACAATGCAGATGATAATACTTCTAATTCATTGCATGGCTTTGAAAAAATACAATTCTATTTTATTTCCCTTTTAATAGGAAAGATGACATATTACAAATAATTCTTTCCCTTCCCTCCTCCAACAAATTCACATCTATATATTTTATAGGAACATTTTTTATTTAGTATATTTCATGGCTCAATTTATACATGAGACAAAATTTTTAGAATTTTAGAATTATATTCATCATTAGAGTTCACCTGTTTATTTTTTCATCTGTGTAAATATTCATTTTAGGTAGTGCCTCACATTTTAGCAATGAGCCCTTTTAAGGTATTTTACATCTACGTAATCTAGAAAGAGAGTAGGCACTATTGTTTGTTTTCACCTTGGCTTTCTGGGAAAGTTCTGCTCCTTGTTGAAAGTTCGCTGGGTATCTCTTATCTTTTTCCTAGCCAATACTTGGATATATTATGCTGTGAAATATTTTTAACTGCCAGTATGTCTTTATGTGTGTCACAGATTTCTTTGCATGATCCTTTAAATACACAGCCTGAACTGTTAAGTCAGATTATGTTCCTTTACCATGTGCAGATCCCCTGTAAATGGCTCAATCAGTGCCTAGAGCAAAATGCTACCTGTCTGTCTCTGGTGTGGGATCTTTTCCAAGTTGACAGATGGCCCTGCTTCATCTGTCTGCTCCCAGGACAGTTCCTGGGAGAATCATAGGCTGGATGTACTCAGATAAAGTAAGGATTTGGCCTGTAAAGCAACCAGTGAGAATTTGCTTAGATTTATCTTTTTCCTATTAACTTTTTTTTTTTTTTTTTGAGAAGGAGTCTGGCTCTGTCACCCAGGCTGGAGTGCAGTGGCGTGATCCCTGCTCACTGCAAGCTCCGCCTCCCGGGTTCAAGCCATTCTCCTGCCTCAGCCTCCCGAGTAGCTGGAACTACAGGCACCCGCCCCCCAGGCCCGGCTAATTTTTTGTATTTTTAGTAAGATACGGGGTTTCACCGTGTTAGCCAGGATGGTCTTGATCTCCTGACCTGGTGATCCTCCCGCCTGGGCCTCCCAAAGTGCTGGGATTACAGGCGTGAGCCACTGTGCCCGGCCCCTATTAACTTTTAAGAACTATCAAAAAAGAGACAGAAGATTCACATAAAGTTCTTTGGTGAAATAAATAAATGGCCTTGTGAGAAATTGGTAACAAATATATTGGGGAAAAGTATAATATTTAACATGTGATTTTATTAAGTGCAAATATTTTTACCAATTATTCAGTACTTCTGGCTTAGCTGGCCTTATTTCTGGAGCAGGTTAGCAGTAAAACATAGATCAGTACAGGATGTGGTTGCTTTATCCTTTGGAAGTTATGGTCTGCTTATACCCTTTTCCGTTGTTTTTAGTCTCAAGTGTACTATCAGCTCGGCAATGATCTTGGCATTACAGGAAACAAAGATGCCTATGAGTACTTTCACAGAGCTAAAAAGATAGTTGGAGAGATAAGATGCCAAATATTAACAAATTATAAAAACTAAGAATTTTCTGAAAGAAAATGATCACAGTGAGCAGTATTATTTTCACAGGAATGTATAAGGTTTTTTGAGATAATCCCCACTTTATGAGATTGTTTTGTTTTCATAAAGGAGGCATATTATATATAGAATTCAATGTCTATGTCTTCACGATACTTTCCATAAAAACCAGGGGTAAAAATCTGAACGTGTGATTGGCTATTCCATTTTAGAACTTGTTTACACATACTCACACATGCAGAAAACCATAGTTATAAACATACTCATATATAAATGACTTTGTAGAGAAAGCAAAATTTGAAACACATTTTAAGTGATCAAGATGATTAAAGTAAAAAGGAGAGAATAAAGAGCTTTTTAAGAACAAAAACTGTATGAATGAATTCAAAGAGTTGGAAAACCTTCTCTGAGTTTGGAGGATGGTGAAAAGACTAGTCTAGAAAGAGCAAGGGTAGTAGGAGGAAAAACAAGAAATAAAGTTAGAGAGGTGAAACAGGGTTAGCATTTAAAAGACCTTCAAAACTTGAGTTTCAGTTTTACAAGATAAATATTATATGATCATTGCTATTTCATGATCAAAATATTTTTACCATGAGACTCATCTTCCAGAGATTGTACAAATTCAGATATACAACTTAGGAGCCAGAAGAGCAAAGTAGACATAGGACAAAATTTTGAATTTGAGGATTTTATTTGAAGTTGTCATAAGAAATATACTTAATCCCTCTAAGTCTCAATATTCTCTTCTGTCAGATTTGGGCAGTCATATAATCCCACCTCTGTATGGTATAATATTCAAATAAAAGGATACGATAAAATATCTCATAAAATTATAACAATATTCATTTTATATGTTACTTTTCCATTAAAACACTGAAAGTATAGCTATAATGTGATAAGGATCTGGACAGTGGAGATGACATGCAATAGAAATGCTTGGGTCAGAGCTGGGGGGCGTAGTGGCTCATGCCTGTAATCCCAGCACTTTGGGAGGCCAAGGCAGGTGGATCACAAGGTCAGGAGTTCAAGACCAGCCTGGCCAAGATAGTGAAACCCTATCTCTACTAAAAATACAAAAATTAGCTGGGTGTGGTGCAGGCGCCTGTAATCCTAGGTATTTGGGAGGCTGAGGCAGAGAACTGTTTGAACCCGGGAGGTGGAGGTTGCAGTGAGCCCAGATTGTGCCACTGCCTCCAGCCTGGGTGACAGAGTGAGACTCCGTCTCAAAAAAACAAAAAAAGAAATGCTTGGATCAGAAAATGTATCTATTTTTTTTTCTTTTTCGTGTTGTATAACTTGTAGCTTCTTTCCATTTCTTTCAGGGTTTTGCTCAAGTAGAGCTTCTCCCAGGAGCACATGGGCTTAGTGATCTGCAGCTGTGAAAACCTGTCAGTCGAAAGCTATGCCACTCCCTTTAACTGACGTCCAGGGAAGCATTAGATATAATGGTAGGACTTGGTAACCTTATGGCATTAGGAGGAAAGAAAGCATCAAAACTAGCTCTTTTCACATTTAGGATTCCAGAATAATACTGCTATTGAAAAACATTGTGTTGTAGAAGAGGGAATCAGTTATTGTGGTAAAAATCAGAAGATTCAATTCCAAATAAGATGTGCTCTAGTTTAAACATATTAAAAGTTCATTGCGAGCAAGCCATCTAAGTGAAGATAATTTGTACTTCATGTGCACAGAATTTGAAGGAAGAGAAAGAAGAATACTTTGAAGACACGAAAGGATATTGAGAATGGCAAAAATAAAACCAAAACAAGAAATGCAATATTAAGGAGAAAGAAATGTTTTTAAATAGTCAGCAGAGTCGGCTAACAGAATTCAAGGAAGATGAGGACTGAGTATCAATCCGTTTTATTTGGTTAGAAAGATTTCATTTTAAAAAAGAAGTTTCACTGCAGAAGAGGATTAGTGATTGAAGACTCACCAAAAAATCCAAGGAATACGGGATGAATAACACTAGAATGGGTCAAAGTAAAGAAAAACTGGTTTAGGAACCTGAGAAAGGAAAATCTGTGTGCAGAGGAGGGGAGTTTATTTAATTAAAGAGTGTTTGTGTCATGTGTATGGGAGGGTATGTGTATGTGTAGGGAGGGTAGAAACAACCGAAGCTCTCAGTACAAGCAATAAGTAGGTGGACACTTGATAGAGATATTTGGAGAGAAAAAACAGGTGAGGATAAGGATGTCAGAAATGCATCAGTATCAGGAAGCACGTGATTCTCAGCAGAGACAGAGCTCTTCCCACTTAAGGAAACAGGTTGGTATCTCAGAAACATTTCTTCCAGCTCCCCATAGCTCCCAGAGTTTCTATATAATGTTCCTGAAAATGGTGTGTGCTCCAAATGAAAAGCTATTTTATATGTTTTTTAAAAATGTTAATGGGAAAATGTGGTGCATATGAAGTATATAGAGGCATAAAAGGTTTTGAGGAGCTACTAGAATGTAAGTAAGTCTAAAAATCTAAGAGATAAAGTTAGTAAATGGACATCAACATGAAAATTGTTGTTGCAAAAAGGCAATAGGACATAGCAGAAGAGTTCTGGGATTAGAAGGACCTGGGTTTAATTCTGGCTTTGCCATTTGGGAAAACATTCCAAAGTTCATTTATTTCTTCAGCTCTTGAAGGAGATACTGATATGTGCTGTTATAACATGAGTTTTCTGAGGATTAAGTAAGACATTACATGTTAAAATGTTTTATTAATACTGAAGCACTACACAAATTAAAAGTGTTAGATCATTTTTATTATTACTGTGGTTGTTGTTATCTATATGATGGTAGATGAAAGACTTGAGTCAAATATGAAGACCTTGGAATTTTAAAAAATTAATTTATCGGAAGAAGACACATGTAAGAATCAGAATTGAAATGAAGAGATTTGAAGATGGGTTAAGTGTCGGTCAGAAAGTTGTATTTGTGAGCAAGCAGCAGGCATATCCTTGCTGCCAGGGGGTAGAAAAACGGGATCAGACATTCATCTGAGAAGATGTCATGGTCTATAATATTTTCAGGAAAAAGCCTAATTTGCATTAGAATCTGCAACTAGAGACAAAAGGAGAGGCAAGACACAACAAGTATGTATATGTATTCTTTTACATTTATTATTAACCTGATGTATTTAAATACTATGGATAAATATTATTATTCCCATTTTACACATGAGAAAACTGAAAGGCAAAAATATTAAATAGGCCGGGCGCGGTGGCTCACGCCTGTAATCCCAGCACTTTGGGAGGCCGAGACGGGCGGATCACGAGGTCAGGAGATCGAGACCATCCTGGCTAACACGGTGAAACCCCGTCTCTACTAAAAATACAAAAAATTAGCCGGGCATGGTGGCGCGCGCCTGTAGTCCCAGCTACACGGGAGGCTGAGGCAGGAGAATGGCGTGAACCCGGGAGGCGGAGCTTGCAGTGAGTCGAGATAGCCCCACTGCACTCCAGCCTGGGCGACAGAGTGAAACTCTGTCTCAAAAAAAAAAAAAAAAATTAAATAATGGGTCCCCATTTGTCACCCCAAGCAATATGTGGTAGTTCCCTAATTCCAGTCTAGTTTGTTGTTGTTGTTTAAATTTCTTTGGAGCCTGTACCCTTTCCAATACTCCTCTTGAGTTTTGTATTTAAGATAAGGTTTGGTTTATGGGGCTTTCACAGGGTAGAGATGAGGTTTACAAGTGTCTCTGATTTTTTTTTTTTAAGTTCTTAGCCTTTAGGTTTGTGTTTAATTCTGAATTTATCTCAACACATGAGACTTTCCTGTGTTTAGGATATTTGGAAAATTTGCTGCAGATAGACAGCATATAGCTGTCTCTCTTTCTTAAATGGTTTTTGATTGCATATACAGAATATGCCATTGAGTCCTGCTGGGGGCTATGGAAGTAGGAATTGAGGAAGTAGGAGTAGCAGCAGGGTTTCTCTTTTCTATCTGTATATTGAACAATAATGTTTTCAAGTATGTGTATGACAAGACTATTTTGAGATTTCTAATAAAACTACCCCTGAGCTAAAAAAAAAAAAATCATTTAAACTTGAGGAAATTTTTAACATCTGTAAAAGGATCTAAGGAGAAAAATGCAAGTAGTTTTCCCTTCAATATTCAGATAACTTTGTAGACTGAAATAAGAAAGTTGAATGAAACACAATCTGAGGTAATAGCATAATATATACTAAGCTGTATTATTTTAGTGGCCAAATGAGTCACATAGACAAGACAGATTTGATAAGTCCTTATTCAAAACAATTAAATGTATGCATCTACATATTATTTAAATTGTTTGGTAGTTATCAGAAATTGTTTTCCTGCAAAACTGACTGTTTTTGAATATCTGGGTAAATGGCTAAGTAACCAAATATAATGACAGTATATAGTTGTACAGGCAGGCAAAAATGTTTTTTAGGTCCACGTGGCACAAAACCTCTCTGGTATTTTCCCTCCTAAATTCATATTCAAGAGGGTATAAATTTCTAGAAGTATAGAGAAAATAATTCTTTTATTACTGTAGATGTCTCTAGCAAGTTATACTTAAAGATATTAACTGACCCACCTACTGAGTACCGGTTGGTTCATAGTTCAGGATATAAACCTAATAAGGAACTGTAAAGGCTGAAGGAATTAAGGATGCTTTCAAATGCCACTACTATTAAATTCTACTAATTCATTTGTGTTTACTAATGGGCTTTGATAATAATAATTTAAAATTATAAGATAAAAGGGGTCACTTTTCATTGAGCTGACTCATGTTTGTAGATATATATATATATATATATATATATATATATATAATTATTAATAGTACACTATGTTCCTTGAAAAATAATAGCAGTTCAGTTGACTGAGGTCGCTGATTCTTAATAACTGTCATGGTTATGGTTACAGGTTGCGCCAAAATCTCTAATGAAAGAAGTAGAGACCCGGTATTAAAAAAGAGGGGGAAGGCAGGCAGATAGGAGTTCTTTTTTCATGCTGGGTAATCTACAGAAACTATATTTTCTTTCTCTTGCTTTCAACTACTGCTAATAGTAGATGTGAGCTTTAATTTATCTTTTTTCTCTTCTACTATTGCCCTTTTCCAAAGTAGGTAAAGTTGAAATGGGGAGGGTACAAGTGCCTCCCTTTCTCATTTATCACATATAGTAATTTCCTTGACATACCCACATATGCACAAATACATATTACTTGCCAGAATCTCAAAAGGGAGAGAAACAATATAAAACAAAATATACTTTTAACTCTCAGAAATATGATAAAACACATTTTATAATACACAGGAAAAGACCACTGTATAAAATTTGAAATATGGCAAGTTGTCTTTATTCTTCTGCAGTATCAAAACTGAGTTTTATAGTTGTTCCGATAGAAATGATAAAGATAATAATTTACCCTGGCAGATTGTGTGTTTCCACCTCCCCACCATCTAAGTACCTCTGTATCCCACCTTCACCTGTATTTTACAACATGCAGCAGCATTGTAATAATGTCCTCAGCCTTATTACCCCTCTACTCCTCTGAGTAGACAGGCAGCATTTTAACTTGTGGAAATGGTGCCTAATTCCCCAATAGAAGTTGCCTTTCTGCTGTATCTTTTCGATGTTGCATATGACTTCACAGAACTGCCTACTACATATCCAAAGAGAAAATGTGTGAATGATTTCATTTTGGAATATCACCAGGTTCAGAGTTAGTGTCTTGAGGGTGGGGGAGGGAGGCAAGCTTTATCTACATTTGTGCTGCCATTTTTTTATTATTATAATTTAAGTTCTGGGGTATATGTGCAGAATGTGTAAGTTTGTTACATAGATATACACGTGCCATGGTGGTTTATTGCACCCATCAACCCATCATCTAAATTAGGTATTTCTCCTAATGCTATCCTTCCCCAATCCCCCCTACCCCCGACAAGACCCGGTGTGTGATGTTCCCCTCCCTGTGTCCATGTGCCGCTATTATATGACATAGAATCTGTAACTCCTTTTTTTATTTAATGCCTCTTCCCCTAACCTATTAAAAATGTACCTCTAAAACGGTATAGGTCGCCATCTTTAAAAAAGATGTAATTACAAATAAAATTTAATTTTGAAATTTTATAATTGTACCTGAATATGAATTGATAATACAGGGGGGACTAGTTGTTACTAAACAAACAACAAAAAGCTAACGAATAATGAACAAATAAATTAATAAACAAAAAGACCGATCTTTAACCTAATACTCTTCCATTTTATAGTTTCATTTACCAATGTAAACTGCTGTTGATCAAACATAGACTTAGTATCTGCTTAAGGTCATGTCTTCATGCAAAGTGGAATACAGTTGGCTTTTCATACCCATGAGTTCTGCATCTGTGGATTCAACCAACTACAGATAGAAAATGTTTGGGAAAAAAAAATTAAAATAACAATGAATCAATAAGAATTATACAAATTTTAAAAAGGCAGTATAGCAACTATTTACACAGCATATAGGTATAAGTAATCTAGAGATGATTTCAAGTATATGAAAGGGTATGCATAACTTATTAATATATGTAAATATTATGCCATTTTATATAAAAGATTTGAGCATTCTTGGACTTTGGTGTCTGTGAGTCGTCCTAGAACCAATCCCCTATGGATACTAAGGGAAGGCTGTGTATATATTTAGTCAAATATATTGAATATTTTATATTAAGATTAATTACTAATTAAATTTAATATTAATGTCTATATTAATTTTAATCATTTTATATTTTATTTTAATAACTATAAACAATCTAGTTATTCAAATAGAAAATATCTCTTTCAAATAATGCTTCTTAAAGGTTATTTTAGGTTAGTGAATATTAAAAATGACTTATAGGAGACAGTTTGAATAAAGCATAAAAGGCTTTATGGAATTGAACATTGAAACTTTATCTCTCCTGACTCATTACAACAATAAAACAGGATACAAATCTTTACCTTAAATTCCAATTTTTCATTACATTCCATTACAACAACAGAACAGGATACAATTTTTTGCCTTAAATTCCAATTTTTCACTTTATGCACAGCCACTATTGATTCTTCCCAAACCATTTAGTAAAAATGAGGTTATATTAAACATTATTGAGCTTAATTGACCCTTCTCACTGTACACAGAATGCTAGAGGATTTAATTATCACTAATACTGTGGACTGCAGAATAAGGGAAGCAAGCTAATATACCTGTTGTTTGCCAGGTGCTCATACCTGTTTTTTAGTCTCCTAAAACAACTTTGGGAAGTACTTGTTGTTTTACACATAAGATAAACATGAGCTTTAAAAAGAGTATATGATTTGCCTAAATTCACAAAGTCATTAAGTAACAAATCTATTATCAAATCTGTGTCTGCCTGGCTTTAAAACCTAACTCTTTGTATAACATTCCTTATTCCAAATACAGTTAATTATGTACTTTTTTGAAATATTATTTAATTTTCTTGTACATGTTGGCCTCTCAATTGGGTTGTAAGATCCTCAATGATATGGAGCCTGGGCCTCTAAAAAAAATAAACTTTGAGGTATAGGATTTGAACTTCAATTCTATTGGTTACAGCCAAACAGGAAATCCCTCTGAACCTCATTTTACTGATACTAAAATGGGATTATGATATCACCCTGATGAATTAGTGAATATTAGTGAATATGAGTATGTAACTTTATATTTAACATATATTTAATGCCAATACGAACCAATTTCTTTCTAATTTCTTAAATAATTTTTATTTTATTTTTATCATATTCGTCTATTTATTTTTGAGACAGTGTCTCGCTCTGTCACCCAGGCTGGAGTGCAGTGGTGTGATCTCAACTCACTGCAACCTTCCTTCTAGGGGTAGGTAGGGATGTAAACTAGTACAGCCACTATGGAAAACAGTGTGGAGATTCCTTAAAGAACTAAAAGAACTGCTATTTGATCCAGCAATCCCACTACTGGATATCTATCTATCTATCTATCTATCTATATATATATGATATATATATATGATATATATATATCTCTATATATACTGGATATATATATATGATATATATATATGATATATATATATCTCTATATATACTGGATATATATATATCATATATCTATCATATATATGATATGTATGATATATATCATGTATATTATATATATCATATATCATATATATCATATAACATATATATATCCAGTATATATATATCATATATATATCCAGTATATATATATATCATATATATATCCAGTATATATATATCATATATATATATCCAGTATATATATCATATATATATCCAGTATATATATCATATATATGATATATATCATATATATTCAGTATATGATATATACTGGATATATATATCCATATATATATACTGGATATATATATATCATATATATCCATATATATGTATATATGATATATATGATATATCTATATATGATATATATGATATATCCATATATATGATATATATGATATATTTATCCAGTATATATGTCATATATATGATATATATCATATATATCCAGTATATATATCATATATATGATATATATCATATATATCCAGTATATATATCATATATATGATATATATCATATATATCCAGTATATATATCATATATATGATATATATCATATATATCCAGTATATATATCATATATATGATATATATCATATATATCCAGTATATATATCATATATATGATATATATCATATATATCCAGTATATATATCATATATATGATATATATCATATATATCCAGTATATATATCATATATATGATATATATATGATCCATATATATCCAGTATATCATATATGTATATATATCATATATATGGATATATATCCAGTATATATCATGTATATGTATATATATCAGTATATATCATATATATGTATATATATCCAGTATATATCATATATATGTATATATATCCAGTATATCTAGTATATATATCATATATATATCATATATATATGATGGAATACTACTCAGCCATAAAAGTGAATGAATTAACAGCATTTGCAATGATCTGGATGAGATTAGAGATTATTATTCTAAGTGAAGTAACTCAGGAATGGAAAACTAACCATTGTATATTCTCATTGATATGTGGGAGCTAAGCTATGAGGACGCAAAGGCATAAGAATGATACAACTGACTTTGGGGACTTGGGGAAAAGAGTGGGAGGAGGGAGAGGGATAAAAGACTACAAATACGGTTCAGTGTACACTGCTCGGGTGATGGGTGCACCAGGATCTCACAAATCTCCACTAAAGAACATATTCATGTAACCAAACACCGCCTGTACTCCAATAACATATGGAAAAATGAAATTTAAAGAACAATAAAGTAAATGATCTCATTCTGCTGGTTTCCCATCGCAAGAAGAAAAATCCAAACCATTGAGTGTGCCCTATTAGGCTCTGCATGACATGGTCTTTGCTTAATTTTACCCTTACTATATTCCAGCCACAGAGTTTCAGAGGGAGCTGTTGCGTTTCTAATTTGGCACTTGCTACTCTATTATTTGAACACTCTCCCATCTCCAGCTCTTCACAGAACAGGTTCCTTCTCACACTGTGGGTCTCAACTACATTTAATCTCTTTAGTGACATCTTCCTCCATGACTACATCAAATGTGAGGCTTACCTGGGGCCATTTCTGATAGCATCACTTTGTTTCATTCATAACACTTAATGATATTGGGTTATACATTTTTTCAATTGAATATATTATTTGGTTATAAAATACTATATAGTTTATAACAATAAAGACCTTTTATGTCTTATTTGCTGCCATACTGCTGAGTTCCTAGAACACTGCCTGGTGCAAACCTGTGCTTAATGAATATTTGTTAAATTAAAGAATGGATGATAAAGAGATGTTATAAAGATTCATGAATAATAAACGAAATCTAAACGGGGTTTTGGGTTTTGTTTTTGTTTTTAATTTTGTGGGTACATAGTAGGTGTATATATTGATGGGGTACATGAAATATTTTGGTACTGGTATGCAATGCATAATAAAAACATCAGGATGAATGGGCTATCCATCCTCTCAAGCATATCTTTTGATACAAACAATCCAATTATATTCTTTTAGTTATTTTAAAATGTACAATTAAATTATTTTTGACTATAGTCACCCTGTTGTGCTAGCAAATACTAGGTGGTATTCATTCTTTCAATTTTTTTTTTGGTACCGTCTCCACTTCCCCCTTCACCCCCACTACCGTTTCCAGCCTCTGGTAACCATGCTTCTACTCTATTTCCATTAGTTCAATTACTTTAATTTTTAAGCTCTCCAAAATTAGTGAGAACATGCGAAGTTTGTCTTTCTGTGCCTGCCTTATTTCATTTAACATAATGACATCCAGTTCCATCCATGTTGTGGCAAGTGATAGGATCTCATTCTTTTTTATGGCTGACTAGTACTTTATTGTGTATATGTACCACATTTTCTGTATCCATTCATCTGTTGATGGACACTTAGGTTGTTTCCAAATCTTGGCTATTGTGAATAGTGCTGCAAAAAAAACAGAGAGTGAAGGTATCTCTTCAATATACTGATTTCCTTTCTTTTGATTATATACCTAGGATCAGAATTGTTGGATTGTATGATATCTCTATTTTTAGTTTTCTGAGGAAGCTGTGGACTGTTCTTAGTAGTTGTTGTATTAATTTACATTCCCACCAACATTGTATGTGGGTTCCCTTTTCTCTTCATCCTCACCAGCATTTGTTATTGCCTGACTTCTGAATAAAAGCCATCTTAACTGGGGTGAGATAACATTTCATGTGATTTTGGTTTGCATTTCTCTGATGATCAATGATGTTGAGCACATTTTCATATGCCTGTTTGCCATTGTATGTATTATTTTGGGAAATGTCTATTCAGATCTTTGCCCATTTTTAATTGAATGATTAGATTTTTTCCCTATAATAAACACTTTTTATTAGGCCTTCCAAGATTCTTTCCCAGCAACCACACTTATTAAAATTTTTTAATAACTGGCATATTAATTTTTATGTTCTATTTCATGTATAGAAGACATGGGAAAAATAAATCTATTATAATCCATGTGGAAGCATACAGACCAGATTCCAGGATTAAACTTAGGGAGATTTTTGAAGTTAAAGTGTTTTACTTCTCTGACAAAAAGCCTTAAATGACAGAATGAGGCAGAACGAAAATTGGGTTAGTGTCTAAAGATGACTTTCATTTGGCCTGGTTATTCAGGAACTGCTATATTGCTTTAAGGAATTTTCAAACAAATAGGTTTGTAGTATGACACAAATTCTGACCAACCAGGGAGAAGAAAGAAGATAAATTACATATCTCCCAATATTCCCCTTTATGGCATATCCCCCTTCAAGCTTTGCTTTGCCTCACTATCCCTGAGTGGAATCAGTCTCTTTGAATTCCACTGGCAATTAGTTTTTACCTTTCTAGAGTACAAGTTGCCCCCATTTCATACTGTGGCAGAGTTGATCATGCAAGATTTGTCTTCCATCTCACAGTAGCTTGCAAACTCCTCAAGGGAAGAATCTGAGCTTTACTTTTTTGTTGCTCCTAAATGCCAATAATAGACACTATCATTTGGGTTTCAAAGTTTGTTAATAACAGCAACTAAATTTGTTCTCTTTAAATGTTCATGAGATATTATGAATATAAATTATCCATTGGTAGGAAAAATAAAAACAAGAAAGGAATGAAGAAAGGAAGGATAAAAGGAAATAAAAGAGAAAGAAATTACTCCTAGTTAATTTTGAGACAGGAAGGCTTTGATGTGAGGAGTTTAGCTAAGCACCGAGTTTTCTTCCTCATATTTTCAAACCTTTGATTTATTTTAAGTCCACTGAAGGTACAAACACTAAGTACTCAGACACCAAATAACAGCTTTCATCAACAAGGTGACAGCTTGCTCCTGATGTTTAGGTAATTAAAAGATCTATCTGTGAGGTGCTGCTTTTGCCAACATGAAAGTCTTGTGCCTGGGTGACTTCTACAGGATCCAACCCTCTGACATGTGTTCTATTGATCTCCTAAGAGAGCAGCAATTAATTCCAGGTGTCTCTTTGGGCAAAGGCGTGTTGCTGGCTCATTTGTGAAACTGCATGTTTTCTAACAAGTCTCCTTGCTTTTCCACACTCAAAGGCAGTGCATTCACTTTCTAATGATGAGTGTGCTATGAATCCAAGTGTTCTCTACCAGGTATTTGCTGCAACTCTCCAGTGTCTCTCAGGCCTTACCTGAGTGACCTTGGAAAGTTTTTCAGTCTCAATTTTCTCTCTTTTAAATGTAAATAGTACTTTGCTCCTTATTGCCTCACCAGTATACTAGTGAGGGAAAGGGGGATTTAAAATAAAATACTGCAAAAGTCATAAAGGTAAATGTAAGATCCTAGAACAATGTACCGAAGACAGGTAGGCTCCCCCAGGGATAATTTGTCACATTAATGTCAAATCTTCAATACTGTAGCATGTACAGAAACAATTATTTTGACTAAATTGTTTGAAAGGAAGACAAGAATAAAGTACTTAGGAGATAAAAAAATAATAAAGTAACAAAAAATAAATAAATCAGAATATTTGCATTATTTTTTTCCCTCTCAAGATTAAAGAAAAAGCAAGAATTATGTATATTTTTAATATGGGTTATAGTAAATCACAAGGAAATAAAGAGAAACTCAGAAAAATAGAAAAAATATTCCTAGGTTCATTCTAGGGTTGCTTTTACCTTCTTTGTTTTCACACCATAATTTTTATACAGTAGTTATTACCAAGAGAAATTATTTGGCTTTGAATGAAAAAGCAAAGGAAGAAAATATTCCTCAGTTGTAAGATAGCTTTGATGATAAGATGTACATTTCAAATTATATGCCTTCCCTGATACATTTTCCACTTATTATCTAAAAATTCCCTTATAGCACTGCTTATTCAATCTGAATCCAAAGAAATAATGTATTTTAAATACAGTTTTTTTAAGTAATAAGAATTCTCAAGGAATTTGAAGCTATCTCAATGTATTAATAATTTTCACATGTAGGATCAAAAGGCTTTGATTCTCATTAAATGCTTGGGAAATTGCCTAGACCACTCAATTTACCTCAATATTTAGCTGTTCCTTTTTTAAGACTTATTGGTGGACAGATATGAGAGCAACATTGTGTCAATCAGAAGAAACACTTCTGAATTCTTGATTTTTAATCTATATTTTAGTATAAGTAGCTATTTCATATTCATCTTCCATAATTTGCTTCATTTTGCATTTTTTATTGTGGTGATTTTGACTTTGGAAAAGATTAACTAGAAAAATGGGAGTTTATCACTGGGCTTAATGAGATTTCTTAGGGTAACTTTGATTTTTCTACTGGTGACTTATAGGAAAATTAGGTACCTCCAAAGGCAGCAATCTCTTCCCATATGTCAAGGCAAGTATCTGTATGGTGGTGCCAAAGGAAAAAAAAAATAGATCTCCAATTTAAAAAAAAACTGTTTAATTAAAAATCAAGTGTTTTGAAGGAAATTTTTGTAGCCAATTATACAAGCAATGAATTAATAGTAAAGATGTTCAGAAAATATTTTTTGAAAGATGAGTTACAGCAGGCCAAAGATGGGAAACTCAAACTAAGGACATGGTTAGTCTTGATTCAACTATTTTAAGTGTATTTTCAGAGGAAAGATAAATTCATGTATTCTACTCTTCTAGACAAAGCTACTGTGTTCTGAGGTTTCATAATTTCATTCTTCTAGGCCTGACTAAATGATCTGTTTTCTGTGCTCTCAGATATAAAAATTTTGCTAATGCCAAGAGCTAAAATGCTGAAACTTCATCTCTTACTAACTTTCACATTTCAATTTATTCTTTAAAGGAAAATGACACATCTTTTTTGGTCTCAGGCTACATCAGAACTAACGACTTCCCACCTCTGGGTGGGGTGAGATCCATCTCAGGAGGCAAGTGATATGACAGAAGAAAAGGTGAGACCTCCAGCATGAATTTTAACACAATCTCTGGTATAGAGGATACTAATGGCATAAACATATTGAAATGTCCCTGAATTTAAGTTGAGAAATAGGGCAACAAAAAGATGTTCTTAAAATCAACACTTCCTTTGAGTAACAATAAATAGGATATTAATTTCTGTTATTGCATAGAGTTAAAATGGTAGGTATGTATTTTAATTTAAAAAAAATATTTCCTGGGAAATAGTGAGGAATGGGGCAGTAGAATAAGTATGGCATTAATAAAGTTAACTCTCATTGGTGTGTTATTATATGTTTTATTCTTCATTCATTTAGCAATTATCTATCAAGTGTTTCCTGTAAGTATAATAATAGCTAATATTAATTGTATGCTTATGATGGTCCAGACATTGTAATAAACATATATACAAACTGACATATTCAGTCTTCTTAACAATCTATGAGATTGGTACATTTTTAACACCATTTTTTCAGATGAGAACACTGAGGCAGATGGAAATAATTGATTTTAAATTACATGTGTAGTGAATGGTGGAGCTTCAATTCTCATCCAGGCAGTCTGGCTCTGAAGTCCACTATACTTTTTGGTATAGGGATAGATAGGGGTATTTCCTCAGCTTTCAAAGAGTCTAAGCCCTAGAAAGGGATAAGTGGGATTTAGAAATTCTCAAGGAATACTGAAGAAGAATAGGAAAAGGAAATGTGAAAAAGCAATATTGCCTTCCCAAAGCTCATATTCTCCCCAAGGGCAGGGAAGGACATGTGAACAAATGCAGACATATAAATAATTAAACCTAATAAAGTGTTAGATAATGTGTTAGTGTTCTGTAGCACTCAGTGGAGGCACAGGGGAGAATGTAACCAGTCTAATCACAGGTGTCAAGAAGAGTATAAAAGTTTGAAAGTAGGTGATCCCTAGGTGACTGAGAGGGTAAGGGCACATCAAAGGGAAAAAAATCAAGAGAAGCGAGTACTAAGAAGAAATAAACAAAAGTCTGATAGAGCATGAAATGGCCTGGCAGACTGAGAGTAGCATGAACAACTTTCTGGAGCATGGAGAGTGGGATGGACATCTATTCCAATGTAGAATTTCAACATAAGGAAAAAAGGATCACTAAGGTAAAGGAATAGGTGAAATACTGTTTACTTGTCCTGCATGAAAATTCTCGGCCATGGTGTATATGTGCCACATTTTCTTAATCCAGTCTATCATTGTTGGACATTTGGGTTGGTTCCAAGTCTTTGCTATTGTGAATAGCGCCGCAATAAACATACGTGTGCCTGTGTCTTTATAGCAGCATGATTTATAATCCTTTGGGTATACCAGCATGGCACATGTAGACATATGTTTGTTACATATGTATGTATGTATGTATGGTATGTTGTGCACATGTACCATATGTATGGTACGTTGTGCACATGTACCCTAGAACTTAAAGTATAATAAAATATATATATATATATAAAGAAAATCACCAAAAAAAAAAAAAGAAAATTCTCAGCCAAACACAAATTCTCTATAAAAGGAGGGAGGGACTTTTTTAAAACCTAAGTCTTCTGTAATAGACTTCTATATACGTATATATTTGCACTATGAAGTCACTTCTGCCAATGCATAATTTATTCATTCAGCGTTTAGTCTTTCCAAACTACTGGAGTTCACTTACTATGTTCAAGGCAGTGGGCTAGGAACCTTAAAAGATATGAAGGTTAATCGTGAATCGCATGTCTCCTCTGGACACGTGAATTCTTGTAGGCACAGCTATGGCATGTTGGCTAATATCCATTCTAATAGGTTGGTGCCCATGCAAAACTGGTTGTTAAATATTTTAAATATGAGTCATGCTTGTATATAAGTTGGCTTATACAAGAGTGTGCTGAAGCGTACTCAGACAACATCATGGTGGATTTTTAAGAATTACATGAATCGTTAGTTGTTAAACACAACTGGTATTAAAAGTTAAATACTATAAACTTAAAATTAAGTAAGTTATATAAAAAGAAAGAAAATAATCACAACTAATTATTTCTTCTACATTTTCTATTATCTACAGTCTTGAAGTTATTGTTGATTGTATCTGTATTACGGAAATGCTATATAATCATATGCCACTTGCTATGCATCTTCTCCCAAATTCATATTCAGTGATGTCAGTTTGATAGCTTAAAATTACCATAGTAGGAAGATTTATGTCATGGAAATTGGAAAATCTGTATATTAGGTCTGATTATTAAACATTTATCAGCCCACCTCTGCTCATTCATAAAATAGCAATATGAAGTGTATTATCATGTGTCCTTCCCAGCCTCAGTTGGAATTTATCAGTACCCCAACCGACCATCACAAATTAGAAGCTCAAGCTCTAATCTCCCTGTTGGTAATATAAGCAAGTCTAGGATAAACCCTGTTATCCAGCATACCATGTAATCAGAGTTTTCTGGAACAATGGTTCTCAACCCTGGATATACATTGGAATCATCTAAAGGGTTTAAAAAACAATAAAATTCCAATGCCTGGGTCTATCCCAGACAATTTGAATCAGATCACCTGCCAGTGAAAACTGGGCATCCATCATCTATCTATCTGTCTATCTATCTATCTATCTATCTATCTATCTATCTATCATCTATCTATCTATCTATATTTTTTTGAGACAGAGTCTCACTCTGTCACCCAGGCTGGAGTGCAGTGGCACGATCTCAGCTCACTGCAACCTCCCCATCCCAGTTGAAGTGATTCTCCTGCCTCAGCCTCCCAAGTAGCTGAGATTACAGGTGCCTGCCACAATGCCCAGCTAATTTTTGTATTTTTGAGGAAACAGGGACCAAAGCCAATTCTTTTAGTACAGACGGGGTTTCACCATGTTGGCCAGACTGGTCTCGAACTCCTGACCTCAGGTGATCTACCCGACTCAGCCTCCCAAAATGCTGGGATTACAGGCATGAGCCACCACACCGGCCTTATATTTTTAAAATATGTGTATTTTCAAGATGATTGTAATTGTGCAACCAAGGCTGAGAAACTGCACACGAACTTACAGGAAAACTGGGTGTTGCGTGAGTAAGTTATCTTCTGCTGCTAGGAGAAGATATATTCTACCTCCCACAAAGTAAGCATGGAGCAAAACAAGTGGCTATTAGAAACTGGTCCAGAGGTCATGCTTAAACAGCAGAGGTAAAACCAGGGTTTTCTGCTAACTATCCCATCACCCTCTTTTCCCTCAGCCAGGAATAATGCCCTTTCACAGCAGTTCTTTGTTCAATAAATGCCCGCTACCACCTCCCTAGGCTGTAGACTAAGGAAGGGCAACCAGGTCAGAATTGGTTTTGGTGCCTGTTTCCTCAAAGACTTGTTATCATAGTCTTTCTTTGCTTCTTTCCAGGGAATCTATTTCAAACCCTTGAAACATAAAAGAATCTAATTTTGTCCCATTCATCAGGACAATGGGTCCTCTACTCTGCTCCTTCCTTTTCTAAGGAAGGCTACTGTTAGTCATTCCAAGGCACTGTTCTTTTCTTCTTTTCTAAGGGGACAGTGTTTTCAGTAAATCTCAGGAAGCTTATGGTCTTTTTGTTCTTTGGAAGAAAAATAACACAACTATTCTTCATAGAAAAAGTTACTTCACCAGGTAGAAAATATGAAAGAGATAAGTGTATCTGTTTTTGTCTCTCTGTACCTTCAAATCACTATTCACAATTCCACACTAGCTTATTTCTTATGCATAGGTATTATATGTCACTGCTTAAAAAAACACTCATTGTCCGTGGTGGACAAACTTTAAGATGACCCTCATGATCCCTACTTCCTGGAGTTTACAATTTCATATAATTCCATCCCCTTGAGGTCAGTGGGACTGTGACTTGCTTTTAACAAATAGAATATAGCAAAAATGATGGGATGTTCTTCCTGCGTTTCCATTATGTTATATAAAACTCTGTCTTATTATCAGACTTGCTTGAGTCTCTCTCTCCTTGCAGACTTTGAAAAAGCAAGAAACAGTCACCCAAGTGGGGAGGAAGATGCCTACCTAGTTGAGCCTCTGGATGAGAATCAAACCCTAGCTAACATGTCAATTGCAGGCTTTTCAGGTCCTTAACAGAAGATCCAGCTAAATAATGCCTATACTTCTGACCTGTGAGATAGCAAATGAATTTTGCTTTAAGCTGCTAAGTTTGTGGTAAATCTTTATGCAGTATAGAAAACTAATACGGTCACCTTTGAAATAAATTTCCAATGCTTTATTGTGGCATTCAAAGCCCTTAATGGTTGGTTCTATTTTTTTTTTTTTTTTCTAATTTCCTCTCTTGCCAGTGCAGTGACCCAATCACCTACAAAACATCCTGGCTACATTTACATTCTCATTCTCTTGCTCCTGTTATTTTCTCTGTTTAGAATTTCCTTTCTTTCTCCCTCCCTCCTTCTCTCCTTTCCTTCCTTCCTTCCTTGCTTCCTTTCTTTCTTCCTTCTTACCTTCCTAGTGAGCAACCATTTACCCTTAGAAGTCAAATATAATAACCACCTCTAGGCTGCCTATAAAAGTACTTGCTACTCAATGCCCCCTAAAGGTCAACTTGATTGATTCTTTTTTGTGGTCTCATAATATTTCCTGTGTAGCTCTCCTATGGTACTTATCATGTTATTTCCACATTAATTTTTATGTTTTTCCTGTTATAGTGTGAGTTCCCTGAGACTGGGCACTGTATATTATTTATCCGTAGATCCCCAGAACCTGGACTAGTGCTTTGACATACATCTGGCATCCAATAAATGTTTGTTAAATTGAATCAAACTGAATCGATATTCCTAAAGGTAGAGAGTTTTATTGTTTGGCACATCATAGGCATTTTAAAATGAGTATTCTGTGTATAATTGCTTACATTTTTTAACCACATTATCTATTCTGGCAAAGAATCATTAAAGGCTGTAGGCTGCTTTAATGAGATAGGGGCAATTCAGGCAACAAGAAATTACCTAATGGGTTTTGCTGATAACATTAAGGGCTAGCAATTCTACTTCGTAATTATATGATGCTTAGAGGAGGGTTGAATAAATACATAGAATCATAACATTGGGATGCAGGAGAAAGTGATCCAACTAAGAATCTGATAGAAGAATGCATGTAATTATGTTTTTGAAAGAAAGTAATACATAGAGAATCAATCCAAAGAAATGAAAAGCTCACTTCCAGTAAGTAGCACAACTCAGCATTCTGCAATAGACTAGCTACCAAAGTACTTTGGGGTTGAGTAGATAACCCCTAGAATGACCTGACAATATAATAGTGTATGATAGATTCATTGCAGGAAGTGAAAGTAGAATCTATGGAGGAGGAGGTAATCCCAGCAGTATATTAGAGATACGATTCTCAAAATCATAAAAACTAAAGGCTAAAATCTTTGAACTGCAGGTGTTGATCTCTCCTAGGTTTAAGAAGTTTTTCACTGGAAGTGAAACAAAAGAATGGTGTGATCAGTACATGACTTGAATATCTGGGCCAATCCTAAATTAAAAATTGTAAATAATGAACAACATGAGGTATGGCAAGAACCTCCCAGAATATTGCTCTCCACTCTCTAAATTTTCAGTGATACATTTCCCCAGAATTTGTTGGAAGCCCAATAGCTCCAATTAACCACTATAACCTTTGCAGAAGTGGAAAACTAAAATATTTGCTCCTCTTCTGAGGGGAATTTTGTCTCTGTTTTAATTCTGGAATGAATATAGAGACTCCTATCAATGTGAAGCTTCAGTCTAAACATGCATTTTGAGCCCTGTAACTTGCTAGATGTATCATCCTTGGCAAGCATTAAAGTTCTCTAAACTTCAGCCTCCTCATGTGAAAAACAATAACGACAACTTGTTGTACTACGGCTACAAATAGACACCTAATATCTTATTTTGGACATCAAATAAGCCTAACACATTCTGGTATACAGTAAAATACTTCAGATATATTTGTTCTTTCTCTCTTTTTTATATATTAGATTTTTGAGAGTAACTACATTAGGATTTGGATTTACTATTAAAAATTCAAGGTTTATAAAGAGCCTGGCCTCAAATGTTCAGGGTGACCTTGCTCCCACATTTTCTATGAAGCCTAAGGGTTGACCCATCTTCTCTTCTATCTCTGCTCCTATCTATCTTTTGAGACTGTTGGAATGAATCCTGGAAACATACTCTTCTTTCCCTAAATTTTTTTGACTGTTTTGAGGATGTTTGTAAGACTTTAACTGGGTTGCAATGTGGTCAACTTGTAGCTCTGATAACCAGAAACTAAGTTGAAACAAGAAATTCTTTAGGTTATATTGCTCTTTATTCCCTGGTCTGTATCTTTCTACTAAACTTGTGATGTTTTGTAGAAAACAGACTATATCAGGAACAACAAAGAATCACCAAATGCTGCACAATTGACACTGAGAGTACAATTCTCATTTGAACTAGTGACCCAGAAGTGGCAATTGTTTGCCAGGAACTCTTTGTTTAACATCAAAGCATAACAAGCTAACACCAGAAGTGTGCGGTCTTCTGCATTTTTTTTTTAAAAAAACAAAACAAAACAAAAAAAACTTCTGAAGGAAAAGAGATACAGAAGATAACTATCAGTTTAATTCTAGTTCTTATTAAAACACACATACACACACACACACACACACACACAAAGAATGTTAAGTTGAATTATTTTCCTAAATAATTATTTTGGAACAAGAAAATGATGATGACATGTTTATTATTTCCTCATTCAAGATGATAAATTATAACATAATTCATTAATTTAACTGTCTCTGAATTGCTTTAGTTAAGGTATAAAATTCTTACAACTTAAAAAATTCAACAACTTCAACTATACTATCATGTTTAATCAGTTTTTTGGTTTTATAATATTTTACTTTAGACAAATTTCAAATTAAAATAAATGAATAATACATTAATGAGATTTAATGACTCTTAGAGATGAGGTTTCTGGCACTTTCCAGAGTAAAAAAAGAAAACTAAAAGATTTATCTCAGTCTTGGCAACATGAAAATTACAGAAAGAAAATTTAGTTCAGATTAAGAAGACTTTTGTTCTTTTGTCTCCACCATTATTATCTCTGTGATTTTAGCCAAACCACTTAACATTCTGTAAAATTGAGATGTTATTTTCAGCCCGGTCTACCTCTCATGATTTTTGTAAATATTACATATACAGAGACACTTTAAATTGTAATATGTATAATATTATATGATTGTTTTTATGCTGGTTGCTAAATATAGGCTCAAATTTCCTTCATTATAATGTATTTCAACCATTCAATTTTTATTTCATAAATTGAAATCCAAGTAGATATCTGCAGAGTACAATGGAAACTATACAAGTATGTAAGGCAATCGACTTGGTAAAATATTGAGGGATCATTGCTGGAAACTACTCTTAAACCATTTCGTGTAGCCACAGCCACAAATCTTGCACCACAGACATTGATCAAGCCAGAGAATGGGGTTGTGATTAGAATGGCATACCTATGGAACTGATGGGAAATTAATTTTGGAGCAAAGATTTCCTATCTAATAAGACAAGGAGAAAAGTTTATTTGAAGTGGTGCAGTCAATTGTTTATCAGAAATTTGGGTTATAGATTCATGTAAGAATTAACTTGTTATAAGTTGGTTGGACCTGCCTCACACATTCTATTCAACACAGAAATTCAAGATAGGCAGTATTTCTTTTAATTATCAGCATGGGATATGGAAGACTTATAATAGGATTCCAGTTTGATAAATGGTATAATTTTGAAGTTATTAAGTAATGTGTGTTCTTTTCTTTTCTGCTTTTTTCTCCTTCCTCTTTTCTACAACTGTTGAGTCTATAAAAATGAAAATTCCAGTTCACTAAATCTCTCTTTAGCTAGAGATATTCTAGTCTGCAGCCTTACTATTCCATTGAGCTTTTAAGTTACTCTCTTTTACATTTTAAAACTCCATTTGGTTAGTTTGCAAATCTGTGCAACAAAACTTTATAGTTATTCGTTTTCTTCCTGTATTTTCAAGTTTGTCTTTTATTTCTCTAAATAGTAGTAAGCATAAATTTTTATAAAATACACATTTTTAGTGTCTTCTCTCTAATTCTGTTGCCTTTTTTGGGGGGTGATATTCTCACTTGTGGTGACTGGTTTCCTTGGTGCTAAAATTTTTAACTATTAGCTATTCAATTTTATTAGAAAATTATTTAGGGAAATTATTTTTGGCCTAATATTATGGTAGGTTTCCCTGGAAGGGATTAATGTTGCTTTTACCAGATATTTTGGAGCATATCTAACTAAAGGACATATTAATTTAAATGGATACTTTGAGGTTTTCTGGAGCACACAGATGGTATAAAATTGAGTTGGAAACCCATGTAAGGGATGGCTTTCAGTGGCAGGCCTTTTCCCCTCTGCTCTCCTCAACAATAAAGCATTATATATCTCAATTTATTATTTACAATAATAAGTAAAAATGACAAACAGGTTTGGGAACAAACACAATTGACTCATGGTAAGTATTCAACTCGACTGGTATGGGCATTAGTCATTAAGATTTACAGAGTTTCTGGAGCAAGTTGCTTCGTCTAGCAAGTCTGGTGAGTTTAGGTAACATAATTCTTCCTACCTTTCAGTTTGGCTGGACTCCAGGGGAATTAAGGTGAAATTACATGACCTAAGAATAAACAGGTTGGTTGGGAAACAAATCATGAAATATCTGAATTGTTGTTAGGATTTATGGGTACTTTTGAGTTGGTTATGGAAAATCATTAACATTTGTGTAGTTTTTGCTTTAGAGTGGAATAAAATGAGAGCTCTTCCTAAAACTAGTTCACCAAAATGAATAGAAATGCTTTAATTTTAATTATTTATGGAAATGTGGAGATAAAATTATCAGAGTTCTATTACAGTAAGTCGGATGAGAAAGAAAGCTTTTCAAATAAGGTAATGTTCCTGAGAGTAAATAGGAGGGGCTGCTATGAAAGTCATTGTAGGGTTTCTGTAAAAGGCACTTAGCAAATGATAGTATCTATGAGAGAGAAGAGTCAGAGATAAATAACGTCTATCATCAGTAACAAACCATGGCCTTAATCATGGGGCATCACACCATCCCAATCACTGTGTTACCAACTCATTAAGATTAAAGGCAACTATAAGGAACTAAGTGATAATAGATCAATCATCTCTTAAAGGAATGAATGAATTCTCAAAGTCTAGGACTGGAAAATATCAAGACAGAATCTGTTTTCTTGTTTTCCAACGTCAGTTCACATGAACTTGGGAAAAAACCTTCAGATAGATAGATGATAGATAAAATGAAAGACAGAGAGATTTATTTCAGCATGAGAGAGTCTTTCCTATTTGATGTTTATTTCTTTTACTTCATTAGTAATTTGTTAACAACACTAAGTATATATTTACATTGTAAAAGACATGGTAGGGGCTATATGTTAAAATGTCTGGTCAAAAGTAAATAAACTTCCTTAATTGCATTTATAATTGTTATTATGACTACTTCCACTTCCACTCTCTCTGGGAAGGTAAAACTTCTTACAGGTTAAAAAAGGAGGAAAAAAATACCCATAAAATATCTCCCTGCTTAGTAAAACAGCTGCTGCTCCTGACTGCTTCAGTTTATGGTTGAATAAAAATTAAATACATGATACCCTGAAGAAAATTTTTCAATTACATAAAATGAATAAACCATGAAGACAGAATGAGCTACCACCAACTTATCATACATTACTTTCACAAAATAATTTATATTATTTTATTTTCTTCAATCTTAATTTTAAGACAGAGCCTATAACTGTGCAATGTAAGTGGAACATTTTTATATATTAATTATTAATTATGTGACGATCAACCTAGTCATTTAAGTGACAATGCAAATTTATCCTTAATATGACTGGAAGTACAGATTGACTATACACCCTCTGTGCCTTTGTTTTCTCTTTTGGATTTAACTACCATATGGCTTGTGACAACCAGGAAAAGTGAAATAATTTACTAGGTTTAAAGATCAGACATGTTTAATACTTGCACATTATACGCAATCATATAGTTTGTTTTGGTCTTGTAATTGTAAGTGTTCTTTTTATGTTCTACGACTCTAGGCTAACTATGTCACATTCCTAAAATGGATACATGGATTATTTTCTTTTTTTAAATTTTTATTTCAAAACTAGGAAACAGGTGGTGGTTGGTTGCATGGAAAAGTTCACTAGTGGTGATCTGAGATTTTGGTGCACCCACCATGTGAGCAGTGTACACTGTACCCAATGTGTTGTCTTTTATCATTCACCTACCCAACCCTAACCCTGAAGTCCCCAAAGTCCATTATATCATTGTTATGACTGCATTCTCATAGCTTAGCTCCTGCTTATAAGTGAGAACATATGATGTTTGGTTTGCCATTCCTGAGTTACTTCACTTCTTAGAATAATGGTCTCCAACTCCATCCAGGTTGCTGCAAATGCCATTATTTTGTTCCTTTTTATGGCTGAGTAGTATTCCATGATGTGTGTGTGAAAATATATATATATATATATATATATATATATATATATATATATAACTTTTTTTATCTCCTCATTCATTGGTTGATGGGCATTTAGGCTGATTTTTTTATTTTTGCAATTGTGAATTGTGCTGCTATAAACATGCATGTGCAAGTCTGTTTTTCATATAATGACTTCTTTTCCTCTGGGTAGATACCCAGTAGTAGGATTGCTGAATCAAATGGTAGTTCTACTTTTAGTTCTATAAGGAATCTTCATACTGTTTTTCATAGTGGTTGTACAAGTTTACATTCCCACCAGCAGTGTCCAAGTGCTCCCTTTTCACCACATCCATGCCAACATCTATTATTTTTTGATTTTGGTCATTCTTGCAGGAGTAAAGTAGCATCACATTGTGGTTCTGATTTGCATTTCCCTGATCATTAGTGATGTTGCACATTTTTTCATATGTTTGTTGGCCATTTGTATATCTTCCTTTGAGAATTGTCTATTCATGACCTTAGCGTAATTTTTGATGGGATTATTTGTTTTTACTTGCTGATTTGCTTGAGTTCCTTATAGATTCTGTATATCAGTTCTATGTCGGATGCACAGTTTGTGAATATTTTCTCCCACTCTGTGGGTTGTCTGTTTACTGTGCTGATTATTTCTTTTGCTGTACAGAAGCATTTTAGTTTAATTAAATCTCATCTATTTATCTTTGATTTTGTTGCATTTGCTTTTGGGTTCTTCGTCATAAACTCTTTGCCTAAGCCAATGTCTAGAAGAGTTTTTCCAAAGTTATCTTCTAGATTTTTTAGGTTTCAGGTCTTAAATTTAAGTTTTTGATCCATCTTGAGTAGATTTTTGCATAAGGTGAGAGATGAGGATGCAGCTTCATTCTTCTACATGTGGCTTGCCAATTATCTCAGCACCATTTGTTGAATCGGGTATCTTTTCCCCACTTTACGTTTTTGTATGCCTTGTTAAAGATCAGTTGGCTATAAGTATTTGGATTTATTTCTGGGTTCTCTATTCTGTTCCATTGGTTTACATGCCTATTTTTATGCCAGTACTATGATGTTTTGATAACTATAGGCTTGTCCTATAGTTGGAAGTGGGGTAACATGATGCCTCCATATTTGTTCTTTTGGCTTAGTCTTTCTTTGGCTATGAGGGCTCTTTTTTGTTCCATATGAATTTTAAGATTGTTTTTTCTACTTCTGTGAATAATGATGACCATATTTTGATGGGAAATGCATTGAATTTATAGAATGCTGTGGGCAGTATGGTTATTTTCACACTATTGATTCTACCCATCCATGAGCATGGGATGTGTTTCCATTTGTTTGCATCATTATGATTTCTTTCAGTAGTGTTTTTTAGTTTTCCTTGCAGGGATCTTTCACCTCCTGGTTAGGTATATTCCTTTTTAAAAAAAAATATATACTTGAAGTTATGGGTTACATGTGCAGAACGTGCAGTTTTGTTACGTAGGTATACACGTGCCATGGTGGTTTGCTGCAACCATCAACTCATCATCTACATTAGGTATTTCTCCTAATGCTATCCCTCCCCTACCTCCCCACCCCCTGACAGGTCCTGGTGTATGTTTTTCCCCTCCCTGTGTCCATGTGTTCTCATTGTTCAACTCCCACTTATGAGTGAGAACATGTGGTGTTTGGTTTTCTGTTCTTGTGTTAGTTTGCTGAGAATGATGGTTTCCAGCTTCATACATGTCCCTGAAAGTTTGGGGGGCTGACTGGGTATATTCCTAAGTATTTTGTTTTATTTTTTGCAGCTGTTGTAAAAAGGGTTGAGTTTTTAATTTTATTCTCAGCCTGGTTGCTATTGGTGTATAGTAGTGCTACTGATTTGTGTACATTGATTTTGTTTTCTGAAACTTTACTGAATTTGTTTATCAGATCTAGGAGTTTTTTTGGACAAGTAGGGTTTTCCAGGTATACGATTAATCATTGGCAAACAGCAACAGTTTGACTTTCTCTTTGGATTTGGATGCATTTTATTTCTTTCTCTTGTCTGATTTCTCTGGCTAGGATTTCCCATACTATCTTGAATAGAAATGGTGAAAGTGGACATCCTTGTCTTGTTCCAATTCAACTTTCAACTTTTCTCCATTTAGTACAATGCTGACTGTGGGTTTTTCATAGATGACTTTTATTACCTTG
This sequence comes from Homo sapiens, assembly GCF_000001405.40. Taxonomy (NCBI): domain Eukaryota; kingdom Metazoa; phylum Chordata; class Mammalia; order Primates; family Hominidae; genus Homo; species Homo sapiens. The sequence continues at coordinate 176,163,377 of NC_000003.12, read as the reverse complement.
AGGTATGTCTCTTCTATGCTGATTTTGCTGAGAGTTTTAATCATAAAGGGATGCTGAATTTTGTCAAATGCTTTTCTGCAACTATTTGGATGATCATAAAATTTTTAATTCTCTTTATGTAGTATATCACATTTATTGACTTGCATGTGTTAAACCATCTCTGCATCCCTGGTATAAAACCCACTTGATCACGGTGAATTATCTTTTTGATATGCTGTTTGATTCAGTTAGCTAGTATTATGCTGAGGATTTTTGCATCTATGTTCATCAGGCATATTGGTCTGTAATTTTCTTTTATTGTTATGTCCTTTCCTGGTTTTGGTAATACAGTGATACTGGCTTCATAGAATGATTTGGGGAGAATTCCCTACTTCTCTATCTTTTGGAATAGTTTCAGTAAGATTCATACCAATTCTTTGAAGGCCTGATAGAATTCATCTGTGAATCCACTTGGTCCTGGACTTTTTTATTTGTTGGCAATTTTTAAATTTCTGTTTCAATCTCGCTGCTTGTTGTTGGTCTATTCAAAGTTTCTATTTCTTCCTTAATCTTGAAAGGGTTGTATATGTCCAGGAATTTATCCATCTTCTCTAGATTTTCTAGTTTGTGCATGTAAAGGTGTTCATAAAAGCCTTGAATGATCTTTTGTATTTCTGTGGTATTTGTTGTAATATCTCCCATTTTGTTTCTAATTGAGCTATTTGGATCTTCTCTCTTCTTTCCTTGGTTAATCTTGCTAATGGTCTATCAATATTGTTTATCTTTTCAAAAAACCAGCTTTTTGTTTCATTTATCTTTTGTATTGTTTTTCTTTTGTTTCAATTTCAGTTAGTTATGCTTTGATCTTTGTTATGTGTTTTCTTCTGCTGGATTTGGGTTTGGTTTGTTCTTGTTTCTCTAGTTCCTTGAGGCATTACCTTAGATTGTCTATTTGTGCTCTTTTAGACTTTTTGATGTAGGCATTTAATGCTATGAACTTTCCTCTTAGCACCTCTTTGTCTCTATCCCAGGGGTTTTCATAAGTTTTGTCACTATTATCCTTCAGTTCAAAGAATTTTTTAATTTCCATCTTGATTCCATTGTTGACCCAAAGATCATGCAGAAGCAGATTATTTTTCATGTTTTCTGTAGTTTCAAGGGTTCTTTGTGGAGTTAACTTCCTATTTCATTCCACTATGGACTGAGATGGTACTTGATATAATTTTGATTTTCTTGTATTTATTGACACTTGTTTTGTGGTCTATCATATGATCTATCTTGGAAAGTGTTCCCTGTGCTGATGAAAAGAATGTGTATTCTGCAATTGTTTTGTAAATATCTATTAAGCCCATTTGTTGTAGGGTATAGTTTAAGCTCATTGTTTCTTTGTTTACTTTGTCTTGATGACGTGTCTAGTGCTGTCAGTGGAGTACTGTAGAACCCACTATTATTGAGTTGCCATTTGTCTCATTATTTATGTCTAGTAATAATTGTTTTATAAATTTGGGAGCTCCCATGTTAGGTCCATATATATTTAGGATTGTGATATTTTCCTGTTGGACTTATCTTTTTATCATAATATAATGTCACTCTTTGTCTTTTTAAACTGTTGATGTTTTAAAGTCTTTATTGTCTGATATAAGAATAGCTACTCCTGCTCACTTTTGGTTTTCATTTTGCCTGGAATATCCCTTTCCATCCCTTTACCTTAACTTTATGTGAGTCTTTATGTGTTAGGTGAGTGTCTTGAAGACAGCAGATACTTGGTTGGTGAATGTTTATCCATTCTGCCATTTTCTATCTTTTAAGTGGGGCATTTAGGCCATTTGCATTCAACATTATTATTGAGATGTGAGGTAATGCTTTATTCATTGTGCTAGTTGTTGCCTGAATACCTTGATTATGTTTCATTGTGTTATTGTTTTATAGGTCCTGTGAGATATATGTTTAAGGAAGTTTTATCTTGCTGTACATTTGAGGTTTTGTTTCAAGATTTAGGACTTCTTTTGGCATTTCTTGTAGTGCTGGCTTGGTAGTGGTAAATTCTCTCAGCATTTGTTTGTCTGAAAAAGACTTTATCTCCCCCTCATCTATAAAGCTTAGTTTTGCTGGATAAAAATTTTTTTGGCTGGCAATTATTTTGTTTGAGGAGGCTAAAGATAGGACCCCAATCCCTTCTGGCTTACATAGTTTCTGCTGAGAAATCTGCAATCATTCTCATACATTTTCTTTCATAGGTTACCTGATGCTTTTGCCAAACAGCTCTTAAGATTCTTTCCTTCCTCCTGACTATGTGCCTGGCTTATGAAGTTTTTGCTATGAATCTCCCAGATGTTCTTTGAGCTTCTTGTATTTGGATGCCTAGATCTCTAGTGAGGCCAGGGAAGTTTGATTATTCCCTCAGATATGTTTTCCAAACTTTTTGATTTCTCTTATTCCTCAGGAACACCAATTATTTTTTGATTTGGCTATTTAACACAATCCCAAATTTCTTGGAGCCTTTGTTCTTTTTATTTTTTAATACTTTTTTATTTATCTTTGTTGGATTAGGTTAATTTGAAAGCCTTGTCTTTGAGCTCTGTGTTCTTTCTTCTACTCATTTGATTCTTTTGTTGAAACCTTCCAGTGCATTTTATGTTTCTCTAAATGTGTCTTTCACTTCCAGAAGTTGTGATTGTTTTTCTTTATGATATCTATTTCTCTGGATTATTTTTAATCCACATCTTCTATTGTTCTTAAAATTTCTTTAAGTTAGTTTTGACCTTTCTCTGGTATCTCCTTGAGTAACTTAATAATCAACCTTTGAATTCTTTATCTGGCAATTCAGAGATTTCTTCTTGGTTTGGATCCACTGCTTTGGACCTAGTGTGATCTTTTGGGGGTGTTAGACTACCCTGTTTTGTCATATTACAAGAATTACTTTTCTGGTTTCCTGTCATTTAAGTAAACTATTTCAGTGGAAAAACCTGGAACTCAAGAGCTGCTGTTTAGACTCTTTTGTTCCACAGGGTGGTCCCTTGATGTGGTGCACTCTCCCTTTCCCTAGGGATGGGGCTTCCTGTGAGCCAGACTGCAATGATTGTTATTGCTCTTTTGGGTCTATCCAACCAGTGAAGCTACTGGGCTCTGGGATAATGCTGGGACGTGTCTGCAAAGAGTCCTGTGATGTGATCTGTCTTCAGGTCTCCCAGCCATGGATACCAGCACCTGCTGTGGTGGAGATGGTAAGGGAGTGAAGTAGACTCTGGTAGAATCCTTGGTTGTAGCTATGTTTAGTGTGCTGGCTTTCTGGAATGCTGGTTATGCTAGCAATGAAGTTGTCACGTGGACAGATTCATGACCACTTGTTAGCCAGGATGTTGGAAGCAGTGGAACTAGCTGTTTCCTCCTTCCTTGGAGCATGGTTATTCTGTCACGAACTGCTATAATATCTTGAGTTGGTTGGCCTTCTGCCAGGAGGTGGTGCTTTCAAGAGAGCAGTAGCTGCAATAGTAGAAGCAGGATATAAGTTTGCCCTAAGTTGGCCAGGATAAGTGTTGGGTTTCTCAGGCAAGGGTGGTATCATTAAATCCCCAAGAGTTTATGTCTTTTGTGAATGGCTACTGGGGTGGGGAGAGAAATACCAACAAGTCGGGGAAGTGTTAGGTGAGTCTGGGCTCAGACTGTCCTTTGACGGTATTTGCTGCAGCCACTGTTGGGGATGTGAGCATAGTTCTGGGGCCAACTGGGTTATGTTCCATAGGGTTTTGTGGTGCGTTTGTTGTCAAGAAAGTGGGGGAAAGCAGTAGTGATAGGCCTCATCCAGCTCCCACATAGTTGGTGAGGCTGGTCTAGCTCTAGCCATGCGTAGAGCTTATCTCCAGGCAGCTTGTGCCTTGGACTCCGACCTAGCCCCAGGCTATACGTTTCCTTAAGAAACAAGCAAGCATGGCTTCCAGGCCATGCCCCTTCCTGTCTTCCCACACTTTCTGGGGCTCCTGCTCTCCTTTCTGCAGCAGTTCCTGTTCGTCTCTCTATTCTGCCCGAAAGTTTACACCCAGTGAAAATCATTACAAAGTTCATTTGGAAGCTCCTTTCACCTTGTGACCCCTCCCAAATTCTGACAGTGGCCTTCTCCAAGAGTCCCTCTGTATGATATAGTCAGGGATGGCTTCCCTGAGCTCCAGCTGGCGAATGCAAGTGCCTAGAAGGCTCTTCCCACTGCTGCTTCTACCTTTATATTTCACACTAAATTCATTTCAGCTCTCGATAGGGTTTAAGGTTAAATCCTTCTCTCGTAATCTGGATTTTTGAGTTCTCCAGTGGAGATGTGTGTTTGGAGGAGGAGTCAAGTGGGAACTGCATATTTGCCATCTTCCTTCTGCTACAAATGGATTATTTTCTTATGTCAGTAAATTCAGCCTAGCAATTGTACGCTCTAATTCTTTTAGTAAAAATCATCGATACTGTCTAATTTGTAATCTCAGTCTCAGAATTTTCTTTCCTAATGACTATTTTCCTTTTTGTTTCAACTCCACCTCTTAGGAGGGCCTCTGCATTTTTGAGTCGTGGCCAGTCTCAAGAAAGGGGAAGTTGTGAAGCTTGTCATTTCTTGTTTCTTTTTCTTCCTGCTCTCAACCACTATTTACGTAAACATATTTTCTACTCCTGGTATTCGGTGCCATTGAAGAAGGGGACTTGTCTTCTTCCATTTGGTACAAAAAAACAAGTGATATTTGCCTATCTGGCCTTTGAAGTTTTCTTGGGCAACATCCAGTTTGACTTCATCAGTTTGTAAGGTCCTGCACAGGACAGACTCTTCTCCCTCCATCCCCTGCCAGTACTCCTCCTCCATGTCACGTCACCTTCCCAGGTTCAGTGCCCACATGTGGCTAAATGAACATCAGGGCAAATCAAAGTTCCTTCTTCAACTGCCTCTATGTTCCCTCTTGTATAGTCAAAGGATTCAGCTGTGTGTTCCTGAGTGGGAAGTAGGTTAGACAGCGCATCTCGACTATCAAGAAGAGTAACCTGTTTCACTGAGCATTCTATGATACCATTTCATCACAAATAGGTTGGATACAACCCCATTTTTCAAGTTTAATGAAATACTGCTTCTGTTGTTCTTATTGGAAGGCTGCAACAATTAGACGGCAGAGAATGTAAAGAAAGAAAAGCATTTTGGTAACTTTTTTTTTAGACTGAGTTTCACTCTTGTTCCCCAGGCTGGAGTGCAATGGTGCTATCTTGGCTCACTGCAACCTCTGCCTCTTAGGTTCAAGCGATTCTCCTGCCTCAGCCTTCTGAGTAGCTGGGATTATAGGGATGCGCCACCACGCCCAGCTAATTTTTTTTTTTTTTTTAGTAGAGATGGAGTGTCTCCATGTTGGTCAGGCTGGTCTCAAACTCCTGACCTCAGGTGATCCACCTACCTTGGCCTCCCAAAGTGCTGGGATTACAGGTGTGAGCCACTGTGCCCAGCCGCACCATGTTATAAATGCTTAAGGAATCAGTGTATATCCAGCTTTGTTCTTCATTCATGTAATCTATAATTACACTAAAGTTATTTTCGATTTCTTTAATAGATCATTACATTTCTCTGGTATAAATCATTGCTATGATTTTCACAAATCTGCACTTTACATTAGTTGAAAAGATATAGCCATCAGTTTTCCAGCTTCCTAACTACATATATTTTAAAGTTCATTCTGGGTGCCTGCCAAGTTATTTTCGAGATTCTGATTATTAGTTCACATTTGAATTTATATTACCCTTCAACCAGAACTTTGCCATAAGAAGCAGCTCTGATTTGGAGATGTGTAGTTTGTTAAGTCTCATTTTTTCTTCTTTAATGTCTCAGAAAGATATTGCTTCCTACAAATTGGCAATGTTACTTTTGGAAAGAGATGCAAAGGATCCAAGGTCACCTTGGGGGCTTTAAAATAAGTTGTCTGATAATTTGCCAGGGGAAATTTCAAATGCCCATGGTTCACACTGCTAAGTACATGACCTTTTCATCAGTTTTTGCTCCTGTAATTATGTTGTTGAATTCCTCATTTATAAATTATATATACTTATATCCCATGGTGGATACATATTTGTGTGTATGTGTGTGTGTGTGTAATTTATAGCAATATCCTTTCAAATTAGTAAATGAAAGGAATTTTTAAGTAATTTCATCATCTCAGAAAAGGCGATCTTTTAAACCTGATTTCAATATAATTTGTTATTCGAATCAATTTAAAAATCATAAGATTTTTCTGCTCAGATGATCATTAGCATTTTTTAGCAACAAAATAAGGTATGCACATTGTTTTCTTAAGACACAATGCTATTGCACACTTAATAGACTACAGTATAATGTAAACATAACTTTTGTATGCACTGGGAAACAACAACAAAAGAAAAATATATTGTCATCCTATATAAAGCAAATTGACAGAAGTGGGATTAGCTATTTGTGTACTTGCCACACAGGCATTTTCTCACTTCTGCCAGTCTTGAAGCCCATGACTTTAATGACTCCATAACTGCAATCCCAGCATCAACCATCCTCAGCAAGCTGCACCTAATATCACCCACATCCCATAACAAAATGAGAAATTTGAATTGTATTGGTGCTTGGTAGTCATAGAAACTCTTAGTTCAGGTATTTCCAATACTGGCTGTAAATCAGAATCCTATGTACAGTGTCTGAAAAATTATCTAAAACTGGGAAGTAAGGTAAAAAAATGGATGATACATGTTTTCAGTGTTATATAAGGGCAAAGACTACTGAAAATCATTTTGGGAAATAACCTAAATCAACCTAATAAGCTTAGTTTTATTCTCTATTACCTCTGATTAAACTCGCAGATGTAGAAAAGTTACAGGTTAGCTAGTAAACTTTTGTCTCATACAGATACAAATAATTTGTCCTGTGAAACACATAACCCTAGAGATGGTATTTCATGGCTATGGTGGACATTAATTAATTTACTAAACTGCTCAATGACCCTGTCCTCCTATACATAGCCTAGCTTCTCAGATGCTCTTTGAATCAATAATACTATCATTAATATATAATGTTAATGAAACCCTTATTAATTAATAAGTTAAATAAAATTTTGACATGTGTTTATATTATTTGCCTTAGAGTCATGACTTTTAAGCTATTGGACAATTACAGTTTAACAATCACTTTCAGACTATGTGGATATCTGAGCCATGTCACAGGCTTCCAACATTTGCAGGACACTATCCATGAGCCCATAGATTTTCCAGAATAACATTAAGGAACATCCAGCAAAATGATGAAGTCTGTGATGCCGTGTTCTAATTTCTTCTACTCATACCCAGTTCATGCCTCAGTCTTGTTAAAGGCTCCATCTAGCATGCCTTTCCTCATCTTCAGGAGCCATTTAAATATAACCTGCTCTGAGTCTTGCTTTATTCCTAGCCACCTGTACTCCAGAAAAAGTTAATTTCACTCTTATTGCAATCTGATAGTATTTTACTTACTTTTTTATTGTATAGTAAATTTTGTTCTTTTTTTTTTTTTTGAGATGGAGTGTTACTCTGTTGCCCAGGCTGGAGTGCAGTGGCTTGATCTCAGCTCACTGCAACCTCCGCCTCCTAGGTTCAAGTGATTCTCCTACCTCAGCCTTCCTAATAACTGTGATAACAGGTATGTGCCACCACGCCCAGCTGATTTTTGTATTTTTTTTTTTTTTTTGAGACATAGTCTCACTCTGTTGCCCAGGCTGGAGTGATGATGATCTCAGCTCACTGCAAACTCCTCCTCCCGGGTTCATGCCATTCTCCTGCGTCAGCCTCCCAAGTAGCTGGGACTACAGGCACCCGCCACCACGCCTTGCAAATTTTTTGTGTTTTTAGTAGAGACGGGGTTTCACCATGTTAGCCAGGATGGTCTTGATCTCCTGACCTCGTGATCCGCCCACCTCGGCCTCCCAAAGTGCTGGGATTACAGGCATGAGCCACCATGCCTGGCCAATTTTTGTATTTTTAGTAGAGACAAGGTTTCACCATGTAGGTCATGGTTGGCCAGGCGGGTCTCAAACTCCTGAACTCAGGTGATCCGCCTGCCTGGGCCTCTCAAAGTGCTGAGATTACAGGCGTGAGCCACCGTGCCCGACTTCATGTTTAGCACTGTCATTAAACAATCATTTACTTAGGTAGAAATCATGTCTTAGTCATTTCTTTTCAGCCAGCTCTTAACCCACTGGCAAGACAATGTATACAAAATGCAAGTATGCTGACAAAGTCACTCAAGGAACAAATAACAAAGGAACAAGTTGATAATCGAAAGGGTACACTCATAGTTACACTAAGGCAAATAGGTCAATCTAATAAAAAGAAAAGAGTGAGTTGTATTGGAAAGGAGTAAGGTAGCAAATGATAAGATGATGAATGGCCAAATCAGGAATGACCTTGCATACAGGTTAGTAAAAGTATTTTAATTAGAGGAACTGACTTCAGTATCTTTATGCCAGGTTCCAAATGCTTTGCTTTTGTGAAAGTATAAAAATTTTATTTAAACAGTTTGTTTCAGTGGTCTAAAACTTCACCTAAATCAACATCCTATACATACAATTTTGCTAGTATTGCTTACAAACATGAAAACATGTGCAATTAAACAATAAATGTGCTCCTCATCACCTAGTGAGATTTAGTAAGAAAATAATTTTCAGCTACACTACAGTTTGAAGAGTAGGAAGAATTATATTTTTCAGTTTAACTCCTAATGTGGAATAAAACATGAATTTTTTTTCCATCTCTCTCGAGGGAATATTTCAGATTCACTGAAGAGCTATGAGATAAAAGAAACAAAAAAAGTTTTATATAGAATTTTTTCAAAGGAAAATTTATTTTTGAAAGTAGAAGGTTTTTTCCCAAGTTCATGTGAACTGCATTTTTTTCTGTGTCTAAGTCCCGACCTGCTCCTGTGTTGTGCCTTGCTTTATTTCCCAGCTTTTTCTGGTTTCCTTTCATCTGTCTCCTTGTTAAGTTGTATCTTCTGTGCAGAATTAGACCTGAAGGTTTTAGTGTTTTTTTTCAGTTTTTCTTAAATCGAGTGTGGTTGCAATCAGAAAACTGTTTGGAGAGGTGAAAGGCAGCAAGAAAGGAGTATGGGGAAGGCTGTGCTGAAAAGAAAGACCAAGGAGGAAAAGAGTGAAGAAGGAAAAGCTCTGCTAGCAATTAACACAGGGTGGCCTTTTCTCATCAGGAGCTGAAGAAATATTTCATGAAGTAGAAGAAATGACTCTTAAGCTACCTCTGAACTCTTTTTTATGTATAGCCTATACATATATTTTGTTGCATAAACACGTCTCAGTTAATGGAATAACTACATTTAGAGATTTGAACTCTGCTTTAGAAGCAATATTAACTTCACCCAAAATGTTTAGAAATAACTGGAAAAGAATGGATAAACTTCTGGAAAATTCTACAGTGAATTCCAATTGGAGAAATCCTCAAAATTCATTCGTCTAAATTGTTACAATGAACCAATAATTAGATATTAGTGTTCTAGACTAAATGTGCATCTTCATTTCTTAGTTTTCCTTCTCTAATTTATACCCAGTAATCCTAACTCTTTTATTTAATCCAATCCTTTTGTTTGTTTGTTCATTTAATGAGAGAGGAAACTAATGCATCTAAGCTTTGCTTTGTTTGCAAAATTCAACTGCTGAGCATCAACCTTCCCCATTTTCTTAAATTTTGATTGGCAGACCAGATTGCAGTAATTCCTCCAGCCCTCCTCTTCAGAAGGTGGCAATTTAACTATTAATTAAAGATAAAGAATCTGATCCTTGTTTCACCTTGATAATCAGAGGCACTCTGTGAAGCCTATTAGAATTAGTTTTCAGTGGGCTGATTAGGATAATATTGAGACAGGAAATTTTAAAATGCTATACTTAGAAATGGGTCAGGAGACAGAAGAAAATATATTTCTATATTGAAGAAAACAAAAAAACAATTTAAATCAAGGCTTGTTTTTCCTGCTCCTCCTGAATAATAACTTGGGATTTTCACCAGCAATTAAATACATTTATTTTTTTTTTAACTTTTATATTTGTGTTGGAAGCCTAATTCTGAAAAGCTGTGTGAAAACTACCATTATACAAAAGCGATTTAATACTAGAAAGCAAACACAAAAACCGAGAAGAGTCAGGATGGTTAGAAAGTTGGTATATCATATGGAATCTTATATTTCTTCTCTCTCCCTGGGAATACAGTTACTACCCATTGTAAAAGTGAACTGCTGAGATAGCAATTGCCTTTCAACTACCCCTGGTAGCTCTGTTCCTCATTATTATAGATATAGTAGATCCTTTGATCGGGCTTAATGAAACATTTGGCTCCCCAAGATGCAGGCTGAACCTCCGTGACCCGTGATAGTTTGTAATCGTCCTGGAAAAAACTTAGTCTCCCCCATTATGGGCTTATTTATGAGAATAAGTTTGTGGTGAGTAATCCTAGCTGACTTTTCTAGCATATGCAGCTCAGCCTGGCTCTTTTATTTCACTTGTTCTGTGTATAGTAACGTGTAGTGGTAAAATCTTATGATTTTGTGGGAATATGGACCCCCCAAAAGAAAACACCACTTTTCCTGTATTTAAAAGTGAAGAAATCTTAAAGAAATAAAAAGAGTTTTTATTTAGATGAGAGAAGTTTTAGGAATATAAAAAAGAATATTGAATTTACCATTGCTCTGATATGGAAATGACAAATTTTTCATACATTTTATATACCAACAAAAGAGAGAGAGAGTGAGAAAAAGACTGAAATTTGTAAGACTGCCTTTTACTTCAAAAATCACTATTTTTTTAGTTAATTAAAAAAACAAACGAAATTTGAAAAGAAGAAAGAATGCTTGCATGATATTTATAATTTTAGTTCTACATCTATGTAACATTTAATTATCTAAAAGAATCACTTAAAATGTTCAGTTAAACTTTATGTCATACTGAAAATAATATAATTTTTAACAATGGTCTTCATAGATTTGAGACTGTAATCAGAAATATAACCTTCATGCATGCCAAGCATTTACTGTATATATATGCATGAGTGCTTATGTTTTAATAGAAAGTAATTACATTAACTACAGATATTTGTCCTAAGATTTAAAAACATATATAGGTGACATTTCTTTGCTCAATCAGTTTCTGTTTTTGTTGTTGGTGGTTGTTCGTTTGTCTTTGAGACAGGGTCTTACTCTATCACCCAGGCTGGAGGGCAGTAGCACCATCACAGTTCACTGCAGCCTCGACCTCCTGGGCTCAGATGATCCTCCTGCCTCAGCTTCCCCAGTAGCTAAGACTACAGGCACACACCTCAACACCTGGCTAATTTTTGTATTTTTTTGTAGAGATGAGGTTTCACCATGTTGCCCAGACTGGTCTCAAACTCCTGGGCTCAAGTGATCCCCCTACCTCGGCCTCCCCAAATGCTGAGATTACAGGTGTGAGTCACCATGCCTGGTCAATCAGCTCTTTTAGAGTCTCTGATCTTCATGTATTTGCTTGATTGTCTCAGCAGCTTTTTCTTTTATTGTATGAATGCCTGTACTAACTAATAATAAAACTACTTAAGTACTTCTTGCTTGAGATATAGCCAATGGAAACTCCACAATGAATTTATCAATTTTGAAATAAATTTTTATCTTTATCATGATAGCAGATACATCGGCAAACAGCAGCATATTGTTCAACTGTATATTATCAAAGACTGACATCAATCAACTAAGAAAGCCATAGGCTGTTTTCAATAGTTGTTTTGCTCTCCTAGACCTTCATTGTTTTGGAAAGCAAATAAATATACAAATATGTGGCACAAATAGTGGCATTTGATTAATATAATTGGTTAGAAATTTTATGTTCCCTTTCTTTTGTTTTAGTAGGGCAACTCTCCTTGCTGAATAGAAGTTGTGATTTGGTATAAATTTATATTAAAGAGCTAATGCCTATTGTACCATAACTGTTGGAAAGCTGTGAGAATAGCAGGTGAGAGTAGCTGGTAGAGCTTTGAGCCACATTCTAAAAGATATGCACAGTGGTCATGCCATTCACCAAGAAACTTTGCTGAGTTGCTTTAATTATCTCCACAAAGTCCTTGCTGCCCAGTCAGAGGTGGTTAACCTGTCAACCCTCAACACCAAGGGTGAACTCTGCTTACTTTTCTTTCAGGATTTTTCTATTACATTTTTTTCCCCCAAAGATCCTGGAGTACTTTTTCTGACCAATCTTTAGTTGAGTAAATATCCTAAGGTTTTTCTCCATAGGCTCATAACAGGATATTTATTTAGATTTATAAACAAAAAGGAAGAATTTTGAAGTCAATGTACATTTTTGTTCAAATGTAGTTATAACATTTTAAGACCCCTAAAGACAACCTTGTATAACACTGTGAACACTCTATGGTACAAATTATTGTATTGCTAACCTATTAGCAATTATGGTACTGCTAATTATTGTATTGTATTGCTAACACATATAGACTGAATGTATGTGTTTGTGCATTTATGCATACTTATTTTTATATACCACGAATAATACTGAAGTAATTGCTAAAAAAGATTTCACAATAAAATTATGTAATTCTAAATAACCAAAAAAAAAAAAAAAAATTACTGGCTACCAGAATATTTGTGGCTGCTTTCTCTGTCATTGATTTTGGTAACAGTCCAAACAAAATTTCACCAGTTGGTCTGTAATTTACTTTATAAAGCTCAAAAATGAGTTAAGGATAAGAGTGAGAGTGCTGATTAAACAAGAATGGTAAAATAAAATATTGACAATTTGTAAAGACAGCTGAGGATACCTGGGGATTAATATATTTTAATATATTTTTTCTGCTAATTTTTCGATTTCTGTTTATATTGGTTTATATTTCTAAATTTCCATAATACAAAAGTATCATATTTCTCATTGACTAATTCTATACAATTTTAAGAGAGAATTTTTTTGAGTGTTACAAAAGCAACAGAGAAAATGTCTTCTCTCTTTTGTCTAGTGTTAGGCCTATGATCTATAAAAGTTTAGACATTCAAAAATACTTAAGCTTGAAAAATGAACAAAGTTAAAGTGTTCTGGGAGGGTGCAATGGAGGTGTCAAAAGACTAAATGGTGGATAAATCAGAAAATAGTTGAATGAATTTTAAACATCATATATAAATATTAACAATCCTTTCATTGATTACTCGGATTACCTCTATGGCAAGTATGTTTGACCACAGCTGGTTTTTTCAGACACCACTAAAATCTTAACTTTGTCTCTAATAAAACTATTAAATATATCTAATTTCAAGTGTTGATTATAGTGTTCAAACAAAAGCTTATACATAGTTTAGAGCAGAACCGGAAAAGACATCAAAATGAAAGTAGTTAAAAATTATTCTTGTATATTCCACAAAATAAAAAAGTGACAAAACGTTATTTATGGAAAATATACAAAGACAAAAAAGTAAAATAAAATCTTATGTAAAAACATTTTTAAAAGAACAATTTTACTTCTTGGAAAAGGTATTTGTTTTCTTTTGAAAATTCACTCTATACTCAAATAATAATGCTGATATGGAATAAATATTCATCAAGAGAAAAATTGTGAAATTGCTTTATTTCACCAAATAATATTATTTTACTTGTGAAACTGAATAAGAAACACATTTATGTTAATTGCATAGCTTGCAATTTTGTACCCCACTTCCAGTAGCTTAGACACAATATTATTAACTTTCCAAAAAATTAACACATATATCTACTTTGATTTTCTCCAAAACACTGAGAGAACACTAATCAATTGTCTATAAATACCTTTGGAACATAGACTTGCTTGATAATTTTACTAGTACACTGTAGACCAGCTATAAAGACTTTGGATGTAAATGAAGTGCTGTATTGCCATGACCTAATCATATCAATTATAGGCAATTGTAACATATTTATCTTGAACATTGAGAATTACTTACTAGAGTAATTGCCAAATACAAAATGTGTTTATTTGATTAGCTAGGGCAGTAACAAGTACTACTTTGTAATCTAAATCTAGAATGTAAGGATCACATTGAATAAGCCAGTCATAAAACTGACATAAAGGATGCATTTACATCTAGGAACATGTTATCTTTGCATATTAAAATATTTTATATCTAGTAGGGAAAATTTTCTGCTTTTATTTTAAATACTCTGTTAATTTGTTTAAATAAATTTCTTTATTTAAAACAAAGAATAGTACTTTTCCAAGTTTCCATAATCAAAACAATGTAAAATAAACTTTGAAAAATCTGGTCCCACTCATATCTCATTTATCACATTTCTCCTCCCACTATGGAAAATTACTTTCTTCCCCTGTATATCTTTGCGGTGTTTCTTTATCGAGAATGCAAGTAAAGTAAATACAAGTATATATTCTTATTTCCCTTGGGTTCTTCCATACAAAATTAGCATACTATATATACTCTATTGTGATGGCTTTCACCTACTCAGCAGTTTCATATGGAGCTCTACTCATATCATTTTATAGAGCGTTTCATCAATTTTTTTTATAATTTTCTATTGTTGACGGACTTTTCCCCTTCACATTGAGAAGAAAATCTGAATTCTTCAGCATGGTTTATAAATCCTACATAGTATGTATGTCCCTCCCTTATTTTTCTGATCGTATGTTATGCCAGTCTCTTCCACACCCATCAAACTTCCAGCATATCAGCATTCTTTCCATTTTGGGGATATTTTAATAAGTGACTTTAATCTTTATTTAATATATAAATTGCCTATGGCACTTCTAAATATATAAGTAGATACACATCTTATTTTGATTCCTTTAAATATACTAATGAATACATTATGAGCCATAATGTTGAATTTATAATGTTTAATATTTATAATATTGAATTCAACATGCTGATTATTTAAGAATTGTATTAGTTTTCTATTGCTGCTGTAACAAATGGACACAAAACTAGTGGCTTAAAACAATACAAAGGTATTATTTCATAATTCTGTAAGTCTGAAGTCAGTCTGATATGAATCTTTTGGGTTGGAATCAAAGCGTCAGCAGGTTTGTGTTCCTTTCTGGAGAAACAACCTTCTTTTGTACTATGCCAAAAAAACTCCAACTTTATCATAAGAACGATGCTCGGTGAATGAGTCCCTTTGCTCTCATCTTTCTCCTTACTACCTTTGTCCCATTCACTTACCTACTTAGCACTCACTTTCACACTGCAGATGGGAATGGGATTATGGTCACCCCTCCTAGTCAGTCAGTGCCTTGGAAGCCATCATTAAGAATTCTTTACCTTCAATTAGGAAGTCAACCTATAATCATCATGCTTTATTCAAACCTATGTATCACTGATTTTCACTATAGAATGCAATTCCCCACATAGCGGGAATAATCAGTCCCAGGCTTCAGATCACATGTAAAGGGAACTGAGTCATATTCCATGAGGAGCCTCTTTCCTGATTCTGTGAATACTAGTTCTTTCCATGTATTGTAAAAGGAATTACCAAATTATTTACCTGGAACAGTCTTCTATAGAACTTCGCAGAAGTGCAGAACAAATCAGTATGTTTATGCAAACACACACACACACACACACACACACACACAAACAGAACATGACTGCTATGATTTTATTAAGATTCAGTTCTCCTTAGTTTGAAGTTCAGCCCCACACTGAGGATATTTCTCTTAGAATTATGGACCTACAGGGCCAGAGTCCTTTTATACAAGAAAAATGTTCAAAATAAACCTGACAATAATAAATAATTAACCATCAATATCTTATTTTTGTTTGGTAGGTAAATATTGTTTGAATATGATGGAGTTTGCTCTGCTCAATTGTAATTAATTTTTCTGTTGACTCTCCAGGCTTCTTCTTCACAATGAGAGCTTCAAAACGGAAAGGCACTTGCATGCCAGCATATTTGCCCAGCTGTGCAGTAATTGTCTTAAATGTGAACTGATGGAAGAAAAACAAACAATGAGAGACTTTGTCCTCAACCCCAGACACTGACAATGAAACCATCCAAAGCAAAAATGACATTGAGAGTGAAAATAAAACCTAGCCCAACCTGAATGAGTGTTCTGTTTGTTTTTGAAATGAGATATTCTATCTCAAAAACTGTTGAGGCTTACTCTGGTGTCTCCAGGTTAAGGCTTGAAATAAAATTTATAGAGAATTTCAAATGATTATTTAAAGAAATTTAACTTCTTCTATGGTCTAAATTGCTTTAATATTTACTATTTTGAATTTTTATTCTTTAGGTGAATAAATTTATACATAATAAAAATGACTACATAATTTATATTAAATATGGAAATAAAGTAGCTGAGGTTTTTTAAGGTATACATTCTCAAAAGGTGATATGGTTTGGCTGTGTCCTAACCCAAATTGCATCTTGAATTGTAGCTCCCATAATCCCCATGTGTCGTGGAAAGGACCTGGTGGTAGGTAACTGAATAATGAGGGTGTATTCTTTCCATGCTGTTCTCATGATACTGAATAAGTCTCATGAGATCTGATGGTTTTATAAAGGGCAATTTCCCTGCACATGCTCTCTTGCCTGCCATCATGTAAGACATGGCTTTGTTCCTCCTTTGCCTTCTTCTGTGATTGTGAGGCCTCCCCAGCCATGTGGAACTGTGATTCCATTAAACCTCTTTTCCTTTATAAATTATACAGGCTCAGGTATTTCTTCAAAGCAGTATGAAAATGGACTAATACAAAAGGTGTGCTTAGGTCACAAAACTCAAATGACTGTTCATTTGATATCTCCAAGACTCACTTTAAGTGTTAATGCAGCAGTTTTCAACCCTAGCTGTGTATTAGAATTGACTTGGAGGTTAAAAACAAAACACACACACAAAAGAAAACAATCAGGGCTGTCTGTACCCCTAACAACTCTAATAGATCTGCCATAGGGCCTAGGCATTGACCTTTTTAAGTACCCTCCCTCCACCCTTAATGATGGGTAGCATGGATGTAGAGTCACTGCTAAAGAGGAGAATCTTTTCCTAAGTTCATCCACATCTCAGCTGCTCTCCATATTGCTCTAAACTCCTGTGCTTCTGCTTATTTAGTTGCTGGTTGTTGTTTTAAATTTCAGAATTACCACTTCTAATTGCCATTGCCAAGCTTCCCTTAGCAGAATGGTGATATACAGAAAGACCATTTTCTGTTTTTTTTTAAAATCCCTCAAAACAAAGTTAGATTATTTGGAGTATCTAAAATGAATTACACTGTCAAATGAGAAAGGCAGGGTCTGTTTCCAGATGAAAGAGACTGTATAAACTACTCAGACAGAATATCTTTCTGGGCAAAGCCCAGTTCTGCACATTGCTTTCATGTGGTGACTCTATGCCCTTTCTGTACCAGAGACATAGCACTTTCCACATTTCTGGAGCATGAACATCTGTTCCCCCTTTGAAATTTCAATCTTTGTAATTAGTTTGCTCCTAGGATTTTGCAGGGGTTTGCATCCTTCTGTCTCTCCTTAGGCATTCCATAGGATACAATATTCTGCAGAGGCATACTGCCTGTTACCTAAATAACTCCTGAATATGACCATACATGAATAAGGTAGTTATAAATAATATGGGTTGAGAGTAACAGAGACCTGAAATGTAGGTACTTAAATAGTCTCATTGTGTATTTCTTTCACTCATAAGTATATAGATAAATGCAATCCTGAAATGAAGTGATAGCTGTAAATTTTCCGGGGCCAAAAGAGCTTCTAGCTTTCTATACTCCATTACTAGGGTATAGCCTTCAGTGCATGATCCATTACAAAGTTCCAGTTATATCCAGCAAGATAAAAGAAAAGAACATTTTCTGAAATCTGCCTGGTAGCACTTCCTATATCTAATTTTCATGAATTTGATCAGATGACAACATCTATAGAAAGGCAAACTAGAAATATAGTCTTTATTCCAGGTAATGAGGTGTTCAGCAAAAATAAAATGGAAGTGTTTTGAGGAGGAGAACAGGTGCTGGAGGTCAGTAGGTAAGGGTCTTTGCACCAGAGGATTCAGTATAACAATGTAAAGTAGGATTTGGAACTAAGGTAAGCAAAAGTGTAGAGTAGGTTTTGGTGCTGTAAAATCAGTCACCACAATGGGGTGAAAATATATGTGGTGGCTGCAATGGTACACTGCTTGTGCTCCTTTCGGGTCCCAGAGACACTTACACATTTCCCCAGCTGGTAGGAGCATTGGCTATAGATAGCTTGCAACTAAGTCCTTGGGACTTTTCTTTGGCTAAAAGGAGTTGCCTCACTGACAGTTATGTCCCATGCCCTATAGGGCAGCCAAAATCTGATAATTGTTCAATGCAGAGGGACAAAGACCTGCCACCTTGCTTTAATCCTGGACAACTCTGAAGCACTCTCTCAACTCCTGAGCTCCTGAGCAGGCCAAGGCTGTGGTTGCATCTCCATCTCAGTTCAGATTCTCCCCCTACATAATCCTGATTTCCATACTCCTTTACAGGTATTTTCCTCAAAAGCACTCATAAATATACCTTTTACATGCAGAACTCTTTCACAGAGACTGTTCTCCCACAAACCACACCAAAGAGAGTTGATAGCAGAAGTTGTCTTAAGATACACACCTTTGAAAGGAATTGGAGCTGGATCATCAGCAGTTAGCAATGATCTCCTCATTGCTAACAAGGTAGAAAATTACTAGCCCCTAAGTATGCTACAGTGCCACAATTGTTAAAGCTTTCCTCTGTGTAGAACTAGGATAGAATACCTATAGAAAGGAATGCAATGGTGCCTGCAATATATCACACTTTTAGGAAGTTTGGGAAAAATAGAAATTATGAGGATTATGAGATTATTAGTGACATTCATTGGGTATTATCAGTGTGCTAGTGACAGAAAATAAAAAGCTGAGGGCAACTGCTGGCAGATTTAAAGAGACATTTGAAAATAAGAGGTTCTCATTAGCTGCATGTGAAAAGTTTTTCTATCTCTTGGAAAGGGAGAACAGAAAATCTGAGAACTAGGCTCAGAAATTAAATATCTAAGAGTAAAGGAAACCCAAGGACACTTGAATTTTCAAGTGTATCAAGTCTTCTATCCCAAGGCCTGGCCCCTCATAGGCTGAGTCTTGGAATGGAGGTACCTAGATAGATGGACTCAAGAATCTCGTAATCCCAGATATCTCAGATCTCTGGACCAGTAGAAATGTCTCAGTACTCTCTGCTAAAGGCCAGTGCCTTCCCTGGCTTGAAGACAATGCCGATGCTTCCTTAGCTTTCTGTTCTCTTTCCTTGTGGTATAGACCCCTCCTATCCTTACTTCCTCTCTTAGGGACAAAACCAATAACTGGGGTCCAATTACAACATAACCTGGAGGAGAAGTATTGGTCATCCAAGGAAGGAAGTGAAATACATGCCAAATTTGCTAAATGTCCTAGGAAACATATATGACAAGAGCCAGGAAGAAAGAATGGGGCTGGATTATGAAAGTTCCATATTGACGGATGTGAAGCATAAAGTTGGATAGGAAAGAGAGATTGTTCAAATGAGCAGTGCCTCCTGATACAAGAATTAATAACTTTAGTTTCAAGGGAGATTGGAAAATGGTGCTAGCATGCTACTAAGGATGGCTCTTGGAAGCTTGACAAAGGGTGTGGTCCAAATAAAGTAAAGTAGAAATGCTGTATTGTTAAGTCAGATAGGGAAGAAGAGAATAAAAGGCTCAGAGAAGTATTCAGCCTGGAGTGGATACATTATTAAGGCTGGAAAACTCATCATTGGTCTCTAGTCTCTTGAAGGACCTAAAGGACACTTCATTTACCAAAGTGATAAGAAGTACACTGGTGATCAGGGTACTGGCATTGTTGAGACAACTCTCTGCTCTAGAATAGGGTTGCTTGTGGGAGATGCTGTTGCAGAACGGGCTCCCTGATAGCAGTGGGGGTGATAGGCTCTAGAATAAATAGAGACCATATTGTGGTGTTTAATCATTACAGGCAAGGCAGTCTGTAATGGATGGCATAGTGATATTGGGAGGGCAAGCTGATTTGTGGAAAGCTTTGGAGATAATTAATAGAGTGTGGTATTCTTAGAGCAACATAAGTTGGGCAGTCAACAAGGGTATCAGATGATCAACACTGAGAGCAGCCACTCTAATAGGAATCCACAATATCTTTTCCCATTTCTTGACCTGATACAGTTTTGTAAATCAGAAACTTCTATCTGAAGGAGAGGCAGAGTCCCATTGAGAAAGGACCTGAAAATACCACAACAAGGTTATGGAGAAATAACTCTTCTAGACCTTCTGCAAAAGGATCTATGACCATTTATGCAGATAACCACAATAGGGGTCAAAATTAATGTTTGCAGGATTTAAGTTGGCAATAATACTGGGGATTTGAGGCATCATGATGACCTACCTCTCACCCCTACCATTTGAATGGGGGTAGTTGGGACACAGGTAATAAATCAAGTCCTGACCATGCCTGGCTCTCAGTGAGTGTTCTGTATCTCTGAATGTATATACAGGTCATTTTGCTGGTCTTCACCTGTATAACTCAGTGGAAATAATTGGTAGTTGAAAGAAATCCCCAAAATACTTCACTAGCCTATATGACCTGTCATAGTGTGTTGGGCCAAGAAGAAACTTCCGAAACTGTTCCTCTCCTGGGAAAGATAGCACAAAAGCAGTATCAACTTCCAGAGAAAATAGAAGAGATTAGCTCTGTTCTAAATTATCTACGGGATTCAGGGGTTTGGTCCTCATTATATCCCCATTTATTTCAAAATCTAGCTTCTAACAAAGAAGATGGATCCTGGCAGATGACAGAGGAATATCACAAACCCGACCAAGTAGTAACCTTAATTGTAGCTGCTCTGCCAATTATGGTGTCTTTGTGAGAGCAGCTTAACTCAGTCTCAGGCATACATCCATGATCAGGTGAAAGCATTTCTATTTGTATCCCTTTTAAGAGAAAAGATCAAAACCAGTTCTCATTTATGTGGGACAAACATAAGAACACATTTAACATTGTGCTCCAAGGCTATGCTAATTCTTCCGCCTTCTGCCTCAGTAAAATCAGAAGGCACCTGGACCATCTGGACATATCACAGAAGATAAAATTGGTCCACTATTTTGATGACATTAACTTAATTAAACCAGATGAGCAAGACATGGCAAATATATTGGAGGCCTTCATAAGACACATATATTCCAGAACAGAGTTATAAAACCTGTAAACTTTCAAGGCCCTAAAATTTTTAGAATGGTCTGGGCCATGTCAGGAATACCTCTCCAAAATGAAGAACAGAACACTTGGGCTGTTACCACTTTTGGCTAGTATTCATGAGGCTACTGTGAACATTACTGTATCTGTTTGAGTCCCTGCTTTCAGTTCTTTTGGGTACATACCCAGAAGTGGAATTACTAATACAGCCAAACTTTCACTTTTATTTTGCTTTTCAAAGTAGTCACATTTCATGGTTTTAAAAGTCAAACAGTTCTATACTGTTTCTAATGAAGAACAGCAGTTACCTATCCTACCTCTCTTTGCCCCGATTCCTTCCTCAGTGTCATCCACTTTAAACTCTTCAGCTGTTTGTTTTATTTACCATATTTATAAATTTCATTCTGATTTGCTGATTTTTTTACATTGGAGATTATACTTATTTCTCACTATAGAAGATAAAGACTTAACTCCTATATACCATAATGGTAAAATGTTTGAAAACATAGCTATGGTAAGTTCTCCCATCCCTCAACAAAGTTATTTAAAGAAAAGAGAAAAAGCTAAAACATTTGTGAAATTTAATGCCAATAAAGTAAAATATGCAAAATGAGAAAACGAATCAAAGAGAACATAAGTAGAGAAGATAGGCAAAAAAAAAAAAAAATTCTACACACATATATTTAGACTCTAAAAAAACTAAAAATAACCAAAGAGAATTAATATTGAACATGATAATTTAAGACTATAATTCCCAATGTTCTGAAGTAAAAGAGGACACATTTTACTAGAACTAGCCAAAAGCAAGCTGAATAAGCTATGTTTAAATCAGAGAAAGTGGCCATCAAAGCAGAGAATATTAAAGGAAATATGACCATTTCATCATAACAATTAGGTCAACGTTCTTAGAAGACTTACAAATCTCAAACATGTATACACTGAACAAGAGTGCTTCAAGGTATACATGGCAAAACAGAACAGAATAGAAGGACAAGTTCGCAATTATATTTGAAGGCTTTACTACAACTATCCAATAATGGATAGAAAAAAAACAGATAATAATAGAGAAAACTTGAACACCATCAATCAAATTGGCCTGATCAACACTTTTAGAACACTCTCCTCAACAAAAAGAGAATATACGTTGTTTTTCAGTGTACATAAAATATTTTTTAAAATACCATAACCTGAGTGAAATGACAAATCACCTTAAATCACTTTAAAATGATCACTTTAATCACTTTAAAATAATATAACTCATATTAAGCATGTTCTTGAATCATAACTAATTCAAACTAGAAAGCATTAACATAAAGGTATTTAGAAATTTTATAAATATGTGGAAGTTTTACAATATAGTTCTAAATAAATAATTAGTGAAAGAGAAAATCTCAAGAAAAATTTTGAAAATAAGTATCAAAATTTATAGCATTGAATTTTATATTAGAAAATAAAAAGGAATTAAAGTAGAAATCTAAGCTTTGGCATTAAGAAACAAACATTAAAAATAAACAAAACCCAAATAAGCAGAAGTAATGAAATAATATGAGTATGAAACAATAAAATTCAATGCACACACACACACACAAAATCAGAAAATCAATAAAATGAAAACCTAGTTTTTGGAAAATGTCAATAAAAATGACAAGCCTTTCAGCAGACTGACCAAGAAAATAAAGAAAATATGAATTTTTCAATACTGGGAACAACATTAAAGCTTCATAGACAGTAAAAAAAAAATAATAAAAATTGAAATAAAAAATTACAAAAAATACTATGCCTCTGAATTCAACAATTCAGAAGATATGCAATTCCTTGAAGGACACAAACTAACCAAGCATATTTTAATCTAATAGATTAACATAAATAAAGATTTATCTATTAAAGAAATTGGATTCATAGTTAAAAAGCCTTCCAACAAAGACAACTTCAGGCCCAAATCATTTTAATAGTAAATTCTAATAAATATTTCAGGAAGAAATAATACTAAGTCTGTACAAACTCTTCACAAAATGAAACAAGATCAGCACCACTCAATGCATATTATGAAGCTAGCCATACCCTAATACCAAAACCAAGTGAAAAGAAAAATGTTACAACTAACAAAGTTATAATAAAATAAGTTACAAGTAACAAGAAAAAAAACCTTACCAATAACAAAAACTACAAACTCAAATTCCTCATAAAAATAGTATTATAAGTAACAGGAAACAACAGAAACAAGAAAAACATTACAAGTAACAAAAACTATAAACCACAATTCCTCATAAACATAGACATAGTAAACAAAATATGTAAGATATATTAGTAAATCGTATCTTTAAAAAGGATAATATACTATAATCAAGTGTGGTTTATACCAGGAATGCAAGACTGGTTTAACATTTAAAGCCCAATCACCATAATTCACCACAGTAACAGATGAATAAAAGGAAAATCACTAAGAAGAAAAGGAAAATTATTTAACTTGACAAATTTAATTTACAGAAACTTACATGTGGCCATATATTTTTCATCTAAGATCAGAAACTAGACAAAGATTTCCTCTCTCAACACTCATATAGAAAATCATAATGGAAGTCCTAGTCAGTGCAATAAAGTCAATTGGTTGTTTTTTTTTTTTTAAAAAAAAAGGCATTCAGATTGGAAGGGAAAAAAAAATCTATCTTCAGTCAGAGAAAACATGATTGTCTATATAGATGCTCCAGAGACTACATAAAACTTCCAAAACCAATAAAGAAATTTAACAAGATCACAAAATAAAAGGTAAATATTCAAAAGTCAATTTTATTTATATATATCAGTTATGACATGTTGAGATTCAAAATTTTTAAAGTAGCACTTTCAATACCACCAAAAATATCAAATATTTTCAAAAGCTACAAAACATTGATAAAATAAGTTCAAGAGAAGGGATATTAATTGTTTTAATGGAGAGGTAAACTATGTTCATGGTATGTAAGAATTAATACTGTTAAGATGTAATTTTCTTCTAAAATTGATCTATAGATAAGACACCATCTTAGTGAAAATCCCAGCAGATTTTTTTTTGATGCATCAGCAAGCTGATTCTAACGTTTAAATAGAAATGCAAAGGAGTTAGAATAACTCAAACAATTTGTAAAAATAAGAACCAAGTTGCAGACTCACACTACTTGATTCTAAGATGTACCCAAAACTACGGTAATGAGACACTGTGTTGTTGGTGAGAGGAACATATAGACATATATCAATGAAACAAAAAAGAGTTCAGAGAAAACTGACTTGACAAAGCTGCAAAAGTAATTCAAAGATAAAAAGATAGTCTTTTATACAAATGACACCAAAACAAATGGTCCTATAAATGCAAAACAGAAAGTAAACCTCAATAGACAGTTAATATTTTATTCAAAAATTAACTGGAAATGGACATCAACCTAAAGGTAAAATGTAAAATTATAAAATTTCAAGAATAAATCACATGCACAATAGTTTCACAAATCACATTTTTGTGCTTTTCCTTCCAAAGTGTTTCAATGTGTTCACCATGTCTTTTAGTTTGTGTGTTTCCTGAGGATACGGAAACTTATTTACATCTTTCTTCTTCCATTGTCCTGTCTGATATAATACACTGATACTCAACACGTATTTTATACTTGGTAGATTAATTTTCTTCATACTATGAATCTCACAAAAATATTCCACACTTATTTTTACAGATGTAAATTTTCTTTCAATTTAGGAATATTATGAAGTGTAAAGAAGAAGAGGTTAACTGTTACATTAGTGACCATTTAGCAAGAGAGTCAAAGGTAAGAAGTTAGGCGTTAGTGGAGTATAATTTTAGCTCACAGTGTGAGTGTTAATTAAATGTTACTGCTAATATTACAGCTATAACAGTATAATCACTTGTGAAGTATAGAAACAAAGTGATTATAGAAGTAAAATTAGTGAATTAAAACAGGCAGTTAGTGAAGGATCCTGTTAACACACCATTATATTTTTAAAGAACTAAAATTGAATGTATGAAATTAAGAATGCAATACCATTTAAAATAGCCACAAAAAGAATAGAATACCTAGGAGTACAGCTAACCAGGGAGGTGAAGGATCTCTACAGTAAGAATTACAAAACACTGCTGAAAGAAATCAGAGATAACACAAACAAATGGAAACGCATTCCACGCTCATGGATTGGAAGACATTAAAATGGCCATGCTGCCCAAAACAATTTATACATTCAATACTATTACTATCAAGTTATCAATGTCATTTTTTCATAGAATTAGAAAAAAAACTATTCTAAAATACATATAAAACCAAAAAGAGTCTGCATAGCGGGAGCAATTCTAAGCAAAAAGAACAAAGCCAGAGTCATCACATTACCCTATGTCAAACTATACTGCAAGGCTACGGTAACCAAACAGCATGGTACTGGTCCAAAAACAGACACATAGACCAATGGAACAGGTTCGAGAACCCAGAAATAAAGTCACACAAACACAACTATCTGATGCTTGACAGTCAACAATGTCAAGCAATGGGGAAAGACCTCCCTATTCAACAAATAGTGCTGGGGTAACTGGCTAGTCAGCCATGCAGAATATTGAAACTGGACCCCTTCTTTTTCACAATACACAAATTTCAACTCAACATGGGTTGAAGGCTTAAATGTAAGACCTAAAACAATAAAAACTCTAGAAGAAAACCTAGGAAATATTCTGGAAATTGGTCTTGAAAATGAATTAATGACTACATCTTCAATAGCAATTTCAACAGAAACAAAAATAGACAAGTAGGACCTAATTAAACTATGGAGCTTCTGTACAGCAAAAGAAACTATCAACAGAGTAAATAGACAGTCTACAGAATGAGAGAAAATGTTTGCAAAGTACACATCTAACAAAGATCTAATATCCAGAATCTGTAAGAAACTTAAACAAGTCAACAAGCAAAAAACAAACTCCATTAAAAAAAATGAGGAAAGGTCATGAACAGACACATCTCAAAAGAAGGCATCCACCCAGCCAACAAACATGAAAAAATGTTCAATATCACTGATGATTAGAACAATGCAAATCAAAACCACAGTGAGATAGCATCTCACACCACTCAGAATGGCTATTATTAAAAAGTGAAAAAAAAAAACAACAGGAGAGCTTGGTGAGGTTGTGGAGAAAGAGAAATGATGACAAACTGATGGTAGAAATGTAAATTAATTCAGCCACTGTGAAAAACAGTTTGGAGATATCTTAAATAACTTAATACAGAACTACCATTCAACCCAGTAATTTCGTAACTAGGTAGAGACTTAAAGGAAAATAAATCTTTCTACCAAAAAACACAAGCACTTGTGTATTCATCGCAACACTATTTACAATAGCAAAGATATGAAATCAACTTAGGTGCTTATCAACAGTGGACTGGATAAAGAAAATGTGGTACATATACAACATGAAATACTATGCGGCCATAAAAATGAATGAGATAATGTCCTTTGTGGCAACATGAATAGGGCTGGAGGTCATTATCCAAAGTGAATTAACGCAAGAACAAAAAATCAAACACCACATGTTCTTACTTATAAGTGGGAGTTAAACATCAAATGCACATGGACACAAAGTGGGGAAGAGTAGACATTGGTGCCGACTTGGGGGTGGAGGGTGGGAAGGTGGTGAGGATCAAAACACTACCTATAGGGAATTGTGCTTACTACCTGGGTGATGAAATCATTTTTACACCAGACCCCAGTGACATGCAGTTTACCATATAGCAAACCTGCCCATGTATCCCCAAAACCTAAAATGTAAGTTGAAAAAAATAAATAAATAAATGTAGTGAGTCCAAGACAATGGAGCAAAAAATTCTTGATATTCAAATTAACTGATATGAACTTTATAATCAAAGAGAGCTTTGAAGACAAAAGAAGAATATAATATTCAATATTGTATGTATTTGACTTTTTAAAGACAATTACTAATCATACATATTTTTAAAAATATTCCAAGACTAGATGATTTTGCAATTTTTGAGTCAAGATTATTTTTTAAGTATTTTTGTTGTTGTTGATCTCCTTCTGATGGAATGGGTTTAATGTGCAGAATGTGGCTTCCATTTCTATCAATCTTACATGTTTGATGAAATTGAAGGAGATAATGTACAATTTGAAATAATGAACACCTCCCTGAAGTAGAAAATAAGGTAGATCTAGAGAATTTTACCAACAGGTAAGAATTAGATGATAAAACCCAGAAAGATGTATTTGTTTTACTAACTGAAAGTTAAAATATGATAATTATGTAAATTATTTCCGATTTCTATTTTGTCCACTTTTTCACTCTGCATAAAAATATTTCCAGTGTCTTAATATTTCAGATAGCAGTCAGAGTTAGGCATATCTTAGGTATGTGGGAGCAATATTTATGTTCACACTTGAAATTTGCTTGCCCTAACCTATTTGGAAATTCAATAGCCTCTCTTAAAAGTACAAGGATGCCAATGTAAAACTCATTATTATTTGATGCCAAGATTAAGATCCCCTATTATATTAGTCCATTCTCATGCTGCTATAAGGATATACAGGAGACAGAATAATTTATTTAAAAAAAAAGAGGTTTAATTGACTCACAGTTTAGCATGGACAGGGTGGCCTCAGGAAACTTACAATCATGGTGGAGGGGAAGCAAACATGTCCTTCTTCACAAAGCAGCAGGAAGGAGAAGAATGAGAACCCAGTAAAGGGTGAAACGCCTTATAAAAGAGTCAGAGCTCATGAGAACTTATGAGAATTATCAGGGGGCAAACTGCCCCCATGATTCAATTATCTCCCACCAGGTCCCTCTCATGACACATGGATTATGGGAACTAAAATTCAAGATGAGAGTTGGGTGGAGACACAGCCAAAACATATTACCTGTAGTTAAAAGTAAGACAGAATAACACTAATGATGAGGAATAACATCAATGATGAGCACTTCTCTTAGTGACATGTAGGATGTTAAAACCCACAAAATATTCTATCACTTTATCTCCTTTGTTCATTCTTTCTGTTTCATGCCCTTTCTTGCATCATTCTAAAATGAATTTGAGAAAGCTATACAAATAACTGTAATACAAAATTATCATGATAAACAGTTGATGGAATGCAATAGAAGGAAAAGTAAAATAGATTTACTAATAAGAGATGGCGTAGGACTAACACACTTTAATGTGTGTCACAATAACCACAAATACTAGCAAGATACCTTTTCATCAGTGTCTGTAGGGTGTGCACATCTTCCACATATTCACTCAAAGTGAAGCTGACTGATGTGTTTGTAGGAATGATATAGTCATATCATTCAATTCGCTCAGAGAAGAATAAAGGTATATGTAAAGAAGGGAGAAGGTAGGGGGAAAATCTTATAATTTTCAGTGGTTCAGACTGTCATAATTTTTTAAGAAATAAAATATTTATATCATTTTCAGGACAGTCATTTGAAATGTTCTGAGGATTACAGAAGCCTATAAGCATTTGAAACATTTTTTGGGGAAACATCTCTTAAGATGTTGTATAAACTACACAGAAATATATCTACGCATTTGCAGTCAATTGATTTTCAACAAAAGGTACCAAGAAAATACATTAGAGAAAGGACAGCCTATTCAATAAATGGTGCTAGGAAAACTGGATATCTCATGTTTATTGTGTCCCTATTCACAATAGCCAAGATATGAAATCAACCTAAGTGCTCATCAATAAATGAATGGATAAAGAAAATGTACATTTACACAATTGATTATTACTCAGCCATAAGGAAGTATTACATCCTGTCATTTGCAACAATTTGGATGGAACTAGAGGACATTATGTTAAGTGAAATAAGCCAGGCACAGTAAGAAAAATATTACATGTTCTCACTTTTATGTGAGAGCTAAAAAATTGATTTCATAAACATAGAGAGTGGAATGATAGTTACTAAAGGATTGGAAGGATAGTGGAGAGGGGGGAAAAAGAGAAGTTTGTTAGTGGGTATAAAAGTACAGTTACACAGAAGGAATAAGATCTAGTACTCAGTAGCACAATATGGTAACCACAGTAACACTAATTTATTGTGTATTTCAAAATTACTAGAAAAGTGGAATTCTAATCTTGCTAATACAAAGAAATAATAAATATTTTAGGTAATGGATATACCGATTCCCCTGATTTAACCATCACATATTGTATGCTGGTATCAAAATATCACATGTACTCTACAAATATGTGCAACTATTATGTATCTATAAAAATAAAAAATAAAATCTTAAGAGATATGAGATAAATTAATTTTAGAAATCAGTTTTAGAAGTTGGAATTCTATAAAGATCACAAATCGAACAAATACTTTGAGTCTGATCCCATCTCTAGATTATGAGCCCCTAAAGGGCAGGCATGTTATCTAATTAATCTCATGATTCCTAATCGTCCTTAGCACCATGTTTTACACAGTAATTTTTAGAAAAATATTGGTTTAATTAAAAGGAAACAAGCTTTTTGTTTAGTTTATACTTTCACAAATGCAAACTGAATACTACATATTCATATTTAAAAGTTTTTTGATTTTTCTTGAAGAAGTGCTTTTTGCAGCCTCAGTTATGGGGCCAAGAGGAGAAAAATTAAAAAAAAGAACTTCAACAATTAATTATACATATGTGTGTGGGTTTGTGCCTATGTAAATGTTAAATATTTTTGTTTTATTGTACCTATGATAGCAGATAGTGCTGCTTACCTCCCCAATATTCATTCTCCCCATCTTCTAAAAGGAACTAAATATTAAATTCTTTGAGAGTCACAAGTAGTCCAGAAAAACTACATCCCCAGAATGCCTTGCAAATTCTAGTCACGATGCCAAATAATTCTACAAACAAGATGGAAACTTAAGCATTATGGATGAACTAATGATAGTTTAAAAAAAATGGGGAGCCAGCCACCATAAGTCTTCTGTCCTTCCCCTGCTTCTTTTTTTTTTTTTTTTTTTTTTTTTTTTTTTTTGAGACGGAGTCTCGCTCTGTCGCCCAGGCTGGAGTGCAGTGGCGGGATCTCGGCTCACTGCAAGCTCCGCCTCCCGGGTTCACGCCATTCTCCTGCCTCAGCCTCCCGAGTAGCTGGGACTACAGGCGCCCGCCACTACGCCCGGCTAATTTTTTTTTGTATTTTTAGTAGAGACGGGGTTTCACCGTTTTAGCCGGGATGGTCTCGATCTCCTGACCTCGTGATCCGCCCGCCTCGGCCTCCCAAAGTGCTGGGATTACAGGCGTGAGCCACCGCGCCCGGCCAAAGGAAATCAATTAAAGCCTACCTCTCCCTGATATTCTGCTTCTAGAATGGAATGGGTTAAAAGGAGACTAATGACACAGAAGAATATGTTATGGAGATAGGTAGTAGTGTGTTTGGATAAGAAAATGAAATTATTCTCAGCAAAAGAGTAACTATAATGGTGATATTCAGTTTAGGATCACACACTTTATACTATACTGTGTCAGGGTAGTGAAAACTATTCTGAAGTTACTTAGTAGTGTATGAAATCTCATCCCGCACCCAAACAATAGAGTCTAGGTTAAGGCTTTGTTGTAAACTTACTTCTAAAAGTAATTAAGTCATCATTATATCCACTTACATATTAGGGTGAGGGAACAACTTTACCTAGAAACTTACGGACTCTTCTCTACACATATGACTTTGATAATACCAAGTAAGTTTTTGTCATGAATAATTTTCAGACTTTTGAGGAATAATAAACCAATAAAACTAGTTGGGGCTTTTACTACAGGGCAGGAGGACTCTGTGAGTAATGCTTATTCTATTTTTGGAAAATTTGATAACAAAGACCTGATAAAATTCAAGTCAGAGACTTAAGAATAAATAAGAATGTATCTCTTCTCTCTGGAACCTTCTCGCCTTGAAAACAAATGCCAGGGCAGACCTGAATCTAGAGACACTTTGCTGTCTACACCATGTGGCTTACGATTAGGATATGTGTAGAGTAGGGTTTACCAAAGACGGAGAATAAACATTTCTCATTTTCAATGCTATTTTATCAATCTTTGAAAATAAATAGATCAATGAAAAATAGGATCTATTTCCTAGAACTTGAATGCTAATAAGAGTATATTTCCACTAGAAAAAAAATTCTTTGGTAGATCAAGTTGAGCATTAGCTATTGCTATTGCTATTCCTCTAAGATTTCTTTCAGGAAGACCTAGTTTTATGATCAATACAATTGCTTCAAAACTTTTAATTATTTATCTTTTGGTCACATGTCTAGACCCAGCAGTTTTTGTCTCTCCTTAGTGGGTCATAACTCCTTCCCTTGCCCCTTCCTTTTCTGTTCTCTCCTTTCCTTTTCTTTCTTTTCTTTTTCTTCCTTTTCCTTTCTATTTTTTGTTTTTATTTCCAGACAATGCTTGATAATTTCCTAAGGTTTACAAACAATGATGGTTTATTATTCTAATTCTCCTGTACCCCCTGTTCTCTCATAGGCAAAAAACACATGAGCAAGTGATTCCTCTTAACAATCATTTTGTTGACTAGAAAGGCTATTATTGTCAGAAGAGTTGCCAGCAAATGAAGTAAGGTAGAAAAACATATATGAATGAAAATTTGGGTGACCCCTTTACCAGAAATTTCATGTATAGATAGAATTCTAGGTTTCTGGAAAAAGTTAAAAATCACTGTTGTTCCTGCATTTCAAAGTCCCACCTTACACATAGATGTCTATGGTTAAGAAAGATACTTGTTCCTTTTTTTCCCGTAGTTTTACTCGTTTTTACAATTTAGTATGATACATTGAATTAATTAAACTTATTTCAGTTCCAGCAGCTAATCCAAATGAGAGAAACCTTTATGAAAAAAATATGTAAAGCAATTTGTATTTGACATAGCCTCTTCTTTCTGAATTCACATTTGAGTGATAACTAAGACAAGATCACTTGTGTTTTTCTCTCCTTCTTAATGAGTGCTCTACACTATTTGTAGTACACAGGATTGCACTGTTATCCAATTAGGAAAGTATAGAGGATGCAAGGCTTATCATTATTCTGCACATAATTGAGTCATGCCATCATCAGTGTTTTATTTTCCTCAGAGATGCTTATTATCATGCATACCTTTTGCTTTTTGGCAGAACCGAGGATGTCCTTTGGGGGTTGAACCTCAGAGTAACTTGACATCCTCATTAACCTTTATGGCAACTAAGGTATTGAGCATCCTCAGACTGAAGAGAAGTCTCAAAATTTTTATTATTCCATTTCCCCTCAATTCATTGCATACAATCTCATATTGCTGCAGATCAGAAAAAAAAATGAGAAGAAACCAAAATACATCCTTCAGATTTTTGAATATATGTTTAGTGTATGTCTAAACAGAAATGGCAAATGCTTTTTTTCTTCTCCTAAATGAAGAGGCAGACAGCCTATGAAAACATACCTTTAGTACTTCACATAACCATTTAGTTTTGTTATTTCAGAGAACTTGAAGCCTGAAACATATTTTAATGGTTGCTAAGATTACCCATCTTATTTTATAAATGAGGTTCTGAAGGCTTAGAGAGAGTAAAAGACTCACCAAAGTTGGCAGATGAAAATTAAAGCCACAAGGTTTTGTTTTTTTTTTTAAGCCAACCTTGTTTGATGCATGTTAAAGGATGTTTAAGTGTTTAAAATATGAGACTATAATATAGGTTAAAGAGAATGATCAAAATTTCATTTCTTTCCAGATTATTCTCCAGATTACTGTAATTCATCTTTTAATATGTACATTTGAACGTGATGTTTCTCTTTTAAAATGCTTTTCTAGCTCTTCTTCACCTACATTCGTGTTTCACAAATTTGGATGATCATCAGAATCCTCTAGCACCCACTACGTCATGCTCCTTATTCAGCAAAAAAGCACTTAATGTACTGTACTCCTTTTTTTTTAAGATTATTTGTTTGCTCTCCCAGTGGTTTTTGAAAACCTTGACAACCATCTCTTACATATTATTAAATTTCCTAAAACACATAATTGTGTTTTTCACATGGTAAACTGCTCACTGAACATGTTTTTGTTGTTGTTGTTGTTGTTGTTGTTGTTTTTGAGACAGAGTGTCGCCCAGGCTGGAGTGGATGGCTCGATCTCGGCTCACTGCAACCTCTGCCTCCCAGGTTCAAGGAATTCTCCTGCTTCAGCCTCCCGAGTACCTGGGACTATAGGCGCCCGCCACCACGCCCATCTAATTTTTGCATATTTAGTAGAGGCGGGGTTTCACCATATTGGTCAGGTTGATCCAGAACTCCTGACCTCAGGCAATCCACCCACCTTGGCCTCCCAAAGTGCTTGGATTACAGGCGTGAGCCACCACACCCGGACTGAACATGTATTTTTATTGCAAGATCATCGTGGATACCATTTTCTTCTTCCAGAATTGTGTGTTAAAAATCTCTGATTATTTTTTTTTCCCACCAAAATATATCATACTTCCTTTGGGCTGGAAATGTGCTCTTACAAGTCTCTTTTTCTGAGATATCCTCTATTGCTTACCCACCTACCAGAGAGTGTGGAGGGGGATGCCATTCATTAGGACCAAAAGGGGACTTGGAGTCTGTGGTAGGGAACTGGGAAATGGCCGTGGCTTTCAGGGATAAAGGTAGCCTTGAAATGAAGCATTTGATGAACTGTTTGACTTAGGAAAAATCTTTGTAAGATCTCTTCACTACACAAAGTGTTTAAAATGTATTTTATAATTGTAGAATAGAGAAATGTGCATGGATGGGCTGGGCATGGTGGCTCACGTCTGTAATCCCAGCACTTTGGGAGGTCAAGGAGGGTGGATGACCTGAGGTTAGGAGCTTGAGACCAGCCTGGTCAAAATGATGAAACCTTGTCTCTACTAAAAATAGAAAAATTAGCTGGGCATGGTGGTGTGCATCTGTAATCCCAGCTACTGGGGAGGCTGAGGGAGGAGAATCACTTGAACCTGGGAAGCGGAGGTTGCAGTGAGCCAAGATCATGCCACTGCCCCTCAGCCTGGGCAAAAGAGTGAGACTTCGTCTCAAAAAAAAAAAAGAAAAAAAGAAAGAAAAAGAAAAAAAATTTGCATGTATGTATCTACATCCATCTCTTCATCACACCCATGGAACTTGAAGATCTGGGTGTTACAGTTTCAGAGCAGGGTTACATTTACAAAAACATAGGCCTGTCTTCAAGGCAATATTAAAGTCAGTCAAATCCTTTGCTTTCATTCCTAAAGAACATTAAAATGGAATAAAGAGACATACCCCAGTTCTTTACTACTTTTTCCTTAATTTTTTAGTTGTTCCCTAAACTCACTGGAGCATCTCATTCCACAGAAACCTTCACATTCTTGCCATTGCTGATTTTTCCCAGATAATTTTATTTTCTTAATGACCTTTGTCTCTACCAGAACTTCTAATTATGGCCACACCGTGTACTCACAGCAACCATAGTGCTAACCCATGAAGCTCCCAGCTGCTCAGTTCTGGAAGGAGTGAACTCTACCTTCCATGCTTACTGATTTTCTCACTAGAATTAACCTATCTCCCTCCCTCTGGTCGAATTCTACAGGAGTTTAGTGTAGATAATTATACTCACATGTTAGTAATTTTATAAAATTATATACATCCATATGTAATTTACCAGTTATTAGTAGTTATAATTTTAAATTTTTAGTGTATAAAATATGGCAAATAAAATATATAAATTAAAGAACCTCCATTTATACTACCAGATGATAAACACAATTAACAGATCATTGTATCTTTTCTGATTATAGATAGATATAGATTTCAGTATATACAACCTAATAACAGAATTTGAATCTTATAATACACATACGTTTCTCTTCCCACTTATTCTATAATGATAGTTTCTATTGAAACTTTACATGCTTTCATAAAAATGTGATTTTTAATGCTTATGTTTAATTAGATGAATACACCATAATGCCTTTAAACATTCTCAAGTATGTGGACATTTAGGTGAAAAAAAAATATTGAAGTGAACTTTACAAGTTTCCATTTTATAGAAAGAAAAATCTGGTTTTAGTACCTGAGGAGATTCACAACTCCTTTTGAAAACTCTTCAGAATCATCAAAGAACCAAAGATACTTTCAACTCCCCGCCAAGAAAATGTTTGTTGTAACATGAAACTGGCTTGGGTTCAGTTAAACATTCTTTTTAAGTTACCTAGAGAGTAAGTCAAAGTGTCACTTGCTCTATTCTAGTGGTAGAAATAGCTGTTTGTTACATTTCTAATTTTTTTTAATTAAAATTTAATGTCAGCTCCAAATTTCTTTTTCAAATTTTGTTTTTATGATTACCGTAAGTATATGCTCATCAGAAGATATTTTAATCTCACTGCAATCAATCAATTACTTCATCAATCTAATGCAGACAGTACTTATTTTTCATGGTAATTTTATTCAGTATTTTGCAGCCCAGACATACTAAAAATGCATTTTTTTTTTAACAAATGAAATCGGAACAGTCAGAAAGAGGCTGAATCTGATGGAATTTTTAAGTAAATGCCTACTTAGGTATTCAATGTATTTATTCAATAAGATGGCATTTGACAAATAAAGAGAAAAACGATATGTTTTAATCATATTCTATATTCATAGCTTAGCCTTGTGACAGAAGGTACCAAACAACGTAGAATAATACTTTTCCTTCTCTGAACCTCTAACAAAAGAAGCTTTAAAAGTTGCAGACATTAACCTTTCTGGTAACCTTGTAAAACTGCCACAATCCACGCTTTGTAGTTAAAGAAGCAAAGCAACTGAGAGGTTAAAGTCATAGCGTAAAGTGCATATAACAACTTAGTAGGCATAGTTAAGATGAATCTCTTTGTTTTACTGTTATACCTGTTGGATGCCTTCCTTGCAAAAGGGAAAATACTACTATTATGACCATGATGACACTGACAGTGATGAGAAAAATGATGATCACTACTTGAACTGCTAACAATGATAATCCTAATGATAATAGTAATCAGAACAAAGGATTATCATAATTATAAAAATTTGAGGAAATTCAAAAACTTTCATCCAAAGAAATGAAAAAACAAAAATGCCATTTGAAATAAAACTTTAGGACAAAATGTGCTTTAAAAAAAACTTATATTTTTAAAATTAGGTTATGTTGATTATTATCCTCAGGGTTAAATAAATGTGGGCAACAAGATATAAAATTGTATCACTCTTAGTAGGGCAATTTCATTTGTTCTATCTTTATTTACTAATAAGTTATAAAAGGGATTGATCCATTTTTTTCAGAACTTTGGAAGGAAAGTATAGGTTGAACTAAATGGAATTATTGTTTTTGTAGGTCAAAGGGTCAAATGTCAGCAATTACATGTGATTTACTTAATAAAACTAAACCTATTTAGTTTCTCTCTTAACACAGAGTTTCTTTAGGTCTTCTTCTCTTTTTCTATTTGTCTTCCCTACTAATCTCTTCAGGCCTATCTAACCTTCCCCTGAGTCTACTTATTTTATCTTCTAAGGTATCCTTACTTCGTGTTTGTAGCCAAGAGGGAAACATTTTTAACATTTCCTAGATTGTTGTTTGTTGGAATAGAAGCTCTAGGTTTCAGGTCTTCTTCCATTAAAATGGTACATAGATAGAATTAGGGGAATGAAAATTCATCTCTACTCTTTTGGGGTTTTTTCAGCTGGGCTTGAGAATTAAATTACCATGAGACAAATAAACAGAAGAAAAACATACAAATTTATTTAAGATAAATTTTATGTGGCATGGAAACCTACATAAAGAAATGAAGATTCAAGACACAGAGTTGAACACATACATACTGAATTGGACAGAGTATTAAGTTGTGAGAACATAACTAAATTATGTAGTGAGGCTAAATGAAGGTAAGACTTATTTTAACAAGGTCTGTATAGAATTCTGTCAGTCTTAACTTTCTGTCCTTGATGATAAAAATGCTACCTTCCTTCTAGTATAGGAAAGTCATCTTTCACACGAAAATTCCATATTTTGCGGTTAAGAAACTGAAGAAAGGTCAGAGTAATTTTCTTGTACCTGCTGTTTTCCAAGCTGCCTTTAACTCAAAATAGTCAATCTGACAAAGTAGTGTATTTTGAATGGCATGTTCTTAACTCCTTCAAAACAGAAACTACACATTAAAAAGAATCATATATAATGATCAAATTGAATTTATCCCAGGAATGCAGGATTAATTTAACATCCAACACTCATCAATGTTGTACACTATATAAACAAAGGAACAAAAACAATATGATTGTATAGACAGATACACAAAAAGCAAGTGACAGATTCTAACACTTTTTATAATTAAAAAACAAAAAAGGACCCAATAAACTAGAAGAGAGATAAATTTCTCTACCTAATAAAGGCCATTTACAAAAAAAAAAAAGATTGGATGTTTTCACCTAAGATTTGAAAAAAGATAGTGATTTCTGTTCTTGCCATTGTATTCAACATTGTATTAGAGCTTCCAGCCTCAGCAATTAAGCAAGAAAAGTAAAAAAAAGCCATCAGATTGGAAAGGAAGAAGTAAAACGATCTCTCTTTACAGATGGCATAATGATGTATATAGAAAATACTAATCAACCCACTAAAAATATTACAGCTAATAAATGGGTTCAGAAAGATCGCTGCCTCAAAGTAAATATCTAAAAAATTAGTTGTATTTTTATATACCAACAATAAAAAATTTGAAAATAAAATTAAGAAAACAATTCTGTTTTATTTGCATAAAATAGAATAAAATACCTAAGAATAAATTTACCAAAGAAGTGTAAGACTTGTACACTGAAAACTATAAAACATTTTTGAAAGAGATTCAATAACACCTAAACAAATGGAAAGACATCACATGTTCATAGATGGAAATACTTAATTTTGTTAAGATGACAATAGTTTCCAAATTAGTCTATAAATTAATTGAAAATCTTATTAAATTACTATATGACTGGCATAGAGAAATTAATCAGCTGATCCTAAAATTCTTATGGAAAATCAAAATCCCAGAATAGCCAAAACAATTTTGAATATGAACAAATTTGAAGAACTCACACTTTATTATTTCAAAGATCTATAGATCAATGACATAGAATTGAGAGTCTATTTTATACTATTTTAAAAATCCATTTTATGATGAATTGAATTGTTTTTCAATAAAAAATGTTCATAAAACAATTAAATTGGCTTTTCAACAAATTGTACTGAGACAATTGGAAATTCACATGCAGAATTTTAAACTTAGATTTTGTACTAGTCCACTCCTGCACTGCTGTAAAGATATGACCTGAGACTGGGTGATTTATAAAGAAAGAAAGTTTAATTGACTCACAGGTCCACATGACTAGGGAGGCCTCAGGTAACTTACAGTTATAGCAGAAGGCAAGGTGGAAGCAAGGCACATCTAAAAGGCGGTAGGAGAGAGAGAGAGAACGAGGAAGCACCAGACGGTTATCAAACAACCAGATCTCGTGAGAACTCATTCACTATCATGAGAAGAGCATGTGAAAACCTCCCCCATGATCCAAACACTTCCCACCAGGTTCCTCCCTCGACACGTGGGGATTAGAATTTGAAATACAATTCAAGATGAGATTTGGGTAGGGACATAGCCAAACAATATCAGGTTTCTGCCTCACCTCATATGTAAAAATTCACTCCAAATGGATCCGAAACCTAAGTGTATGAGTTTACACTAAAGTATACAATTCTTAGATGGAAACACAAAAGTTAATTATTGGGACTTTGAATCAGGCAATAATTACTTAGATATGAAACAGAAAGTATAAGTAGCAAAAGAACAAATAGATAAATTGGACTTCATCAAAATTAAAATAAAAACTTTCGTAATTTAAAGAACACTATAAAGAAAATGTAAAAACAACTCACAGAACGGGATAAAATATTTTCAAATCAAATACAGTTTTGCTTCATTGAATGAGGAGAATACAGTCTGAGAAATGTGTAATTAGGTGATTTTGTCATGCAAACACAATAGAATGTACTTACACAAATCTTGATGGTATAGCATACTACACACTTAGGCTATATGGTATAGCCTATTGCTCCTAGGCTACAAACCTGTACAGCATGCTACTGTGCTGAATGCTGTAGGCAATTGTAATGCAATGATAAGTATTTATGTAACTAAACATATCTAAATGCAAGAATGGTATAGTAAAAATAAG
Source organism: Homo sapiens (assembly GCF_000001405.40). Taxonomy (NCBI): domain Eukaryota; kingdom Metazoa; phylum Chordata; class Mammalia; order Primates; family Hominidae; genus Homo; species Homo sapiens. Next base: position 176,124,015 of record NC_000003.12, on the reverse strand, counting down.
ATATAAAACATTAAAAAATGGTACACCAGTATACGACACTTACCATGAATGGAGGTTACTGGACTGGAAATTGCTCTAGTGAGTCAGTGAGTGGGGAGTGAATAGGAAGGCCTAGGACATTCCTATATGTTACTGTAGACTTGATAAGCACTCTACACAGACTATACCAAGTTTATTAAACTACTTTATTTCTTCAACAATAGATTAACCTGAGGTTACTATAATTTTTCATATTACAAAATTTTTAATTTTTAAAACTTTTTGACTTTTGTAATAACACTTATCTTAAAACACAAATGTATTGTATAGCTGTATGAAACAATTTTCTTCCTTGTATATTTATTTTTTATTTTGTTATTTTAAAAATTATTATTTATTTTTATATTTAAACAATTTTGTTAGAAACTAAGACAGTAATACACACTTTAGTTTAGGCCTACACAAGGTCAGGATGATCAATATTATTGTCTTCTACCTCTACATCTTGTCCCACTAGAAGATATACAGGGCAATAACACACATGAAGTTGTCATCTTCTATGATGATAATGCCTTCTTCTGGGATATCTCCTGAAGGATACTCCTGGAGTTCTTTTACAGTAAACTTTTTTTTAATAAATAGAAGAAATACTCTCTAAAATAATGATAAAATGTATAGTATAGTAAATACATAAACCAGTAACACAGTCATTTGTTATCACTATCAAGTATTATGCACTATATATAATTTCATGTGCTATACATTTATACCAGCAGTCCCCAAACTTTTTGGCACCAGGGACCAATTTAGTGGAAGAAAATTTTTCCATGGATGGAGGTGGAGGTGGGGATTGGGGTGGGGATGATTTCAGGATGAAACTGTTCCACCTCAGATCACCAGGTATTAGTTACATTCTCATAAGGAGTGCACAACCCAGTTCCCTCATATGCGCAGTTCACAATAGCATTCATGCTTCCATGAGAATCTAATGCCACTGCTGATCTGATGGAAGAAGGGAGCTCAGGTGGTAATGCTCACCCCGCTGCTCACCTCCTGCTGTGCAGCCTAGTTTCTAACAGGCCACGAATCTATACCAGTCTGCAGCCCATGGCTTGGGGACCCCTGTTTTATATAATTGGCAGTGAACAGCATCATCACAAACTGGTGAGCAATGCATCCATCTATGATGTTACAATGGTTGCTATGTCACTAGGTGATACGAATTTTTCAGTTCCATTACAGTCTTATAGGACCACCATCATATGTACAACCCATTGTTGACCAAAAAGTCATTATGTGGGACATAACTGTGACTATAAGTGTAGTATCCAGAATATATAACAAATTCTTACAACTCCACAATAAAAAGACAAATAATCCAATTAAGAAATAGGCAAAGAAATTGAACAGACATTTCTTCAAACAAGATATACAAATGGTCAATAAGCACATGAGAAGATGATCAACATTATCGCTTGTTAGAGAAATTCAGTCAAGATGACAATGAAATACCACTTTACAGTTTTTAGTGTACCTGTAAGCAATATATTGTACAATGATAAGTACTGGCAAGGATGTAATGGTATCTGAACCCTCATACGTTAGCTGTGAGAATACTCAATGTTGCAACCATTTGAAAAACCTTGTTGCAATTCTTCAAAATGTTAAACTTAGAGTTATCATAGGCAATGTTCTGAATGTTATGTCCTTCAAAATGCATGTGTTGTAATCTAATCACCACCATGATGGCATTAGCAGGGAGTTGAGGAGGGGATTTTGGCTGGTCATGAGGGCTCAGTACTCATAAATGGGATTACTGACCTTATATAAGAAGCCCCAGGGTTCTTGCCCCTTTCACCATGCGAGGACTCATAGAAAAATCACTGTCTATCAACCAGGAAACAGGCTTTCACCAGATACCTAATGTGCCAGCACTTTGATATTGGACTTCCTAGACTCCTGAACTGTGAGAAATAAATTTCTCTTGTTTATAAACTACTCGGTGAATGATATTTTGTTATAGCACCCCGAATGAACTAAGATACCACAGGACAAAGCAATTCCAGTGCTAGGTATATAAACTCAAGTGAAATGAAAACATATTTCCAAACAAAAACTTTTAGATAAATGTTTACAGCTGCATTGTTCATGTTAAGCAACAGTGGAAGACAATACAAATATCTAGGAACTGATGAAGGAATGAATAAAATGTGGAATCTCTATACAAGAAAATATTATTAAGGAAAAAAACAGAACCAAACCAAACCAAAACAAAACAAAATAAAAAACAGAATGAAATTTTAATATATGCTAAAACATGAATGAAACTTGAAAACATCATTCTATATTAAAGAAACCTGACACACACAAAAAATCACATATTTATGACTGAATTTCTATGAAATGGCCAGAATATACAAACTTATAGAGAAAGAATGTAGATTGGTAGTTGTCTAGGGCTGAGGGTTGGGAGGAATAGTGAGAGACTGCTAATGGGTACCTAGTTTGTTTTGGGGGTGACATTTTGAAATTAATTTGTTATGATTATAACACAACTCTGAGTATACTAAAAATCATTTAACTGTACCTTTAAATAGATGAACCATGTGATATAAGAATTATGTATCAACAAAACTGTTTAAAATATGTAAGTTAAAAGCAGAGTTTAATCACTTTTCTCTGAATTGCTACTCTACTCTTTATTAAGAGAAGCAATCTATGAAAGAGGTTAACACAAGAATGTCAAGGAGCCTGAAAAAGCCACAGTTTGAAAGGATACTCTAAAAGCTCTCATCCTAAAGTCTTTCCAGCTTGATAAAATAATATTTACTTTTAATAATGCATTACACTTCAGCTTCATGGTATGTAATGGAACAGCAAAGCCAGATCCTTGATATCCTTTGACTCTACATGATCCATGTTTGACCATGACCTTGCACCAATTTACATGGCTGGGGTAATACATCCCATTCTGTCTCAATTATGTCAACTAGGCTTTACTGTGCTCATGACCTGAAGCTTCCAGGTTCTATTCTTATTTTTCTGTCTTTGCATGACACAAAAAATGTCAAGAAGCCTCAGATTTGCCTCTTCTGCTTGCTTTATCATATTAATATGATTTCATAAGGCTTTCTGCTGCTTAAATACATAGAGATAGAAATAATCCTTTTTCCATTTATGGTTTTGTGAAGTCTGTGACTAAGCAAATTTAGAAACTCAGTCATTTCAGTTCAAAATTTAGTCAAACCAGCTGCTTGGTCAATTAAAATCACCTAATGTCTTAGTGATATATAAACAGAGTCTAAGTGTGTTGAAACACTGAACATAGGCATCGTAAATCAGAATCTATTTTCCCTAAATGATAGCTTAATGTTTTCTAACTCCTGTATGATTTTGCTGACAGTCACATTAATTCTTTGTATAATGCTGCATCTTGTTTATGCACTTTTGCCAGCTGAATTTGCACTAGGCTCCACAACCATTAAATGTTGTAGATTTCTTAGCTATGGGGACAAAGAACTGGCGTTTGGAGAGGCAAGGTCTAATTGCCAATATGTTTGCATATGATCTTACTTCCTTGCAGATAGTCTTTTGTTTTCATTTCTATGCATCTGCAGGGATTGTATGCTTATTTTATAGTAACTAAAATTTAGTTAAGACCAATACAATTTTTAAGCAATTTCATTGTAATTATCAAAGTGTTTCTGAAAGGAAAGTAAACTGGTTACCTTAATTACAAATATATCTTCTTTCATTAGATAGATTTAATTACTCCTATTGTGACTTTTGTTAAACTACAGGAAATCCAGAACTCTAAAGAGCTTCTTGCCTATTGTTTTAAATTAGGAAAATTATTGTTATTCATATTAAATTATTTGTATTCACTGAATACTTGAGAAAGAAAAAAAATGAAATTCCAAGGGACACAATTAGAACTATATTGTAGCGTTTGCCATCAGTTTGTTGTTGCAATGCTTCCTCATTGCAGACATCTGCAAATTCCCTGATCACTGCTTCTAATTCCCTCAGCATTTTAGTACCTTATTTACTTTATTCTCTTAATGTTACTCTGGTTACAATTCTTGTTTATTTCAATATCCAATCGTTTTTTGATCACATCCTGGTTTTCTTCTTTTCTTTTCTTTTTTTTTTAAAAATTGAGACGGAGTCTTGCTCTGTCACCCAGGCGAATGCAATGGCGCGATCTCAGCTCACTGCAACTGGTTTCTTGATGCTCTTTCCACCTGATCCCATTTGCCACACTTCTTTAGTCTCCAGTACTATGGAGAAACCACAGACACTGTGAATATCAGTGGTACACCTTTTTCATCATCTTCATCTCAACAATCTACCCTCTGAAAACCATTACAGTATACTCCCTCTTCTGCCCAAACTACCACAATTCTTTGACCTCATCACTACATAAATTAAATGTCCTTGGATTCTACAAGCCTGTAGCTGTTCCTCTCTCCTCTGTATCTTTCAATCCCTTCCTAACCAGCTTAGTTTCTGTAGTCCAGCCTGTAGTCGACTAATTCCCTTGGATGTATTCTCAGCTCCCTTTGCTGCTCTCTCCTATGTATATATACCTGGTTAACCCACAAGCCTGGTTAAGTCAAATTATCTGTCTATTACATGCCCGTATTTTGACATCTGACTTGGGTGGGAAAAACACAAAGCTTTACTGATCCTATGCTTCTAAAAGAATGTTACCGTTTACCTTGCATTTAAAGGTGCTTAGAAATCCATCTACATTTCACTTCTCTAAAAATGTTCCCACACTTAAAGAAAACTATTTTATGCCTTTCCGTCACACTTCTAACATTCCATCTTTTTCCTCCATGATCACCCTGTCTTGTAGTTCATTAAGAAAACAAAAGCCATCAGAAGAAAGCTTTCTCATGTTTCTTCCACTACAAATCACACTGTATTAACCCACTTGTATCTATAGCCACGTGCTTGGTTTTTTTAAAAATAATTTCTGCTTTTATTTTGGATTCAAGGCTGCATGTGCAGGTTTGTTACCTGGGGATATTGTGTGATACTGAGGTTTGGGGTACAAATGATCCCTTCATCCAGGTAGTGAGCTAGTACCCAACAGTGAGTTTTTCAACCGTTGCCTCCCAACTCCCTCCCTGCTTTACTAGTCCCCAGTGTCTATTGTTGCCATGTTTATGTTCCTGAGTATCCAATGTTTAAATCCCTCTTATAAGTGAGAACATGAGGTATTTGGTTTTCTATTCCTGTGTTAATTCACTAAGGATAATGTCCTCCAGCTGCATTCATGTTACTACAAAGAACATAATTTCATTCTTTTTTATGGCTGCATGTTCCATGGGGCATATGTACCACATTTCCTTTATCCAATCCATTATTGATGGGCACCTAAGTTGATTCAATGCCTTTGCTATTGTAGATAGTGCTGTGATAAACATATGAGTGCATGTGTCTTTTTGGTAGAGCAATTGATTTCCTTTTGGATATATACCCAGTAATGGGATTGCAGGGTTGAATGGTAGTTTTGTTTTAAGTTCTTTAAAAAAAAAAAAAAAAATTAGAGATGGAGGTCTTACTCCGTTGCCCAGGTTGGGCAATCATAGCTCACTGCAGCCTTTAAATCTAGGACTCAAGTGATCCTCCTGCCTCAGCCTCCCAAGCAGCTAGGACTACAGGCACATGTCATCACACCCATTTAATATTTTAAGTTATCTGAGAAATCTCCAAACTGCTTTTCACAGCAGCTGAATTAATTCCCATTCTTACAGTGGCTGAATTGAATTAATTCACATTCTTATAAGCATTCCATTTTTCTCTGCAGCCTCACCACCATGTTTTTTTTTAACTTTTCAATATTAGCTATTCTCACTGGTATGAAATGGTATCTCATTGTGGTTGTGATTTACATTTCTCTGATGATTAGTGATGTTCAGCACTTTTTCATATGTTTTTTGGCTGCTTGTATTTTTTTTATTTTTGAGACAGAATTTTGCTCTTGTTGCCCAGGCTGGAGTGCAATGTTGCAGTCTTGGCTCAATGCAACCTCCATCTCCCTGGTTAAAGTGATTCTCCTGCCTCAGCCTCCCAAGTAGCCGGGATTACAGGCATTCGCCACCACACCTGGCTAATTTTGTATTTTTAGTAGAGATGGGGTTTCTCCATGTTAGTAAGGCTGGTTTTGAAGTCCCGACCTCAGGTGATTCCCCCGCCTTCACCTCCCAAAGTACTGGGATTACAAGTGTGAGCCACTGCACCCACATCTTCTTTTGAGAAGGGTCTGTTCTGTCTTTTCCCACTTTTTAATGGTGTTATTTGTTTCTTGCTGTTGAATAGTTTAAGTTCCTTAAACTATTCTGAATATCAGACCTTTGTCAGATACACAGTTTGCAAATATTTTCTTTCATTCTGTAGATTGTCTGTTTAATGTGTTTAGTTTCTTTTATTGTGCAGAAGGTCTTTAGTGTAATTAGGTCTCACTCGTCATTTTGTTGTTGTTGTTACAATTGCTTTTGAGGACTTAGCCATAAATTTATTTCCAAAGCCAATATCCAGAATGGAGTTTCCTAGATTTTCTCCTGGGATGCATATAATTTAAGGTCTTACATTCAAATCTTTAATCAATCTTGAGTTAATTTTTGTATATGGTGAAAAGTAAGTGTTCAGTTTCATTATTTTACATATGAGTAGCCAGCTAACCCAGCACCATTTATTGAATATGGAGTCCTTTTCCTATTGCCTCTTTTTGTCAACTTTGTCAAAGATGAGATGGCTTTGGGTGAAGATTAATTTCTGCTACATTGTTACGTGTGTGTGTTTTTGTACCAGTATCATGCTATTTTGATTACTGTAGCTTTACAGTATAGTTTGAAGTCAGGGAATGTGATGTCTCTGGCTGTGTTCATTTTGACTGGGATTGCTTTGGCTATTCAGGCTCATTTTTGGTTGCTGCCTGTATGTCTTCTCTTGAGAAGTGTCTGTTCATATATTTTGCCCACCTTTTAATGGGGTTATTTGCTTTTTGGTTCCATATAAATTTTAGAATAATGTTTTCTAATTCTATGAAAATATGATGTACATAGTTTGATAAGAATAACATTAAATTTATAGATTGCTTTCCAATTGCAGTCTACAGATTCAATTCTATTCCTATACAAATATGAATACTCTCTCTCTGTTTGGGTATTATGGCTATCTTAATGGTATTTATTCTTTCAATTCATGAGCATGGAATGTTTTTCCATTTGTCTGAGATGTGGAAAAAGCTTTCAGTAAAATCTAAAAACCTTTCACGATAAAAACCCTTAACAAACTAGGTATCAAAGGAGCATACTTCAGACTAAAAAGAGCAATTTATGACAAACCCACAGGCAACATCATATTGAATGGGCAAAAGCTTGAACAATTAATTCCCCTTGAGAACTGGCATAAGACAAGAATGCCCACTATCACCACTCCTATTCAATGTAGTAGTGGAAGTCCTAGCCAGAGCAATCAGGCAAGACTACAAAATAAAATGTATCCAAATAGGAAAAGAAGAAGTAAAACTCTCTCTCTTCACTGATGATATGATTCTATATTTAGAAAACTCTAAAGATTCCATCGGGGGCTTGAATTTGGTAAACATTCTGAATACAGTCAATGTATAAAAATCAGTGGCCAAGTGCAGTGGCTTATGCCTGTAATCCCAGCACTTTGAGAAGCTGAGGGGGGTGGATCATGAGTCAAGAGTTGGAGACCAGCCTGGTCAATATAGTGAAACCCTGTCTCTACTAGGGGTAAATACAAATATTAGCTGGGTGTGGTGGCTCATGCCTATAGTCCCAGCTACTCAGGAGGCTGAGGCAGAAGAATTGCTTGAACCCCAGAGGTGGAGGTTGCAGTGAGCCGAGATCGTGCCACTGCATTCCAGCCTAGATGACAAAGTGAGACTACTTCTCAAAAAAAAAAAAAAAAAGAAAAGAAAAAGAAATCAGTAGCATTTCTATACTATACCTCAATAATGTTCAAGCTGACAGCTGTCAAGAACACAATCTCATTTAAAATAGCCACAAAAATAACTACAAAAGCATCTAACTAAAGAGGTGAAAGATCTCTACAAAGAGAAATACAAAACATTGCTGAAAGAAGTCATAGATGCCATGTGATTGTTACTTTGGACATTTGTTCTCCTAACGATGGTCAAGCCTTCTACTTATGCACTAAACTCTAACCCATCTTGTCTATGCAAGATTTTGCCTCTGCAATTATCCTCTCCTTATCTTTCTATCACAAAAAGTTGTCTTCCTATCTGATCAATCCAATCAACATGCAAATATAGTGCAATATCTTCTGCCTGTTAAGAATTCCATTTGGCATCTCCACACACATTTTTGTCTGACTGACATCCTTTTCTGTGCGCAGTGCTCAGTGTGTGGTATAGTGAAAGCATGAAATTAATAAAGCCTGATTTAATTTCTGGTTTTCCACCTTTTAGCTATATTATCTTCATGAAGGCAATCAAATCTTTGAGCCTCAATTTATTAATCTATTAAATGGAATTAATGTTACCTCTAAAGAGATCAAAGCAATTTTGAGGTATTGTCCTAAAGCACTCGAAGCACTTAAATGTGTTAACATTTATTGTTTGCCATAAATCTATGAGATAGGTTCCATTATCATCCCTAATTTATGGAAGAGGATATCAAGGAACTAAGAGGTTAAGTTTTGTAAAATATTACATTAAGTAAAGCACAAAACTATCATACTGGAACTTAGACATAGTGTAGAAAATCAGGCTTTCCTCTAGTGGAAAATGCTGTTATAGTTCCACCAAAATTCATTCTGTTCTTTCTTTAAACATTAATAGAATTGTAGCAGGCACAAATCTGCCCAAGACCTTACATTTCCTAGCTTTCATTACAGCTAGATGTGGCTAAATTCTTACCAATGAAATATGTGTGGAAGTAATATGTGCTACCTTTGGTAATCATCCTTAAGATAGTGGACAATATCTTCTTTTTCATTTTCTATCCTTCCTTCCAATTGACCAGTACCCAAAAATGGCAGCTATTCAGCTTCAGCTGTATGACCATAATGCTGTAAGGCAGGAGTCAGTAAACTATGGTCCATGGGTCACATATATTTCATCTCCTGTTTTTGAATATAAAATTTTATTGAAACAGAGGCACATCCATGTGTTTACCTATTGCCCATAGCCACTTTTCCACCAAGAAAGCAGACCTGTCATTGTTGACATAATTGCTACACGGTTCACGGTTCATTTTTCCTTTTTAATTTCTTAGTATTTAAAATTTTGAGATTTTACAACCACTTACTTTTAAAATTTATTGTATTCCATAATTTTTAAGTCAATTTAGACTATGGGAATATGAGATATCCTCCCTACCACCACGAGTGACACCTCCTAACATACTCATTTTATTTTCTTATTGAAAAACTTGCTTTACTGTGCATGAGAAGAACCTATCACCACTGCTTGGGACACCAGCATTCTCGGTCATCGTCATGAGTTCTCAGTGGGATGACCTAGTTCTGGCCTTCTCCCACATATCTCAGTCGCTCTTTTTGACATCGCCCACTATCTAGTGTCAGTGATGACACTAAAGCATAAGCCAGCACAGCAGCAGGGGCAGTGGCATGGAAGAATCCTATTTCAAGCTGGATTACTGCTTTGGTGGGGGAATTTTAGTCTATGTACTGCTTACAGAGCATCCATTGAGATTTCTTACAAACAACACTAATATATTACTGCCATCTTCCACCTGACATATATTATTTTGCCCAAGGTTATTCATTTCTACCTGTTGAACTCCTAGCTGAGAGAATGAAGAAAGTGACTAGAATTTGGAAAATAGCAGTTAAAGTCAAACGTGCTAATAGAAAATATGAAAAATGAGGCTGGATTCTCATGATAGCTATTGGATGGGCATGAGGTGCGGGTCCTACCATTATCACGAATTTTGAGTAGTTCGTAAAAGGAAACAGAAGGTAATGGATGGTTGAAGATGTCTTACCCTTCCTAGATAACCATGCTGGGGTCAGTTATCCTCATATCCCAGCACACCAAGCATCTGGCAATATCAAAGCATAATCTGATATTCCTTTATAACATCTTTATTGTGGTCACAAAGATAGCCATAATGATTACAGAGACTTCTAGGATGACATTTGTTTCTTTTGAGGGTACATTGAGATGGATACTGTTTGGCTGGCAACAATAGTTTTCATTGGAAAAGAAAAGCAAAACAAAATTACCTTTCAATGACCGTGGTTCATTGGCCTCAAATCTTATAGCTGATGCTTCACATAATGTTAAAAAGAAATGTAGTAAGAAGACTGAGTAAATTTACTTGATGATCTCTGGGAGGCAAAATAATGATAATAATAATAGTCTCTCAGACTGTGATTATATTTTATGTAAATAATACAAAATACATATTATATATAAGGAGTGAAGATGACAGAAAGAAAGACACCTTTTTTTTCTATTTCAGGGAGACTACTCCTTTCTGGATTGTAAATTTTGAGTGTTTTGAGTGTATCATATGAATTCATTTTTCTGATGTTAAAAAAAATCTGTTGTACTTCTTTGAATAGTTTTACATTGATAAAAGAAGGCTAGTTTTAAAAAAAAGTTAGAAAAAGTAAATCTACCATTGCAAAGTAACAAAAATTACAAACTTGAAAAAATTAGGTATTTTTATACATTAAAAAATCAGTTGGCTCTTTAGTTCAGCAGAATTAAGCTTTTGCTTTGCTTTGCCATAATTCCTAGGCATAGAGAACAATTCCTGTATTATTTTGAACACTCAAAAGAGCAAATTTTTTGAAAACACTTTATATTATAAATAAAAATAAATTGATAAATTTTATTTCAGATAATAAACACTGTACTTTTGCCCAGATTAAATGGAAAAGTCTTAAAATTTTATTTAATTTTTGTCTATCAATACTTTTCAGTGAGAACAGAACGGTAGTATAAATCTCAATCTGAAATCTATCTCATGCCCTTGTTTATAAAACTACTGGTTTTTTTTCCTCAGAGGAAAATCAAGGGTATAATTTTTAATAAATTGCTAATCCCATGTCTTGTAATTTCATTTTAGAAGCTTAGCTTATTTTTTTCTCTCTCTCCTTGAAACTCATTTAAGTGTTAAGAGAGATTCCTCTCAGCATTTCACATGTTCTTCTTTCTGATCTTAGTTGGTCTGAATATATAGTGGTAGTTATCCTAACGATTTAACAAAAAATGCTATCTCAATTTTAAAATTTCCACCTATGTTTTCTTTCTAGGTGCTGGTTTTTCAATTTTCTAGTTTAATATCTCTTACTAGTTTACATATAGTTATATTTTAATGTACATCTACATATGTCACTAATTTTATTTTAAATGAAAACTAGTTACTCCCATGTGAAAAGGTTTGGCTCTACTGAGAATTGTCCTTGGGCATTTGATAGTAACCAGCTAACCAACAAGAAACAGAGAAACCAAAACCTCTTACCATTGTCCATGTGAATGAATGATAACATTAAATCTGGTTTCTCACTGGCAAAATAAAAAGCAAACAAAAAAAGAAAAAAAAAACCACTTTTCTTTGCTTTGCGTGGGGTTACATTACACATGAATTTTCAGAAATTCATTCATAACATATTGCAAGTGTCCACAATAAATCACTACCTCTCCCTCAATGTGAATAAAATAAGTAGCTTTTTAGTGCTTGGTTTGAAAAATGTGTTTATATGAAATGGTCAACATTGCAAGACACAATAAAATTGATTCAATGATATTTTAGTAGTTATTTTAGTAATATGTTTTTCTGTAGTGATTTGAAATCTATAAAAAATAGTTTATATTCATGGTAAACTAGATAAATAAACAAAATGACTTATTATATTATTATTTATAAGACTTTTTCTCGTAATTCACTGATACCTAGGTAGCCAAAATTTTCTGACAACTACAAAAAAAGTTTTCATTTGATATTATAGTTCAATGATAAACCATCCATCATTTCTTTATTTTTTAAAAAACTACCTGCTTCTGTAGATCCATCTGTATATTTTTGTTTTTGATCATGGACTTTGATTTGAATACATGTAAGATGATATGTCTAAGGTATCTATATTTAAGCTGTCATACATTTAGTACATATTATGTGACAGGCATTGAAAGCCAGATTTTTCTTATATTATCTGTCACCCTCACCACAGTCTTTAGGGTAGATATTATTGTTCTTAATTCATTAATGTCTAAATGTTTCTTTGTTTAAAATAATATAGTAAGTTTAGAATTAGAATTCCTTCTTAGATATGCTTGGCTCCCGAGGTATGACCTTCCATGAAGATATTCTGCATCTTTACTGCCCGTCACACTAAATAATACATAAAAATAAAGTTATGCATTATCCCAAGAGTGGGATTGACCTTATTATTGTGAATAATGCCAATATTTCTTAACATCTACCCTAAAATAATTTTTTTACTACACTTATTATTCTCCCTGTAAAACCATTGCTACTTCATTTTTGTTGCAGGAAATATTTCCTTCTTTCCATTTGCTTTTATTTTTACATTAAATAAGTATATAAATCCTAAGCTCCTTTATTTGTAACAATGCAAACACACTCATGTAACCAGCATCAGATCAAAATATGGAACATTACTAGTACACATATATATATAGTAGGTTATTTTTGTGCCTGGATTCTTTCACTCAATAATTTGTTTGTAAAGTTCATCCATATTTTATGTGTAGCAATAGCTTTGTTCATACTTGTGACTATATAATATTTCATTATTGAAATGAAACACAGTTTACCTATTATACTCTTGAAGGGCATTTGAGTTGCCAGAAATTTTGGACTATCATGAAGAACAATCTTGAATTTTCTTGCATATATGAATACATTTATTTTACCCATATATACTTAAGAGTAGAATTGCTGAATCATTTGGTATGCTTTAGTAGAAACTGAAAATCACTTCTCCAATCTTGTACTAATTTATGTTCCCACCGGCATTGTATGTGTTCTCTCAACTTACCAGAATTTGAAATTGTCTGTCTTTCTGGTGTTTATGTATGATATTGTGCTTTTAACTTTTATTTTCCTCATAGCTGATGACTATATTTTCTTATGTTTATTACCCATTTAGACGTCGTCTTTTAAGAAGTGCCTTTTCAAATTTTCTGTCTCTTATTCTTATTGTGTCATCCTTTCTCTTATTGTCTTGGAAGAATCCTTCTTACACTCAAGTACAAGTGCTTTGATGTGTATTCATATTACATGCAATTTTTTCCCACTCTTTGGCTTCATTTTTCATATATTAATGACATCTTTTGATAAACAAATGTCTTTAATTTTAATGTAGTCTAAGTTATTTTTTGAGTAGTATTTTGTATCTAGAAGACAAACCATGTCTCACATTTTAATTTTACCAACAAATACTACTGTTTTGAAAGTGTTCCCGCAAAATATCTAATCTTAAAGATTCATCAATAAAAAGTTTTATCTCTAAAAATATTTAACAATAAAAATATATTATTCCATAGAGATATTGTCATTAATACTCAACACTTTTCAAGAGCCTTAATTAATTGAAAGATATCATTTTTGAAAAAAATAGGCATTCCTGAAATTAAGAATGAAGAAAAGTAGAGTATTGGTTAATTTTAAGGAAAGGATATGTTTTATACTTGAGAACGCAGCACTATTTAGACTTCTCATCAGCAAAACTGGGTACATTTTCTTGATTTAAGAGTTAATTATACTGAAGCTAATTTATTAAGCCTCATAATAAGTGATGCATCAAAAACTATACTATATGCCCTCTGAAAATGCAAATAAGCAATAAACTTTTTCTTCTAATTTACTTCTATTTAAAATTTTCATATGATAGTTTGATTGTCTGAGCTCTGTCCATTATGCCTGTTTACATAACTAAATTTTTAAGTAGAAATATAATCTCTGTTGATATACCGATTAACCATAGGAGCTGCTTAAAAGAAAGGATGATCATCATAAACTTCCTGGAAACTGTTTGACTTGGATCCAATCGTGCTGAAAAGTAACATCTCTGCTTCCAAAGTGTTCAGTCATTTTCAAAACTTAAATTGGTTTTACACTTACGCTTGGAAAATTTAAAGTTGTTGCTGAAAAACACACTCAGAGATAGTAGTGACTACTTTGACTTACAGCCAGTATCTCATTATACCACTTGAGCTTAAAACACTACATAATAGATTAAAAACAATTTGCTCAAGTAAATAAGGTTGAGTATAATCTATTTTTTTAGAAAGAAATGCTGCACATTTTTATATTACACTCTTTAGTTCATGGACTGTGGTGCTTTAACCTTGAAGAATCTTTTATTCTAATATGGTTTCAGTCTGAATAGAGTGGTCATATTATTTTCCAAGATGATGTAGTTAATATACAATTTAAGTATCATCAAAAATATATAGTGTTTTGTTAACCATATTTAAAATTAACTTTCATTTCTGAACTTATCATTTAACGCTTTTTGAGGTAGATAAATTGTCTATAGTCTTCAGAAGAGTTAAGTGTGAGAAAAAAAAAAACCCTGAAGTGTTTATACTTGTTAAAAGATTTCTTCACAGAAAACTAATGTTAGAATGAAAAAATTGATTCCTATTATTATGATAATTTTTTGGTGTTGTTGAGTGGCTGGTATTGCTGCTACTGTTTTAATATTGGTGTCCTTGTCAGTTGCAAGCATCAGAATTGGGAAGGAAATGACATGCTGTGTCTGCAGACATGGGCTGACTTAGGCTACAGTCATATCCCTGTTCACATTTGATGCCAATGAGGAGGAAAGCTCTCCTGCTGGCAGTGAGAATGAGAAACCAATGAATTGAAAAGTTGGGAGAAAAATTTTACAATTAAAAAGGCTTCCTAGAATAAGGCATGGGAGCACCAAAGGAGGCCAAAAGCAAGAGATCAGTAAGAGGAACATATAAATAAAATACGGAGTCCTTCTTAAGGGTACATCAAGAGATGTAATAGAAGGCAGGTGTGCTAGTACATACCTGTAGTCCCAGCAACTTGGGAGGCTGAGGTGGGAGAATCTATTGAACCCAGGAAATAGACACTGCAGTGAGCTGTGATTGTGCTGCTGCCCTCCAGCCTGAGTGACAGAGTGAGGCCCCATCTCTAAAAATAAAAACAAATAAATAAATAATCAGAGACTTAATGGAAGGGATAAAAAATGCTGTGAGTCACCATTGTCCTGGGTTTAAATCATCTTGCCATTTTCTACAATCGAGATTTTGGACACACGCTGACACACTGTGAGTACAGTAGTAACAGCATCTACCCTTGCCTCAAAAGTTTGTTGCAAGGTTTAAGCATAGTTATTTCTGGTGAATACTTAACAGTACCTTGCACATGATGAGTGGTTAGTAATATTTATTCTTGTCAATACAATTCCATGTCTCTACTCACTGCTGGTCTTTAGTCTAGTTCATCATTTGTGGGAAGAGTTTCCTCTACATGCCTTAAAGTTTCCAAGTGGTTTTGGGTTTTGACAATCCTCAAGTCAAATAATGCCAACACTGAAGTTCTTATCATAAATTTTTTATTTCTTTTTTTTCCCCTTTTTTGTCCCCTTTACTCTCCTATCTGTTTCCTGCTTGTTCTGCCTCCCTGGTTGCTCTTCATTTGCCCTCTTATTTATCTTTTTTTTTTGAGACGGAGTCTCGCTCTGTCGCCCAGGCTGGAGTGCAGTGGCGCGATCTCAGCTCACTGCAACCTCTGCCTCCCGGGTTCATACCATTCTCCTGCCTCAGCCTTCCGAGTAGCTGGGACTACAGGCACCCGCCACCATGCCCAGCTAATTTTTTTTGTAATTTTAGTAGAGACGGCGTTTCACCGTGTTAGCCAGGATGTTCTCGATCTCCTGACCTCGTGATCTGCCTCGGCCTCCCAAAGTGCTGGGATTACAGGCTTAAGTCACCGTGCCCAGCCCCTCTTACTTATCTTTAAACACATATTGATTGGCCCTGGGTATATAGAGTAATATAATTCATTTCATGGAGAAGTCATAGTTTAGTTGGCAGCAACAATGTGTAAAGGAATATTTATAACTCACTGAAATATGTAGTAAATATTATTGACTGATTAAATTTCAGTTTACTCATCTGTGTAAACTTGAGAAGTGAAAAAAAACTACCTCATAAATTTATATTTTCTAGGCAGCAGGGTTATAATGAGCAATTTCTATAGATTCCAAAGCATAACATTAGCTTGCAGAACACATTGAATTAGATTCCTAGGGCTGTCACAGCAAAATATCACAAGCCTCATGGCTTAAAAAAAACAGAAATTTATTTTCTTACACTTCTGAAGGCTAGAAAGCAATAGTCAGCAGGCCTATTTTCCCCAAGAAAACTCTAGGAAAGAATCCCTTCTTGCCTCTTCCTCACTCCTGGCAATCCTTGCCATTCCTTGGCTTGTAGATGCACGACTCCATTCTTTGCCTTTGTCTTTATATGGATTTCTATTCTGTGTGCTCCTTCTTCTTTTTATAAAGACACCAGTCTTTGGACTTTGGTATTGCCCAATCCAGTATAACCTCACTTCCGCTTAAATTACATCTGCAAAGACCCTATTTCCAAATAAGATCAGTTTCTGGGGTTCTGGGTAGACAATAATTTGGGGGCACACCATTCAAATTACTATACACATTTCAGCCCATCTCCCTGTGTACACGCAGGGTATCCTCCCAATCATACCTATATAAGTAGATAATAATTGAAGTAGAAAAGACCTCTGTAAGCCAATGAGTCAGCTAGGAGGTAAACCAAGACCTTTTTAATTCACTTTTTTTTCTTTGACTATATATATATTTTTTCCTAAAGAAAGGAGGGGAGATTATGTGTCTAGCGACAGTAATAACCTCTAAAGCCAAGATGCAAAGATTATCTAAAAGGTTTGATTTTATGCCTTACTCTTAGCTTCTGAGAGAAAAATATAAAAAAACTCTGTTGTATGTGTTTAGGGTCTGCTGACTTTCAGAAGAAAATCACTGGAAAACCACAAACACAAACAAAAATAAATGTAATTTTAGGAAGAGAGTTTTTAAATGAAAGAAATGCAACTGTTTGGTTTTGGAATTTAGAGACATTAATGTGAATTTTTATTCAGTAAATGTAACTAATGTCCATTTTGAGCCAACTTCTGGTTGGAGAAATAGAAAAAATGAAAAACAGATTGAAAAAAAGGTTTGAAAGAGGGATGAGACAATGTGTAAGAAGAAGAAAGTTGATAGAAAAAAAACAGACATACAAAGAAAGCCAGATTTAAAGAGAGAGAGCCAATAAGATGGAGAGATTGTCAAAGAGAAAAGTAAGCTTTTTTTCCAAGACTTCTACAATAACTTTTTCCCTAATTCCAGAGGTCCCCATCATCTAACTGCACTTTCTTTCACAACTCTCAGCACCCTGGATAGCATAGATGCCATACCAAGTTTCCACATGTCTGATAAATACAACTTTTGAATTTTACCTAGGCCACTTGCTTAATAGCAACTCCTATTTCTCTTAGATTTCCTTAACTGTGTCCACAACATCTTTGGGTCATTTATCGAGAGTTGGTTTTTTACAGCTAGAATTTTTTCTGCTACGTTTATATTTATCTCTGTTGTTCTTCATCAGAAGAAATAAGGAATTCCTAGTGAGACGTTCAGAAAATTTCCCTTGAGACAGATTGGGTTTTCAGATTGTACATGTTCCTACATCTTGTGTAATGTAATCATGATTTTTACCTTCTATAAAGTATGTAATGCCCTTTTCCAGAATGAAGAACAGTGCCTCTGATATTAATTATGTGAATCATTTCATTTAACTAAATATTCTCTCAATATTTATCAATCTCTACTTTGTGCCAGACACTTCAGAGATACTCCTTCTTACCCCCATCTACACATGACATAAAAAACCATACATGCTGGTCAGTTTTTTTATTGTATTATGATTCTTTGATTAAACACCATAGCATCTGCATTCATGATTGCCTGATTTTAGCAATAAATTATAAAATCCAATAAGATCCTTCACAGAGCTCAAAGGAGAGGTACAAAACGGTATTATCATTTTTACTGAAACTTAATGTAATCTTTAGAGAAAGATATTTTTATATCACCTCTGCATTGCAAAACAGAGCATTTACACATTGATGCAGTCTCTCATAACAGCTAACCTCAAGGTTAAACAATATGCTGATGCTAAAGAAATAGCAGAAACAGCTACGGACCACTGCTTGAAAGAAAATGTTATACTTCACAGGAAATGAACTGTTGACCCATGTTCTCATTGAGAACAGCAAGGGATCAATTGCCAACTTCTAATTATGCTTCTATGGGTATTTTTCTAAGAAAGGAGAAATGATCACTGAAGTGACTAAAGTTCAGAGGAATCAAGTATTAATACTTTTAGTACTGGCAACACATAAATTCAAAAATGTTTGGAGTTAGAATGTTAGTTAAAGCTCACAAGTTTAAATGCTTGCCTATGCTTTATTATACCATAACTTTAAAAAATTACCCGATGCCCCACTGTTATTGCTGTTTAATTTCAAACACATGAGCAGAGATTAACAAAAGTCATTATATAGTATTCCTGAGTATTAGTCACTGTTGTCCAAAGAAACACCTTTATGATGAGTAAAATGTAGTATTTCATTTTGATGAAAGATAATTAAGACTAAATATAGATTAAAGTGGGCTGCTGGGTTGGGCAATGTCTATTTTGTTAGCATCCTCTATAATACCCCTTGGCTATATAATCTCTGATCCAGCCCTTTGAACTATATTGACCCTGTAATTAGGTTGAGAAATGAGGTGATTCTGCTCTTTGTTCCTATAGCATATGGATTTTCAGTATCAGGGCATTCATCAAATTTCACCACCATTGTTTACTTATTTTCTTTTCTGAAAAAGCATAGTCCCTATTAATGAAAGCCTATCCTTGCTACTATTATCCCAATCTAAGAGTAGTCTTATTGCTATTATCCCATAGCAAGTGTTCAATAAATATTTTCTAGATGAAATAATATACCAATAAATAACACAATAGTTACTAAAGAGGACGTCATCATTGTTCAGCGAACTATTTTTTTGTGTATCTATTTATTAAAACCTGGTCTTGCCTCAGGTAACATTTTACTTTTTAAAAAAATACCTTTTTAGAAAATCTACAAAGGTCATGCACTGTCATTAAAGGAACACACAGTAACTGATAGTGTAGAAGCATAATGGGTATTCATGCTTCATTTTCTTAGATCAGCAATAAATTTGCCTTGGAATGAAATCACCATATTATCTCATTAAAGTGTAAGGAAATCAGGAAAGGAGCTTTTTACACTTATTAACTATTAACTTAAAATTTTCTTTTAGGCCAGGTGCGTGGCTTACGCCTGTAATCCCACCACTTTGGGAGGCCTAGGTGGGTGGATCTCATGAGGTCAGGAGTTCAAGACCAGCCTGGCCAAAAATACAAAATACAAAAATACAAAAATTAGCCCCGCGTGGTGGCACGTGCCTGTAATCCCAGCCACTTGGGAGGCTGAGGCAGGAGAATCGCTTGAACCTGGGAGGTGGAGGTTGCAGTGAGCAGAGATTGTGCCACTGCACTCCAGCCTGGACAACAGAGTGAGACTGTGTCTCAAAAAAATATTTGTGTTAGAAAATTTTAGTTTTTAGATGCAATATGATATCGAATTTTGTCTTTATACCAGGTCAAAAAAATGGCTTTCTAATTAATACACTGAGTAATGTTGAAAAATCAATTATTTTTGTTTATAAGTTTTTTGTTTGTTTGTTTCTGGCTTTTTATCTTTTAATTACTCAAAATCTCCCTCCCCTGTTGTTTTGGCTCACTGGAGTACTTTAAATTATGAGAAAACCTTTGAATAATAAAATCTTTGAAAATTGTATTGGTCATTGTGGTAGATAACCTTCTAAAATGGCTCTTGATGATTTCTCTCTCCTAGCATCTATGCCCTTGTATAATCCTTTCCCTTTGAGTGTGGGCTGGACCTAGTAACCTGCTTCTATCAAATAGAATAGAGCAAAAGTAAGTAGGTATAACTTTCAAGATTTATTTATAAAAGACTGAGAGTTTTGTATTCCTCTCTCTCTTCTCTTTCTTTTGCTCTGATGAAACAATCTGGTGTGACCTAAGTGTTAAGGAACTGAGGGAAGTCTCTGGCCAATTGCCAAAGGGGAGTTGAGGCATTCAATTCAACAACCCTTGAGGGACTAAATTATACCAAAAACCATGTGAGAGAGCCTAAGAGTGGGTCCTTCTCCAGTTGAGTCTTCAGATGAAACTACAGCTTCAGGCAGCACCTTGATTGCAGCCTTGTGAGAAACCCTAAAGCAAATGACTCATGCCAGACTCAACTTTCAGAAATTATGAAATAATAAATTGTATTCTTTTAAGTTGCTAAGTTTTGTGCTAGTTTACCATGCAGCTCTATAGAATGAATACAACTATACTCCATGCATAGATGTCAGATAATAAACAGAATCAAACATAATTTAAAATATTTTCATAAAACTTAAAGGTTCCAAAATTACATTAAATTTCCATGCCTCTGAAATCATCACTGCTGACCTGCTGATTGAGAGACATGGAGATAAATGGGAAAGATTTATCAAGAGATATAATTTGTTGCTTAACTGGATTATTGCAATCTATTAATCAAAATATACTCCTCTACCTGATAAGAATATGGACTTTACTTTTTATTATAGTTCCTTTTCATTCTTAAACTTTACAAAACTCACACTGACATATTTAGTAGAAGAATGCACACTTGCTTCACATTAGCCAACTATGGTAGTCATTTAAAATAGTTAAATATTTCCAATTCTCTCTTTCTGGGGCTCATGATAGAATTGTACTTTCAGTTTAACCAATTGAATGTGTATTGTTTCCTGGAAGAAGATGCTTAATAGCCAGTATGAAACATTGCACCAATCTCTTCAAACTGACTGTGGAAACATGTTTGAGATGGAGCCTCTGATAACATAGTTTCCTGAGTAACTAAAATGAGTAATAGCCATTGTCAACTCCCAATGGACAAAGTAAAACATAAATTAATTTTGTGATAAAACGCTACAATTTTATTTTGTTACTGCAGCATAACCAGGCTTAACCTGAATGATTTCTGGCCTGACATTAAATAGGTCCCATAAGTCAAAATACGGGCTCATGCCCGTAATCCCAGCACTCTGGGAGGCCGAAATGGGCAGATAACTTGAGGTCAGGAGTTTGAGACCAGCCTGGCCAACATGGCAAAATCCTGTTTCTACTAAAAATACAAAAATTAGCCAGGCATGGAAGTGCATGCCTGTAATCCCAACTACCCAAGAGGCTGAGGTAGAAGAATCGCCTGAACCTGGGAGGCAGAGGTTGCAGTGATCTGAGATGGCACCACTGCATTCCAGCCTGGGTGACAGAGTGAGACTCCATCTGAAATAATAACAACAACAGTAATAATGAAAATAAACATATCGACTATATATGATAGCAATTTTATTATCTCAAGAACCTATGTTGTTTCAACAATTTCCCCATATTTTAATCTACATCATTTCTAACTCTTTGCTAAACATCTCATTTGCAAACAAATATTCAGTCACATCCCCCATCTGGAAACATAACAAAAGAAAACCACAACTACATTTCCACCTTCAGTTGTAGTCCCATCCCTCCTTTTACTTTTACTACAAAACTCTTTAAAGTAGTCTATTCCACTGTTTCAATTTCCCTCCATTCCTTCTTTCTGAATCTGCTTCAATCTTGCAAAATTTTTCTTGTCGATATTTCCTTATCTCCTCCCTTACAACCTACTTATTTCTCAATATTTCCAATCTCAGTTGATGGCAGCCCAATTTTTCTTTTCATGTGTAGGCCAAATAATTGAATGCCATTGTTGATTGCTGTATTTTGTACATGCTCCATGCCCAATCCATCAGAGAATTGTGTTAGCTCTATCTTTAATATATGTACAAATCCCAATCTCTTTTCCATTGCTTCTCATGTTGCTACATGAATCCAAGCTGTTCTTACCTCTTGCTTAGATTTTTGCAATAGCCTACTAATTGATATTCCCGATTCTGTCATGCTTCCTACAGTCTACTTTCAGTTAAATAGCCAGAGTAACCTTTTGGAAAAGTGAGCCTGATCACATTTTGTTGTTGTTGTTTTATTTTTTATTTTTTTATGTGTGTGACAGGTCTCGCTCTGTCACCCAGGCTGGAGTCCAGTTGCCCCATCTTGGCACATGACAACTTCTGCCTCCTAGGGTTAGGCGATCCTCCTACCTCAGCCTCCTGAGTAGCTGGGACTACTGGCACACGACACCCTGCCCAGCTAATTTTTTTATTTTTTGGAGTAGAGATGGGGTTTTGCCATGTTGCCCAGGCTTTCTTGAACTCCTGGGCTTCAGGCAATCCTCTCACCTTGGCCCCCTAAAGTGCTGGGACTACAGGCATGAGCCACCACATTCATTTAAGCCTGATCATGTTTTCCTCTGCACAAAACCCTCTAATGGCTTCTGATATTATTCACAGTAAAGGGTTAAGTCCACAATAGCCTTTAAAACTCTCTGTGGTTGACACTTTAGTACCTATTAAATTTTCCTTCTGTTCTCTCCCTTGTTTATTCCATTTTAGCTATATTGGCCTCATTTCTGTCCCAAAAACACGCCAGACACTCTAATGTCTCAAGGTATTTTCTATTATCTTTTTCTGAAATGTCCTTCCATGGTATCTGCATGTGTTTGTCTTCATTAATTGTATTTCTTTAATGTAAAATATCATCTTCTCACATCAACAATTTCTATTCCTTTCCCCAGCTTTGATTTTCTCCATAGCACTTACCATTACCCAAATTCTTATATATATTTTTACTATTTATTTTATTTAATATCTGTCTCTAACAGTAGAATATAAGCCCCATGAGTTCAGGGACTTTATATGTTTCTATTGCTATATTCCTATTACTAGAAGGATGCATATTACTGAATAATTTAATGAAGAACTTGGCTCCTACCTTCAAAATATGAAGTAGTTATCTCTAAGAATCATGGTGCATGACTCTCTCAGGAAGGTATATTTTTGTTTGCATTTGTCATCTTTCCCCTAGAAAATGGCTGAGATAACTATTTTCTTCAAAGCATCTGTTCATGAACTTAAGAAAAAAGAGTTAGCATTTGTTGCCCAATCACAGACCAATGCCATTCTTCTATCTCTACTCTTAGTTGCTTGCAATTTCAGAACCCATATAGAATAAAAAAGGAAGGTTAATATAGATACTCCTCATCAAATACGTGATTCAGATATTCACAAATGTACAGTTCACCCAGCCAACCTGTACCCAGTGGATTACAGTATTTGTTCAGAACAGATGTGTGAGTTGACAATGTGCTGTTAAAATGTTGATAATTTAAGTCTCTTATCAAATAACTGCATTGCTTTGTGATCCTAACCTAATAGTGTGGCGCATGATGTGGTAAATGATAAGGGCAAGGCAAGAAGGAAAGTGTGGGTAAGCAATAGAAGAATGATGCCAAGAGCAGGCAGTAAGTTTTACTTGGAGTTATCTACTTGAGAAAAGAAAAAAACAGTAGTAGGTATTAATTTGAAACCATTTTCAGAGGTGAAGAGAGTAAGGGACAAAGATGATCAATTGTTTCATTTAACAAATCAGGAAATTGCAACAGTCTGAGCTCAAACATATAACTGGTGCTTACATTGTCTTAGTTTTCAAAATGAAATTGTCAATATTAAAATATTTAATATATACAGGAGAGCCTTCAGTTGATCTGCTATGTATTCTCTGCCTTTTTATTCAAGACACTAATAGAAGGTACTAGAACTAAGGATAGATAAATTAGGCCTGAATACAACTCTGACATCAACTTTAATATTAAGGTATAAATTAAAAATTTGTGATAATAGCAAAGAAAAACAATGCCAGATAAACTTCATCAATTTTGATTATTTCAACCCCAATTTCTTTTTTCTTTCTCTGTATTATAACTTCCAGCCTGAGTCTCCCAAAACATAATTTATATATTTATTATCCTTTCCAAGCATCTTCTAATTTTATAGCCAATGACAGCAACTCAATTACTATTGTCACAAAAATAATAAAAACAATAGGAAAACTTAAATAATAATGAATTAATACGTAAATAAAAACAATGACTGTGGTCACTTTTCTGCTTTCATTAACTATTTCTCATCAGTTTTCTTCTGGTATCATCCGACCTGTTCTAAATGGTAAACTTTCAAAGCAATAATATTATTACTTTAAAAAGCCTCATTCTGAAACTTATCAAGGGCTATTTGGTAAAATATAATTCCTTTTCATTTGTGTTCTTTCTCTTCCCTTAGAAGATTTATTATATTGCATTTTATACTCACCTCAAGAAAACAAAGAACTATTCTCCAGCGATTTCTGAGTTTCTTTTACTCTTCATAATGTTTATTGACTGGCATATGTTTCCCGACTCTGTGAGCCAATAGTCCAATAAATTTAAGTTATCAGTAAACTAAACGAGACATTAGTGGTAAAATTATTTTGACTCAGATTATAATATTTCTCACATGCTTCTGATTTGCTATCATCATAAAACTCATTTATGTGGATTATAAAACTGGCTCTTCTGATGAATTATGTAATGCTCCACTTACTAGTCAAGAAAAAAGCCATTTTATATTCATTTTATTTGATCCCTTCAATTGAAATTTTTCTTCTTAACATTGTTATTGAATCTTATAAAATGTTTGTTTAAAATCCATATTTGGCATAAAATACATATATAAATTATAATTCTGAGAGTATATTTCAATACCTTGAGATCTGATCTCTGCTGTATATTGTCTAAATATTCCTAATTTTTTCTCTCAAATAAAACACCTTTAAAGAATACTTACAGCCCCTCTCACAATCACTTTTTTGTTGTTGTTATTGTTGTTGCTACTATTTTCTGTCCCCACTTTTGATAGGAAGAGTGATGGCATGACATAGAGACATACTGGGTTGCTGCACAAATAACTCAATGAGGCTGTCATCTGAGCATATTCCTTTCACAGCCTGCGGGGTTTTCATGGAAAAGTTTTCCTGAAGTCATGCTAAGGTACCCCAAATGGTTCAATATGAATTTTCTGTATTCTCAGTAAGAACTGCAGATTTGTCTCACAGAACCCATCTTTAGTAAAACTGAAACCCTCTTGCTAAAATTTGACATACTCTTGACTAGAAAGATGCCTCTGATTAGACAACGATGTAAGGCTCAATATAGATCTGTTTCTGTCAATTCACAGAAACTGTATCTAATGTAGTGTTATAGTAGTGATATGGTTTGCGTCTGTGTCCCCATCCAAATCTCATGTCGAATTGTACTCCTCAAGTATCAAGGGAGGGACCTAGTGGGATTGGATAATAGGGGCGGTTCCCTTTATGCTCTTCTCATGATAGTAAGTTCTCAAGAGATCGGGTTGTTTGCTAAGTGTCTGGTGCTCTCCCTTCTCTCTCCTGCCACCGTGTGAGATATGCCTTGCTTCCCCTTTGCCTTCTGCCAGATTGTAAGTTTTCTGAGCCTCCCCAGCCATGTGGAACTGTGAGTTTTAGACTTTTGGGTTAATTCTGGAATGAGTTAAGACTTTGACTATTGGGAAGGCATAATTGTGTTTTGAAATGTCAGAGGGACACGAGATTTGGGAGGGGCCGGGGCTTAATCATATGGTTTGGCTCTGTGTCCCCACCGAAATTTCATCTTGACTTGTAATCCCCATGTGTTGAGGGAGGGACCTAGTGGGAAGTGACTGGATGATGAAGGTGCTTTCCTTTATGCCATTCTTGTGATAGTGAGTGAGTTCTCATGATATCTGATGGTTTAAAAGTGTGGCAATTTTCTTTTCTCTCTCTCTCCTGCCAGCATGTAAGACATGCCTTGCTTCTCCTTCATCTTCCACCATGATTTTATGTTTCCTGAGGCCTTCACAGCCATTTGGAAATGTGAGTCAATTAAATCTCTTTTTTTAATAAATTACCCAGTCTCAGGCATTCTTCATAGCAGTGTAAAAGTGGACTAATACAAGTAGAAACCTATGAAAAAGGTTTTTACAGTTAGTATTAAATATGTTAGGTCAAAAACAGAATGATAATTTTTTTCACATATCAAGGAGCATCCATTTTTGGAGAGTATCAATGAAAAAAAAGAGTTACCTAAAAAGTAAACTATTGCTAAAACATGTTATAAGTTTAAGTAATTGGAGAAAATCAGTTAAAGAATGGTTGATGTTAATACTCTTAGTAAATTTATAGTGATTCAAGACTAAATGAACAAATTTGACCTATTTGTTATACTTTGGTAATTTTATCAATATCACTTTATCTGTGACATATATAATATTGAGTTCTTTGATCGATGTTAAACAAACAAAATAATAACAAACCTTTTGACAAAATCTTAAAACCTAGCAAAAAAGAGTTCAGAATGGTAATTTATTTGAAAACTCTCCAATGAGTCATATTTGAGAAAACCAGAAATATAATTTAATAAGTGAAAACTTTGGGAATCTGACACCTGCCTTTGGGTAGTTAACATGCTATTATCTGTAAAAAGGGCTAGACATTTGTCTCTGTAGGTCAAATCTTGTACTAAATGTTTTGCTCTTTCAACTCTTCTATTGACAGTAATGTGCCCTACAATAGTCTCAGCTTACTGCCTGGAATGTTCCAAGCTTTGGTGCTGGGAGAGAGAGTCTATGCTGATCCCAGTGGATGCCAGGAGTTAAGACAGAGCTGAGAGTACATGGAGAGCAAAGTGTCTAGATTTTTCAGGACCAAGTAACCAAGACAAGAGGGCTACAAGGAAAAAGAATGCTGGCAATCTACAGAGCATCTCTATTCAGTATTCAGAAGAGTATTGATTACTGCATATGGCATATGTATGAGGAAACTGCCCAAGCACAGAAAAATAACCAACTGAAAAGATCAAAAGGAATAGTGCTCAGGATTGCACAGCGACAAAAATAGAACCAGCCAGACCAGAAAAACTCATAATTTATGGATCATTAAGTAGAACACTCAGAAATACCATTCCTCACTAGTGGTAAGTAATTATCCTAAGTCAAACATTGCTTCCAATTTGTCAAACAAAAAATAAAACAAGATTTATAAGTGTCAAACTCTATCCAAGTAACTTATCCACCTGTCATGCATGCAATTAAAGATTACTCTATATGCAAAGAAGCAGTAAAAACACAGCTCAGAAGGAGATAATAATCAATACCTTAATCAATAATTTGAGAATTGATAGGGAGCTGAAACATGCTAAAATTAGCAGACAAGGATATTAAAGCAATTATATTAACTGTATTCCATATGTTCAAAAAGTTAAGAAAACAAATAAGATCTCCAAAAAAAAAGATCCAATGTGAACTCTTGGAAATGAATATTATATTGTCTAAAATTAAAAAAATAAACTGATGGAATAAATGACAAATTAAACACTGAGAAAGAAAAGATTAATAAACTTGGAGACATAACAACAGAAGTAAACAAAATGTAACATAGAGAAAAATAATTTTTAAAAATGAAAAGAGCATGAATGAATTGTAGGAAAACCTCAACGACCTAATATACACACAACCAAAGACCCTGAAAGTGGGAAATGGTACATAAATAAATAAATATATATCAAAATGTGTCCAATTTGATATAAAGTCCAATAGATAAAAAAACTCAATGACCCCAAAGCGCAAGAAAAATGAAAAAAAAAAAAGACCCAAGCCACACTATACTCAAATTGCTCAAAACCAGTCATAAAGAGATAATCTTAAAAGCAGCCAGATGGCAAGAAAGTGGGTGGTGATGATATTATCACAAATTGGTAGCAACAGTCAATAGAAATTTACTACAGATAAAGAAGGCTTGGATGCTTTTCCCAATGAAAACAGACTAAAAATTCTTTTCTAGTGCACAATGAACATTTACTAACATAAAACATATTCTTGGCTGCAGAAGAAGTATCAATGAATGTAAAAGATATTACATAATATAATGTATTTTCTCTGATAAAAATAGGATGAAATTGGAAATAAATAAGAAAAACACATTTTGAAAATTGCCAAACATGTATTTGGAAACTAAATAGAACACATCTAAACAAAAAAATAGAAAGTACAATGGACTGAATTAAAATAAAAATAAAGTACATCAAAATTTGTAGGATGGATCTAATATAGTATTTAAGGGAAATTTATATCAGTAAATGCCTGGTTTAAAAAAGAAAATTCTCAAATTGATTAAGTCCTAGAAAAACAGAAAAATACAGTAAATAAAATATAAACCGGTAGAACAAAAATCATAAGGATCAAAGAGGGAGAGAGCTAGACACAGAGACAGACACATAGAAAGAGGAAAATCAATAAAATAAAAAAGTAAGTATTTGAGAAGATTAACATAGTTGATGAATTTCTTGCCAGATTAATCAGGTAAAACTTAAAAGAAAGACACAAAAAATGATATACGGAATGAAGGAGGCACCATCACTACAGATTCCATGAATATTAACAGAAAAATATGGTAATATTGCCAACAACTTTGTACAAGTATATTCTGTAACTTAGATTTAAATGAGCAATTACCTTGAAGATCACAAGGTGTTCACTCAAGAAGAATGTTGACTCAAGAAGAATGTTGACTCAAGAAGAATGTTGACTCAAGAAGAAATAGCTAGCCCAAATATCCCCATATTTTTTTAAAAATTGAGTTTGCCGTTAAAAGCCTTCCACAAAGGAAAACACTAGTCCCAGAAGCCTTCAATGGGACAGTCTACTAAATATCCATGGAAGAAATAATACCAACTCTGCGCATGCTCTTCCAGAAAATTGACCAAAAGGGAATTTTCTTAAATCATTCTATGAGGTCAGCATTATTTTGATAACAAAATCAGAAGGCATTATCAGAAAAGAAAATTATAGAACAATAATCTTCATGAATATATATCCAAAAAATTTTAACTAAATGTTAACAAATTAAACACAACAAGATATAGAAAGATGATACATCATGAGAGTAAGTGGTTTATTCCAGCAATACATGGTTTAACATTCCAAAATCAATGAATGTAATTCGCCAAATAATATATTAAAAATAAAAGTCTTATAATAATCTCAATAGATGCAGAAAAAGCATTTTAAAAAGTCTAATATCTATACATGAAAGAAGATTTCGGCAAAGAAGAAATAGAACTTTCTTATCTTGATAAAAGACACCTATGTTAAAACTTATAACTAACATTGTACTTAGTGGTGAAAAAAAATGAATGCTTTTCTCTTAAGATAAAAAATGCAAGCATTTCTGCTCTCACAACTACTATTCAACATTGCATTTGCAGCTCCAGTCAGTGCAATAGGCAAGAATGAAAGCCATTCAGATTAGAAAGAAAGAAACAAAACTATTTATTTGCAAATGATATAATTGCCTATGTACAAACACAGTGGCACCTACGAAAGAGCAATTAGAATTACAGTGAGTTTAGTAAGGATGTAAGATAAAAGATCAATATATGAAAATAAATAATATTTCTGGGGTATACGTACACAACATGCAGGTTTGTTACATAGGTATACACGTGCTGTGGTGGTCTGCTGCACCCATCAACTCATCATCTACATTAGGTATTTCTCCTAATGCTATTGCTCCCCAGTCTCCTACCCCTCAACAGGCCCTGGTGTGTCATGTTTCCCTCCCTGTTCCCCTGAGTTCTCATTGTTCAGTTCCCACTTATAAGTGAGAACATGCAGTGTTTGGTTTTCTGTTCTTGTGTTAGTTTGCTGAGAATAATAGTTTCCAGCTTCATCCATGTCCCTGCAAAGGACATGAACTTATCCTTTTTCATGGCTGCATAGTATTCCATGGTGTAAATGTGCCACGTTTTCTTTATCCAGTCTATCATTGATGGGCTTTTGGGTTGGTTCCAAGTCTTTGCTATCATGAACAGTGCCACAATAAACATACTTGTGCATGTGTCTTTATGGTAGAATGATTTATAATCCTTTGGGTATATACCCAGTAATGGAATTGCTGGGTCAAATGGTATTTCTGGTTCTAGATCCTTGAGAAATCACCACACTGTTTTACACAATGGTTGAACTAATTTACACTCCTACTAACAATGTAAAAACATTCCTATTTCTACACATCTTCTCCAGCATCTGTTGTTTCTTGACTTTTAACGATCGCCATTCTAACTGGCATGAGATGGTATCTCACTGCGGTTTTGATTTGCATTTCTCTAATAACCAGTGATGATGAGATTCTTTTTCATATGTTTGTTGGCTGCATAAATGTCTTCTTTTTAGAAGTGTCTATTCATATCCTTCACCAACTTTTTGATGGTGTTTTTTTTTTTTCTTGTAAATTTGTTTAAGCTCTTTGTAGATTCTGGATATTAGCCCTTTGTCAGATGGATAGATTGCAAAAATTTTCTCACTTTCTGTAGTTTTCCTGTTCACTCTGATGAGCTTCTTTTGCTATGCGGAAGCTCTTTAGTTTAATTAGATTCTATTTGTCAATTTTGGCTTTTGTTGCCGTTGCTTTTGGTGTTTTAGTCATGAAGTCTTTGACCGTGCCTATGTCCTGAATGGTATTGTCTAGGTTTTCTTCTAGGGTTTTTATGGTTTTCGGTCTAACGTTTAAGTCTTTAATCCAGCCTGGGTGACAGAGCGAGACTCTGTCTCAAAAAATAAATAAATAAATAAATAGATAAATAAAATAAAATAAAATTATAGAAAATATAAATTAATTGACATAGATAATCAGTGGCTGCCTGAGGGTGGCTAGAATAGGGAGAGGGAGGAATGAGAAACACTAAAGGGGCACAAGAAGACTTTCGGAGTTAAGAATATATTAAATAGGCTGGGTGCGGTGACTCACGCCTGTAATCCCAGCACTTTGGGAAGCCAAGGTGGGTGGATCATGAGATCAGGAGTTTGAGACCAGCCTGGCCAACATGGTGAAACCCTGTATCTACTAAAAATACAAAAATCAGCCAGGCTGGGTGGTGAGCATCTGTAATCTCAGCTACTCAGGATGCTGAGGTAGAAGAATCGCTTGAACCCGGGTGGCAGAGGTTGCAGTGAGCCGAGATTGCACCATTGCACTCCAGTCTGGGTGACAGAGCAAGACTCCATCTCAAAAAAAAAAAAAAAAAATGATGGTCTCACAGGTCCATACATATATTGCATCTTATCAGGTTACACATTTTCAATATATACGGTTCGTTTTATTTCAGTTACACCTTCAAAAAGCTATTAGAAGACTTCATAATATTTCTTGCATATTGATTTTTCTCAATCTCAAAATTATAGTTTATAAAAATATTTAGAATTCAACCAAAGCACACTTAATAAAACATATAATGAATTTGTTCTCTGATATAAGTATCCATACTCCCAACTAACCTCAACTTCCTTAAATGAATGTATACGTATATGACTATGTATAGATGTAAATATATACATAGTCATATACGTATACATTCATTTAAGGAAGTTAAATATTCCATATTTACATCTATACATAGTCATATACATATACATACACATATTAGTATTCAGATGTAATTTACATGAAAGGTTCAAAATCATAACATTAATTTTTATTTTGCTCAGCATGTTTATAAATACATTCCTTGGCAAACTAAAGTGCTCAATTTTCCTTCTTAACCGTCTGCTTTCCTCTCAACTACTTTGTCTTTATTTGATGATAGTTATTCTGAAAGTAAAAGGATCTCCTGCTGATGAAAGCTCCTGTTAGCATTGTGCTTCTAGAATCTGCTGTGCATCTGGGCCACACTAACGTGCTTGGTGGTGTTGAATTTTCCCTTAAACACCTCAATGACAAAGCAGATTAGTTTTTATGACTGAAATATTGCCCTGTTAAGTATCTCTTCAGTCTTTCTGCAACTCTGGCATCAAGGGAAAAAAAATGTAATGTTTTCATGTGTCTTGTTTTAATTGAATCAGCTACAAGAACAAAATACTTTTCCTTTTCAGATTGAGAGAAAATTGCTGCCTTGGTTCCAAATCACTGCTTGGTAACCAAATAGCTCTTTTTGACCTAGATTTATTATATTTCTACTTCCACGTGGAAAAATCTTGCAGTCACTGTTGTTTGGAACATTGGTTGATAAACTCTTTCACTGCCTGATACTTTCCTCATTAGAACACTGAGAAAATTAAACTGATTCTATCAGTCTCTTTCCTAATACACTGGTAATACTTTATGTGCTATAGGCTGAGAGAGAGGAAATTTAACTGTGACTTATAAGAGCTAACTTTCCATCAGGGTAAGAAAATATTTTATCTTCCTGTTGGGGTGGATGTGGTGGAATGACTGAGAAGAATACTTTGTAATCACATCACCTACTAGCCACATTAAATCCCAAAAAGTACCCCTAGCATTGATCCTAGAACAATGTCTGAGACCTTTTAAAACAAATATATAAAGGAGCCAAATATTTCCTAATTAGAATTTTCATATGCTCTAGGTTTTAATTAGCAGTCGCTTTGAGACTGCCCTTTACAGTCACATTTGAGAATTTATGCCCTTGGGCCAGACTTTCCCTGCCTAGGATTAAGGTATGAAGAACACAGGCTTTGGAGTCAGAAACACCACTATATTTCACTTTGCCACTTCTTGTTTGATATATCCTTGATATAAGTTTCTTCAAGTATCAGTTTATGCTTCTGTGATACAGTGTTAATAATTTTAGTTAGAGAAAAGCTACATTTGGCCTGCTATCAGAAAGAGATACAAAAAAACAATGACTTAAATAAGCAAGAAGTTTATTCTCTCCCACAAAGCAGTCCAGAGTTGAAGACAAGATGGCTTTGTAATCTTCAAGACATGGCTTCTGTCTCTGGCATCAAGGCTATTTATCATTTCCAGCCAATAGAAAGTGTAAGGAGGAAAATGATGGTAAGTCATTTCCACGTCAAAGATTCTATTCAGAGTGCACAGTCAACACTCCTCCCGCTTTTTTCCCATTGGCCAGGGCTTGGTCACAAGGCCCAGGTGGGTGCTTGGAAGCCTGAGAGATAGCATCTCCAGCTGGGAGGCCATGTGTACAGCTAAAAGTTTGGAGAGATCTCTTTCTTAAAGGAAGAAGGTATGAAAGCGAATGAATAATCTAAATTTATTGGCTATTACATATGTGGCAAATCTGTTTTCTCAGTCTGGCACTTGTGTTTTAAATTTTCTTATGATGGAGATTTTCATTTTTTATTTGACTTTAATGAAATAATTTCCTTTTTTCTTATGAATGCTTACATGTGTTTGTTTTTTAAATAATTTTTTCCTATTTTAAGGCTGTAAAACATTCTTTTATAGGAGCTTTTAAATGTTTGAAAGTTTCTTTTTAGTCATTTTGATCTTTAACACATCTGGAATTTATATGTTGTATATGAGGTGTAAAAAAGCAGTCTAATTTTATTTCTTCTATGGAGACCTAATTATTATAACTCTTATTGAGTAGATTATCTTTTCTCAGAACTCTTATTGAGTAGATTATCTTTTCTCAATTCTTTCCTCTTCCCCTTTGTCTTTTATACTTTCTGTTTTTCTGTTTTTTTGTATTTTGTTTTTTGTTTTTTTTTTCCCAATACACACATACAGTTTTGTGAATAATGATAAAGTGAACTCTCAGGTAGCAACAATTCAAGTCAAGCCTGTTCCCTTGTATTTTGTATTTTCCATTCCTTTCTCTTTTAAAGTTCATTCCATCCTTACACCCACCCTTTCTTACATTTCTTTTCTGCATTTGCCCTTTCTCTTCCTTATTTATTTATTTATTTTTTGAGACAGAGTTTCGCTCTTGTTGCCCAGGCTGGAGTGCAATAGCGCAATCTCGGCTCATCACAACCTGCACCTCCAGGGTTAAAGTGATTCTCCTGCCTCAGCCTCCCAAGCCGATGGGATTACAGGCACATGCCACCACACCCAGCTAATTTTGTAGTTTTAGTAGAGACGGGGGTTTCTTCATATTGATCAGGATGGTCTCAAACTCCCGACCTCAGGTGATCCACCTGCTTTGGCCTCCCAAAGTTTTCTCTTCCTTCTTATTTCTTTTCTCCTCCTTCTCATTTTCTGCATCCCACTCTTCCTCCTCTTTTTCATGTAATTATAATACTAAATTAGTGCATGTACTAAGTTTCAAAAAATTCAAACTGATATGTCTAACTAAAATAATAAGCAAATTAGTAATCCTTTTCTCTAAAGTCCAGGGAATTCTCAAAAATTATAGCTAGCTAGGCAGCTGGATAGTTGCATATATATATATATATATAAACACAACTACATAAATGTATAATATACATAATATCTGTATATGGTACATAAATATATATAATATAATAAATAAATGTATACTTATAAATAAATATATATGAATATATATACTTAATAATCTAGGATATAATTAAACATATATGTCAAATCAAATAAGACTAACATGTTATTTTAAAGGCCCAATTTTCTTACAGAGAATTTAAAAATCAGTCTAAATTCAAGAAAGTTTATAACAAATACTGACCCTAATACACTCTCATTCAGAGATGATGACAATATATAGAGTGTTGGGACTCAGAAAACAATACACCCAATGTTGCGCTTTGACCGACTGAAATAAAGAAACAGCCTCAAGTCTCTTTGACCACGCTGCAAGTCTCTCAATCCTTTGTCTCTCCTAAAACACAGGATAAGGCCACTCTGAAGTTCCCTTATCTACCTAGAAACCAGAACTTTAAAGAGAAACACAATTGTCTTTGATCCCTTCCATGAACTTTCATAAACTAGATAAAATTAAAATTTACATCAAAGAGAAAGAGGTTGAAAATTAAACACCAAACCTAAAGCCCAGATGAACTTTGTCCCAAATGATTACATGTTCTCAGGTCCCAATTCAATTTCCAAAGAGAATCATTTACAAGCAATTGCCTAATCTTCAGGTCCATTTATTTACAGGCCCCCTCTTCAAATCCCCTTCCAATAAAGAGGGTATTTAGGCATCAACCATCTGGTCCTTTCTTTGAATTTTCATGTTTTGTATGACTTCCGTGAACATGTGTGCACATAATAAATTTATTATGCTTTTCTTGCATGCACTTATCTTTTCTTATAGGCATGTCAGCCATAACCCTTTATGATGAAGAATAAAAAGATTACTGCCTATCCACCTCTAAATTAGTTAATTTCAAATTTACAAAAATTTTAATTATTTTTCATGAAAACGTAATGTATCTGACATAGTTACAAATTGCAGCTAAAATAGTTCTTTGGTTTCCATAAAGTACCACAATGAATATTAAGCAAATAACTTGAGATGTGACTTTAATTAAGTGAGAATTGAGGAAATCTTGACTTGATAGACTCACCACCCTTCTACAGTGCTCTTGGCAAACCCTGACAGCCCATTTTATGTCACAATAGCTATAGTACAAAGATAACTTTTTGTCTCAAAAATGTATTGCTGTGTTTTCCCTGAAGCTGTATTCACATACAATAATTATTTGATTTTTTAAAAAGCTAAATATAAAAAAATGGTTTTGCTGAACTATCAAGGCATGACTTAATCAGATTAAGCAAAAAAAAAAAAAAAATAGGACCCAAGCTATTTAATAAGTGTCAACCTTTATTGAAAAGACACCTCATTTTTGCTCTTAGAGATTTTAGTGTCATCAGATCACTCTTAAGAAATATTAAGATTATACAATTGACATCCGTCAAATTTTAAACCCTAGAGAAGCTGCACATACTCTGCAAACCATTCTGGCTTCTTGGTGAGTCTCGCTTTACTTTTTAGCAAAAATTTTTTAAAAAAAGCTAAATACTTTTGCTAGATCTTAAGGCCTACCAACTTATATCATACCAGCTTAAATTCATTTATATATTTTAATAACTATTTACTAATTACATACTATGTTAGACTTTATAGGTTGTTAAAATAGATTTAAAAAAATTGATTGAGATGAGTAAGAAATAATTATTGATTAGTCTTTAACAAGTTAAACCAAAAGAGAAAATTCACGAGTGAAAAAGCAGAGGCAAATTTCATTTTATTGTGTTCATTTTATTGCACTTCAGGTATCATATTTTTTATAAACAGAAGGTTTCTGGTAATCTTGCATCGAGTAAGTCTATCAGTGCCATTTTCCAACAGCACGTGCTCACCTCATGTCTGTGTGTCACATTTAATAATTATCTCAATATTTAAGACTGTTTCATTATTATTGTATCTGTTATGGTGATTTATAATCAGGTATTTTTATGATACTATTATAATTGTCTTGGGGCATCACAAACCTCCCCAAAAGACAGTAATTTATTAATAAGACAGCAAACTTAATATATACATTTTATGTGTATTTTGACTGCTCCAACAACCAGCCCTTCCCCCATCTCCCTTCCTGTCTATTCCCTGAGACACAATAGTGAAACTAGGTCAAATAGTAACCCTTCAATGTCTTCTAAGTGCTCAAGTGAAAGAAAAAGTCACACGTTTCTCACTTTAAATTAAAAGCTAGAAATAGTTAAACTTAGTGAGAAAGATATAAGCCTCTTGGTACAAAAGGCCTAGTTTTTAATCCTCTCAGTTTTTGGCATATTTTCCTCACTAAGTTATGAATGCAAAGAAATGGTTCTTGGAGGAAACTGAAAGTGCTACTCCAGTGAACACATGAATGATAAGAAAGAAAAACTACCTTATTACTGATATGAAGAAAGTTTCAGCGGACTGAATAGAAGACAAAACCAGCCATAGCATTTCCTTAAGTCAAAACATAATCTGGAGCAAGACCCTAACCCTCAATTCTATGAAGGCTGAAAGAGTTGATGAAGCTGCAGAAGAAAAGTTTGAAGGTGTCAGAGAATTTCCATAACTTAAAAGTCCAAGGTGAAGCAGCAAGTGCTGACATAGAAGTTGCAGCAAGTTATGCAGAAGATTTAGCTAAGATTGTTGATGAAGGTGGATACACTAAAGAGGTTTCCAATGTAAAATAAATAGACTTTATTGGAAGAAAGTGCCATATAGTCCTTTCATAGATAGAGAGAAGTCAATGCCTAGCTTTGAAGTTTCAAAGGACAGGCCGACTCTTGTGTTCCGTGCTAATGTATCCAGTGACTTTAAGTGGAAGCCCATCCTCATTTACTATTCCCCAGATCCTGGATCTGACAAAGCCTGGATGAGAGCACACCTGTTTACAGCATGGTTTACTGAATATTTTAAGCACATTGTTGAGACCTACTGCTCAGAAAAAAGATTCATTTCAAAATATTACTGCTCATTGACAATGCACCTAGCCACCCAAGAGCTCTGAAGGAGATACACAAGGAAATTGATGTTATTTTGATGCCTATTAACACAATATCCATTCTATAGCCCATGGATCAAAGAGTAATTTCAACTTTCAAGGCTCATTATTGAAGAAATACATTTTGTAAGACTAGAGCTGCCATAGATAGTGATTCCTCTGATGTATCTGGGCAAAAAGAACTGAAAACTTTCTGAAGAGGATTCACCATTCCATATACCATTAAGAACATTCATGATTTATGAAAGGAAGTCAAAAGATCAACATTAACAGGAGTTCGAAAGAAGTTGATTCTGACCCTCATGGATGACTTTTAGATGTTCAAGAAAGAAGTAACTGCAGATGTCATGGAAATAACAAGAGAACTAGTGGAACTTGAAGTGACGGAATTGCTACAATCTCATGACAGAACTGGAATAGATGAGGAATTGTTTCTTACGAATAAGCAAATAAACTGATTTCATGAGATAGAAACTACTCTTGGTGAAGATGCTGTGAACATTGTTGAAATTACAATAATGGATATAGAATATTACATAAACTTAGTTGATAAGCAGTGGCAGAGTTTGAGAGGATTGACTCCAATTTTCAGACAAGTTCTACTATGGGTAAAAGGCTGTCAAACAGGCCAGGCACAGTGGCTCACGCCTGTCATCCCAGCACTTTGGGAGGCCAAGGCAGGTGGATCATGATGTCAGGAGATTGAGACCATCATGGCCAACATGGTGAAACCCCGTCTTTACTAAAATACAAAAAAAAAAAAAAAAAAAAAAAAGCCAAGCATGATGGTGTTTGCCTGTAATCCTAGCTACTCAGGAGGCTGAGACAGGGGAATTGCTTGAACCTGGGAGGCAGAGGTTGCAGTGAGCCGAGATTGCACCACTGCACTCCAGCCTGGTGACAGAGTGAGACTCTGTCTCAAATAAACCAATAAATAAATAAAATAAATTTTAAAAAGGCTATCAAACAGCATCACATGCTAGCGAGCAATCTTTTGTGAAACGAAGAGTCAATTGATGCAGCAAATTTCATTGTTGTCTTATTTTAAGGAACTGCTACGTCACCTCAATCTTCAGCCACCACCACTCTGATCAGTGAGCAGGCATCAGCAAAGAGGCAACACCCTCTACCAGCAAAAAGATTATAACTCATCGGAGGCTCAGATGATTGCTAGCATTTTTAGCAATAAATTATTTATAAATTTAAGTCTGTACATTGTTTTTTAGACATACTGCTATTGCACACTTAATAGGCTACATTATAGTTTAAACATAACTTATATGCATCGGGAAACAAAAGGACTTGTGTGACTCCCCCAAATTTGTATGTTAAAATCTACTCCCAATGTGACAGTGTTTGGAGATGAGGCCTTTCGGTGGTGACTAGGTCATAAAGGTTGAGTTTTCATGAATGAGATGAGTGCCCTTATAAAAAGTATCCCATAAAGTTGCCTCTTCCCTTCAGCCATGTGAGGACACAGCAAAAAGATGGCCATCTGTGAACCAAAAAGTGTGCCCAGCCATCACAAGATATTGAAACTATCATCACCCTGTTTTTAGACTTCCCAGCCTCCATAACTGTGACAGATAAATTTCTGTTGTTTATAAGCCACCTAGTCTATGGTATTCTTGATGGCAACCTGAATGGACTAAGACCTCTATGCTATGAAAGATGGATTGATCTTCATTACAGGCAAATCTAAAATAGAGTAGAAATAGATTTGGGTAGAAATTTTCACATAAACAGCATTTTGAGCAAAGGTACAGAAGTATAAACCAACTAAAAGTATGTCAGGAATTGTAAGCTGCTGCTGCTGCCTCTCCTTCTCTTTCTCTTCCTCCTCCTCCTCCTTCCCCCTCCTCCTTCCTCCCTCCTCCTCCTCCTCTTCTTCCTTCTTTTATCAAAAAGAATTAGAATGCAAGAGGAATCCTGCCAAATATCTATATAGTGTATGGACAAAATACCTATCTTGGAGTCATTTGAATGCCTAGCAATACAAACTAACTCTATCCTGAAATGGAAAAGATTAAAGAATACAATGGCATTCTTAGACAAATATTTGAAACAATCACCATTTAGGAAGAAACTGTTGCAAAAGTGTATTTGAAGAATGGTGAGAACCTGAACATGTACAGTCTAAATGGACATGGAGAGGATAGTTCTAATATAAACAGTAGTAAAGTTACTGAATTAACAGGTGTTGATTAGAAACAGGAATACCAGAGAATGCAGGGTCAGGGAAGGTACATTCACTGACATACATCATATAATAATTATACAAGAAGAATTTGTGAGAATAGTGAATTACATATAGAACAAATTGAATCTAAAGAATCTGAGGTACTACAGAGTTGGATGATTCTATAAAACTGGGAGTTTATGATGGTTGATGGCCAAAAATAAAAAGAAGATTTAATGAATTTTCCACATGCATTTAATTGGCATTTCAGTCAAATGTGGAGTAAAATGAACCATCTATCATTATAAAAACATGATTGATAGGTTTCTATATATTAGACTTATTATTGGGGAAAACAGTAATTTGGATATTTTTATTGTTCTAAAGACCCATAATTTTCAATGACAGTGGTTATATCTAGAGGAAGCGTTTGCAAAATAAGTATGTTTTTGATTATCAAATGATTGAATATTGGCCTTCACTCGGTGGTGGTCAGATATATTAGACAACCTACAATATTTTCAATATACCTGCACAATACTGAATTATGTCATACCCTGAACAAATTTGGAATGTCCCACCAAATTTTTATGTAATGAAAAGCCTGTTTAAAACCATTTTAGCCTAGAGACTTATGTTACGTTACAAACAAAGTTAACTTATTTTTATACCATTTGTTATGTTACATTTTAGTCTAGAGACTTATGTTACATTACAAATAAATTCAACTTATTTTTATTCCATTTGATGGATGTGGAATTTTTTAGGAATGCTGAACACTTGCAAATAAAGAGAGGGCTATATTTTCTTGGTTTAAAAGTTTGCAAGGATCTTTCATCATTTTATAAAATCACATCAATGCAAACAGCACTGCCTGTGATTTTGGAATAACCTATACAACCTCGCTGTGTCAGTCTGCATTTGTAG
This sequence comes from Homo sapiens, assembly GCF_000001405.40. Lineage (NCBI taxonomy): Eukaryota > Metazoa > Chordata > Mammalia > Primates > Hominidae > Homo > Homo sapiens. Next base: position 176,083,520 of record NC_000003.12, on the reverse strand, counting down.
CTATAATTTTTTCAGTAATCTTTTTTTTTTTTTTTTTTGAGATAAGAGTCTTTCTCTGTCACCCAGGCTGGAGTGCAGTGGCACGAACTCAGCTTGCAGCTTCTGCCTCCTGGGTTCCAGCGATTCTCCTGCCTCAGCCTCCTGGGTAGCTGGGATTACAGGTGCACGCCATCGTGCCCGGCTAATTTTTGTAATTTTTAGTATAGATGGGGTTTCGCCATGTTGACCAGTCTGGTCTTGAACTCCTGACCTCAGGTGATCCACCAGCCTCAGCCTCCCAAAGTGCTGGAATCATAGGCATGAGCCAACCTGCCCAGCCTTTCTCAGTAATCTTACACAGAGTTGTATACATATATGGTTCATTTATAACGTCTTCTAGAAATGTTGTTTTCTAACATTTATGTACTGAAACATATATTATTTAATTATTTTACTTTTACTTAATCTTTATATTATAGTTAGGTAGTTACAATGTTTCTTTCCAAAATTATGTTTGTAGGTAGTGATTTGCTCTATGAGTTTTACTATGGATAGTAAAGATGGCATATGAAAAGGATTTATACCTTAGAGTTTACCATAGTGTGTGTGGAATCTTAAAATATATTAGTGTCTTTCACTCACATTTTATCATTCAATCTTCTCACTACTGTGTAAGGTAAATAGGGTAGTATTCATTTTTAAGTCTCATTTTCAAGATGTAAAAGCTAAGGTTAAAATATATATCATGATTTATCAGTGATCGTATGAGTTTTGCAAGTGCCAGATCCAGAATCAGAATACAGGACTCCTTGCTTCAACTTTGAATACTTAGCACAATGTCATATTGCTGCCCTAGGGTGTGCAGTGAATACAGACTATCTTTTAATGATTTTTTTTTAACTACTCAAATGCTCTTATATACGGAATGTTGTTGTCCACTGTTTGGTCACTTTACGCTTCCTTAAAATTCAAATGTAGCACAAAACTTCATTTCCCATCATATTATTATACAAATGTAAATCTTCACTAATAAAATGAACATGAATATTGAGTCAATATTCTGAATATTTCAGAGCAAAACTAAAACAATCAAACAAAAACCTACCTGCAATTTTAGCTTTAATTGGCTAGGTATTTCAAATCAAAGAAATGTTTATCTTTTCATTCTGGCTGTATTTTTTCCCGTAATCCTGGCTTGTTCTGATAATTGCCACGAACACTTCATTTCATTTTCTTGCTATCGGCTTAAGCCTGGGCAGCTTTGCTGCCTGCTGCTATCAACCAATGCCCTGATTGAGCAGACGATGCAGAGTGGCAGCAAAGGACACACTGATTGCCTGTAATAAATGGAATTTGAGATTGTGGGTTTCCAACCGAACCTTTAAGAGAAAGCCTATTCACATCCTGCCTCAATAGCAACAGAGCAGTGGTGAAACTTTTTTGGCCGTTTACTAAAAGCTTTTAGTCTACAAAAATTTCTCTGCTGCAAGATAGATAGATGGTGAAATAGTCAATGGAAAAATTATAAGTTATTTAGGAATAATATAAGAAAACATGTTAGAAAACCCAACAGCTATTCCAGAACTACAAATTTAGGTGAATGGCTGATGCACCTGAAATTTCTTAAGGTTTTTACTGAAATAAATGCCAACAGGTTCAAATACATACTTACACATTTTAGAAATGCATTTAAGGCAATTATTAATAGTTAGAATTTGGTTGGTCTTGTATATATTAAACAGATATCTTTAGAAAACACACAAAGTTGTACATTTTGTCTCTAATAGTTGAATAAGAAATAGTATACTTTCCAGATAAATATTTCAGAGAATAAGCATAATAATGTATACCATTCTCACCAAAACATTATCAGTATTTAAATTTCTCTTCAAATTCTCTAGCTCACTCTCCTCACCCCGTCTTCTTTCCTCTATTTCCTCCTTCCTTTTTTTCTAAATTTACACTGCACAATTTTCATTAAAATTTGGTTGCAAAAATTACTACATGGCATGTTTAAGAGGGACAAATAGAAAAATCCCCATGGAAACAACTCGCATGATGAAAGGAGTTGAAGCAAAGACATGGAGGAAGAGTCTCGTTAATCTTTAATTATCTTTGGCCCTAGATTATATTCTTATCATTAAAATAGATGAAGTACTTTCAGAAAACCACATTTTCATAAGGCATCAGTGTATCTTTAAATAAGCTTATAAGTTTATACAACCAAGTGATATTAAGAACCCTGAAAGAGTAAACTATGAAGGTCAGATTAGGCAGGGGATCATGACGACAGTAGATAACGACTTTTGGCGAAAATTTCAGAGCAAGTGGGGTTTGGTTACCATGATTTCAACTTGATTTTGCTTCTAAATATAATTGAGCACATGAAGCCAGGTCACAGTTGAGCAGCATTTTTTAAAAAGTTAAGACATTGCCAACCAATGAAATTATATATGGACAAGCTATCTTTCAAGGAGTTGTAAGTGCCGTCTAAGTGTTGATGATTTAAATCCTTCATTACTCAGGGCATCTACAGGAATAACGCAGTGTGGCTTTATCAGTTTGCCATCAGTTATGCTACAAAACCCAGCTCAATATATGAAGGATCATACCTCTATGTAAAACCAGTACTCACTCTTTTGTTTCTCATTTCTTTTTTAAAAAATTCTAATACTTTAACCCAATGTATCCGAAATGTTATGTAAATATGGAATTGATGTAATATTATTAATAAAGGGTTTTTTGGTACTAAATCTTTCAACGTCACTCTGTATTTGAAGCTTCTACCACTTCACAAATGCAGACCAGCCACATTGCAGGTGCTCAGTAGCCCCATGTAGCCAGCGGTTGCCACACTGAAGTGCAGCTCTGGGGGCTCTGACTCTTCTGACTTCAGGGACATGAAGGGCATAATTTCCCTTTTCTGCCAGAGGAAAGAAGGGAACACCCTCTTCCAGCCAATATCTATCCTCAGGTCCAAGGGTGGGAGAGACAGTGGGCAGAGAGAGAAAGAGAAGGGAGATGCAAGCAGGAAGTGTCCACAGGTAGAACATTTTCTCCCACCTAATGCTTCAGGGTGACCTATCCCCCCTTCCAAAGTTCAGACAGTGAACAAACGACATAAGGCCCCAGAGAAGGGAGCCCAGGTCTTCAGATTTATCCACAGCCTTGACCTCTGGAATTTAGATGGGGAGGAAATAGGTTAAAGGCAAACTTGTTATTTTGTAATTTGACCCTGGTCCTAATGGTCACACTGTGGTTCTTTCTGTGGCATGGGGACCATGTGAGGTTAAGCACATCCCATGCATACATGTCTACATGCATTTCTGTATAACTCAACAACATCTGACAAGAGATACAACCTTAAAAAAGGGGGAAGAATATCAGTACCTACAGGGTGCCTTCTGTTTACCAGGTAAACAGTAATCAGTCTGTCATTCAATCTTGACATCCTATCTGCACTGGGTATACATATTAGTTAGCTGTTACTGCATAAACAAACACCCCAAAATTTATTAGTTCATGACTGAGCTGGCCAGCTATTTCGGCTGGGCTCAGCTGGGCCATTCTTCTGGTCCCAGCTAGGCTCCTTCAGGCATATGTGGTTGGCTGCCAGTTGAATAGGTAGCTCTGCTTCTAGTGGTGAGCTGGCTGTCAACTGAGGTGCTTTGGTTTTCCTCCCCATGGTATCTAATGCTCCAGCAGGTTAACATTGGTTTGTTCCTGTGGAGATGGCAGAGTTCTGAAAGAAAAAGCAGACACATTGAACAACTTTTGTCTCTAGATCCCAAACTGGTACACTGTCATATTCATAGCTTTCTATTGGCCAGAGCAAATAAGGCCAATGAGATTGAAGTTTTGGGAAACAAATTCTGTACTGGGGGGAGCTATAAAACTACGTGGCTAAGGACATGTATGTATACAAGGAGGAATGAAGAACTGCTGCTGTTTTTGCAATCAATATCATTATGTATTTTCTTTCAGATACTTTACATGACCATTCTAGGTCAAGGAATTTGTCCAAAGCCCCACATCCACTAAGTGGCTGGGCTGGGACTCAGGATTAAATCTCCCTGACTCCAAAGTCTGGGTACCTCCATAGACCACATGACTCACACAGCTCCCCTAGTCCTGCAAGGTCCTGGAGAGTGACACTTCCACAATGGAAGCCGGATTCCTGTGAGGTTCTTGTCCATCTAGTACTCTTCAGCACTGGGAATAATCCCCTCCTGAGAAGGCTTCTGAAGTGTCTTGCAAGGACTTGGAATAATCTGGGGAAATGGCAGAGCACTGAGTTTAGAAAATCAAGACCTAACATTATATTTTTCATTTCTCACCACAGGAGAAATTTGAAAACATGTATAATGCACTCCACATGTCGGCAAATTCTTTTCATTCCTTTTTGGTATTTGTAGGCTATTTATGATTTTCAACACAGACTAAATCAAAATACTGTGCCTGAAACAACCTCATACTCTGAAAGCAAGTGACATAAATATAGATCTGTTGAAAAAACATTTCCTCCTTCTGCAGTTTAGCTGAACAGCTGAGAGTGTCTTCAAGTTGTCCTTTGATTTTACCAGAGCAGAGCTCTAAGATCTAAGATCTCAACAGATCATGTGCATGTCAGGCTATGACATCATCTCAGAAGGTTGCCCATATCCTAGGCCTGGGGATGGAGTGGCAAAAGGGTTGCACTGGCTGTTGGGTAGTCATGGGTCCACAGGTGAGATTCATTCATCAGGTGAAGTGTTTTGGGGTCCTGATGTTTATGGCAAATTAACATATATATGTTACTGAAAGTAAATTGTAGAACATTATAAATACTAAATCTATATATAAACTAAATGTCAACAGTTATAATTCTTGTAATTTATCATCATTGTAAGTACAATTATTATTCATATCACTATCAGAAGCAATAGTTGTTGCTGCAGCTGTTGTTTTAAAAATGGTGATAAAAACACTGAGTAAAGCTCTGTGGCCTCCTCCTGTTGCTGTTTCTGGGACTGCTGGCTTACTAGTTGGGTGCAGACTTGGGACCTTTCCAGTGAAGCTGCAGCTGGAGAGACTTCAGGTGGTCTGCTGTGGCTAAGGAAGAGCCTGAATCAAGAATGAAAGTAATGATCCTATGAATGTAGTGAGGTAAGATGGTTCTGTGGGGTACCATCCTACAATTTTGAAGGAGAAGGGCACACACCACTTAATGAACCTGTGGAAGCCTATGGTGAATGACAGGGTTTGTTCCTGAGGCAGATCAGATTCTGATTTGATGGGTGGTGAGTCTATGAAACAGATACACCTGAGATAACATGCTCCCGCCAGCTCTGGCCCAGAGTCTGTTGCAGCACCTCTCCCTAAGAACATAGGGTTCACTCTTGGGTCTCTGGCTGGCCTCATGACCAGTCACCCTACATTTGGAGACATTGTTGCCAGCTCTTCTTGAACAGAAGCCATGTCTATATCTTGGGTGGAGGGGAAACAAGCTGATAGATCGCCATCTGTTCCTCATTTCTTAAGGAAATGAGTCACTTCAATTATCAAGTCTTAATTCACTACTACTATAAAAGGTATAACTTCCATTGACTAAAAATCAAATAAATATTTTTGACCATTTGCAAAGTAGAGTTAAATGTAAATAAAACTTTATTTTTAACATTTAATAATATTGAGCTAAAATTTAAAGAAAATTTAAATGGTTAAATGGGTTTAACTATTATAAATGGTATAAAATAAATATTTCTTATATTTTCTCATATTTTATATATTTTTCTGTGTAATTGATGAACTAATCGGCAACTACCACATGTTCCCGTTTCTTTTTCCCTCGCTTTGTCATTTTTTCTTTCTTCATTAGTTCCTTCCTTCCTTTCTTCCTTCCTTCCTTCCTTCTTCCCTCCCTTCCCAATTCAATCTAATAGTCATTGAGCAGGCCTTAGGCAAGCAGTAATAGCTTTAGAGCATGTCTGTAGGTGCATCCCAAGGACAGCTCATGTTATCAGTCCATATGAGGATAGCTTTAGAGTGGGAAGCAAGGCAATACAGTAACAGCAGCAGTGGTGGCCTTCTGATAATGGCTTTGTAGCAGTGTGTCAAAGGCAGCACTTTGGGAGGCTGAGGCAGGCGGATCACCTAAGGTCAGGCATTTGAGACCAACCTGCCTAATATGGTGAAACCCCGTCTCTACTAAAAATAGAAAAATTCGCTGGGTGTGATGGTGGGCACCTGTAATTCCAGCTACTAAGGAGACTGAGGCAGGAGAATCTCTTGAACCCAGGAGGCTGAGGTTGCAGTGAGCCGAGATCATGCCATTGCACTCCAGCCTGGGCAACAAGAGCAAAAACTCTGTCTTGAAAAAAAAATGGTCATAAACATTTAAAAACGGAGGCAGAAGTTTAGTTGGTATAATTGTAACCCTGTTCTGTTTCTTGGGTCATGGTCTTATAATTTTATCTTTTAAACAACTTATTCTCACACCAACAGTTAGAATTTTTCTTTTAGAAATGTAGATAAATCACATCACTTTTGCAGCACCTATGACTTCCTAGCTCACAGAGAAGTCTGAATCTTGATAGAAGAGGCCCTGCAAGATCTCATTCCCTTCTTTCTCTAAAGTCAATCTAATCTCACTTCCTCTTGTTCTTGGCCATAATTACTTGGCCCCATTGATAGGGACCCCATTGCTAGGCTTGCTTTTCCCCTCTCTTTGATAAATAAAGTTATCCTTTCCCCATCTCCTATCTCGTCAACTCCTGTATGCAGCAGAGTCAACTCATTCCTAATTTTCTTGTCCTTGGAAAAAGTATTAAAGTATTCTAATTCATTTATGTTGACTAGAATAGTTCATGTCTTTTCCAGAAATTCTGAACCTATTCTCTTTCTCTTTTTTTTTTCTTGTGGATTCTCCTTCTTATATGTTCTCCTTATTCCAAACTGAGATTAAGCCCTGCCTCCATTATTAAGCATATCATTTTTTGTCTATCCCTCTTATTCAAGGAAGAATCACAAACAAGTAAAAACAAGTAAAAAGACTTGAAATCCGGAGCAAAGAAATTGGGCAATGGGTAGAGACTCCATTCTATTGTAAGGTCCTGTTATTTAGAGCCCTTTCATACTAAGTTGTATCAGCATGTTTTCTGGTTAACTGAAAAGTCAGGATAATATATATTACAAACTTTTATCTTCATTGTATATGGTGTATATAATTCTCATCCAATGTAAATTGTATTAAAAATCAAATATCCTGCATGAACAAAATGTACTTCAATTTGCTTTGATAATTATACAACTTAAAAGATGGTGTCATCTAGAAAGGAGCACATTAATTGAATGGATAAAATGAGCAATTTGTACTTTGATGTTTCCTATTCTATTTTACTTTATGTGTGTAAATTTATGGGGTACAAGTATGATTTTGTTACATGAATATATTGTGTAGTGGTGATGTCAGGGCTTTTAGTGTGTGTCCACGTATCCACATTATTTAGCTCTCACTTATAAATAAGAACATGTGGTATTTGACTTTCTTTGTCTGAGTTGTTTCACTTAAGATAATGGCCTCCATTTCTATCCATGTAGTTGCAAAAGATATAATTTCATTCTTGTTTATGCTCAATAGCATTCTATTGTGCGCATATATATATATTGCATTTTCTTTAGCCAGTATCTTTGCTGTTGTGAATAGTGCTGCAATAAGCATATGAGTATGAGTGTCTTTTTGATGTAATGATTTCTTTTCGTTTGGGTAGATACCCAAAGTGGAATTGCTGGATAAAATGGTAGTTCTATTTTTAGTCCTTTAAGAAATCTCCATAGCAGTTGTTTTCCATAGCAGTTGTACTATTTACATTCCTGCCAACTGTGAATAAGTGTTCCCTTTTCTCAACATCCTTGCCAAAATTTACTTTTTGTATTTTTAATAATAGCCATTCTGACTGGTGTAAGATGATATCTCATTGTGGCTTTGATTTGCATTTCTCTGATGATTAGCAAGGTTAATCATTTTTTTCATATGCTTGTTGGTCATCTGTATGACTTTTATTGAATGTATCTTAATGTCTTTGCCTGCTTTTTAATGGAATTATTTTTGTTGTTATTGAGTTGATCAAGTTCCTTGTAAACTCTGGATATCAGTCCTTATTCAGATGTGCAGTTTACAAATATTTTCTTCCATTCTGCAGATTTTTTGTTCACTCTGTTGATTATTTCTTTGGCTGTACAGAAGCTTTTTAGTTTGATTAAGACCCATTTGCTTATTTTTGTTTTTGTTACTTGTGCTTTTGAAGTATTAGTCATGAATTCTTTGCCTAGACTGATGTCCAGAAGAGTTTTCTCCAGATTCCCTTCTAGTGTTTTTATAGTTAAATTTATTAGTCAAAAGCTTACAAGTAAGTCTTTATCTTTAGTTGATTTTTGCATATGCTGAGAGATAGGAGTCCAGTTTTACACATCTGTATATGGCAATCCTATTTTCTCAGCACTATTTATTGAAAAGAGTGTGCTTTCTGCCGTGTATGTTCTTGACGACTTTGTCAAATATGAGTTGGCCGTAGATATGTGGCTTTAGTTATGGCTTCTTTATTCCATTGACCTATGTGTCTATTTTTATGTCAGTACCATGCTGTTTGGGTTAATATAGCCATGTAGTATAAATGAAGTCAGATAATGTGATGCTTCTAGCTTTGTTCTTTTAGCTTTGTCTATTCAGACTCTTTTTTGGTTCCATATAAATGTTAGGATTATTTCTTCTAATTCTGTGAAAACTACATTCCTATTTTGATGGAGATGGCATTGAATCTGTAGATTTTTGAGGGCAGTATGGTTATTTTAATGACTTTGAATCTTCCAATCCATGAGCATGGGATGTTTTTTCATTTGTTTTTGTCATCTACAATTTCTTTCATTGTTTTATAGTTTCTTTTGTAGAGATCTTTTACCTTCTGAGTCAAGTATGCTCATAGGTATTTTATTTTTATTTTGTAGCAGTTGTAAATGGGATTGCCTTCTTGATTTCTTTCTCAGCAAGATTATGATTTGTTTTTAGAAATACTACTGATTTTTCTACATTGATTTTGTATTCTGAAACTTTACTGTATTCATTTATCAAATCTGAGAGTTTTTTGTGGAGTCTTTAGGGTTTTCTAGATGTTAGCTCATATTATCAGCCAACAAAAATAATTTTACTTTCTCTTTTCCAATTTGGATGACTTTCATTTTTTTTTCCTTGATTGCTTTGGCTAGAATTTCCAGTACTATATTGCATGCAGTGGTGAAAGCAGGCATCCTTTTCTTGTTCCAGTTTTTAGAATGCATGCCTTCAGCTTTTCCTTTTTTAGTATAACGTCGACTGTGGATTTGCCACATATGACCTTCATTATTTTGATATATGTTCCTTCTGTGCCTGATTTGTTGAGGGTTTTTATTATAAATGGATGCTGAACTTCATTAAATGCTTTTTTCTGCACCTATCGGGATGGTCATGGGGTATTTGTCTTTGATTCTGTTTATGTGATGTTTCACATTTATTGATTTGCATATATTGAACCATCTTTGCATCCCTTGCATAAAGTCCACTTGACCATGGTATATTATCTTTTTAACGTGCTATTGGATTTAGTTTGCTAGTATTTTATTTTTGCATCTCTGTTCATCAGAATTTACAAAAACATTTTAATATTAGTCATATTTACATCCAAATACAGGTGTGAATAAAATAAAATAAAACTGCAGGTAAAGCAGTTTGACTATGGACAATAATTGTTTCTCAAAATGAAACTGAAAAGGAGAACTCAGGGTCTCAAATACTCAAGAGGTTTTTATAAATATATACTTGTGCTAAGACTATCAAAAGCAAACAGTATTTTTGATCTATTAGGTAGGCCTCTGGTAAAAATACCGGCAACTATATATCTTATCATGGTTCATCTTCAAATTATAAAAATATATTTGAGATAGGGTAACAGAAAAGACTGCTGACAAATGAGATTTTAACTGAATTCTATTTTCGTGTTAGTTAAAGTGATGTTGGTTATATGGATTACAGTTGTCTTGAGAAATAACTGAGACCACAGGACTATTAGTGCATATAAACAAGTCACCCATTTGAGTAGATGCCCTTTATGGGTAGATTATAGGAGAATCTACTGTTATTTTGAAATAGAACTTTTTTAAAAAAGAAATGGAACTAATATCTTAGAAACATCTACATATCCATTTCTTATTAAAAATATTATGAGGTAGGAAACAAGTCACTGTTAAAGTAATCTAGCTATTAAAACCAGACAGGATACTCAAAATTAGAAGTTTTGTCTCAAAAAATCTTAGTGGCTAATAAATGGAACCTACAGTGTTAATGCAGCAGAAACTTCATTCCTAGATCTGATGATGATAAAATAAAAAGGGATTAATAAAGTATTTTAAATGCAAATATAAACAACTATTTTAGTACGGAAAACCTAATTTTATTGGTGTCATATCTGTATGATTATTTCCAACTTCTTGTTCCAGTAGCCCACAACTGTGTTATAGCCTAAATAGTCATATAACAAAAAAGATGTTTGAGATTATAGTTCTTACAAATCTATTTGTTACATATTCCTTTACTGATCAGTTATGACTCATATTCCACTGTAAATGAAATACAAATGGATTAAACAAGAATGAATGAATTTTTCTCTTATGTAAACTAAATAATAATAAGAAAGAAATTGCTATGCATCTGTGATGCAGCACTCTGAGACTCATGACTGGGATATCAATATTAGAATTCAAACCCTAATTTTATGCCCCAATTCTGATTCATTTATGCATCTATTCAATAACGAATTACAAAGGGCTTTCTATCAGGCAGACCCTTGGCTTGGCACTTAAAATAGTTTGGGGAAAAATAGAAATGGTTTCTGTTTATATAATATTCATAGTCTTATAGTCTAGTAGTAGAAACATAAGTTAAAAATAATTAGGCAAATAAAGTATAAATATTAGTACCATGAGGAAAAATTTTAGGATATTATGAGGGAATATTTAGTAGATTGTAGAAATAGCCACAAATACTTCCTCTTTCTGTATTCATGCTCTTATAATAGGACATTGCAGATCATATCATATAGAGATAAAGTCTAATTTTCACTTAGGTGAATCATGTACCTTACTTTGGCCAATAAGTCTTTAGCAAAGACTTGAGAAGTATTTGCATATTGAGGATTTCTCTTTTGCCATATGTTGAATTTGAAACCACCATGAGACTATAGAGGGGAATTAAAATGTTCCATTTTTCAGACAACCAACCCCCAAATATGTGAATCAGGCCATTCAGGACCAGCCAGGCTGAAGCCAAACTGCCAAATGATCTCAGAACCTATATCTGACCATAGAGATAGGAGTGAGCCCAGCTGAGACCGGCAGAAGAACCATACAGCTGAACCCAGGCCAAAATACTGATACACAGAATTGTGAGTGAAATAAACAGTTTTTATTTAAGCTACTAAATCTGAGTTATTTTGTTATGCATCAAAATCTAACTGGTAATAAAGGATGTTAGGGGGACCTAATTTAGCTTACAGAAACCTGGAAGGCTCCTCCGAGGAAAGTATCTGATGGAGAATGAGAAAGTCAACTAAGAAATGGCAGGAGGAATATATTTAGACAGAAGAAAAAGCACATTTGAAAGCTTTGCATGAGGAAGAGCTTAATATATCTGAGGAAATAGGAGAATGTCAGTTTTCTTTGTTAGAGTTCTTCCTTGTTCCTGAATCTGAATGTCTTTCTTCCCCACTCTGCTTTGCATACAGCCTCAGATTTGAATTTTGATAATTGGGTTTCTACCCAATTTTCTATGTTTAATAAACACACACACACACACACACAGAGACATACACACACACACAACTCTCTTGATCATCTACCACTGAGCTGCTCTTATTCTTACCATACTCTCTTCACTGGACCACAGTGTACCCCCAACCTTGAGCTTGCTGGTTCGGGTCTTGCTATCTGATGACAAACTTTCCTGATGCCCGTTTCTTGTCTGGGCATTGAGAATTGACATTCATAGATTTGCTGTCTACTCTTTCTTACTACACCCCACTGTAGAAGTTTGGATGGGAAGAGTAATTGTAAAAGATGATCATGAAGACAAATAGGTAGATGATAGAAAGACAAACAGATGTATGAGCAGTTAAATGAAAAAAAGTAAGTTACAGAGCAACATCTATAAGATAATCTAATTTTTGTACAAATAAAATAATACATTATTTTATTATATACTACCCACGTATATGCACACACACACACACACACACACACACACACACACACACACCCCTACACCAACTTAACAGTGGTTGCTTCTAAATCCACAGTCCTAGGATTATTCTTTTCTTTGTTTTCTATCCCTTTATATTATTTGAATAAATTGAATTAAATTTTCTAAAGAATGCTTACTCAGGAAATACATGTTTATTAATTTAATAAATAACATTTAATAAATATACATTTATTAATTTACATCTACTGAGATATATATATACCAAAAATTCAAATTTACTTTGGTCAGTTCATAAAGACCCACATCTAGCACTTACGGGTATGGTTAAGGGAGGCAAAATCAAACAGGACTTGGGGGTGCCAATGTATTGACTAAACCTCAGGAGAGACAAACTAGTTAAAAACTAAGTATAATGTTTGCACAGTTTGCAACATATCCTCAAGTTGGTAGGCTCTCACTAGGCTTTAATGTTTTATTATATAAATCTATGTCTACAAGTTAACTCTTTGTTTTTTTCCTTTAAAAAAGTAAACAAAGAATAATTAGAATATGTTTGTTAATTAAATTTCTCTATTTTGAATTTTTGTCCCCGGAGAGAGGGAGCAAGTAAGGTAAATGCAATAACTTGATACTTTGCTTTTCCTGAGAGATTCAAAGTCAAAATAATAAAGCAGTGAGAGCCTAGTTTTTCAGCATCTTTATTCTTTGCATGTAAACATACATGAAATACGTTAAACAAACACCCACATATCTAATCACATTCCAATTACCCTGTGAGGTTTAAGGCAGGTTTTACCATTCTCCTTGCTTTTGAAATTGTGGAAGCTGAGGCTCAGCATTAACGGAGTCAGCTAGGGTCACACACGGGGCCAACAGACTAAAGGGTTTTTTTGCAAAGATCAATACAATAATTATCTGGATAAGTTTAAATTATTCCCTCAAGGACAATATTTCAACTCATACTTATATTTCTTTTCATGAATAGTTTCTTCAGAGGAAAGTTTAGTTTATGGGACAGTTTTATTACAAAGTATTTGGCCCAACTAAATTTGATTTTCTAGATGACTAAGTAGCCATTTATTGTAGGGAAAGATTTTAGATAATATGAAAAGGTCAGGTAAGAGCTGAAATATGGAAATTTCATGTCATCATTCATTTTAAGTCAACTATTTCTTCATTATGTAAAGAATTTGCTTTTGATTTCTCTGTCATAACACTCAAGTAATATGAGACTGTTTCATTTTGTATTGATAAAATAAATAGAAATTTAGGCTTTCTTCACAGAAGCATAGCCATCTTTGAGCGTTTACATAGCACTTTATATTTCTAATCTACTTTACAATTTTTGTATTACTCATACCTTTCAACAACCTTGTGAATATGTCAATAGTATTAAGTTAAATAGGAAAGAAAAGACATAGAAAGTTAAATGACTTCTCCCGATACATAAGATTTTATGTTCTTACAACCTCATTGAATTATTAGATTAAAATGATGCTTCTAATCTTCTATGTTCTTTGTTTATTGTTAAATATTTTATATGAATTTAATAATGATTATAGTTCTAGGAAAAAATAAGGAATCAAATTTTCTTTTCATATCATAGCATAAATTGTATCAGGTATTTTATTTTTAAAAATTGGTTTTGCAAATAATAAAAATATATTTTGTTGATATCTAAGGATTAGTTTTCATCAGATTCTATTTTATTTCATTTTACAAATGTTCATTTGTATAATTTACTGTATAAACACCTCACCTCTATGAATTACTTAAGAGTTGAAGTAAATTACTACAAAGTTAAAAATTCTCACCAAATTAAGTTTATCTAGATCTGATCATTAGTTAAGAAATATGTTTTAATTCAGCTCATGTACCATTTATTTCACCCCAACAACTCCTCTAGGTAGGCATCGCTATCAGAATAGCAAAATTTGGTAATGTTGCAAAAATAGGTGAATACATTCCAAATCCTAATAAAATCTTTGCTATGCAATTGCCTTAAGAAATAATGCATACCCTGGGCCCTTCTCTGGGCTAGGACACTACTTGCCTTTCTTCGACGTTGCGCCTCTCCCTATTGCTGGATTTGAGCATCTAGTTTTGAGATGGTAAAAACACCCCAGATGGAGTCTTTGATTCTCCTGTCCAGGTCCTGGAGAAAGGTTTGACACAGTCAGTAAACCATCTCTTCACCACCCACACTATCAACTACACAGAGAAGACAGAAGTGTCCCCAGATCTCTCATCATGAAGGACTCGCTCCACCACCAGGTCTCTGGCCAGTCCCCTCGCCCACCCATTGCCCCGATAAGCTCCTCCACCCCTGGCCGCCAGCCCCACCAGGGTGCTCCCAGGGCCGGGACCACTGCGCCCAGAAGGGCAAGTAGGCTCCTAGCACAGAAAACAGCCCAGAGTATAGAGTGGAAGCAAGAAAGTGAGCCATGTATTGTTAGCAGAATTTTCCAGTGTTGCCCTTAGAATGGGCTTCAATCTCCTCTTGTTTCATGGGGTGTTTATTCCTGTGCTTCAGTCAGTAACAGCCCGATTTATTGGTGACCGATTTATTGGTGACCGATTTGTTGATCATTACATGGAGATGTTTGCTCATGGCTGGAATTCTTCCTCACGTCAATTTCCAGTGCTCTTTGGGTGCTCCACTGGTTTGTGCTTTGCAAAGTTGTGAATGCCATTTGATTCCAGGATACAGTTGACCTGGCATTTGAGGTATCAGGGAGAAAGCCTCACCCAGTCCTTAGTGGGAATTGCTGACATGGTCTTCTTCCTTTTACTGACATGGTCTTCATCCTTTTACTGACATGGTGTTCGCCCTTTTGCTGTAGGCTCTTTTCCTGATTCAGGGAATGTTTGTGAATCTCTTTCCCATCCGTCTTGTTAGTCAGCTGGTTAGTCTCTTGCATATGTCACTTCTCTCTCACTGTACCACTTCAAATATCTTTGGTTCAATAAAGGAATTGAAATGCATCAGCGGTTGTCTAACATAGAAAGGAATTGGCCTTACTACTTTGGATTTGGTTTGCCCTTGGCTTTTCTCACAGCACTGCAGCCCTCATATATTATCAGCCTCTTCCAGTTGTGCCTCTTCTCCTCGGTGGTCTTGTTAAGCAACAGACTCTTCCACAAGGCAGTCTACCTGCAGTCTGTCCTGAGCAGCTCAAATTCTGCAGAGAAGTTCCCATCACCACATCTATCTCCTGCCAAACTGAAGGCTGCTGCAGGCCGTGGAGCTGCCTGACATCCAAAGGAGATGGGTGGGATTGGAGGAGACTGTGGCAGCTCTTTACCCTGTTCACCTCCCCCTGCCAGGGAAGGCAGGACCCACTCTGCCAAGGGCCCTCTGCTATTCTCTTCTCTCTGAGGAATTGGAATGTTTGTCTCTGGTGCCTGTAAGGCAGGATCTTCCTGGCACCAGTGTGTGGATTTATTTATTTATTTATTTATTTATTTATTTATTTCTTGAGACGGAGTCTTGCTCTGTCATTCAGGCTGGAGTGCAGTGGCGCAATCTTGGCTCATTGCAACCTCTGCCTCCCAGGTTCAGGCGATTCTCCTGCCTAAGCCTCCCGCATAGCTGGGATTATAGGCACCCGCCACCATGCCCAGCTAGTTTTTGCATTTTTGGTAGAGACAGGGTTTCACCATGTTGGCCAGGCTAGTCTCGAACTCCTGACCTCAGGTGATCCACCCACCTTGGCCTCCCAAAGTGCTGGGATTACAGGAGTGAGCCACCGCGCCCGGCCCAGTGCGTGGAATTTTAACACCACCATTGAGTCTGAAACGACCAAAGGTTTTTCTGCAGCTATTTTCTCTATGCCTGGACTGATTTGAGTATTTTGTTTTTCTCCTTGTGACACTTACCCTCTCACCTTTCCTTCCTGCCTTCTACCACCCTTGGATAAATGGATCTTGTAATTCTAGCTGTTGTATTTTGTGGATTTGTTATTTTTGTCATTTTTCTGTGAAGCACATACATTGGATGTGGGAGGTAAAGGAGAATTGCAGTTGCTCCTCGTCACTGCAGTCTTGTTTCATTTATCTCAGGTTAGGTAACTCAGGTATTCGTCTCTCTTGCTCCACTGCAAAAAATATAGATAGATAGATAGATAGATAGATAGATAGATAGATAGATAGATATGGATATAGATATAGACATAGACATAGACATAGACATAGACATAGATATAGATATAGATATAGATATAGATATAGATATAGATATATACATCCTGAAGAGATGAGGCAGGAGAAAGGACCTCACAGCCAGATCTGCTGAGTGCAGGTCACAGGGGATATGATGACTTAGCTTGGGCTCAGAGGCCTGACATTCCTGTCTTCTTATATTAATAAGAAAAATAAAATGAAATAGTGGTAAAGTGTTGGGGAGGTGAAAATTTTTGGGGGGTGGTATGGAGAGAGAATGGGCGATGTTTCTCAGGGCTGCTTCGAGTGGGATTAGGGGCAGCGTGGGAACATAGAGTGGGAGAGATTAAGCTGAAGGAAGATTTTGTGGTAAGGGGTGATATTGTGGGGTTGTTAGAAGAAACAATTGTCATTTAGAATTATTGGTGAGGCCTGGATACAGTTTTGTATGAATTGAAAAACTAAATGGAATAAGAGAAGGAGAAAAACAGGTACTAAAGGACTAAGAATTGGGAGGACCTGGGCTATCTGATTAGAGAGTGCGTAAGGAGGTTCAGCATAGTCCTGCCAGCAAAGATTATTTATTTACTTTAAGAGTTAAGAGTGGCGGTTTGGGGATAGCACCAGGAGATATCAGCTGTGATGGCTTGGAGAAACAGTGAAAACTGGCAGTGTAAACAAGAGCAGGGCATGCATGAGTAGTTGAGAACAGTGAATAGGAGTATGACTAGACAGAAGATAGTAGGGATGACAAGTTTTTTGGGGCACAGTCTAAGTTGGTCTGGTGTCTGGAATGAGACTGGGGCCTAATAAAAAGGAGCGTCTATACAGGAGCTTAAAGGGGCTGTACCTTGTAGCATTCCAAAGACAGGCCTGAATTCTGAGAAGGGAAAGTGGTAAAAGTATTGTCCAGTCCTTTTTAAGTTGGTGGCTGAGCTTGGTGAGGTGTGTTTTTAAAAGACCATTAGTCTGTTCTATCTTTCCTGAAGACTGAGGACTGTAAGGGATATAAAGGTTTCACTGAATACTAAGAGCCTGAAAAAATGCTTGGCTGATTTGACTAATAAAGGCCGGTCTGCTATTGGACTGTATAGAGGTGGGAAGGCCAAACCGAGGAATTATGTCTGACAGAAGGGAAGAAATGACCATGGTGGCCTTCTTAGACCCTGTGGGAAAGGCCTCTACCTATCCAGTGAAAGTGTCTACCTAGACCAAGAGATATTTTAGTTTCCTGACTCAGGGCATGTTGAGTAAAGCTAATTTGCTAGTCCTGGGTAGGGGCAAATCCCTGAGCATGATGTGTAGGGAAGGGAGGGGGCCTGAATAATCCTTGAGAAGTAGTAGAATAGCAAATTTGCCAGTCCTGGGCGGGGGCAAATCCCTGAGCTTGATGTGTAGGGAAGGGAGGGGGCCTGAATAATCCCTGAGGAGTAGTAGAATAGCAGATGGAACACTGAGAATTTATTTCCTTGAGGATAGATTTCCATGATGGAAAGGAAATGAGAGGTTCTAAGAGGCAGGCTAGTGGCTTGTACTATAGCATAGCTGCCTTTGCTGGTGTGTGGTGATTAGGCCTGGTGGAACTGCCATCAATAAACCAAGCGTGATCAGGGTGAGAAACAGGGAAGAAGGAAATGCGGGGAAATGAGATGAACGTCAGGTGGATCAGAGAGATGCAGTCATGAGGGTCAGGTGTGATATCAGGAATAATGTGGGAGGCCGGATTGAAGTCCGGGTCAGGAACAATGGTAATTGTGGGAGACTCAACAAAGAGTGAGTACAGCTGAAGGAGCTGGGAAGCAGAAAGTATATGTGTCAGGTGTGAGGAAGAAAATCAATTTTGGAAATTATGAGAGCTGTAGAGAGTGAGTTGAGCATAGTTTGTGATTTTAAGGGCCTCTAAAAGTATTAGGGTGGCAGCAGCTGCTGCACAGAGACATGATGGCCAGCCTAAAACAGTAAGGTCAAGTTGTTTGGACAAAAAGGACGCGATCCCGGTCCTTGTGTAAGAATTCTGACTGCACAGCCCTGCACTTCAGCTGTGTGTAATGAAAAGGGTTGGGATGAGTCAGGGAGAGCTGGGGTGGGGGCAGCCTCCAAAGCTGTCTTCAAGGAATGGAAAGAGGAATGGGGAAAAGATTTAGGATCTATGGGGTCAGCTAGGTTTCCTTTTGTGAGTTTATATAATGGTTTTGTTAGGATGGCAAAACCAGGTATCCAAAGGCGAAAGTATCCAACCATGCCCAGAAAGGAAAGGAGTTGTTTTGTAGAAGGGGTTGGGGTTTGAGAGATTAGTCGGACACGACCGGCAGGGAGAGCACGTGTGTTTTTATGAGAATTATGCTGAGATAGGTAACAGATAAGGAAGAAATTTGGGCTTCACTTAAGTAATGGGGGCTGTCTGTGAACCTTTGCAGCAGTACAGCCCAGGTAATTTGCTGAGCCTGATGGGTGTTAGGGTCAGTCCAAGTGAAAGCAAAGAGAGGCTGGGATGAACGGTGCAAAGGAATAGTAAAGAAAGCATGTTTGAGATCCAGACAGAATAATGGATTGTGGAGGGAGGTATTGAGGATAGGAGAGTATATGGGTTTGGCACCATGGGGTGGATAGGCAAAACAATTTGGTTGATAAGGCACAGATCCTGAACTAACTTGTAAGGCTCATCTGGTTTTAGGACAGGTAAAATGGGGGAATTGTAAGGAGAGTTTATAAGCTTTAAAAGGCCATGCTGTAGCAGGCAAAAGATAAGAGGCTTTAATCCTTTCAAAGCATGCTGTGGGATGGGATATTGGCATTGAGCAGGATAAGGGTGATTAGGTTTTAATGAGATGGTAAGGGGTGCATGATTGGTCGCCAAGGAGGGAGTAGAGGTATCTTATACTTGTGGGTTAAGGTTGGGGGATATAAGAGAAGGACGCAAAGGAGGCTTTGGATTGGGAAGAAGGGCAGCAATGAGATGCAGCTGTAGTCCAGGAATAGTCAGGGAAGCAGATAATTTAGTTAAAGTGTCTCGGCCTAATAAGGGAACTGGGCAGGTGGGGATAATTAAAAAGGAGTGCTTAAAAGAGTATTGTCTAAGTTGGCACCAGAGTTGGGGAGTTTTAAGAGGTTTAGAAGCCTGGCTGTCAATACGCACAACAGTTATGGAAGCAAGGGAAACAGGCCCTTGAAAAGAAGGTAATGTGGAGTGGGTAGCCTCCATACTGATTAAGAAGGGGACGGACTTACCCTCCACTGTGAGAGTTACCTAAAGCTCGGTGTCTGTGATGATCTACGGGGCTTCCGAGGTGATCGGGCAGCATCAGTCTTCAGCCGCTAAGCCGAGAAGATCTGGGAAGGAGTCAGTCAGAGAGCTTTGGGCCAGAGTTCCAGGGGCTCTGGGAGTGGCTGCCAGGTGAGTTGAACAGTCCTATTTCCAGTGGGGTCCCGCACAGATGGGACATGGCTTAGGAAGAATCCTGGGCTGTGGGCATTCCTTGGCATGGTGGCCAGATTTCTGGCACTTGTAGCAAGCTCCTGGGGGAGGCGGTTCTGGAGGAATGCCTGGCCACTGCAGTTTAGGCGTTCGGAAGTTCTTGTGTGCTGGAGATGTGGCTGGGGTTTGTCTCACAGTGGAGGCAAGGAATTGCAACTCAGAAATATGTTGCTACTTGGCTGCCTTTACTCTATTATTGTACACCTTGAAGGTGAGGTTAATTAAGTCCTATTGTGGGGTTTCAGGGCTGGAATTTAATTTTTCGAGTTTTATTTAATGTTGGGAGCAGATTGGGTAATAAAATGTATATTGAGAATAAGACGGCCTTTTGACCTTTTAGGGTCTAGGGCTGCAAAGCGTCTCAGGGTTGTTGCCAAATGAGCCATGAACTGGGCTGGATTTTTATATTTGATGAAAAAGAGCCTAAATGCTATCTGATTTGAGATAAAGAAAAAGGAGCATTAACCTTGACTATGCCTTTAGCTTCAGCCACCTTTTTAAGAGTAAATTGCTGGGCAGGTGGGGGAGGGCTAGTCACGGAACGAAACTGTAAGCCAGACTGGGTGTGAGAAGAGGTGATAAAAGGATTATAGAGTGGAGGAGCGGAGGCTGAGGAAGAATTGGGACCTAGCTTGGCCTGGTGAGGAGGGGAGAGGTCAGATGGGTCTGTAGAAAAGGAAGATTAGAAAGACTCAGCAATGCTTGGGGTTGGGACTGAGGGGACAGGTGGGAGGGAAAGAAGGAAGATTTGGGAGGGGTTGCATTGGGAACAGAGACTAGAGAGGGACCGATGTATAAAAGAATGCCTGGATGTCAGGCATCTCAGACCATTTGCCTATTTTACGACAAGAATTATTTAGATCTTGTAGGATGGAAAAATTGAAAGTGCCGTTTTCCAGCTATTTGAAACTACTGTCGAGTTTGTATTGGGGTCAAGTGGCATTGCAGAAGAAAATAAGACACTTAGATTTTAGGTCAGGTGAGAGTTGAAGAGGTTTTAAGTTCTTAAGAACACAGGCTAAGGGAGAAGAAGGAGGAATGGAAGGTGGAAGCTTGCCCATAGTGAAGGAGGCAAGCCCAGAGGAAAGACAGTAGAGACACGGAGAAGGGGTGGGGGGTTCTTGCCCTCCAGAAAAGCAGAGAAGGGGTCGAGGCACGGAAATAAGGGGTTGGGGTGCAGAGATAAGAGGTCGGGGCACAGAAATCAGGGATCGGGGCACAGAGATAAGAGGTTGGGGGGTGGAAATAAGGGATCGGGGCACAGAGATAAGAGGTCAGAGTTCCTGTCCCTCCCCCAGAAAAGCAGGACTTGCCGCTAAGGGTGAAGGAGAAGGGGTTGAGGGGTTCTTGCTCCTCCCCCAGAAAAGCAGAGAAGGGGTAGAGACATGGAGAGAAGGGGTTAGGTTTCTTGCCTTTCCCCCAGAAAAGCAGGACTTACCATTAAGGGTGAAGGACCAAGGCAGGTGTCCCTGTGTGGTCTGACACCTCTGAAACCTGGGTGAACAATCAGAAAGGCGTCCCTGCAATGATTAAACACCAAGGGAAGGCTGCCTTCCCTAGTCTGTGACCGGTGCAGGAGTTTTGGGTCCACGGATAAAACGTGTCTCCTTTGTCTCTACCAGAAAATGAAAAGAATTGAAATGAAGAGAAGGGAGAGATTGAAGTGTGGCACCAAGATTGAAAGGAGAAAGAGGTTGAGGGATAGTGAGGGAGGTTGGAGAAGAGACTAAAAACAGGCTGCTTACCGGATTTGAAATTGTTGAGATGTTTCTTGGGGTCGTCGGTCTGAGGACCTGAACGTAGGTGGATCTTTCTCACGGAGCAAAGAGCAGGACAGGGGATTGATCTCCTAAGGGAGGTCCCCCGATCCGAGTTACAGCACCAAATTTCACTTGCGTCCATGTGAAGAGACCACCAAACAGGCTTTGTGTGAGCAATAAAGCTGTTTATTTCACCTGGGTTCAGGCAGGCTGAGTCAGTGAAGGGAGATAGGGGTGGGGCCATTTTATAGGATTTGGGTAGGTAAAGGAAAAAGGGAGGTTGTTCTCTGGCAGGCAGGAGTGGGGGTCACAAGGTGCTCAGTAGGGGAGCTTTTGAGCCAGGATGAGCCAGGAGAAGGAATTTCACAAGATAATGTCATCAGTTAAGGCAGGAACAGGCCATTTTCACTTCTTTTGTGGTGGAATGTCATCAGTTAAGGCAGGAACTGGCCATCTGGATGTGTACGTGCAGGTCACAGGGGATATGATGGCTTAGCTTGGGCTCAGAGGCCTGACACTGTTCACAAGGACTTGTAAGTTGTGTTCTTTGACCAATGCTACTTTTTAAAAATAATAGACTTCATTATAGGAAACTCCCTTCACATTCTATAACCACTATATCCTCTGGTTGCTTTGGATCTAACAGTAAAACTTTGTTGTTACTAATCCTTGCAGTTCCCTTACACCTGGTACTATGGATGAAATGTTTGTCTCCTCCAAAACTCATGTTGAAATTGAATAGCCATTGTGACAGTATTAAGAAGTGAGACCTTTAAGTGGTGATTATGCCATGAGGAGTCTGTCCTCATCAATGGATTAATGCCTTTATTGCAGGAGTAGTTTCCTTATAAGGAATGAGTTTGCCCCCCTCTTTACCTCTCTCTTTCTCTCTCTCTGTCACACACACACTCTCTTTTCACCTTTCTACCATGTGATGATCCAGCAAGAAGCACTTGCCACTTACAAGATGGCAGTGCTTTGGACTTCCCACCCTCCAGAACCATGTGATGATAAATTCCTGTTAATACATCACCCAATCTAAGCTTGTCTCTTATAGCAGCATAAAATGAACTGACAATTGGTAAATATCTCTGTAAAAATTCTTTTTACTAAATCTTCTTGAACTACCTTAATTTGCATATGCCATCTATTTCTTGCTGAGACCCTAATACAGTCACATTTTTATTATTTACTCTCTTGCTTTCTTTTGATATTTTTTCTTCTTGAACCCTTTCTTCTCTTAGCTACTGTGACTGTATGCTTTGCTTCTTTTCTTCCTAATTCATTGATTTATTCTAAGTCCCTTTTAGTAGGTCCTTTTCTTCTATTCAACTTTGAGATATTGAAGTGCACTATGGCTCATTCTTGGACCAGTTCTAGTCCCTAAGTGAAAAATTTCCCTAAATCGTCTCATTCAATCTCATGACATTTTAATAACATCTATATGTTAATGACACTTTATTCCTAGCCCTGACCATTTCCTGAAATACAGATTTTTTAATATCACATATATAAAATATATTTCTCCACATGTATTTCTGATAAGAATCTTAAAATTAACAATGGAAAGTTGCTTTAACTTTTTGTTCCCCAGTTGTCTCTATCTCAGTAAATACCACCACCATCCACCCTACTACAAAAGCCAAATATCTAATAATTAATCTTGATTTTTTATTTTACTAATATCCCATATCAGTTTTAACAGCAAATCTTGCAGACTCAACCTACAGAGCGTATTTTTGAAGCTATAATTTTCTTTCCACTCCTACTCCTAATGGATTCAAGTCAAAGTTTTGATTGTTGCCTTTCCAGACTGCCCCTGTCCTTCTAAAATTGATTTTTCAAATAGCACTCTTAATTATCTTTTAAACATAGAAGTCTAATCAAGTCTTTACTCACTTCAAATGTCTTCTCATCATTTACACTAAAATGCAAACTCCTTATCCTGATTTATAAAGCTCGGCATGACAAAGCATTCTCTTGGTCTCCTAATACATCTCATCCTACTCTTTCTCTCTCCCAACCTGCTGTAGTCACTCTGGCCTTCTGTCTCTTCTTTAAATATGCTAAGCTCACTTTTTTCTTGAGGCCTTCACACAAAGTGCCCCCTCTGCTTGAAATGGGTTCCTGTAATCTTTACATGTCTCTCTTCTCACAAGTCTCAATTTAAATATCAGTTTCCCAAGATGCCTTCCAAAATCATGAAGTCAAAATTAAATACCCCCCACACTCCAACACATCAAATTATTTTAATTATCATTACACCATTCATCCCTTTAAATTATTTATTTATTTATTATATTCCTTTCCAAAATTTATTGTCTTTTTCCTCCTAAAAAATGTGAGCTTTCTAAGAGGAAAGATCTTTTCTGACCTTTTCTCCACTATAGTATCCAAGTGCCCTAATTTTATCTGGAACAGACAAGGTGTTTTAAAATATTTGTTGAATAAATAAGCAAGTTTATGAGGCCTTAAAACATTTGGGTTATATTACAAGAAAATACTTATATTACCTTATGCTCAAGTATCCTAAAACATTATAAGAAGACTCTGAATACTGACAAGAACCGAGGTAAGTCAGTTCTGCCCTTGGTAACAACCATCTAGTCTAATAGGAAAATTAATGCACTATTTAACACTGTCCTTCTTTAAATCACATTTGCAAAAGCAAAACTACATTTGTTCATTCATTCTTTATGCAACCATCATTTGCTTTTATATTATGGGAATTTTATACACACTGGCTATACAAAAATGAAAGATCTATTCTTGCCCTCAAGGAAACTTTGGTCTTACATTAATTACTTTTATGGCTCTGCATGACTTATATATCTATTGCATCATCAGAAAACATGATAGGTAAAATGAACTTGCTATAAGACATTCAAATCTATAGAAGCTGTAGACTATGTATACATCTACCAGGCATGGCTATGATGAGTATATTGAAGACCTGGGCTTGCACTGTTGGCACACACACACAACTTTTTTGTAACTTTTTTAATGAAATTTTCCCCTTAATGTTACCATGCTAATAATTCACATTTTGAATTTTGAAATATCCAAATGAGCTTATAAAAGTAATTGTATTTGTTTGTATATTCAAAGTATTCATTTATTAAACATAAACCTTTAGAGTGTATTAACATTCTATAACAGGCTTCCAGAATTTCTGGAATTTTAAAATACTAGATATAAGAAACTGATTTATTGGTATTGATTCTTCACTCCCCTGTTGTAGTCTTATACTTCTGTATCCTTGACATAGCCTCATATTGAGTAGTGTATATTTCCCCACACTCAGCCATTTGACTTGGTCATATGATTTGCTTTGATCAATGGAATGTTATTGGTTGTGAATAGAGGATTGAAATGTGCTTGTGCAATTGAGCTAGCCTGATTGTTCTGCCTTTGCCAAAACAGGAAAGTATACTGGGTAAGCACTGACCCTTTAGCTAGAGGCTTAAAATGAGACATGTAGAGCAGAGCCATCCAACATACTCATACATCTACAGCCTAAAGCAAAGTTGACTGATTAGCCTCAGTAGAGCCACCCTAGCTGATCCACAGCCATGTGTGCAAGAAAACAGTGCTTCTTGTTGTATGCTCCTGAGATTTTTTTCTTACTGATGCTAACATAACTGACTGATACATCAGGATTCTCAAATATGGAAGAGGCCTTGATCCCTTTAGTTGTCTGAGGTACCCTGTGCTCAGCAATATTCCAGACAGCTAGTCTGCCCCTGAATAGGAACTGGGCTGGGATAATCTCAGGTGTCCTATATCTGATGTATCTAGAGTCTTCAGCTTTTATAGTTAAAATCTGGATGCAATTTTTGAATGCTTTCACCTTCACTCATATCTAGAGTTGTATATGCCTACTGATTCTTCTTTTGCAGCACTTTCTAAAATCACTATATAGAACTTCAAAGATTAGTTAAGAGTTTCCACGATGGAGTCTCTTGTATTCTGCGGTGTTGTCTTTTTAAACCATATGCACAGCACAAGTTTTGTTCACTCAAAGCAACATGATTACATGCCCTGCAATCTAGATTGTAGCTTTTGCTTTTCATTTTTTTGTTTCCATTCCCCAACCATTTTAAACATCTTCTTCCTCTTCTGTAATAATTAAAGTTCAGCTCTTCAAAAAAAAAAAGCCCTATTACTCTAATTATTTCTGTATCCCAGGCGATAAATTAACAAACATTTACACTGTACCTGCTATGTGCAGGGTTTTATACTAGTTGCTTTGGGAGTATCAAGATATATGAGACATAATCCATACCCTTTAGGAATTTACACTTATGTTGGAGAAATAAATCACAGTTAATAACTATAGAACAAGGGAATATAACACAGGTGCCCTGTGAATGAGATGGCTAAGTGGTGCTATCACTGTGTGATGGCTGGTCAATATAGATTACTTCTAGCTACTTTTAAAGATCATCTCTAATAATGTTGATGGTGAATGTGGACTAGAGGACAGGAAATCATTTAAAATTAGAATGCTGCCACTTAAACTGTCTGAAATTTTGGCAAACATGAAAGTAAAAAAATGCTGAAATACAAAGTTACATTTATTTAGTTCTACTCTATGAAACACAGACAGACTAAAAAATATAAGTTAATCTTTGTCTTTCATCCATTGTAAGTAACTGGTATTCATAGGCACTTCAAATTTTTAGTATCTAGTGTCTATTTAGTCAATGGCAATAATGAAAGTCACTATCTACACAGGCAGGGTTTTAAAATCAATTTAATGTTTATAAAGTAATGTCATAAGGATATCAGTCCATTGTTGCTATGAAGAATTACTAATTAAATGCTTTGATTATGGATTTTTATTAAAACATTCTTTGAAGCCAAAATAATTACTCTTTTAGTGAGCCTTATAATTAAAGAGTGGTTCTTTCACTTATGAAAACTATGCTCTATGATGTGTGAGCAGAATTCCACTTTATATTCCATCATTCATTTTTTTTCTTGTTTTACATAGTCATTTCACTTTGTTCAACATTTGTGTGTATAGCTAAGAAGCCCAATGAGCCAGAACAGATTGTAAGACCTTGTTGCCCCTTCAACTGAGAAGTCACTGTTTGACACTGTTTCCTTAAGGAAATAATCAAAAGATTTGCAAAACAACAGAAGGAATCAAGTTTTACTGCTGGTCCCTGAATTATAATATTAAATTATGTGTTAAAAAGGTATTAGGCACACAGTCTTCTGGAATAACCATCATCGTTACAACGTATTGCTTTCCATTTGAATTAGCATATAAATGAACAAAGATGTCCAACCACATAGCAGAGATGAGATTTGCCATCTTAAGCATTTAGTTGCCTTAGAAGCAGATTGTGTAAAATGCAAACTGGTGTGCTTGGATGATGATATTTGCTTGTTTGGGAATTTAGAATTCTGGAGTTAGTCTTAGGATATCAGGGATACACAAAGCAATTATATAATTTTTCCCAGTAGAGTCTTTGAAAACCTGTTCAAAAGATGCCAGGGAACTAAGTAAATAGAAAAGGTGAGTTTTCTTTGTCCAGTGGACAAATGCACAGAGGTACATGGTACATTAAAGTAGCTGTAATTAGCTGGGCTTGCCGCCAGTTATAGGTATGTGAAGAAGAAAGACATGGCAAAATATAAGGCAAAAATGGTTGGTGGGATAGTCTGTACACAATGGGAACCATTGTAAGTATTCAATTATTGGCAGTAATGAGAGCAGATCTCGTTATAAGGAAGATCAGCAGCAGTGTACAGATGGATGATGAAAACAAGTAGACAAGGTGAGTCAGAGGTCAGAGCGGTAGTCTCAATGAGACGTGATGCAAGTTTGAATCAAAACACCCACAGTGGAAATGCACGTGTGTAACAAATGCATATGAGTAACAAATGCATATGAGTAACAAATGCATATGTGTAACATAATACGTTACACAAAACTTGTTATGATTAGAATCTGTGGGACTTGTTAATAAATAAGACGTGGAGGTAAAATGAGTAAATGCTAAATTTAAGACAGACACCCAGATTCCTTGCTAAGAAACCCAGTGAGCCTGTGGTAGTAACTGAGCTAGCGATTAAAGGAGAGAAGCAGGGTAACCTGAGACATGTTCTTTCTGACCTATGTAGGAGAAATCCACATGACAATATCCAGTGAGTGCTTCCTCACAGAGGTCTTGCACTTCATGTCTGGACTCATTGACTTGGGCTTCATGAGCATATAGTGATGGAAGTCGAAAGTGTCTTTTCTGTATTCTGAGATTGTGTAAAGTATGAGCCAAATAGGCTGAGAACAAGGTCCTTTGATTCACCATCATTTAAAGAGCTGGAAGAAGTGAGTCCACAAAGATGACTTACAAGGAATCATTAGAGAAGTAGGAAGAAGATTGGAAGAGATTGCTAACTCAAAACCTGAGGACGGGCTTTCAGAGAATGGAAGGGGCACTATTGTCAAGGGCCATTAAATCTAAATAATGTGAATATGGAAATAGTCCACTGGATTAATTAAGAGGGTGAGAGGTCATTGATGAACTTTGTCAGAGATAGTGTAATCAAAAGTCAGAGGTAGAAGCCTAATTTCAAGGGGTTAAATCATAGAAGAGAAAAGAAAACCTGACTATAAATGGGAGGAAAGATATGAGATAGTTTGCTAAGAGGTCATTTGTAATTGATGGATATTTATTTTTTTCTTTTTATTTGGGAGAAGACCTGAATGTGGTTTTTAAACTGAGGGAAAGAAACGAGGGGAGAAGAAAAGTAAAAATATCGGGGGAGCAGGATAGGAAATATTAAGAAAGAAAATCTCCAGAAAACCTAAGAGGTTATTAAAAAGTCAATTATTTTTCATTTTAAAATGTTTTTAAACTGTTGAAAACACAAAACAGCAAAAAGAGTCTAAATTTTAAAAAGTTTTAAAAAACGGTAAGTTAACATCTTTAGACTTTAATCTCTCAATATGAATCCTCCAATTCTACCCCAAACAACCCCAAGCCTACCTTCCTCCACATACCACTAACAGTTTGCTATATATTAATTTGATTTTCTATATTTTAATAGTGCATTTACAAACATGCATGTATACATATATGTATACATTTTGTTTTTACAAAAAATAAATCATTATGTACATATTATTATGCAATTTAGACTAGAAAAAGGACACATCATTGGTATCTTTGCAGGTGAGTGTGCATTTGTACCACATTCTTATTAGTGGCTGCTTTTTAATGGCTTTTTAATATGCATGTCTTTTTATTGACCATTCCCACAATAATGAATATTTGTTTCCAATTTTTATTATTGAAGGCAATGTTTTAAGAGGAAATTTTGTTTTTTTCTAAAAAGTAGGGAGAAAAATGGGTGCAAATACAGATATCTTTTTAAGTGTGATGTTGGAAATGTAGTTACATATAAGGGCTGTTTACTGTGCAGGTCTGAGGGGGTACCAATTTCAAATAAAATATCTATTCATAGGTTATAAATTAAGCATAATCACACTTTTCTTTGATTATGCATTGTACTTTTAAAAAGCCTTTTGATTGACATATGCAATGCATACATGAGAACAGCTTCATGAATTTTCTAATATCAAATATGTCTTGTACCCAGCATCTAGATGAATAAACAGAATATTACCAGAACCCCAGAGAAGCAACTATGCACTCATTTCTAGGTACTAGTTATCCTAAAGATAGCCACTATCATCATTTCTAACATTATACAATATTTTGTCTATTCTGATCTCTACATAAAAAGGCAATCATGCAGGGTGTATTCTTTTGTATCTGCCTTCTTCTGCTCAGCATTTTATGATATTCATCTCTATTGTCATATGTAGCTGTAGTTCATTCATTCTCATCAATATACAGTATTCCACTGTGAAAATAAACCACAATTTATTTACCTATTCTTTTGTTGATGACAATTTGGGTAATTTCTAGCTTTCGGAAAAATAGTGCTGTTGTGCATGCCTATATGTCTTTGTGGAATATATATATATACGTATATATATATATATATATACACGTATATATATATATATATAGCATTTTTCTTGAGTATATACCTAGGAGTGACATTGCTGAGTGCATTTTGTTTTAAGTGGTTTTTGTGTAGGTGTAAAAATCTCTTATGTCAAGATCTGTGAGGACCAGAGTGTATTAATCAAAAGCTCTGTTTGGAGACAGCTAATGTGGTAGGCTGGTTAAACTCTTCGACTCCAGAGTCAGACTAGTTAGGTTCAAATACTGTCTCTGATGTTTTGCAATTGTGGGAAGTGATAAGTTACACACCCTCGCTCATCCTCAGCTTTATCATCTATAGAACAGAGAGAATAAGTACATTTCTTATTATATGCAAAATGCCTGAAGAACATTTAATGATAAGTAAATGCTCACTATTATTATTCCCATTATTTCTACTAATGAAAGTCTTACTTGGTCCTTTCAGGTTTTCTTTGCTGTATAAATACCATTTAGTCTTTGCTGCAGTCCATCTTTCTTTAACAGTTAATAAGACATATGAAGACCAGGTGTTAGGAGGATTTGGGAAATATAATTCTCTGCTACCCGATGCTCAAATATCAAACTGTGAAGAAAAAATGGAGCACACAAGGTGGAAGCAACAGCATCAATTGTATAATCTTCTTTCAGAATTCATTGTTTTCAGTGCTGAGAGGAACCACTTCATATCACCAGTTATTTCCTCCTACTCCATGTTCTTTCCTTCCTTTAAAACTAGATTTAATTTCCCATTTCATTTTAGCATGACACTCATCTGAGAACAATAATTTATCTTAAAAATGTTACCAAAAATTGTATCTAATGCTATTCATGAAGGATTATTTCCACATCACCTTTTGAAAAAAACTCTGGATGTTTACTTTTCTGACATATTATTAGCTTTATTATAGAAAATTGGTATATAAACATTTCAGTTTTTTCCCCTTGTATTATCCTGGATTATAAGGGAGAAAAGCATCCTCTCTTGCCTCTGGGATTTTCCTTATTGAGTTCAGGTGGAAGGAAAATACACACAACATTACAATATGCAGAGTCCATTTATGGACATCATAGGAGACTTGAGGAGGGCTTCAGTTCTATGGACTTCTTTGTAAGTTACTTTTTCAGATTTTCAAGGTCTTTATGTGCTACAATATAACTTACCTCTTTGTAAGGTGTAGGTTTTGAAGATTATTTCTTTCATTAGTCTTCAGCTCTGGCTTTGACCACATATATTTATTCAAGCCCACCCATTCCTTTTCCTTCAGGGTAGAATTTTCAGTAATGATCCCTCTAGCCTTTGATCAGTTTTGCATTTTTAAGACATAATTTCTTATGCGGCTTTTAAAGTGGTCTCACTAGTGGCATAACATTTGGAGAGTTGATGTAGAAGAAAGCAAACGTTTCTACTGCTTTTATTTTCCATTTACTTAATCTGATATTTAAGCAACCGGCCAAATTCTGTCAGCCAACTGTCTTACAGAATTCCAGTGAATGAGGTGACGATAGAATTTCAAGTACTGTAATTCTCTAAATCTATTTTTTAATTAGAATTTTGTGGGAGGAAGACAGCCATAATATAGAAAGTCATTACTTAGAAAGTAAAAGGAACAGTTTAATGATTTCAAAGGCATCAAAAAAGCAAAAATCTCTAAATATAATATTTTTAAGCATTATATATAATTAATAAAATATTTTTATGCATCAATAAAATTAATTAAAGCCTTAATGTTGAAAAGGAAGAGAATTCTTCCAATAATAGTTGAAAGTTAATTCCGGCATGTACAGTTTCATAATTTCTTTCTATCTAACCATATTAAACTTTCAAACCCTATATAAAGTGTTGAACGCTTTGTATCTCTAGAAATCGGCATGTTTCTGAAATCAGTACTGTTCTTGGACCACTTCCCAGGAGCAAAGCTCAGACAATATTCTATTCTTCAATAATGTGAGCCAGAAACAATGAAATAATAACGAGAAATACAACGTGAGGTGTAGGAATGAACATTAAACTGAGAGCCTCGCTAAACAGTTAGAGCACTTGTATTACTTCCTCCTCCTCTGCATAACTAAATCACAAGTAGGAGACCGGAGTTTCTTGTTGAATGGTGGACTAAACAAATGATGAAAATTTAGGAAAGATATTTTGTCTTTTCTCTTAACTTATAAAATAAAAATTATAGAAAATCTTTATTGTCTGAGAATTTATCATGTGAATTCTAGCAAATGGAATGTTGAATAGAGAAGCAAAATAGTTTATGAAAACATTTCCTTAAAAAATTAGTTCCCTTTCTAGGAAAATTGATATCTATAAACAAATGAAATGAAGTTGGGCCATTTTCTTATACTGTATACAAAAATTAACTAAAAATGTATCAAAGACCCAAATATAACAAAACTATACAAATTTTAGAAGAAAACATTAAGGGAAAACTTTATGACTTTGAATTTGGAAATAATTTCTTGGTCAATGATTTTG
This sequence comes from Homo sapiens, assembly GCF_000001405.40. NCBI lineage: Eukaryota > Metazoa > Chordata > Mammalia > Primates > Hominidae > Homo > Homo sapiens. The sequence continues at coordinate 176,051,395 of NC_000003.12, read as the reverse complement.
TATTAGGGAAATACAACATCTGGATATTAAAAATTCCTGGAAAAACAAAAAGTCTGAGAAAGCCAATGAGAAAAAAATTCATAGACATATGAAAGTTTTATAAAATGAAGATATTTACCACCAATGAATGCAAAAGAAACAAGAAGGAGGAAAGACCATTATACATTGCTGATAAATGATTGAAAATCAAATTGGGAAAGAAGTAAATCAATCTCTGTCAATGTTGTAAAGAAAACTAATTTTCAATCATTTTGATATACATTTGGAACCTTTTTTCTATTCCCTTTCAGTTTGTGAACACTGCCTTATTTTTCTTGTTAATTTATTTTTAAGTAAAACATTAATGACATTACTTAATGTCATTTCCATTACTTTCCAGAAAGTCTAGAAGAGTGTTAAAATGTATACAGAATCTAGATGTATTTTGAGCAAAGAACTTTAGGGATATCTGGCCTGCCATAGTACCAGAAGTAGAAATTATATTTCTTAAATTTTTTTTCATCATTTATTTATTAAAGATTTTAAACTGTTTCTCATTCTCAATCTTCAAATAACATTTTGTTTGTGTGTTTTATATTGGCCATTTTAAAGCTCCTAGATATATTTATTAATTTTATCTTTTCTAATACATCATGCTCCTGGATTTATCTATTAGTTTTTTTTTTCCTTTTCAATCCAGCCATATTTATTAATTTCTTATTTAACATTACTTATGTTTATTATAATTGCAAACATTTTTCAGTTGAATACTTCTTTCACATTTTATAGGTCAACTGTTTAGAGCTGATTATTTATTCTGATTATAGATTTAGCTACATCCCATACATTATTATATGTAATGCTTTTATTGAATTTAATTACTCTAAATAAGATGTCATTTATGATAATTTTTTCACGTGAATTCTTAATGTGTATGAGTTGCTATGTTTCATATTTTATGTTATTAATTTCCAGTTTTATTATATTTTGTTCAAAATATGTGACTTGTAGGATTGATTATTCATATGTATTGAGTTTTTAGATGTGCAAGAGTAATATAATCAAAATTTGGTAATGTTCCAAGGGTAATAAAAGGAACTATTCTGTGTCCTCTGACTGTAGAGCTCAAAATTCACTGATTTATTAAACCAGACTTTGTCACTATATCAATAACTCCTCCCCATGTTTGTGGCCTTTTCTTCTTGACCTATATGGCTAGATGATTACTTACTATGAGTCCATTACCAGGTCTGTGATCCAGCCACCAGTGAAGCTGAGGTTGGGCTCTATAAGTCTCAGAACTGAAATTTCTCTACTTAATCTCTTCTTTACATCTAAGAAAGACACTGTGCCAGCAGAGAGCTTTTACTATACAATTAAAATAATTTTTTCTATTTGGTCCAGCTTCCATACTTGGTACATTATAGGGCCATTTTCAGCATTGATTAGTACAAAGCCTTTGAGCCAAATGCTTTGCACCTGGGACGCTTCCTATCACAGATCGTCCCATTTGCTTTTGGAAAGCCTAATGCAACCTATATGCTAGCGTGCTGTTCCAAGGAAGGTGGCCTATTTTTCCTTAAGCCTGTCTTTCCTTTAGTATGGCTTTAGTGTCATTATTCAAATATATCCTGCCAAAAAGAAATTATAGATTTTAACATCTTGGACAAATTCTGCTCTGTTTACATCGTGTGGTTAAGAAACCATCTTCTCTGGTAGGGCAGCTTTGGGTAAATGTGTCTGTTCCTTTCAATCTGATCCTATATGCACTATACATGGAAGAAATTCTTAAGTTCTGCCTTTTGTGGATAATATTTTCCCTTATGTTCTCCTCTACTTTAGTAGCCCTTTGATCATTTACATCAGGATTTCAGAAATAGTAGATGTCACATCTCTAGATGAAGTTTTCTTAGAATCTCTTAGTTCACTTTTTAGAATCATTGAAAAATGGCTTTTTTGTAAGACTAATTGTAGATGATATTTTAATCCCCCATATCCCCCATATCCAAAAATTGATCTATCAACCTAGAATGATGATTTGTTTAACTTTGTGAAGATTACAGTAACAAAGATAAGGGTACTGGACCAGGAAGTAGGGATAATAGAAATAATGAGAACTGCCCCATGAATGATTTAGAGTGAGAGGATAAAGAAATCTGCCCCCAGCTTATTCTTAATTACCCATACCTTCAGAGGTGAGTTGTGAATGTTCAAATTAATCGCAGTGTCAAATACTTTAGTACCCCACAGCTACTGTAGTTTTTATTACTTTCTTTGTCAGGTTGTTTAGTCTTTGACTAATTGGGCTTTTTAATAGATACTCTAAGTCAATTAGCATTTTAAAATCAATGTCTTCCACTAAATTTCCATTTCATATGCTCAGAGAACAATTTGCTAATGTGAAAGCAGGACTGTAATGCAACGATTTCTCTGTTTCAGGGATTAAACACGAAGGAGCAAAAGTTGTAGGGTGTTTATGTTACAGAATGGCATGGAAAAATACAGAAACTTTTCTAATTGTCTTAGTCACCAAGCCAAAATTTATACATAAAAGCTATCAGAAAGTTCTCTCATATTTTAAACCAAAATGATACATTTATATTTATATAACAGATAGATAACCAGGACTTAGTATGTAGAATATGGGCTGTAATATATCTCTTCAATTAATTAATTAATCGAGTCCAAAGAACTGAACTTTGGTGGCACATTGTTTTCCTTGTGTAATTTTCTATGTAACATATATAATCTTTCTATCTCTGCATCAGAATTTGTCTTCCGCAACAAGCAATAAATCCAACTTCTTCAACTACAGATATAGATCTATGTTTTGACTGCAGGGTATTGAAAAATCTCTAAATGTTCTTTTAACTTTTCTTGGATTTGTTTGTTTAAAGCTATTCACATCATTTTATAGCAAAATTTGATGTCCTTTTTTCTCCTCAAGGGAATAAAATCTTATTATGACATAATAGTCATTTAAACAGAAAGTATGTGTTGATGGGAACTAAAGCTAGAGAAGCCAGTCAGATTTCAGGACCCCAGTAACAGCCCAGCTTTCATACTTTGAGTGATACCCAGTGCAGCTTGCCTAGTGAAAGAAATGCTTCTTCTAAATAGCCTGGTCTGAATCACAGATATGTCGTTGACTTGCTATGAGCCCATGGGAATTCAACTTAATCTCACCTACACTCAATTTCCTCATATGTAGACAAGAAGAATAATGAGAACTCCCTCTTAAGTCTGTTGTTGGAATACTATGACTGAGATTGGCAGATGAATACCAATTTTAAAAAATTCATAATGGCATGAGAACTTTGATAAATGGTACCCTGAGAATGAGCTTGATTGCAAAGCCCTGTTCTCAAAAAGGCATAGACAAGCACGCAAAATCGTCAATATTATTTCTGTGTAGATGAATTTCAAAATGTATTGGTCATCAAACAAGAAATATTTAATAGACATTCTGTTAGAGAATAATGATCTTTATATAATACAAGTCAAACAGACATATAGCTAGAATATACTTCATGTAAGAAGATGAGATCATTCTTGCAAAAGACAACTGTCAGAGAATATATGTAGATGTTTAAAAGACCAGTAATTCTGGGAGGATTTTGAATTCTTGGCCATGACTTATAAAAGTTCAAAGGCTTTTTGACAAAACAGAGAGGCCACTTAGAAAACAGCAATATATGGCAATGTATGTGGTACTATCCCGTAAGGATGCCTGCCATCTTAATATCGTGATAATAGAATTGGTTTCATATGCAACTGATTTTTTAAAAATTTAGAGATATTTTTTCATCCTGAGAATATATCAGTTGCTTCTTTGTACTCATTGTTTTAAACTATCTTTCATCACTGAAAAAAAAAACAACTGTTTCTATCTCTCACATTTTATTTGGCTGTTGGAATAACATATGAAACATTATTCTTTCAAAGTCCCTCAGGGAAACACCATAATAAAATAAGTATTTTTAGAGAATATATTACTGATAAATAGAAATATTGTGGACAATAGGATAAGAGAGTGGAAATACTATGGAAAAATTCATAAGAAACTTTAAGTCTCTACATCAAATAGGCTCATGAATTTTATCTGCAAAAATTACACTGTAAAAATACATTAAGGTATTGTTAACTTTAAAAAAATCTTGAATTCATCCTTAGAAAAGTCATAGTTGAGGCCTAACTAAAATTTCCAGTGTATTCCATGAAATAACATGGTCCACATCAGCATTTCTAAATCATGCATCTTACTAATTTTAATACTGAGGTGTTGGTATAGATAATAAATTATGATATTCTCAGTTTAAAATATTGTATTATCCCATTCATTTCTTCTTCCTGTCCTCTCCAAAGATATACCAAGTAGGTAGTAGAAAAGCTGCTGGAATATCTGGGTCATCCATGTTTGTTTCACCTCTGAGCCACTTGACGGGTTGACAGATGGATATGCAGCAAATGTCCTGCCTCTTGCATTTTGGCAATCTAATATAGGCAGGAATATGATCATATCTTCATATTACCATGGCGATAAATATGCTGGGCTCCAACCTCATTCAGTGTAACTCTATGGAAGAATTCCCTCTGAGTACATAGGCTGAAGTTCAGGCCTGCTATTTTTATCACATCAATTACAGTAGGCAGCAGGAAGAAACACTAAATTTTCTGTGAAAATGTTATAGCTTTTTGGTGCACAATAGCCCCACATTCTCTGAATGCTAAATAAGTAAATCATGTATGTATAGTTGCAAGAGCGGTTTCTTTTATGGCTGTTGACATATGATTGTATAAACCCTTGGGAGTTTAAAAATCTGGTCTAATTCTCAAAAATATAAAATTAAGAATAAAAAATAATCTGTTACACATACAAGTTCATCTATTCTTCAGTGATGTAGCCAATAAATCAGGAAGTACAGCTTCCTCACTTAAAAAATCAGCACGATTCCAAATTTGCAAAATGTAAGGCCTGGAATCCAATGCAAAAACTGGTCTTTAATTTCCACAAATTCTTGTTTTTTAAAAAAATTGGACTTTATTTAAACAATTGGTTTCCAAGACCTTGGAATTAGACATCTAGTCACTTTACAGACATAGACATAAATGTAAAGATACAAATATGTTTTTAAATATATACATAAGACAGTGCTTACCTTTTACAAATATAAAAAGTAAAGAAAAATTAAAATTATACACAAAATGAACACTGTAAAGGCATAAAAATATTTGTGTGCTTCTCCATATATTTTAAAACTGTGATTAAAATAGAAAGATACAGTTCCTATTTCTGGAGAGTTACGAGCTAAAATTGACATTTTAAGTTCCTCAGAAGGCGAGAACTCCAATATATGTGAAAATAAACCAAGAAAAGTTAAAACCAAACTAAAATCTCTTACAATCATATCAAAAAAATGAGGATACAATTAACATAAGCTATGTCCAGGTACTGAACAATAGAATGGGCTACTCTATCAAAAAGTGAGTTTTCTGCCAGTTGCTAACACTCAATGTCTGCACAACTTGTGCAGAACTGCAACAAGGATGATACAGAAAAGAGCTCTGTATGCTTTGAAATATAAATTTAGATGACTTGAAAGTTCTCTTACATCTCCACATACCATGGAAGACTTTACAATGCCAAAAGATCATGGTTTGTGTACATAGCTTGTGTGCAAATACTGCATGCTTAATTGACTCTCTCATACTCTATCAATGATGTTACTAATTGCACGATATCCAGTGAACTCACTACTAGGATCAAATATGACCAAAACTGACATGTAGTACATGCTCAGATATTGTTCAAATGATGAATTTGACTTCCTAATTGGTCTATTTATTTATAAAGGGTGAACATTTGCTTTAAATTGGGGAGTTTCTTAACTACACTAAAACACTGGACACAGGGAAAATACACTTTGAATATGTGAGTGATGTGGCAATTTGCATCACAGAAAACAAATGAAAACATATTTCATGGTTCCACTCACAAATAACTTGGAAGTTTTACCAGTGGAGAATACTCAACAAGTCTTATTATTATAAGACTAAAATTATGATATTTAGTTTAAAATTATTCGATTAGAAAATATTGGCCATAATGTTATTTAATTTTTTCTACCCAATTTTAACATGTAAGTGATTTTTTAAAGCATCAGCTTAAATTTTAAAATACTTTTACTAGATGAAATTTATTTAGCATGTCTGAGTTAAATAGCCATCTAAACAATTAACCTAAACAATTGGGAAAACTGTCTTGTCCCCCTCTCTGTTATCTTAAATAATCAATTTTCTTGATCAATATAAGAAACTTCAAAATTAAATCAGAAAATATGACTGACATTTATTTAACTTATTTGATCTTGCATCAAAATAAGTAAACCAATTCAGCAATAAATGGACATTAAAATTTTCAGGAAGGCCTTCTAATTTTAAGGACTCTTTCTAGGCAGGAACTTAAAAATCAAAATAAATAATAATATTTATTTATTGAATAACTGAATATATTGAGGAACTGAATAATAATGAATATTTAGTTATTCTGAATATCCTCCTCAAAAATGTGCAAAACCCCATGGCCCAGTAAAAGTCACTAATACTGTTAATTCCTATAAATTTACATATATGTCAAAACCACTGACCCACTTTTCCATAGAAGCAATCACTATGTAAGTTAGATAACATTATGACTTTTTAAAAATTTTTGTCATTTATTTAAAAATTACTGATTGAAAAATAAAATACGTATCAAAATCATCAAATATTTTCTGCGCTTTGTGTTTGTGATCAATTTCTCAGCTTCCTCTGAAGACTTCATTTCTTTGTCCCTTTCTTTTTTCAGTTTCCTTTTTATCACACTTTAGATTAAAACCTGGAACCACATGACTCAAATATCTATTGTATATGTAGTGGCTCAACTGTCTTTATTTCCAACCTGGAATTCTTTCCAGATTCAGGGATAAAATTACTCCAGATTCAGAGATAAAACAAACAAATAAGCATATGTATGCACATATATATATGTATGTGACATCTTCTTTTTGAACTCCTCCACTTGTTTCATGAAAACCACCCCACCTATCCCCTTTCTAAAAAGCCCTTAAATGATCTGAACCCCACCATCTGTTATGGATTATTGCCTTAACCTCTAGATACATGGGCCTACTTTTGTTTTACCATGACAGTCACAGATATTAAACACATTCTAATCTAATGGCTCCTTACTTAACTTTTTATTTTGCCTGTCATAATATTCTCCCGATTTTTGTATGGCTATTTTCTCCTTATCATTCAAATGTCAGCTTAATTGCCATCACCTTGAAGAGTCCATCCTATTCTGCAGCACATGAACCTGATTTAGTTCTCTGCTTAGATATTAATCATTTCTGATGTCATCTCCTATATTTCCATTTTAGGGATGGGGAGAAGACATATATTTTGTTTTGCCTTGTCTTTACCAAAGTATCTCTAGGACCAATAGGATCAGAGGCTCAACAAATATTCATTGATTAAATTAGCAACTATTATTAATAACTATATTTCAAAGATAGTTTGAAGATCAAAAAACCCATTAGGCAGAATTATAGTCTAAATGTTTGTGCTGCCCAAAAAAATTCATTTTGATACCTAATAACCAATATAATAGTATTAGGAACTGGGGCCTTTCAGAGGTGATTAGATCATGAAGGGGCTGCCCTCTTGAATGGAATTAGTGCCCTTGTAAAAAGAGGCCCCAGAGAGCTGCCTTGCCCTTTCTACACATGACGACATGGCAAGGAGTTTCCTATGAACCAGAAGGCAGAACTTCACCAAATACCAAATCTGACAGCACCTTGATCTTGGGCTTCCCAGCATCCAGAACTGTAAAAAATAAATTTCTGTTGTTTATAAGCCACCCATTTTATGATATTTTGTTACAGTGGCCCAAACAAATGGAGACAGTGTGTTTTCTTTCCAGTTAGTTTATTGAACTCAGCTTTAAGCATATCCATTCACTCATTTATTCATTAATTCAACAGATCTTTGTGGGAAGTCTGCCTTTTGCAGTGCAAGACAGGTCATTCTAAATTCTCAGGTTTCTAGTTGAATCTGAGGATTTGAAATTAAAAACCAAATGTGAATAAATGAAGTTATTGCTAGTTTGTTTCCTCTCTTGAAACACTGCACCTTATTTTCTTCTAATTTCTCTGATTACCCATGTTTTGGCTCAATTTCTGGGAGCTAAAGTTGCCCTCAAGGATAGTTTATCTTAAGGTTATGTCCAAGAAGCTTTATTCATTAGGAGGTGTATTTTTTTCTTGGAGATTTGACAGGCACAACTAATATGTAAATTATGTGTTTAGCTATGGAATTAAAATAAAAAGGTGAGCATGTTTGCTTTCTTTAAAGCAATTATGAAACTTTTCAACAAGTTTCTTCATTTCACTACCAACAATTATTTTCATCTGCACATTTTTGTTAAAGCTCTTGCTTATTTAATTCAATTTTTGGATTCAATTTTTTATTTCATAACTTAGATGGTTAGAATACTTCAGAATGTATGGGCACTATTTAACAAAATAGCATAATAGATTTGTCCTAGCAAATCTTGGACTTGAGACAAGTAAGTACTACCCCAACTGCCAATCAGTGGCTTGGAGAATTTATTCAACCATTTGTAGCAAAATAAAAGAGCAAAATAAACAGAATTGAGAATTTATTACTGAGAAAAATCAAGTAAGAAAATAGTTTAAATCAATGGTTTTAACATTACCTACACCACAGAAAATAAATGTTTCTAGGAAAAGTGATATTCAGAAAAATATCTATTTGCCATCTCACTAACTCAAGGAAGCCTGCCTAGTTATAACATGAGACCGTTTCTCAAATTTCATTTTCCTGTTTATGAAAACTCACTCAGTTTTCATACATAGTACTTTGGGGAAAACAGAGGACATGTGACAGTAAACACTGCATAAAGCACAATAGAACATGGATATTTAAAGCACTTATAATCACAGGTAAAGCAAATTATAAATGAAGAACCTACCTTTGTCACTAGTCATTCTGGCTGTGCATACAAAACAAACAAATCAACCAATTTCTTATGAAACACCAAACAACTTGACATCATTTGTTGATGTGGATGTTGGTTTTGTTGTTATTTTCTTAATGCAATTGACTCTTTTTGGTCTGAACTGATTTATTCTTTTGCTGTTGTGTAGAAACACTCTTAATGTTGTCTATGGGCATTCAAAGGCATAACAAACAACAAAACTGAGAAGAAAAATGACTGCAGCACAGATTTTAAGAAACATATTTTCCTGCTCACTGATCTCCTTTTATCTTCTGCCCATATGTTTCTGTGTTGCAGTTTTATCTCATCCACACTTATGGAATGCTTTGGCAGGGGAAATGAATTCTGATGAGACAGACTTGGTGAAATTCCAGAAAGTTTTTAAGAAGTTCAGATACCAAACATAGGACCTGTATTGCTATGTGTTGCAAGGATTTAACCTCCGCTTGTCAATTGACTCTGGCTTTTTGTTTGTTTGCTTATTTGATACGTGTGATTTTATGATGTATGTTAGTAATGCTCAGTGATTCAATTGTGTTTTTACAATTTGAGAGACTTTGACCAAACCATGAGCTCATTTTTCACTATTTACTATACTTGGATAAATGAAATATTCCTAAATGCATGAGGAAGTTAGGAAAGGTATGTGTCATGGTAACAGATGCAAGGAGTACATTTTGAGGCCAGACAAAGAGCAGCCATTCCAAGTAGAGTCATGTAAAGCCAGTGATAGCGATAGTCCCACTAGCACATTCACCTCTCTGTGGCCACAGAGGGAATCTTGTCTCATGCATTCTCTTAATACAATGTTTATGCAAATAATTTGCATATATGAATATGTCAGTAAGCTACAACTTTTCAAACTGAAGTCAAAATTTGTTATCTCCAATGCCAGGATGCGGATATTTGTATCAGCATATACACATCTTAAACAGTCCTGGGCAATGGAGAACATGTTACTGCTATTCTCCCCTCTCTGTCTGTTTTAATCCCTCTCTCTCACTCACCATCCTGGCAATATCTGTTTCTCTCACTTCCAGTTTCACTCTTGCTCAGCCTAGAATTGATCTTGAAAAAATGATGGTTGAAGATCTGGAAGAAGCGACATTCATTTCTAAAAACATTTTTAAAGTACGTACTAGGTGCCAGGCACTATGTCCTTCCGTTCAACCATTAATATTAACCATGCTGGAAAAATGAATAGGAATGGAAGGCATTTCTCTTTATAAAACCTCACTAATTATGCCACTGCTGCGGTCTTCCATATAAAGCTAAAATAAATTTTGTGAAGCTACAAAGGTACATTTAATATTCAATGTCTTTCACATGTTATAAATTTGCTCCATATGAAGGGACCTCATTAGTTTTTTTTTCTCATTCTATTTGAGAGTTGGAAGTATGTAAGATAATTTATCTCAATAATAAATAACTGAGGATTTAGGATAAACAAATATTTGTTTAATTTTTATCATCTCTATTAATTGTTTTGATGACATTTTTTACCATGTTTGATTTTGTCTCTTAACCAATTTCTGTGCTGTAATATGCCCTTTTTCCCCCTCAGGACACTTCCTGAATATTGGTGATGTCTATAAAACTTTATGGGATATAATGAACATTTTCTTCTTAAAGAAAGTGGTACATTTTGGGGGAACTACTATAGCTTTATTTTTCAAAATTACCAAAATTCTAAAATCCTAATTTATTCCATGGTAAATATAGAAAATGTGACAAACTCCATAGGTGATGAGTACTGCCCTCCTGGGACTCACAGTACCCATTGCTTGAATATCTCAGTTTTTGTGAGAAATGATGTGCTTTTTATATGGACATTTTATATCTTATAATAGCTCATACTTCTCCATTTTCCTTGGCCTTTATGAAACTCAGAAATTATTTTTGGGTAAATCTTAAGGTAAAACTTTAGTTTGTGGCCAGATAAAAAATAATTAAGGTAATCATAGGAGACAGAAGTGGGAGAAAGAAAGAAAAAAATAATTCAGAGAATAGGACTGAACATTTCCCAAATTTGATAAAATTATAAGCCCATGTGTGTAAAAGTTAAAGAAATCCAAAGTGTAAGAATTGTGTAGAAAACTATACCAAGACACATCATAACCAGATTCCTTAAAATCATTTATAAAGAGAAAATTATAAAAGTATCCAGTGGAAAAAAAGGACAAATTACATACAAAGGACAAAAAATAAAAAAGATAGCAGAAATCTGTTGGAAATTATGTAAGCCAGCAGCAGTCAAATAAAAGATTATTGAAAAAACATTTGGCAATCTAGAATTTTATAGTCAGTGAAAATATCTTTCAAAAATAATGGCAAAGTACAGACTTGTTCAGTCATCTGAAAGCTAAAATAATTCATCACCAGTATGTCTGTGCTACAACCAATCTATACCATATATCATTCTCAAAATGTTAAGTAAAATTGGATCATGAACTATGTAAAACCTAAAAGGATAACTTCTTTTAGAAGAACATAGGAGAAAACCTTTGTGACTAGGTTGGAAAATAATTTCTTAGATAAGACACTAAACCTACAATGCATTAAAAAATAATAATTTGAAGGTAATCAAAATTAAATATTTCTCTTCAAAAGACACTGGTAAGAGAATGAAAAGACTAGCTGTAGACTGGGGAAAATGTTTACAAATCACAAATCTGATAAAGAACTTAAATCTAGAATACATAAAAAGTATTCAAAAGCCGATGATAAAACAGTCAACCTAGTTTTTTTCTTTATAGTAAACAAAAGTATAGAACACACACTTCACCAAAGAAGATATATAGACGGCCACTAAGCACATTAAAAGTGCTCAACATCATTAGACAGTAGGGAAATACAAATTAAAATTGCAATGGGTTACTCCTATGCACTGATTAAAATTTCTACAATTTTAAATGACTAATTTTATCATTTGTTGACTGGAATGTAAAGTTATTAGAACTTCCATACACTGTTGGCGCAAAAGAAAAATGGTGCGAACACCTTTGAAAAATATTTTGGCAGTTTCCAAAATATATCCGCTAGGCATTTTAGTACTATGTATTTAGCATAGAGAAAGGGAAATAAATGTTCACACCCAGACTTATACAGGGATCTTCATGTCAGCTTTATTTTTTAATGACCGAAAGCTGTAACCAAACCAAATATTCACCAATAGATGAATAGATAAACAAAAGGTGGTTTCTCCATGAAATGGAATAATAACTGTTAAGAAAAGGAAAGAACTTCAACAAAATAGACAAACTATGACCCTGGGCTAACACGGTCTATGCTCTCTTTTAGTATAATCCACAAGCTAAGAGTGTTTTTCAAATATTTAAGGGTTGTAAATAAACAAAGAAGATGAGACAGAGACCTTCTATGACCCACCAACCCTAGGAGATTTACTGTATGGCCCTTTGCATAAAAATATTTGCTGACCCCTGCACTACAACATAGAAGAATCTCAAAATAATTATGCAAAATAAAATAAGCCAGGGATAAAATAATACAAACTGTGTGATTCCATTTACATAGAATTCTAGAAAATGCTAGAACTAATCTATGTTGACAGAAAGTAGATAATTGATTGCTGGAAAGGCAGAGCATAGGAAGAAATATGAGGAAGAAATTACAAAGAAAAATGAAACATTTGGAGTAATGAATGTGTTTATTATATTGATGATAGTGATATTTTCAAAGCTGTCTACATATGTCAAAACTTGTCAAATTGTCTACTTTAAACATGCAAAGTTTATTGTATGCTTATTATGCCTCAAGAAAACTTTTAAGAGGCATCACGCTGATTTCAAAATATAGTATCAGGCCATAGTAACCAAAGCAGCATGGTACTGGTATAAAAACTGACACAAAGACCCATGGAACAGAATAGAGAGCCCAGAAATAAATCCACATATTTATGGTCAATTGATCTTTGACAGAGTTGCTGACAGCACGTAATGAAGAAAAGACAGTCTCTTTAATAAATGGTGTTGGGAAAACTGGATAACCACGTGCAGAAGAATTAAATTAGACCCTTATTTCACAACACACAAACAAACTCAAAATAAGCTAAAGACTGAAACCTAAGACCTGAAAACTGTGAAACTACTAGCAGGAAACAGAAGAGAGATGCTCCACAGCAATGGTTTGGGCAATGATTTTTAAAAACGCATCCAAAAGCACAAGCAACAAAAGCAAAAACAGGCAAATGGGATTGCATGAAACAAACAAAAAGTTCTGCACAGCAGATATCACAGAGTGAAGAGACAACCTATGAAATGGGAGAAAATATTTGCAAACATATACTCAACAAGGGGTTATTATCTAAAACGTATAAGGAATTTAAACAATTGCAAGAAAATAAAAGCCTTTTTATAGCATTTAATTCTGCAAGGCTAAAGTTTTTGTCTGAGCTTTTTCAACTATTACAAGGCAGTAGAAATATAAATGAATGTTAAGACTTCAAAAATGTTTCTTTAGGGAGTTGGCCAACAATTCTCTCATCTTTACTCCTTCTCCTTGACAATCATTTAGTGTTGCACCACATATGAACATGCTCAATTTTCAGCAGAGATCTTAGGCTAGATCTGCACTGCACCCATAAAATGGGGATGACTCTTTTTGTGGATATGACCTTTATGAGATACCTTAAGGATGAACATTAGTAAACTCACATGTTAAAAATATTGGAAAAGCAGAGTGTGCTATTGAAGTACTAGCCTTGTGTTCTTTCCCATGTTACGAATTGTCTTGAAGTAACCTTTGACCATGATAAGTCAATATAAGAATAATATGTCTGATATTTAAATAAAATATAAGTAAAAATAGAAAGGACCAATTTGTAGCCATTATTATTACCATTATTATTATCTTACTATTATTGGTCAGAAAACTCAAATAACCATTTAAAATAATTTAAAATAGTCTGTTGCTAGTGTACAAGAACACTACTATTTTGTATGTTGATTTTGTATCTTGCAACTTTTCTAAATTTGTTTATTAGCTTGAACAGTTTTTGTGTTGGGGTCTTTAGGGTTTTGTATAAACAAGATCATGTCATCTGCAAACAGAGAAAATATTATTTCTTTCTTTCCAACTTGAAGCAGTTTATTTCTTTTCCTTTCCTAATTGCTCTGGCTAGAACTTCTAGTACTATATTGATATGGTTTGGCTATGTCCCCAGCTAAATATCAACTTGAATTGTATCTCCTAGAATTCCTACCTGTTGTAGGATGGACCCAGGGGGAGGTAATTGAATCATGGCGCTGGTCTTTCCCATGCTATTCTCATGATAATGAATAAGTCTCATGAGATCCAGTGAGCTTATCAGGGGTTTCCACTTTTGTTTCCTCCTCATTTTCTCTTGCCACTGCCATGTAAGAAGTGCCTTTCACCTACTGCCATGATTCTGAGTCCTCCTCAGCCATGTGGAACTGTGAGTCCAAGTAAACCTCTTTTTCTTTTTAGTCTTGGGTACGTCTTTATCAGCAGCATGAAAACGGACTAATACAATACTGAATTGAAATGGCAAGAGTGGGCATCCTTGTCTTGTTCTTGATCTTGGAGGAAAAGATTTCAGCTTTTCACCATTGAATATCATGCTTGCTTTCTGCTTGTCATACATGGTTTTTAGTATATGGAGGTACATTCTGTGCTTAATTTGTTGAGCATCTTCATCATAAAGGGATGTTGAATTTTGTCAAATGATTTTTCTGAATCTATTGAGATGACTATATTTTTATTTTTATTTCTGTTAATGTGTGCATCACATTGATTTATTTGCTTGTGTTGAACCATCCTTGCATCCCAGAGATAAATGCTACTTGATCATGGTGTATGATCCTTTTAATGTGCTGTGGATTTTGCCTTGCTAGTATTTTGTCAAGGATTTTTGCCTCTATGTTCATCAGTGACATTGGCCTGTGATTTTATTGTCTTGTGGTATCCCTGTCCAGATTTGGCATCAAGATAATTCTGATCTCATAAAATGAGTTTTAAGTGTGCTCTGTCCTTCAACTGTTTGGAAGAGTTGAGAAATAACCTATTCAAAAAAATGATCAAACGACCTAAATAGACATTTTTTCTCAAAAAAAGACATACAAATGGCCAGCAGATATATGGGAGGGAAAAGTTCAACATTAACAAACATCAGAGAAATGCAAATTCAAAATGCAGTAAAATATTACCTCATAACTGCTAGAATGGCTATAACAAAAAAAGACTAAAGATAACAAGTGTTGGCAAGGATCTGGGAAAGAGAGAACACTTGTACATTGTTGATGGGAATGTAAATTAGTACAGCCAATATGGAAAACAGTATGAAGATTCCTCATAAAATTAAAAATGGAACTGCCATATAATCCAGCAATCCCGTTTCTTGGCATCTGTCAAAAGGAAACAAAATCAATATGTTAGAGGGATATCTGCACGATCATGTTCATGGCAGCATTATTCACAATAGCCAAGATACAGATCAACCTAAGTGTTCATTGACTGATAAATGGGTAAGGAAAATGTAATACACACACACACACACACACACACACACACACACACACACAGAGAGAGAGATAGAGGAACACTCTTCAGCCTTAAAAAAGAAGAAAATCTTGTCATTTCTGACAACATGGTAGAACCTGGAGGACAGTACGTTGAGTGAAATAAGCTGGCACGGCTTATACATGATTTCATTTATAAAATCTAAAATTTATAAAATCATCTAAAAAATCAAAGTCATACTGGGAAAGAGACGAATGGTTGCTGAGGGATGAGAACAGGTAGGCAGGGAATGGGGAGGTATTGGTCAAAGAATATAAAGTTTCAGTTAGATAACTTGAGTAAATTTTGGAGATCCATTGTACGGTATGTTGACTATAGTCAATAATAATTTATTGTATACTTGAAAATTGCTAAGAGAGTAGTAGATCTTAAATGTTCTCACCATGAAAAAATATGATAGATATGTTAATGAGTTTAATTTAATCACTTCATAGTGTATATACTTATCCAAATATTATGTAGTACACCATAAATACATTCTATCTACAAATCTTATTTGTCAACCGTACCTTAATAAAGATGTGGACACATTAAAAATAAAAGAAATTATTAAAAATGTTAAAATTAAGCTCTTTATAAAATGACTATTTTAAATACTGTTTCAAGTTATTTGTCACTTAATTATTATGGGTGGATCATGAGGTCAGGAGTTTAAGACCAGCTGTCCAAGATGGTGAAACCCCATCTCTACTAATAATACAAAAGTTAGCCAGGCGTTGTGGCGAGCACCTATAATCCCAGCTACTCAGGAGGCTGAGGCAGAGAATTGCTTGAACCTGGGAGGTGGGGGTTGCAGTGAGCCACTGAACTCCAGCCTGGGTGACAGAGTGAGACTCCGTCTCAAAAAACAAACAAAAAAACAAAATAACAACAACAAAAAAACAGATGTGAAGGAGTTCTACCCACTGAATATTTTTAATGGTCAGATATTACTAAAAATAATAATATCATTATTGATTTCAGATTTGAACAGAAAAATTGACATATTTATACCTGGAATTCATGTTTATGATTCCAAAATCATCAGATGAGTCCAAAGTTTCTCAAACATTGTTAACAACATTCACATATTCATATCCATCTACATATTGAAATTTTCTCTTCTTTTCATAAATACATTATGGTATCCTGATAGACATTCTCCTATTCATTTGGTTAGATGTTATTCTGGTGGTGTCATTAGTTATAGCCTCTTGCATACAATTTCACTACTTTCTATAGATATCCCATCTGTATTCCACAGTATTGCAGTAATTGGAAGACTCAAAACTATATTTTCTACCTTTCACCATACATAAAAGCCAATGCCACATGAATTGCAAGTCTAAATGTAAACAGTAAAACAATAATGGTTTCACAAGAAAATGGAAGAATACCCTTATGACTTTGGAACACACACAGATTTTACTCAATGGACACACACAAAATAAATAAGCCACAAAGGAAAACATCTGAAAAACTGAACTACCTTTTTGCAGTGAGCCGAGATTCTACCACTGCACCTACAGCATGGGCGACAGAGCGATACTCCGTCTCAAAAAAAACAAAACAAAACAACCGAAAAAGTGAACTACCTCAAAACGATGAACATCTTAATCAAAAGATACTATTAAAAGAGTGAAAAAACGAGCCACAGAATGGCAAAAGATATTCTCAATACATATAACCAACAAAGGACTCATATCCAGAATATGACTACGAAGAACAAGAAAACATAGAAGCTCATAGAAAATCCAGCAAAAGGCTAAAATACGCATTTCATGGAAGAGGGTATCCAAGTGGCCCAAAAATTTAAAATATGGTAAGTTTTCATAAGGATGTGGAACATCCAGAATTAGGAAAACCACTTTGGAAAACTGTTTGACAGTAATCTACTAGAGCTGAACCTATGCACCAGAGAAATTCCACTCTTATCTATCCAACTGAAACGCATTCAAATGCTCATCAATGTTTATAGCAGCAGTATTTTTGATAACCTCAAACTGGAAACAAACCAAATGTCATCTTCCGTAGAATGTAAAAACTGTATTATATTCATACAATGGAATACCACGTAGCAATGAAAACAACGATACTATTACCACACAACATATGAATGAATGTAACAAATAAAATGTTGAGTAAGAAAAGGCAGTCATAAAAGAGTACATATCATGTCATTCTCTTTTGTCTAAGGTTCAAAATTGGCAAACTTGGTTTGTGGTATTAGAAGCCAGGATCACAGTTAATTTGATGGAGGATAATACCTAGAAAACAGTGTGAGGGGAGCTTCTGGTATGCTAGCAATTTCTGTCTCCTGATCTGCATTCTGGTTACATGTGGGTGTGTTCACTTTATAAAAATTCATCAAGCTCTCTGATTATGATTTCTGCATTTTTCTGTATGTATGTTATACTCCAGTAAAAATTGACATAATTTTTTTAAAAACTTTGAATTATGGACTGTTTTACTTAGCTATTTTTACTCTAATATTTCACTATTCTAATATTTATTTCTAATAAATTAAGAATTAATTTTTTCCTCTGTTCCTCAGGACCTCTATCAGTTTGCCTAAACCTGAAGATACCATTTATAGGAGCTCTGACTGCTCAGACTCTGCTTCCTACTTGGTTTCCTTCAAATCCTATATTGCTGTTATTCTCTTCCCTGACTATTCCAGCTTAGTTTAATACTTAATCATAGATGACCTCCTTTTATATGATCAGTTATTGTTATTCCATGGATATTAGTCTTATTTCATTAATTTTATAAAATGATTGAGTGTAGAAACTTGTTAATTCTCAGTCTAGCAAACATCAAATTAGTGTCTTTGACCATCACAGTGTTTGGCACAGGTACTAGATTTTGACTGAGAAAACCTAGTCTCTTGTCTTAGCTGTATCCTAATTAATAAATTACCTTTTTAATATGTTCATTATTTAATTCAGCAATATTTATCGAGCTCTTATTTTGTGCTGAGCACTAGAGCTTCAATATTAAGCATGATAAACTTGTCTCTTATTCTTGCATATTTTACAATAAAAGTAAGATTGTCAAGAGACCGATCTTTTACATCAAACTTAGTATGTTGAAATTCAAACTTTGGCATTTATCTTGGGAGGTTTTTAAATTTCTTCTTTCTTCTGTCATAAATTGTGTTTACTGGCAACTTCCTTGTATGGTTGCTGTGAAGATTATACACAATAACATTTTCCACTGATCCCAAGGTGCTTCCTTTTTTTCTCACTTTTCACTGTCTTTAAAACAGAATGCAATGGATAATCAGTGGTGTTTTCTGATTACATTTGGTAATGTTTTCTATACAGAATAAAGGTGGTCTTACATTCTGTGAAATAAAGTAATCCATGTTGAGCAATTAACACAGAGCCTGGAACTTGGTGGGAGCTCAAATAACACTTATTACTAATAGCAGGAATAAAATATAGAGTGAGATAGAAACAGATTATTAGAGTACTATACAAAAAAAGAGAACGTTCAGGAAATACAAAGCCATGAGAAGTACAGGGGGTTATGAGATCACACTGGAAGAGCATGTAATCCATTCTTACGAAACCAGTGATTTCTTCCTAAAGCATGTGACTTCAAAGATCATAGATAGATAAGATTTATGAGCGAATTAGAGAAAACAGCATGTGCACTCAGAGAAGAAAGTGTGTCATGTTCAAGGTTATGTAAAAGAACTCAGGTTTGCTGTAGTATACTGAGAATTGACCACAGGTGAAGCTGGAGAAGTCCGTAAAGATCAGGTCATAAAGGACATTTTAAACTATCTTGCTGATTTGCAACTTTATATAATGATTACTGGGAGACCTTGAAGTCTTTTCAGAAGCAGTGAAATTTCACTGCTTTAAGTAATAGATAACTTAAATTGTGTAGGGCTTAATTACTTGTCTACTGCACTAGATTATGGTAGAACATTATGTAAATATAAATATTGTAAGTTTCCAAACTTTTATGAGAAAATGAAAAAAAATGATTTTTAAAAAATAATTTATCCCAAGTCATATTCGAGTACCCTGATGTCTTTAATGTGTTTCCTGTACTTTCCAAACAAGCTTCAACCTATATTTTCTATAAAAATATATATTTATATATATTTATACTTTATGTATATGTATATGTGTGCATATGTGCATATGTATGTATATGCTGAAATCAACATTGTTTTATTTGAACAAATGGTAGGCCCTTGTACAGTAGCAGAATATCAAAAAGAAAGAAAGTAGACAGTTAATATATCTACCTTGACTTTCAAGAAACTCTTTGAAATACAACTGAAGATCATTATGTTTTATTTTTTCAACCTCTTTGTAAATCAAAATTTAGCTCTCCCCTCATTTTATTCTCTGTCCCCTGAAGCACTCATCTCATGTCCTTTGATCTTGGAATACTTATTAAACTATTTGTATATTTCTCTAACATGTATTGTGTACATGAAAGTATCTTAAATATGACCATATAAAATTATAATCTCACTTCACAGAAAGTTATACAAATGCAAAGACACATATATTCTGTTTTTTCATTCTATTTTTTTTTTCACTTCTTCATGTTTTCCTTTTTCAGAGTGGACTCCAAAGAAAAACATAGATATAACTATGGCCATTTTATAAATAAGATTGAAGGAAGATATTAATTGCACAGTCAGCCTGCTGTGTTGTTCCTGGAAAGATATATTTTCCTGCTCAAAGGATGTGATTTGATACATTTTATTAATAGACAAGATGCTTTTCTTGAAAATTAAGAAAACAATCATTAAAGATTAAGTAGAGTATTCATAGTGTCTGTGGGTTACACCTACCTAATAGTTGCCAAAACTCAGATAATACAATGGAATGGAATTATTACAATATTACACTCATAATTTGATCTTTATACAGGCAAGGAATTTCAAAATTCAGAAAGGCATGGGAAGATTAAAGCTACCAGCATCCCCTAAGTCATCTGGAAATCACTAGTGATATTAAGATTTGGTTCTATTGTTTTATGAGCCCCAATCAAGTTCGAGAATATGAATAGAGATACTAAAAAAAACAGAGAAACTTGGCTTCTGGAAGGCAAGCCCTTAGTGAAAGAATTAATAGGAAATAATTTTTTGACAAATCTACCCTCACATAAGTTTGTGATCCAAATCTAAACAATTCAAGTCTTCTAGAAATTCTTTAGCTGACAATAAAGTATTCCCGGATTGTTAGTATCCTTAGGCAACCAGAACCAAGAAATATAAATCATCCAAAAGATGTCAAAGAATTCTTCAGACCATGATTTAAAAAAAATTAATACTTAATAAACACAAGAATTATTGATCAAGAAAAAAACAAAAAGAATGGGATATGCAAACACAAAATATTATAATTATCAGAGACAGAAAATAATATAAATGTATAAGTATTAATAAGAATGAAAGTAGACATCAAAAGAGATTAAGAAACAGGCTTTAAAATATAACTAGGCAAACTGTCAACTAAAAACATCACTAAAATTCTAAAAAGTAATTAAATGTATGAAACAGAATATTATAAAAACTTAAAAAGGAAATTAGACTGCTTCAAAAATTACAATGTTATTTTAAAAACATAATTCAGAAAAAGGAAGTAGAAAAGAGATATTAAGAGAAAAAATGGTGTGAGAAATCTTAGCATACATTTATTTTGGAGTGCTAGAAGAAGATAATACAGAAAATTATGAACTACTGCCCTAATTCCTGGAATATGTGAATATGTTTCATGACAAGTGAAGAGGAATTAAGGTAGCAGGTAAAATAAAGGTTTCTAATTAGCTGACCTTAATATTGGAGACTAGCCTGTACTCTCCAGGTGGGCTTAATATAATCATATGGATCCTTACAGTGGAAAAGGGAGGTGGAAGAATGACAGTGTCAGAGTAACCTCAGGTGAGAAAGATTGGACCAGCCAAAGGAGGCAAGAAATGTGGGCAGCCACTAGAATCTGGAAAACGTGAGAAAGCATTTCCTCTTCTAGTGCCTCCAGGAAGAAAGGCAGCTCTACTGGCACTGTGATTTTAGTCCAGTGAGACCCATTTTGCATTTCTGACTTCCAGAAATGTAAGAAAATAATTTATATTTTTTTAAGCCAGAAAGTTTGTGGTAATTTTTATAGCAGGAATAAGGAAACAAATACACCAATTTTAGACTTAAATAACCAAAAAGTAAATACAGTTTGTTTATAAGAAAATTGCATTTAGACTGCTAGCTGATTTTTCAAGAGAAACAATGAAGAAATATATACTAAAGTATTAGAGGGAATTTCTAAACCATACTCCCAATGAATCTATCTTTTAAGCATAAAGGCAAAATAAAAATACTTTCAGACAAAGAAAACTTGAGATCAACACCAAGAGATTCCAACTAAAGGAATTTCTACATAATAAACTCAGGCAGATGAAGTCTCAGAACCAAGGCCTAAGATGCAAAGAATACTAAGCAAATAACGCAGCATCCATCTCAGTAACATTAACAATATTAACATAAAAAGCAATAATAAAATGTCTAATTTGGGGATGAAACTAGAATGGATAAAGGATTAAACTAGAATGCCAGGCAACAATAACATGTACATTAATATGAGGTAATTAAATTTGAAGAGTTAATGACCTTTTGTTGTTCAGGGGTATTATAAAGACACTGGTGAAAAAAACATATGAGGCAAAGTTTTTCATGTGTCCAGCAGAGGACAAGTAGGAGAATGTTAATACAAGTACTGTTTAAAATAGCAAAAAACCAAGAATGAAAAACATCCACAAAACCCAAAAAGCAAATAAATAAAATAGAAACAACTAATGACAAATTATCAAAAAAGTGTTAAGTGTCTATGAGGTATAATACGGATTCTTCAAACATACAACTCTCTTCAAGTGGTAGATGCACAAAAGTTTATTTTCATAAATAGAGGTTACATGCATTCTTCTGAAGGCATGAAACATTCAGCAGTAAAGAAGAAATATGGACTTTTTCGTTAGGGAGAAAGAAAGAAGAAGAAAGATAAAAGATAAGTCAATTTCATCTATGAATGAATTGCATAAAATCATTATACTCTAAAGAAAATGGTACATGTACATCATGAAATACTATGCAGCCATAAAAGGGAATAAGATTATGTCTTTTGCAGGGACATGGATGAAGCTGGAAGCAATTATCCTCAGCAAACTAACGCAGGAACAGAAAACCAAACACTGCATGTTCTCACTTGTAAGTGGGAGCTAAACAATGAGAACACATGTACACGGGGAGGGGAACAACCTACACTGGGGCCAGTCACAGGGTGGGCTGGGGGAAGGGAGAGCTTTAGGAAAAATAGTTAATCCATGCTGGGCTTCACACCTAGGTGATGCGTTGATAGGTGCAGCAAACCACCATGTCACATGTTTACCTATGTAACAAACCTGCACATCCTGCACATGTACCCCATAACTAAAAATAAAAAAAAATCATCATGCTCATAGAAGTCTTTATTTTAGCAATCTGAAACTTCCCACCCATGCCTGGTTCATGCCCATACATTTACATGAGATCATAGTTGTTGAATTTAAAATCGTACACTCAGAAAATCAATCATTTAATTAATAATTTAAAAAAACGGATCTCCCAATATGAAGATTTTCAGAATGTTCATCATTCTTGCATATTTTTTGAAATAATACCCAAAGACATTCTCAAATTTAATAAAAAATAAAACTAAGAGAGTGCAAATTGGATAAAGAGTGCAATAATATACAAAGAAACAGATAAAATTTACAATATTCTGCATAACCAACTCTTAAGCTCACTGTAAGTATTATTTTAAAAAATAGAGGGTTGGCCGGGCACAGTGGCTCATGCCTGTAATCCCAGCACTTTAGGAGGCTGAGGCGGGTGGATCATGAGGTCAGGAGTTCAAGAACAGCCTGGCCAAGATGGTGAAACCCCTGTCTCTACTAAAAATACAGAAATTAACTGGGCGTGGTGCTGGGCGCCTGTAATCCCAGCTATTCATGGGGCTGAGGCAGGACAATCTCCTGAACCCTGAACCCGGGAGGCGGAGGTTGCAGTGAGCCCAGATTGCACCACTGCATTCCAGCTTGTGCGACAGAGCAAGACCCCATCAAGAAAAAAAATAAATAAAATAAAAAAATTTAAAAAGGGGTTAATATAAAACAAACAAAAAAACCATGAAATTGATGTATACAAACACAGGCAAAAATACATATGATTATACAATCATTGAGATGGGATGCTGAAATTTACTGTGTGATAAGATGCTAAATTATTATTCAGGCAAAGCTATAGGCAATGAGAAATTCTTAAATTTGATTGAAAACTATAAACACACTTCTAAAAGTAAGAGTACTATTAGAAGTATAGAAATTGGATGCAGAAGTTCAAATCATTTAGGACAAAAAGACCAACAAAGAAAGAAATTAAACTAGACAATCCAACAAAAGGCAAAAGAGAGAGGGTAATAACAATTAAAACTAGAAAAATAAAATGAATAAGTTAATATAAATATTCACAAAAAATGTGAAGGAATTAACTTCATTGTTAATGAGAATAAACGATTATTGCTTAGGTAAAAAAAGAAAAGCCAGCTATGTGTTACTTACAAAAGACATACTTAAAATAAAACATGAAACAAAAGTAAAATACAGATCTGGATAACACTGAAACAAAACGCTGAAACAAATGCTAAAGTAGTATTTATTTCAGATGAACTATATGTTTTAAAATATGTGTATAATGAGATGGAATATTTCATAGAAATAAAAATAAGCTTACCAAAAAATTGTATTTTCTATGAGTGTTAAAAAAACTGTATCAAATAAATAATCATAAAAATGATAAATAGAAATATCAAAATTATAACCATTCTTTCAGAACAGAATATATAACAAATAAAATTAGCAATGATATACAGAATTTGAAACCAAAGCCTCAAAAACTTTAAAAACCTATTTTTATATGTTTAATTTTATTCTTAGGAAGAAAAAAATACATAATTTTTAAAATTATATAGTTTAATATATAATTAGAGTGAGTCACAAAGAATATTTCAATATGTTCAAAAATTAGCAGTCGTGTGTGTATTACATTGACGTCATAACTGCAATATAGAGAATTTGTGATTTTAAAATTATGAGAAAATAGAATGTACAAGTTTTTGCAAATATACTTTAGATTAATTAAAAATAGTCCAGTACTAGCCTACATAGAATGAGCATAGCAGATACTCTCTCTCTTTTACGTTGTTAAATGTAAAAGAACATTTTAACATTTACAATTAAGAGCAGGAGATAAAATATTTATAGCAGCTACCCCAAAAAATCTTAAAACTTAACCATATTAAGCAAATTAGGACCTGAAGACAAAAATTACAGAGCTACTCATATAGGATTAGTATCTCACTTTTTTGTTTTGTTTTGCTAATTTCCTGGCTATAATCTCAGAGTAGTTCCCATGTAGGAACATGCAGGCAGCAGAGGACGGAAAGCTTTGGCATTTATGGTCAAAAGATTGGGGGAAAGGCCCTGCCAGCTAAAGAGAGCTAGCGTGTAATAGAATAAATTGTATCTCTTCCCTCACCCCAGCACCCCCACCAAAATTTGTATTGAAACCCTAACCCCCAATGTGACTGTATTTACAGACAGAGCCTTTAAGAGTTAATTAAGATTAAATTAGGTCATAAGGGTGGGCTGTCATCTGATAGGGCTGGTGTCTTAATAAGAGGAGGAAGAAACACCAGGTCTCTCTCTCTCTCTCTCTCTCTCTCTCTCTCTCTCTCTCTCTCTCTCTCTCTCTCTCTCTCTCTCTCTCCACGGAGAAGAGACAGTGTGAAGGCAGCTTTCTGCAAACCAGAAAATGAGCTCTTACCACAAAGCAACCATATTGGCATCTTGATCTTGGACTTCCAGCCTCCAGAACTGTGAGAAAATAAATTTCTGTTGTTTAAGTCACCCAGTCTTTGGGGTTTTGTTATGGCAGCCCTACTAGGCTAATATGAGGTGGGATTCCTATTTATGTACTTTTTATTTTTTTCTCTTTTTTTCTCTCCTGACCCTGCCAAGGGTGGTCCTGATCACTGGGCTGTGCTGCAGAGGTGGCAGCGTAGACAGTTAAAACCCAGAGAGAAAAACATCTTTCTGGCCAGAATAATAGAAAAAATAAAGCCCTGTGATCTCTATGTGTGAAACTCCCAGTATATATTTTTTCTTTCATTATTATCTTGGTGCTATTTAGAGGATCTCCTCAGTCACATGATATTGTGTTGAAGTGCAGTTTGCTGAAATGGAAAGATATCTCTATTTCTAGACAGAACACCAGGAAAAGCATTCTCTGGGCGTCAGAAAGTGTGGGCAAAGAGAATCCTTTAATTCGGTAAATGAATAAACATAAGTCTTGGCTTACTCCTGGCCTGTGCATTTATGAGACAGACCAAAGGAGTATAGCTACTTTGACATTAGAACCACTGCCCAAAAAGGTGAGACAGAATTCTCAGTCTATACATAACCAGGTAGATGATCTGCTTAAACAAAAGACTCACCATTGTTTAGAACATTTTAACAAAACTAAAAGTCTGTGGAACATACTGTCATCCCTTGGTATCCACAGGGGATTAGTTCAAGGACACCCACAGATGCTAAAATCTGCAGATGCTCAAGTTCCCTATATAAAATGGCATAGTAGTATTTGCATATAACACTCTTGCATCTTTCCATAGGCTTTAAATCATCTATAGATTACTTATAATACCTAATATAATGTTAATGCTATGTGAATAGTTTATACTGTATTTTTTATTTGTATTATGTTTACTGTTGTGTTGTTTTCTTTTTTTCTGATATGTTCAGGTGGTTGAATTTACAGATGCAGAACCAGTGGATATGGAGGGACAACTGTATTAAAAATATCTGAGACACAATTCAAAGTCAACCAACAGATAAAGAGCCAGGGAAATTCTTAAGAGAAAAGATTAGCAACAGGTTTCAATTCTAAAATGTCCCAGAATTTGGAATTATCAAACAAAAATTTTAAAACAACTATTATTAACTATGTTCCATAAGGTAAAATAAACACTGTTAAAATTAAAGGGAAGATTGAAATTTTCAGCAAAGAAATAGAAAGTATAAAATGAGAATCAAATGGAGAATGGAAATATAACAAAATATCTGTAATACTTGGATGCTGGAAACTAAAAAAAAAAACAAAAACAAAAACAAATTGCACATGAAAATTAAAGAAGACCAGATGAATGGAGAGATATATTATGCTCATTGTTTGAAAGATTCAAAATTAAGACATTAATCTCCCAAAACTGAACATGTAAATAATTTAGAATAGCCAAAATTATATTTTAAAAGAACAAAGTTGGAGGATTTGAACTGACTTAGTGACTCATCTATAGTAGTTGTAATCAACAGTGTGGTAGTGCAAAAGGTTAGATATATAGATCAATAGAACAGAACTGTCAGTCCAGAAATAGGCTCATATATTTGGTGCTGGAAAAACTATCTTCATATTTATATGAAAATATAGTTTTACCCTTACCTCACATCATAAGTGAAAATGAACTTGAGATGGAATAATTACTTAATTTGAAAAGCTAAAGCAATATTTCTGGAAGGAATCAGAGAAGAAAATCTTTGTAACCTTGGTGTAGGCAAATATTTCTTAAATAAAATACACACAGAACACACATATATCCATAATTTGTGAATTGAACCTTATCAAAATTAAGAATATTTGCTCTTGGAAAGAATTTGTGAACAAAATAAAAGAGCAACCAAGGAATGGGAAAAATAATTGGAATATGAATACCTGTCAAATACTTGTATCCAGAATATATAAAGAATTCCTACAACTCAATAATAACACAAATAACAAAATTTAAAAGTAAATAGATAAACAAATACTTTACAAGGCAAGATATATGGATGGCAGATATGCACTTTTAAGATTTTAATATTCTCGTAACCATTAGCCAGCAGACAATGCAAATTTGAACCATAATAAATATGCCTACATACCCACTAAAGTAACTACATTTTTAAAAACTGACAACACCTAGTGTTGGTGAAGATGTACATCCACTAGGACTCTCATGCACACTGCTGGGAATGTAAAATCATACAGTCACTCTGGTAAACCCCTTGAAATATAAAGTTAAACACACCCAAAACATACAGTCCACCCATTTCACCTCTAGATTCTTCCCCAAGAGAAACAAATTAAAAATATGTCCCCATAAAGACTTATACATAAATATTTATAGAAGCTTTATCCATAAGAACCAAAAAAGCTGGATATAACCCAATTGTCCATCAAGGGTAAGTGGTACAAAAATGTAATATATTCACTCAGTAGAATATTTCTCAGCAATAAAAAGAATAAGCTATGGATACATACAGTTATATATGCATGCATATCAAAAATATGCCGAATAAAAAATTTCAGTCGCAAAACCATACATGCTTTATGATTTTATTATTTATAAAATTCCAGAAAGCAGTCAAGTCTACTCAAAGTCATCTGATTCTTGGTTTCTTAGTACATCTACATATGCAAAAATTGTTGAGACATTAATAAAAAAGAATACTGAAGAAGACATTGCTTTGTTAGATATAAAATTGCATTTAAAACCTATATATATTAAAATATTACAATAATGGCCCACAATAAAGCAAATAGATTAATTGAATTAATTAGGTCCAGAAGTAGCACCAAGTAAATACAGAAATTGATAAATTATTAAGGTAGATTTTAATATCAAAAGTGAAAGAATACACTATTTACTAAATTGCTTTAGGAACAATTGGAGAAAAAGAGCAATGTTGAAAATAAAATAAAATTATATCCCTGCCTCTCAGATTTTGTACAAAGTGAATTCTAAATCAATAAAATATGTAAACATAATTAAATCATATAAAGTGATTAAATTTTCAAATTAGACAATTTTTACAATATTGAGGATAGGACAGTTTTCCAACAATGATATCAAACCTAAAATACAAAAGGAAAATTTGACAACTTAACTATGAAATAATTAATAGGTTTTATGATAGCATGATATTCAGTGACACATGGCAAGGTCGGAAAATGTTTCATAGTATTTTATCAAGTATAACTGAAACCTATAAGAAGCATCAAAAACTAATAATGAAAAAATAAAAAGCCAAAAAGTTTTAATTAAAAAGAAAGTCTGAAAAAGTAGAGAGTCACCTGGAGGTTAAGACCAAGTATGTTAAAATTCTCTATTATGGCCAGAAATAATCCAAACATTTAGCTATTTCTAAGAATTGTCAGTAAGAGAATGTATAAAAGGTTGAAAATTTTTGAAAAACAAAAATAATGTGAGAAATTATCTCACATGTAAATGAATACTAACATTACTAGAATCACAGAATTACACTGGTTGCATTTAGTAGTCTAATTGGAATTGGGAGGAACAGAAAAAAGGAGTCTTCATTTTTTACTCTTCATTAAAGTATTAAAATATTACAATAATGGTCCATAATAAAGCAAATAGATTAACTGAATTAGGTTAGGTCCATAAGTACTACTTCTGGACTACTTAATAAAAAAGTACTATGTAAAAAGATATTAAAACCTTTTTTTTTAATTTTTATTTTTTATTTATTATTATACTTTAAGTTTTAGGGTACATGTGCACAATGTGCAGGTTAGTTACATATGTATATATATGACATGCTGGTGCGCTGCACCCACTAACTCGTCATCTAGCATTAGGTATATCTCCCAATACTATCCCTCCCCCCTCCCCCCAAACCACAACAGTCCCCAGAGTGTGATGTTCCCCTTCCTGTGTCCATGTGTTTTCATGTTCAATTCCCACCTATGAGTGAGAATATGCGGTGTTTGGTTTTTTGTTCTTGCGATAGTTTACTGAGAATGATGATTTCCAATTTCATCCATGTCCCTACAAAGGACATGAACTCATCGTTTTTTATGGCTACATAGTATTCCATGGTGTATATGTGCCACATTTTCTTTTTTTTTTTTTTTTTTTGAGACGCCACATTTTCTTTATCCAGTCTATCGTTGGACATTTGGGTTGGTTCCAAGTCTTTGCTATTGTGAATGATGCCGCAATAAACATACGTGTGCATGTGTCTTTATAGCAGCATGATTTATAGTCCTTTGGGTATATACCCAGTAATGGGATGGCTGGGTCAAATGGTATTTCTAGTTCTAGATCCCTGAGGAATCGCCACACTGACTTCCACAATGGTTGAACTAGTTTACAGTCCCACCAACAGTGTAAAAGTGTTCCTATTTCTCCACATCCTCTCCAGCACCGGTTGTTTCCTGACTTTTTAATGATTGCCATTCTAACTGGTGTGAGATGGTATCTCATTGTGGTTCTAATTTGCGTTTCTTTGATGGCCAGTGATGGTGAGCATTTTTTCATGTGTTTTTTGGCTGCATAAATGTCTTCTTTTGAGAAGTGTCTGTTCATGTCCTTTGCCCACTTTTTGATGGGGTTGTTTGTTTTTCCCTTGTAAATTTGTTTGAGTTCATTGTAGATTCTGGATATTAGCCCTATGTCAGATGAGTAGGTTGTGAAAATTTTCTCCCATTTTGTAGGTTGCCTGTTCACTCTGATGGTAGTTTCTTTTGCTGTGCAGAAGCTCTTTAGTTTAATTAGATCCCATTTGTCAATTTTGGCTTTTGTTGCCATTGCTTTTGGTGTTTTAGACAGGAAGTCCTTGCCCATGCCTATGTCCTGAATGGTAATGCCTAGGTTTTCTTCTAGGGTTTTTATGGTTTTAGGTCTAACGTTTAAGTCTTTAATCCATCTTGAATTGATTTTTGTATAAGGTGTAAGGAAGGGATCCAGTTTCAGCTTTCTACATATGGCTAGCCAGTTTTCCCAGCACCATTTATTAAATAGGGAATCCTTTCCCCATTGCTTGTTTTTCTCAGGTTTGTCAAAGATGAGATGGTTATAGATGTGTGGTATTATTTCTGAGGGCTCTGTTCTGTTCCATTGATCTATATCTCTGTTTTGGTACCAGTACCATGCTGTTTTGGTTACTGTAGCCTTGTAGTATAGTTTGAAGTCAGGTAGCGTGATGCCTCCAGCTTTGTTCTTTTGGCTTAGGATTGACTTGGCAATGCAGGCTCTTTTTTGGTTCCATATGAACTTTAAAGTAGTTTTTTCCAATTCTGTGAAGAAAGTCATTGGTAGTTTGATGGGGATGGCATTGAATCTGTAAATTACCTTGGGCAGTATGGCCATTTTCACGATATTGATTCTTCCTACCCATGAGCATGGAATATTCTTCCATTTGTTTGTATCCTCTTTTATTTCCTTGAGCAGTGGTTTGTAGTTCTCCTTGAAGAGGTCCTTCCCATCCCTTGTAAGTTGGATTCCTAGGTATTTTATTCTCTTTGAAGCAATTGTGAATGGGAGTTCACCCATGATTTGGCTCTCTGTTTGTCTGTTATTGGTGTATAAGAATGCTTGTGATTTTTGTACACTGATTTTGTATCCTGAGACTTTGCTGAAGTTGCTTATCAGCTTAAGGAGATTTTGGGCTGAGACAATGGGGTTTTCTAGATATACAATCATGTCATCTGCAAACAGGGACAATTTGACTTCCTCTTTTCCTAATTGAATACCCTTTATTTCCTTCTCATGCCTAATTGCCCTGGCCAGAACTTCCAACACTATGTTGAATAGGAGTGGTGAGAGAGGGCATCCCTGTCTTGTGCCAGTTTTCAAAGGGAATGCTTCCAGTTTTTGCCCATTCAGTATGATATTGGCTGTGGGTTTGTCATAGATAGCTCTTATTATTTTGAAATATGTCCCATCAATACCTAATTTATTGAGAATTTTTAGCATGAAGCGGTGTTGATTTTTGTCAAAGGCCTTTTCTGCATCTATTGAGATAATCATGTGGTTTTTGTCTTTGGCTCTGTTTATATGCTGGATTACATTTATTGATTTGCGTATATTGAACCAGCCTTGCATCCCAGGGATGAAGCTGCTTGATCATGGTGGATAAGCTTTTTGATGTGCTGCTGGATTCAGTTTGCCAGTATTTTATTGAGGATTTTTGCATCAATGTTCATCAAGGATATTGGTCTAAAATTCTCTTTTTTGGTTGTGTCTCTGCCTGGCTTTGGTATCAGGATGATGCTGGCCTCATAAAATGAGTTAGGGAGGATTCTCTCTTTTTCTATTGATTGGAATAGTTTCAGAAGGAATGGTAGCAGTTTCTCCTTGTACCTCTGGTAGAATTCGGCTGTGAATCCATTTGGTCCTGGACTCTTTTTGGTTGGTAAGCTATTAATTATTGCCACAATTTCAGATCCTGTTATTGGTCTATTCAGAGATTCAACTTCTTCCTGGTTTAGTCTTGGGAGTTTGTATGTGTCAATGAATTTATCCATTTCTTCTAGATTTTCTAGTTTATTTGCGTAGAGATGTTTGTAGTATTCTCTGATGGTAGTTTGTATTTCTGTGGGATCGGTGATGATTTCCCCTTTATCATTTTTTATTGCATCTATTTGATTCTTCTCTCTTTTTTTCTTTATTAGTCTTGCTAGTGGTCTATCTATTTTGTTGATCCTTTCAAAAAACCAGCTCCTGGATTCATTAATTTTTTGAAGGGTTTTTTGTGTCTCTATTTCCTTCAGTTCTGCTCTGATTTTAGTTATTTCTTGCCTTCTGCTAGCTTTTGAATGTGTTTGCTCTTGCTTTTCTAGTTCTTTTAATTGTGATGTTAGAATGTCAATTTTGGATCTTTCCTGCTTTCTCTTGTGGGCATGTAGTGCTATAAATTTCCCTCTACACACTGCTTTGAATGCATCCCAGAGATTCTGGTACGTTGTGTCTTTGTTCTCATTGGTTTCAAAGAACATCTTCATTTCTGCCCTCATTTCTTTACGTACCCAGTAGTCATTCAGGAGCAGGTTGTTCAGTTTCCATGTAGTTGAGCAGTTTTGAGTGAGATTCTTAATCCTGAGTTCTAGTTTGATTGTAATGTGGTCTGAGAGATAGTTTGTTATAATTTCTGTTCTTTTACATTTGCTGAGGAGAGCTTTACTTCCAAGTATGTGGTCAATTTTGGAATAGGTGTTGTGTGGTGCTGAAAAAAATGTATATTCTGTTGATGTGGGGTAGAGAGTTCTGTAGATGTCTATTAGGTCTGCTTGGTGCAGACCTGAGTTCAATTCCTGGATATCCTTGTTAACTTTCTGTCTCGTTGATCTGTCTAATGTTGACAGTGGGGTGTTAAAGTCTCCCATTATTATTGTGTGGGAGTCTAAGTCACTTTATAAGTCACTAAGGACTTGCTTTATGAATCTGGGTGCTCCTGTATTGGGTGCATATATATTTAGGATAGTTAGCTCTTCTTGTTGAATTGATCCCTTTACCATTATGTAATGGCCTTCTTTGTCTCTTTTGATCTTTGTTGGTTTAAAGTCTGTTTTATCAGAGACTAGGATTGCAACCCCTGCCTTTTTTTGTTTTCCATTTACTTGGTAGATCTTCCTCCATCCCTTTATTTTGAGCCTATGTGTGTCTCTGCACGTGAGATGGGTTTCCTGAATACAGCACCCTGATGGGTGTTGACTCTTTATCCAATTTGCCAGTCTGTGTCTTTTAATTGGAGCATTTAGTCCATTTACATTTAAAGTTAATATTGTTATGTGTGAATTTGATCCTGTCATTATGATGTTAGCTGGTGATTTTGCTCGTTAGTTGATGCAGTTTCTTCCTAGTCTTGATGGTCTTTACATTTTGGCATGATTTTGCAGCGGCTGGTACCGGTTGTTCCTTTCCATGTTTAGCACTTCCTTCAGGAGCTCTTTTAGCCAGGCCTGGTGGTGACAAAATCTCTCAGCATTTGCTTGTCTGTAAAGTATTTTATTTCTCCTTCACTTATGAAGCTTAGTTTGGCTGGATATGAAATTCTGGGTTGAAAATTCTTTTCTTTAAGAATGTTGAATATTGGCCCCCACTCTCTTCTGGCTTGTAGAGTTTCTGCCGAGAGATCCGCTGTTAGTCTGATGGGCTTCCCTTTGAGGGTAACCCAACCTTTCTCTCTGGCTGCCCTTAACATTTTTTCCTTCATTTCAACTTTGGTGAATCTGACAATTATGTGTCTTGGAGTTACTCTTCTCAAGTAGTATCTTTGTGGTGTTCTCTGTATTTCCTGAATCTGAATGTTGGCCTGCCTTGCTAGATTGGGGAAGTTCTCCTGGGTAATATCCTGCAGAGTGTTTTCCAACTTGGTTCCATTCTCCCCGTCACTTTCAGGTACACCAATCAGACGTAGATTTGGTCTTTTCACATAGTCCCATATTTCCTGGATGCTTTGCTCTTTTCTTTTTATTCTTTTTTCTCTAAACTTCCCTTCTCACTTCATTTCATTCATTTCATCTTCCATCGCTGTTACCCTTTCTTCCAGTTGATCGCATCGGCTCCTGAGGCTTCTGCATTCTTCACGTAGTTCTCGAGCCTTGGTTTTCAGCTCCATCAGCTCCTTTAAGCACTTCTCTGTATTGGTTAGTCTAGTTATACATTCTTCTAAATTTTTTTCAAAGTTTTCAACTTCTTTGCCTTTGGTTTGAATGTCCTCCTGTAGCTCGGAGTAATTTGATCCTCTGAAGCCTTCTTCTCTCAGCTCGTCAAAGTCATTCTCCGTCCAGCTTTGTTCCGTTGCTGGTGAGGAACTGCATTCCTTTGGAGGAGGAGAGGCACTCTGCTTTTTAGAGTTTCCAGTTTTTCTGCTCTGTTTTTTTCCCCATCTTTGTGGTTTTATCTACTTTTGGTCTTTGATGATGGTGATGTACAGATGGGTTTTTGGTGTGGATGTCCTTTCTGTTTGTTAGTTTTCCTTCTAACAGACAGGACCCTCAGCTGCAGGTCTGTTGGAGTACCCAGCCGTGTGAGGTGTCAGTTTGCCCCTGCTGGGGGGTGCCTCCCAGTTAGGCTGCTCGGGGGTCAGGGGTCAGGGACCCACTTGAGGAGGCAGTCTGCCTGTTCTCAGATCTCCAGCTGCGTGCTGGGAGAACCACTGCTCTCTTCAAAGCTGTCAGACAGGGACACTTAAGTCTGCAGAGGTTACTGCTGTCTTTTTGTTTGTCTGTGCCCTGCCCCCAGAGGTGGAGCCTACAGAGGCAGGCAGGCCTCCTTGAGCTGTGGTGGGCTCCACCCAGTTGGAGCTTCCCGGCTGCTTTGTTTACCTAAGCAAGCCTGGGCAATGGCTGGCGCCCCTCCCCCAGCCTCGCTGCCGCCTTGCAGTTTGATCTCAGACTGCTGTGCTAGCAATCAGCGAGACTCTGTGGGCGTAGGACCCTCCGAGCCAGATGCGGGACACAATATCCTGGTGCGCCGTGTTTTAAGCCCATCGGAAAAGAGCGGTATTCGGGTGGGAGTGACCCGATCTTCCAGGTGCCATCTGTCACCCCTTTCTTTGACTAGGAAAGGGAACTCCCTGACCCCCTGCGCTTCCCTAGTGAGGCAATGCCTCGCCCTGCTTTGGCTCGCGCATGGTGCGCTGCACCCACTGACCTGCGTCCACTGTCTGGCACTCCCTAGTGAGATGAACCCGGTACCTCAGATGGAAATGCAGAAATCCCCCTTCTTCTGTGTCGCTCACTCTGGGAGCTGTAGACCGGAGCTGTTCCTATTCAGCCATCTTGGCTCCTCCTTAAAAACTTTTCATACATTCTCTTAATAAAAAAATACTGAAGAAGAAAGTATTCTTATATTATGAAGTAAGAGAATGTATGAAAGAGAATGTATGAAAAGTTGAAAATTTTTTTTGCAATCTACTCATCTGACAAAGGGCTAATATCCAACAAATGAACTCCAACAAATTTGCAAGAAAAAAACAACCCCATCAAAAAGTGGGCAAAGGATATGAACAGACACTTCTCAAAAGAAGACATTTATGCAGCCAAAAGACACATGAAAAAATGCTCATCATCACTGGCCATCAGAGAAATGCAAATGAAAACCACAACAAGATACCATCTCACACCAGTTAGAATGACAATCATTAAAAAGTCAGGAAACAACAGGTGCTGGAGAGGATGTGGAGAAATAGGAACACTTTTACACTGTTGGTGGGACTGTAAACTAGTTCAACCATTGTGGAAGTCAGTGTGGCGATTCCTCAGGGATCTAGAACTAGAAATACCATTTGACCCAGCCATCCCATTACTGGGTACATACCCGAAGCATTATTAATCATGCTGCTATAAAGACACATGCACACATATGTTTATTGCGGCATTATTCACAATAGCAAACACTTGGAACCAACCCAAATGTCCAACAATGATAGACTGGATAAAGAAAATGTGGCACATATACACCATGGAATACTATGCAGCCATAAAAAATGATGAGTTCATGTCCTTTGTAGGGACATGGATGAAGCTGGAAACCATCATTCTCAGCAAACTATCGCAAGGACAAGAAACCAAACAACGCATGTTCTCATAGGTGGGAATTGAACAATGAGAACACATGGACACAGGAAGGGGAACATCACACACCGAGGCCTGTTGTGGGGTGGGGAGAGGGGGGAGGGATAGCATTTGGAGATATAGGTGATGTTAAATGACAAATTACTGGGTGCAGCACACCAACATGGCACATGTATACATATGTAACTATCCTGCATGTTGTGCACATGTACCCTAAAAGTTAAAGTATAATTAAAAAAAAAGAAAAAGTTGAAAATTTTTGAAAAACAAAAATAATGTGAGAAATTATCTCCCATGTAAATGAATGCCAACATCACTAGAAAGAATCACCAAGTTATTCACACTCGTTGCATTTAGTGAGCTAATTGGAATTAGGAGGAACAGAAAAAAGGGTCTTTATTTTTCACTCTTCATGCCTTGTATCTGTATCCCCAACAGTGGTTTCAGCTGTTAGTTTTTGTTTGCTTGCACGTTTTATTTTCATTTTTGTTGTTTTACTTTTCATATTCACAATTGTCACCACATAATATATTTTTTCCTCCAAAACTGGTCACAGATATGTACTGTCTCTTCAGTTGCCAGTTATTTGGCTCCTCTTCAAAATAAGTTCCTAGGTCTCTTTTTTGTGTTAAGCACTTAGACCATTCATGACAGGCAAGCATAAGAGTTAAAAGAATTAAATATATGCATGCATATTATTTATATTTAATATGCATGTATATTATTTATATCTGTATATGTATGTATAAGTATGAATATGTATGTGTCTATTTGCATATGTGTGTGTTTTTGAATATAGAGAAATATAGATTATAATACCAAGGTTCTAAACAATTTAAGTGTTCTCTGTTATTCTCTCTTGTTTTTATTGACCTTTCTTAGGTGGTACTGCAAAGCCCCAGCCATTGCTGTCATTTTGTGACTTCTGAAATTTTTTGTCATAGTTCCCCACTTTTCTTTAGGTCTGTAAGAAAATTTCAGTTCAAAGACACTTATATTTAAAGCAGAATTCATAATGTAAGAAACCATACAAATGTATTTTCAAGGTAGATACACTGAATTTTTTTGTGGCACTATGAGTTCTTTAATTATTTTCTTTTATTTTTATGTTAACATAATATATTCAGGTTTAAAAGGGAAGTGTCTTCATAATCATGGAAACAAAAAGCAATGTTCTGCACAGGATTTCTCTCATACTTTGGATTCAGGTTTAAGATCCTGCTCAAACCAAATGCAGCTCTTCTGCAACTGTGGAGGGCAAATAGAAAAAGAACTGAGATTGACTTAACAAGTAGAAGATACCTTCATTCCCCAAAAGAGAGAAAAGGAGATTACAACTAATTTACTACTCATACAAATTTTCACTAGTTCAATCAATGTTGTGGAATGGGAAATTAAGTTTTGCCTAATGATATACAGTTAAATCCTGCAATGGTGAAAGAACCTAGTCCACAGTAGTCAGCACCACATTGCAGTGTAATCAGCTGTTTGGTTTCATCAAAACAATATCATCTGCAATAGTAGGCTAATAGTAATTGTATTTCGATTTTGAATATTAGATATTTTATTTTATAATTTTATTTTGATTTTAAAATTCTTTAAAACTCTAAGAATGAGTTTATAATTAGTTTTAGGTTTACATATATTCAAATAAAGTTAATATAAAATGATCAATGTTAAATGTGGGAGTCCTTAAGAAGTTATATCCCAAAGATCTGCTTTTATTCCTAAGTGTAAGAAGCATTACTCAGGTAATTCTTTAACCTGTTAGCATTTCTTCAGTGAACCATCATGTTCGTCTACTTGCCATTTTATCACCCACTCCCAGTAGTGCACTGGAGACCCAAGCAGAATTTTGCAATACCTGATATTGGGAAAGATTATCCTAATTGCTTCTATGAGGATTGAATGATATTGATTCATTCAATAACATTGACCTTATTTTTTTAACCACTTTAAGTATGCATATAAGTATAGCAGTGCAATTCTTTGGTAGAGATTTTTAAAGTTCCTTCCAAATAATTTGTATTTATTGGGGAGAAAAAATAGGCAAATTTATTATTACACACGATGCTCAGAGATGAATGAGGTAGGATCAAAGATTAATCTGATATGTTTCCTTGTTGAAAATCAGTAAAATAGGCCATTGAAAAATTGATTTATTAGAAATCTTTCATATTAGTAGACTGTATTTTTCTAAAATCATTACCATTTATTTCTGTCTAGAGCTTGAAAGAAATGTTTTAATATTTAATTTTATTTATTTAACTTTTATTTTAAGTTGAGGGGTACAGATGCAGGTTTATTATATAGGTAAACTTGTGTTGTGGAGGTTTGTTGTACAGATTATTTCATCACCCAGGTATTAAGCCTAGTACCCAATAGTTATTTTTCCTGATCCTCTCCCTCCTCCCACATTCTATCCACTGAAAGGCCCCAGTGTTGTTCCCTGCTATGTGTCCAAATGTTATCATTTAGCTCCCACTTATAAGTGAGAACATGTGGTATTTGTTTTTATGTTTCTGTGTTAGTTTGCTAAGGATAATAGCCTCCAGTTCCATCCATGTCCCTGCCAAGCACATGATCTCATTCCTTTTTATGGCAGCATAGTATTCCATGGTGTATATGTACCACTTTTTCTTGATCCAGTCTATCACTGATGGGCATTTAGGTGAACTGCATGTCTTTTCTGTTGTGAACAGTGCTGCAATGATAGAGAACCCAGAAATAAGAATATTTAATTTTAAATATTTTTAAATTTTATTTAATATCAGCTATACTTAGTTAAACTTTTAGTTAAAATTCTACAATGTTAAATCTTCTGAATCTTACAGGATAAAAATTTTAAACCCCTGGTTTTGCCAATGAGTTAAAAAATTTTGGAGATGCCAACTTTTATACTTGCTAAGTAAGGACATTAGAAAATAAACTATCAACATCAATTATCACCATTATTTAACTGAAAAACAGTATGAAAAGATACTGGAAAAAAGGATGATCTTTATATTGAATAAACTTAGATTCTTGGGCTATTTGCTGTATTGCTTGTATTTTTCTCTTTTGGAGGGAACTGGTGAAAATTTATACACCTGGCTACTAAAAGACTTCTGAGGAACTGTGCGAGTAAATAGTCCTCAGGCACAGCTGCTTTACAGATTCTAATTCTGCTTTCTTAATCAAGGTTCTCAGATTATAGAGAAAAGCTAGCTGTCTGTTAGCCACTTTTCTCTCAGGGTTAATTAAAGGCCTGAAATATCTTTGTTGAGATACAAGGTATTGCATTCAAATTAAGTGTTATGAGACCGTGTCAAGAGTTTTGACATTATTTTATTGGAATATATTTTAATATAAAAATATGATATTTTGAAACACATTTTAGTATAATAATTTTCTTTTGACTTTAAAAATCTTGAAAAACATATTTTAGATAACAAATTTTATAAAGCACTATTATACAATGCAAGATCATTGGAAACTTATTTTTACCAATAATTTTTACCCTTAAAAGATACACTAGCAGTTATATTTTCATTATATCCTACAGTGTAGAAAAATTTTAAATAATATGTGAAAAAAATCAATAAAGATAAAAGTCTTTATCATCCTATGTTAACATTTTAGAGCAAAATGTAATTCAAAACATTAATCTCCCACAAGTTAAATATTCTCTTGCTCTCTGAAGTACTTTCTTTGCTTCACTAGTTTGGCTTTTTTTTGAAGTGCAGTTTTCATATGAACAATTTCTAGTAGACCTTCCAGATATACAGCATCTTGTTAAAAATTCATGCCAGCCAGAATACAAGAAGGTCAGAAAATGCCTTTGAATTTACGCCATGGTCTTTTCGATAATTCATTCAGGTTTTAAAAGGGAAATTCCTCATTAAGTAAAGGACCTAATGCTTATTAATTTATATGCTTAAACAAGGGACTCCACTAATTCATTTATTAAATATCAAAGACCATATGTTTTCACCCCTGTCCTTGCTTATTGATTAATTGTCTTCAGCCAATAGAGAGGAAAGCAGGGGGAAATCTAGTAACCGAGGTAAGCTTCCATCTCCTTTTTAAACTTAATGAAAAATGGCACTTCTTTATATCCCTACGCAAAATCCCAAATGACACATTTTAAAATGAGTTTTCTTGTGTAGGTGTGGAGTTTGCAATACTTGAGAGATGCGATTCAATCATTTAGATGCAATGGGGATGATATGCACAAGTGGAGAAAATAAATGTAAGAGAAGCAGTATTGCGCTATGAAATGACTCGAATGTCCAAATTTAACTTATTCTTCATGGCTGCAATTAACACATCATAACACTTTGCTCAAAGTATATTAACTGCAGATAATAAATGTTCAGGGGACAAAAGGGTGAAGCAGGAAAGCATAATTTTGGATCAAATCAGGTTAAGCAATAGTGGCTAAAACATAAACAAAACCAAAATTTTATAGGTAGATATAAATAGAAATATGAAATATATAGAATATATGTAGTTCTTTCTTGACTGGTTTTTGGGTTGTAGATATATTTGTTTTTTTTTTGGTTTATTTTTCTCTTTATCGGTTAGATTATCCTTGATTGCAACCAAAGGAAAGACCCAGCCTAAATTAAGCAAAGGAGGAATATAATTTAAGTATATCTAGTATCTCACAGAATTGACAAGAAAAATAGAGAATAGCTTGGAAAACACAGAAGCCAGGGTCTGAATAGTAAGAATTTTTAAAAAATTCTTTCGGGAAACCACCATGAAATGCATGAGCACCAAATGCCTTTGGTTGATTATTTCAGCCCTTGGGTCACTCTGGTTAATTCAAACCCAGAGGAGATAGACTTCAATTGGACTGCTTTAGTTACCTATGTCTGCTTCTATGTATGAAGGGCACCTCTTATATGCAGTTCCGCCAGTACTACACATATAGTGGATAAGTAACTACCGGAAAGAGATCAAGGTGCTATTTGCCAAAGAAAGGGAATTCTGGATAACTTGAAATATAATGATACTCACTACAATACAGGATTCTCAAGAATATTTTTGTATGTGCAGTTTTCTAAATTTATTTGACATTGAAACTTTTTGGGGTTTTATTTGTTTGTATTTATTTTGGAGCATTTGTGAGACATTCTTAAAAAGTAGTGTTTTAAGATATTGCCTTTGGGAAGCACTGCCTTAGGAGCACAGCTTGAGTCATCAGGCTATATTGCCTATAGAGAAAACACTTGACTAGTGTTAACTGATGCTATTTTTACAAAGTCTCATCTAGGTCTAGTAAGTCGTTTGGATTCCTATGTTTTTGTGCATAAAAATGTGTATGTATAAATGGATAGCAGAATGAAATGTTCTATATTTTAATGTAAAAAAGCAAAGAGAGGCCCTTAACCAAACATATATCTATTTTTATAGGCTCTTTTACCATTCCTCCACACTTTGAGACATCGAAAGAAGAAAGGATGACAATTAGCAGCAATGACAGTAGCAGTAACAACAGCAGCAGTTACTGTTTGTGGAGGATTTTCTATGTGCCAGGACTATTTTAAACACTTTACATTCATTATTCTATTTAATTATCACAACACTCTGATGCAGTATGTATTATATTTAATATTCTAATTTTATAGATGAGAAAATATGAACAAAAAAGTAGCATGCCCGGTCACACAGCTAATAAGATTGAAAATCACAGGACTTTGTTTTATGAATATATACAAGTATCTTATCTCAGTGTTCATGCTTTTTTATTCATTCATTTAACTAATATATAATGAACATCTACTGAGAAGTAAAATAATTTTAAATACTTAAATGTTATTATTCTGTTTAAGGTCTTGGCAGAACTTTAGTCTTTCACTGGCAGAAACTTTGGCTGAATAAGTATTTATTAAAGTAACAGGAAACACACCTCATCTAACTGAGAGTAAAAATTGTCATGGCTTTTGGCATATATTTCTGTTCACTGATTTATTAGCCTTTAAAAACGTGCAAAATTAAATATGTGCAACTGACACCACAGTAAGGATTATGGTTAATTCATTTTATAATCATATCTCAGACATTTTATGAGAGCTAGATGATTTAAAATCTGATGTGGGATATAGATCTTTCACTCATTCAATTTGATTATGGTCAGGAGGTCCTGAGCCATGGAAAGAACATTTATTACCTGCTTAGTTTACTAGGGCAATATTTATACATAGTTATCTATAATTCGAAGAATACTTTGAAGAGAAATGCCAAAGCTTGTTTCTCTTTCACAGCATGTTTACAGACTTCAAAACTAAATGGAAGTCATTGAGAACTTATTTTCAACAATTTTGTATTTCATTATTCAAAGAAAGAAAAACTCGCTTAAAGTCATAATTGTTAATGCTAATTTTGTGACAAATTAATATATTTGAATGACTTAAATATTCTCACAGCTACTAAATATAGATTGTTTTATAAGATGTACATTTTACTCTTTATATACGTGAGTACATGACTCCTAGTTGAAGTTCAGCAGTTAAGATTGAATTACTAATGATTTGAAAATTGATGATATATCAAATTTCATCATAAGCCAGAAAACACAGTTCTACCTTCTTCAAAATCTCCATGGCCATTTGAAATAGAACATAGAAGGAGATTGGTAATAAATATATAAGTTGTCTTATATAAATTTTTCTTCAAGAAAGAACAACTGCCCATATTGGAAGACGACTAGAAACCTCTACTTGTCACTTCATTTCTGATGTTAAACAAATTGCTTGTCCCT
Source organism: Homo sapiens (assembly GCF_000001405.40). Classification (NCBI taxonomy): domain Eukaryota; kingdom Metazoa; phylum Chordata; class Mammalia; order Primates; family Hominidae; genus Homo; species Homo sapiens. The sequence goes on along the minus strand of NC_000003.12, from coordinate 176,008,591 downwards.
CTGGACCTTGTGTTAAATAAATGTTAGACCTGTCAGGAAACTAATAGGAAACTTGTCCAAATGCTCGCTGTACTGCCAGCAACAAACCTATCCTATTTCCCAGAAGAAGTCACTCTTCCTTTGGCTGAAAACTTCCAGTTGTAATAGAGACCCTTTCCTTAAGGACAGACCATTAAAGTGAACAATCTGAGGCTTGACTCGAGGTCAGATTTTAGACAATAATAATTTTTCCAGGTTCAGTTGACCTCATCCACACAAATATCTACCAAAAATTCACCTAGCGCAGGAGCCCTTCAAGCATTTGTAGGTGATTGTCCTTGAAAACTGTCATGGAATCCTCACATATATTATTTTTTAAACTTTAAAATATCTAGCTCATTAAATCATTTTTTTAAAGATCTTAACACTTCAAAATCCTTCTTTATCCTATTAATTCTTCTTTTGGTAAACTCTTATTTAACATTACCTTTAAAAAGCTTGGCATCCATAATAGAATATAGAATTCCAAGACCAGTATGACTCTGAGTAAGAGGATTACACATTCTATAATGACGACAACTCTTATTTTACAGAAGCTAAACTTACATTAGAGAGGACTGTTTTGTTTTTATTTTGTTTTTATTTGTTTAATAGCCACATCATTCTAATGGTTCACACTGAACGTGCAAACTAATAAATTCCTCTATCTTTTAGCATATAAATTGCTAGCCACAAAACTATTATCTTGTACTTTCATAAACAAATGTTTAACACAAAATTCAGAAGTCAGTTTTTTTTTCTCTCATGTAAACATTACATTACCACACCAGTATTAAGGGCAATTTTAAAGTAGACTTTTGTCATTCCACGTATATGTTCATCCTAACATCATGTCACCTCCTAGTCACATTCTGGATTCTCTCCAACTGTCAAAATGGAGGTTTGGACAATATAGGATACACACATACCTTCAGATACACTTTGGAGATTAGTTTAATTAGATATAAATCAAACTACTTTTATCATGATGTAGCACTCATTTACTTTAAATCTTTCTGCAATACAATCAAGATTTGTTCAACGCCTTGCTGAAAGCAGTATCTGGCCTATCTGTGATCTTGCCTTGATTATTATCAATCTAGAAATTGTATCAAAAAATAAAATGAAGTTGAATGGATCTTCTATATTAAATAATTAGTTTTCTAAATGCCCCTAAACTATTCGCTAAATAATCTTTTCTATTTAGTCTGTTGTTCTGGATGAGGGTTCTCAGTCTTGACTGTACATTAGAATCACTGGGAGTTTTGGAAATATAACAATGTCAGTGCTTCCCCCACATCAACTGAATCTGAATATCTACTAGTGGAGCCTACATCGGTGTATTTGTAAAGCTCCACAGGTGATAATGGCAGTTTCTAGGACACATTTGCCCAAGTAAAATTATACCACTGGTGGCTCAAGTTGAATTTAGCTAAACCTCAATTGATTTTATGTGGTATACTGACTGAAATGATTATTAATTGAATAATTAAATGATGTTAAATTATATAAAATCATACTTTTTAATTATAAAATGTAATTTCATCTAGAAAGATGTCCAGTTTGGTATTGGTATTCATTTAACATTTTTTAGTAACACTTGCTAATACTCCTAGTTTTGTGTCTGTGTGTGTGGAAAAAGGTCTCAGACTCGAAATTTTGGCAAGCAGGAGCATTTAGAATTTTACAAGACGATTTTGTATTCATTACATGCATCATAATAGTTCTATTCGTAGTAAGTGATACTTGGTTTCCATTTATAGAAGTAATTAAATTAGTCCTTTTTAAAACAAATACTAACAGTATGCAGAAATGACTGAAATCCTGACAGTTTGGAAAAACTAGTCTAGTTTCTGCAATCTACCTGTTAATTTCCTCTTTTAAAAATATCAGAATACTTTTCAGGTCTTTTTTTCTTTAGTCTTTTTTCATAATTGCACTCTAAATACTTCTGGAATGCTACTTAGTAACTTCAAACTCACTCATTGTTTAGGGCTACAGATAAGGCATTTGAATGCAACCTAGTTCTTGCTTAGCATTTTGTCTTCTATTTTGGTTTTCAATTGCCCTTGGCCATCAGATTTTAGCTCTGCAAATCGAACACTGATTCTAGTTTTGTCTCAGTTCAATAAGCCTCTTAAGCTTTGTTTGATTTTTTTTTAAATTAAATTGGAGTAGAAATTGCATAATTCCGCTTTCCTCTCTTTTATCTTTCCCAAATGGCAAGTTTGTGTTTTCTTGTGTTCACATTGAGTGCAAAATATAAAAGCTCTTTTTATCTTTTTAAAAATTATTTCCAGAACTTACTTTATTTTATAATTTAGTATATTGCCAGTTCATGTAGTTCATGTCTCTATTTTGAATAGGATCTTTTTAATAGATCACTTTTATAGGTTTCTCTTTACTTTTCAATTTTTCTTATTAAATTTTGTTAAGATTTAAAAAACAAAGAGAAGTTCAATTCTTAAATCTTATTTTGCCGATGATCCTCTCAAGTACCCTTAATTTATAGGTGAGGAAAATGAGAACCAAGCAAATGAATAATGGTAAATAAGATATTTGCCATACAGTTAATATTACAAGGATTTTATTAAGCACATTAATTATATTATTGTACTTATTACTCACAAAAAGTACTATGAGGCAGATATTATTTTATCTGCATTTTACAGGTATATATATATATATGAAATGAGACTTATTAAAAAAACTCCAGCTCATAATTACTAAAGCTACTTTCACTTCAATGGTATAAAAGTGGCTGAAACAGAACTACGTATCAGGCTTGCTGAAGTCTGGCTCTCATTAAACTACAAACATTCCAAATTCAACAGGGAGGTTCACATGTAGTCATGATAGCTCATTTCAATGTGTTCTCTTTTTTTCTCAGTAATTTGTGTGTGTGTGTGTTTTACAATCTCATATATTCATGGAGGTATGTTATTAACTACAGCAGGGTTTCCTAATGTGGATTCCATCAACATTTTATGCTGGATAATTGTTGTGGTGGGCAGTCTTGTGCATTATAAGATGTTTAGCAGTATCTCTGGCCTCTACCCACTAGATGCCAGTAACAACTCAGATCTATGCCTCATTTCATATTTGCCTTCTTCATGTTAAGATTTCATGTTAATCTTACCATCTTTAATCTCAGTATTGTTATATAAAAATATAAGAAAATTAATTTGCATTCTAAATTCACTTCCTAGTTTTTCCTAAGAAGTAGTATGTATCTGTACCACTTTTTTTTCTTTTCTGTGTTTTCACTTGATACCCACCATATAATTTATTATTGCTCTTTCCTTGTGGCATCCATTTCCCTCTTCAGAGTTTAGAATCTTCTTGATTATGTTAGTGATTGTATTGAAAAATGTGATCCCTGTAGACCCATGAGATGTACTCTTTCTCTGCAGACATTAGCGGCTTTATTAACATAATCATGGTCTAAAAAACCCAAATCCTGTTATTTGATGACATTTAAGCAACCAGCTGTTCATTTCTTAAATCCTCTTTTCTCTTCCAAAGGTATGACCTTCAAATGGGAAAAAAAAAGATGAAAACACCACCTGGACTCCATGCCCTTCAGTTTTATACCTAATACTTGAAAACCAAGTGACAGAGTCTAGGTTTTTCTAGCTCCAATATTATTCTCAGATGTTTCAGCCTAATGGAGTAAAAGGTTAATGAGTTTTTGTTTCCTGTCCTGGGGGAATGTCTTTCACATCTTAGTCTTACTTTCCAAGAAGTTAGCTCATTGCCTGGTTAGCCATGAAATTGTTGTTCCTTGAAGGGAAATCACCAGCTTGTTTTGTCTCTTCTTACAATTGTTCTTCAAATCTGACACAATTTTCAAATTATTTATTGTTATGTAAAAATTGATTCAATAAATCCAGATTTACTTTTGGTAAACATGCCTTCTATGCTATAAAGTTTCCTTGGTTAGAGAGAGAAACTCTCTTGCAGATTTTAAATTTTGCCAATATTTTGACTGTTTCATCTCCTTCCTCCTATTAAATAACTTTTTTTTCTCAGTGGCATTTCCTTGGATTATTTCCCATCCTCTCTAAATAAGCTGACCTTAGTGATTATTTAACAGCACCTCTTGCCTTTATTGGTTTGTTTCAAGTAGTATTCTCAAATGATATCAACAACACTTAGTACCAGAGTTTCTCAAACAGTAAGAAAAAGTTCACATCTAGCTAGCCCATAGGTCTCTGGAAATAATTCCTTGCTATTCTTTATAGCTCCTCTAAGAAACATTTCTTACTTTCACTTATTCTTTATTTTATCCATCCATTCCACAGATATTTTTGCAGTGCCTACTGTAGTTTCAACACTATTCTAAACTCTGAGGATTTGGTGGAGAACAACACCCACAAGAACCTTATTCGCATGGTGCTTACATTTAAGGGGAGGCACACAGAGAGTAAAATATAATTCAGTACCTAAAATAATTTCATGTATTTGTGAGAGCTAAGCAGAAAACAAAAGAAGATGATATGAGGTAGAAAAATGACAGGTTTCCTGGCCATTTGGGAATGCTACCTGAAATATAGCATGGGCAAGTCTGTCTTTCTAGTGGCTTCTGCAAATGCACCAGCACATTACCCAATAAAACACTGTGGCCTGGTTCTATGACAGCCACATCTCCTCGAGTAGCAGCAAATAACTCCAGAATCTTAAAACGGAGCCATATCTGTTACATGTTTGTTTACCTTTCCTGAGCAATATTTCAGATGTTGGAATAGACATAAAATTCGTACATATTTTAAGATACAGTTAAATATCCCAGTCATTAAGAAAGCAGACTTCAGTATCAGAAAATAAAGTGTATTTACATAGAGGCAACCTACTAGTTGTGACTTTTAGCAAGTTTCGTCACTTCTTGTAACCTAAGTTTTTTCATCTATAAATTTAGAACAACCCCTCTATCTTATAGATGTGAAGTACGGATAAAATATAATATGTAAGGAGGGCTAATATCAAAAACACAGGAAACAACAAGTGTTGGAAAGGATGTGGAGCAATCGGAACCCTTGCTCACTGTTGGGGGAAATGTAAAAGGATGCAGCTACTGTGGCGAACAGTATGGGGGCTCCTCAAAAAATTAAAGGTTTTTTACCATATGATACAAACTACGATATGATGCAAAAACTTTACTTCTGCATATATACCCCAAAGAATTGAAAACAGTGTCACAAAGAGATATTTGTACACCCATGTTCATAGCAGTGGTAACCACAATGCTAAAATGTGGAAGCAATTCACATGTCCATCAATGGATCAATATACAAGCAAAATGGAATATTTTTTCAGCCTTAAAAAGGAAGGAAATTCTGACATGTGCTACAACACGGATGAATCTTGGACATTATCAGTGAAATAACCCAGTCACAGAAAGATAAATATTTTATGATTTCACTTATATGAGGTAGTTAAGATAAGTCAAAATCATAGATACGGAAAGTAGAATAGTACTTGTGAGGAGTAGGGGGAGAAGAGGAAGTAGAGAGTTATTAACGGGTACAGAATTTTTGTTTTAGAAGATGAAAGAGTTATGGAGCTGGAGGGTGGTGATGATAACACAACTGTATGACTGTATCTAATACTACTAAACTGTCTACTTAAAATGATTCAGAAGTAAATTTCATGTGATGTGTATTTTACTGTAATAAAAAGTAATACATTATTTTAGAATTGTAATATGTAATATATTGCATATAACTGAGTACCTAGGATATAGTAGACAAAAGTATGGATTATCTCTTATTTTTATACATTTTTGTTAATAGTCTACCTTTTTCTAGAAAATTCTAGAAATAGTAACATTTACTTGTGGTTATAATAGCACCTTGATTTTCTAGTGAAGCCTCAGATTCATAAGTTTTATTCCATTTTTGAACTAACAAAACTGCCATACTGTCCCTAGGTTTTCTGTTTGAAAAATATGGGTAAATTATAGATATTCTAAATACATTGTGACCTGCATACAGATAAATAGGCCTTGCTTTTCTTGCTGTTTTGGCTGCGAGTACCACCTTCTGTACAGATGATTTAGAGGCCAGATGCAGAGCAATTTCAGATGTAGATGCCCCTTACTGTGAAGTAATTATTGCCCTAGAGGCTCTTATCCTGCCTGGTAATAATTCTATTATAAAGCAAACAAACTATTTACTGTGGAATATTTATCAACTTGAAGCAACAGAATCATTAAGCATGCAAATTTACATGACCATATTGGTAGACATGTTGTAATGGTTTGCATCACAGCATTAATAGGAATAAATAAAGTCTAGAATTTTCTCCAAACTCATTCATTATAGATGGAAACTTACTTGCTATTCTCTTTTCCTTGTTCTCATCACTAAAACTACAGGAAAACAACTAAAAAGGGTTCTAAGATGTGAGCCTAGATAAATGCAAAGAATATATTAAAATCCTACAGAAGGAGTCTTAGAAATAAGATGCTAAGAAAAAGTGAAGCAGATGGAGTTTAAGGTAAAAGAGAAATTGGTATTGAAAGGGGAAGCAGATTAGATTGAGGTAAGAGATGTGTGGGCCATGTAACATCTATTGAAGTTCTAACCCTGAAGATAGAAATGTAGGCTAAGATTTTGATTATTTATCTTCCAAAGACTCACCACACAACAAGGAAATGTGTGCCAAATTTTGTAGCATCTTCAAATGCACCATCAATTTAATTAATATTTAAACAAAAAAATAAATATTTTAAAGGGAAATGATATTTTAATAATATATTTTAGAGGATTGCCCTTTAACTTTTGGATAAATAGATAACTTTTTGATAAACTGAGGGGGAAACCCAATTACATTTTAAATTAAAAAAGAAAGACCATATTTGTAAATTATCAAATCAAATTGAAGTTACAAGGGAACTTTAAATTGTAGGTTATACCAGGTAGCACAGAAACGTATTTTTAATACATTATATAATTATATGTTTTAATTTTCTACTGCCTATGAGAATATCAACAGCTGTTAGTTAAAGAATAGTAGGTCTTATTCTGAAAGGTTCATTTCAAATGAAAATGAATTTATATTATAAATTTAAATTTCCATACTCCTCATTTTATATAAATGCCTAAACTGTGTACTTTGTATATAAATGACAAAGCAATGTCTTTGTGAGTGATATATTAAAATTTCTAGGGATAAAAAGTTTATATTTTAGATGAAAAACATTAGTGTCATTGTAAAATGAAAAACCAACATCAGCAAAGTTAAATTTTCTTAATATCAGCAAGACAGCACAAGAAGGATACTTAAACATGAGTTAATAACTTGATTCTCTAGTGATCATTCATAATGAAGAAGTGAAAAGGGGGCAAGATCAGTGAGGGAATAACGAAGAAAATATGTCTAACCATTTTTATTTGTCAGCTACAACATTTCCTGCTGATCAAGCTGGCTGTTGTGAATGGTTAATGAGAAGAAAATAGAGATTGAAGGTAAGAAAAAAATTTTAAGAGTTTTGCCTTCTTTCTAATTAGAATGTGCCATGGAAGTATAAGAATGGAGAAGAAATGAGACTGATCATTTTTTTTAGCTTCAAATGGTTTGTTTACTTCAAAAAAGAAAAATAAATAAATTATACCAGTCCTCCTCTAAAGCTTGATAGATACTAATCCACATGTTGTGTGCTGAGTTTATCTCAAAGACCAGCCATAAACTCTCTTGGATATGCCATTCTGTATGTCGAGATTACTTAAATCATTCTGATCTATTTTTATTGCTGTTTGTGTATAGAGACAGGCCTAAAATGAATGAAAGTTTGCCTCTAAGAAAAGTCAGAACTAGCACATATTTTTTTCTGGCTCAGTTGAAACCAGACTTACACATTTCCTTTTTTGTGTGTGTGTGTGTGTGTGTGTTTAATAGAAGTTATGAGCTCTAAGAATCCAACTTAAACTGAAAGCTGAGAAGTTCTGAAGAGAAGAAACTATTCAGGGCTTCCAATTAAAAGAAAATGCTGTAGCTCTTTTTCAATGTCCGTGTTACAATACACCAGGAAAACTGTGTCTTTACCATGCTTTAAATATGTCAATTCCTGAAATTGACTTTATATTTTAATATCTGCTATTAATAATTGTGACTGATCAGAGATTTTTACCCTACTTGCAAATTCACAGTTTAATGAATATTGGCAAAAGACATGAGACTCCTGGGTCAGAGACAAAAGATGACATTTTTCACAGCAGTAACAGTAGCCAAATTATTATTGTGAGGTTCCTAGCTTAGTATTAATAACATATAAGGGCCAAGTGATGCCAATATATCAGGCAGGTGAAGTAGGTTAGATCTTTCTGAAGTCTTTAGATAAGCTGAAAAAATTTCAAAAAGAGGGTATTGCATATATGTTTGCGTAGCAATTCTTAAATTTTGGCACCAGACCAGCAGCATCAATGTCCCCTGGAAACTTGTTAGAAATACACATTCTCTAGCCTCACCCAAGACTTACAGAATCAGAAACTCTGGAGCTGGGGACTCTGTGTATTAGAATCACTGTTACTGAGTATCCTATTTGGATGGCATAAAAAACCTTAATTACTGAATTTGATCATTGGCATTCTCTATAGTGAGACTTCAGCCAAAGTTGAGCTTTTAGTCACAATATAATCATGTTGCCAACATTGGTGCCAATGCCTTTTCCCTGGATTTTTAAAATATGAAATCCAAATATCCTATATGAAGATAGTCACCTGGGATTCATAGAAACATTTCTTGTTTTTTATATCAAACACAAGAAGTCTTTAAATTTACAGTATATTCAAATATCTCTTTAGAATCTTTAACCATAAAATCAAGATGCACCATTCTAAAGAGAATAGTAGAGAAGACCTCTGTTGAATGTTCACAAGCTTATTTTTCTTGTTGGTGCTAGAAGATGAAATAAAAAAGCAAGAAATAATGTGCAAATTAGATAAATTAAACAGTGATTCACATTCAAAAACATTAAAATTGAATTTTGAATTCAACTGAATTTTCCCAAAGCTCATTTTCCCAAAGCTCTATATAGATGATTACAGTCTACTACGTATGCCAAAGCTATATCCACATTTTCTTGAGACATACTTCTTTAACTGGACTTAGTTTCTGATATTGTGAGTTTGTTAGGCTCTGGCCTGTGCCTTAATCCATTTAGAATGCTATAACAGTATACCATAAACTGAGTAGCTTATAAACAGCAAAAAATATTTTTCTCACTGTTCCGGAGTCTAGGAAGTGTAAGATCAAAGCATGGGCAGCCAACTTGATTGTGGTGAATTAGCTTTATGATGTACTGCTGGATTTGGTCTGCCAGTTTTTCATTGAGGATTTTTGCATCAATGTTTATCGGGGATATTGGCCTGAAGTTTTGTTGTTGTTGTTGTTGTTGTATCTCCCCCAGGTTTTGGTATCAGATAATGCTGGCCTCAGAAAATGAGTTAGGGAGGAGTCCCTCCTTTTGAAATGTTTGGAATACTTTCAGTAGAAATGGTACCAGCTCCTCTTTGTACCTCTGGTAGAATGAAGCTATAAATCCATCTGGTCTTGGGTTTCTTTGTTGTTTTTTTGTTTGTTTGTTTGTTTTTGGTTGGTAGGCTATTTATTACTGTCTCAATTTCAAAACTCATTATTGGTCTATTCAGGGATTCAATTTCTTCCTGTTCAGTCTTGGGAGGGTGTATGTGTCCAGGAATTTATCTAATTCTACTAGATTTTCTAGTTTATGTGCATAGAGGTGTTTATAGTATTATCGGATAGCTGTTTGTATTTTTGTGGGGTCAGTAGTGATATCCCCCTTATCATTTCTTATTGTATCTATTTGAATCTTCTCTCTTTTCTTCTTTATTAATCTAGCTAGTAGTATATCTATTTTATTATTTTTTTCAAAAAAAAAATAGATACTGGATTCATTGATTTTTTGAAGGGTTTTTTGTGTCTCTATCTCCTTCAATTCTGCTCTGACCTTAGTTATTTCTTGTCTTCTGCTAGCTTTGGAGTTTGTTTGCTCTTGGTTCTCTAGGTTTTTTTCATTGGGATGTTAAGTTGTTTACTTGAGATCTTTCTAGATTTTTGACATGGGCATTTAGTGCTACACATTTCCCTCTTAACTGCTTTAGCTGCATTCCAGGGATTCTGGTACATTGTCTCTTTGTTTTCATTAGTTTCAAAGAACCTCTTGATTTCTGCCTTAATTTCATTATTTACCCAGTAGTCATTCCAGAGCAGGCTGTTCAATTTCCAGGTAGTTGTGTGATTTTGAGTGAATTTCTTAATCTTGAGCCCTAATTTGATTGCATTGTGGTCTGAAAGACTGTTTGTTATAATTTAAGTTTTTTTGCATTTGTGGAGGAGTGTTTTATTTCCTATTATGTGATAAGTTTTAGAGTAACCCCCATGAGGCGATGAGAAGAATGTATATTCTGTTGTTTTTGTGTGGAGAGTTCTGTAGATATCTATCAGGTCCACTTGATCCAGAGCTGAATTCAGGTCCTGAGTATCTTTGTTAATTTTCTGTCTCAATGATCTGTCTAATATTGTCAGTGGGGTGTTAAAGTCTCCCACTATTATTGTGTGGGAGACTAAGTCTCTTTGTAGATCTCCAGGAAATTGCTTTGGGTGATCCTACATTGGGTACTTATGTATTTAGGAGAGTTAGCTCTTCTTGTTGAATTGAATCCTTTACCATTATATACTGTATTTCTTTGTCTTTTTGATCTTTGTTGGTTTAAATTCATTTGGTCCGAAACTAGAATTCTGACACCTGCTTTTTTGCTGTTTTTCATTTGCTGGGTATATTTTCCTTAATCCCTTTATTTTGAGCCTATGTGTGTCTTTGCACATGAGATGGGTCTCTTCAAGACTGCGTATGTATGGGTCTTGACTCTATCCAGCTTGCAATTCTCTGTCTTTTAATTGGGGATTTTGGCCCACTTACATTTAAGGTTAATATTGCTATGTGTAAATCTGATCCTGTCATCATGATGCTAGCTGGCTATTTTGCAGACGTGTTTATGTGGTTGTTTCATAATGTCACTTGTCTATGTACTTCAGTGTGTTTTTGTAGTGGCTAGTAACAGTTTTTCCTTTCCATATTTAGTGCTTCCTTCAGGAGCTCTTGCAAAGCAGACCTGGTGGCAACGAATTCCCTCAGCATTTGCCTGTCTGGAAAGGATCTTATTTCTCCTTCGCTTACAAAGCTTAGTTTGGCCAGATATGAAATTCTAGGTTGGAAATTCTTTTCTTTAAGAGTGTTGAAAATTGGCCCCCAATATTTTCTGGCTTGTACGATTTCTTCTGAGAGGTCCACTGTTAATCTGATGGGCTTCCCTGTAGCCCCTCTCTCTCTGGCTGCCCTTAACATTTTTTCTTTCATTTTGACTTTGGAGAATCTGATGATTATATGCCCTGGGGTTGATCTTCTTGTGGAGTATCTTACAGAGGTTCTCTGGATTTCCTGAATTTGAATGTTGGCCTGTTTTGCTAGGTTGGGGAAGTTCTCCTGAATGATACCTTGATGTATGTTTTCCAAGTTGGTCCCATTCTCCCTGTGTCTTTCAGGTACCCCAATCAGTTGTAGGTTCAGACTTTTTATATAATCCCAAATTTCTCAGAGGTTTTCTTCATTGCTTTTCATTCTTTTTTCTCTGTTCTTGTGTACCTGTCTTATTTCAGAAAGATAAAGATAGTATCCAAGCTCTGAGATTGTTTCCTCCACTTGGACTATTCTGCTATTGATATTTGTGATTACATTGTGAAGTTCTCATGTTGTGTTTTTCAGCTCCATCAGGTTAGTTATATTCCTGTCTAAACTGGCTATTCTGGTTATTAAAACCACATGATTGTCTCAATAGATGCAGAAAAGGCCTTCTATAAAATTTGACATCCCTTCATGTTAAAAACTCTCAATTAAGTAGGTATTGGAGGAACATACGTCAAAATAATAATAACAATCATATATGACAAACCCACAGCCAATATCATACTGAGTGGGCAAAAGCTGGAAGCATTCCCCTTGAAAATGAGCGCAAGACAAGGATGCTCTTTCTCACCACTCCTATTCAACATAGTATTGGAAGTTCTGTCCAGGGCAATCAGGCAAGTGAAAGAAGTAAAGCGTATTCAAATAGGAAGAGAAGAAGTCAAATTGTCTTTGTTTGCAGATGACATGATCCTATATCAAGAAAACCCCATTGTCTCAGCCCAGAAACTCCTTAAGCTAATAAGCAACTTCACCAAAGTCTCAGAATACAAGATCAACATGCAAAAAATTGATAGCATTCCCATAAACCAACAAAATTCTTATACACCAAAAATTGCTAGCATTCCTATATGTCAAGCAGAGAGCCAAATCCTGAATTAACTCCCATTCACAATTGCTACATGGAGAATAAAATACCTAGGAATACAGCTAACAAGGGAAGTTAAGAACATCGTCAAAGAAAACTGCAAACCACTGCTCGAGGAAGTCAGAGAGGACACAAACAAATGGTAAACTATTCCATGCTGATTGATAGGAAGAATCAGTATTGTGACAAGGGCCGTAATGCCCAAAGTTATTTACAGGTTCAATGCTATTCCTATCAAACTACCATTGTTATTCTTCATAGAATTAGAAAAAGGAACAATTTAAAAATTCATATGGAATCAAAAAGGAGCCTGAATAGCCAGGACAATCTTTAGCAAAAAGAACAAAGCTGGAGGCATCATGCTACCTGATTTCAAGGTACACTACAAGGCTATAGTAACCAAAACAGCATGGTACTGCTACAAAAACAGACACATAGGCCAATGGAACAGAATAGAGAGCTCAGAAATAAGACCACACATCCACTGTGGTCTTATTATGGTCTTATTATTATTATAATAAGACCACCATCTGATCTTCAACAAACCTGACAAAAATAAGCAATGGGGAAAGGATTCCTTATTTAATAAATGATGATGGGAGAACTGCCTAGCCATGTGCAGAAAATTGAAACTGGACCCCTTCTTTACACCTTATACAAAAATTAACTCAAGATGGATTAAAGACTTAAATGTAAAACCCAAAACTATAAAAACCCTAGAAGAAAATCTAGGCAATACCATTCAGGATACAGGCATGGGCAAAAGTTTTATGATGAAAATGTCAAAAGCAATTACAACAAAAGCAAAAATTGACAAATGGGACCTAAATAAACTAAAGAGCTTCCGCACAGCAAAAGAGACTATCATCAGAGTAAACAGACAATCTACAGAATGGGAGAAAATTTTTGCAATCTAAGCATCTGACAAAGGTCTAATATCCAGAGTCTACAGGGAACTTAAGACAATTTACAAAAAAAAAAAAAATATACAACCCCATTAAAAAGTGGGCAAAGGGCTGGGTGCAGTGGCTCATGACTATAATCCCAGCACTTTGGGAGGCCAAGGCAGGCAGATCACTTGAGCCCTGGAGTTTGAAACCAGCCTGGCCAGCATGTCAAAACCCCGTCTCTACTCAAAATACAAAAATTAGCAGGGTATGGTGACTCATGTCTGTAATCGCAGCTACTCAAAAGGCTGAGGCATGAGAATCACCTGAACCCAGGAGGCAGAGGTTGCAGTGAGCAGAGATTGCACCACTGCACCCCAGCTTGGGAAACAGAATAAGACTTGGTCTCAAAGAAAAAAAAATGTGGGCAAAGAACATGAATAGACACTTCTCAAAAGAAGACATTCATGTGGCCAACAAACGTATGAAAAATAGCTCAACATCACTGATTATTAGAAAAATGCAAATCAAAACCACAATGAGATACCATCTCACACCAGTCAGAATGGTGATTATTAAAAAGTCCATAAACAACAGATGCTTGCAAGGTTGCAGAGATAAAGGAACATGTTTACACGGTTGGTGGGAATGTAAATTAGTTAAACCATTATGGAAGACAATGTGATGATTCCTCAAAAATCTAGAATCAGAAGTGCCATTTGTTCCAGCAATCCCATTACTGGATGTATATCCAAAAAAATATAAATCCTTCTATTATAAAGATACATGCATGCATATGTTCATTGCAGCACTGTTCACTATAGCAAAGACATGGAATCAACCCAAATACCCATCAATGATAGACTGGATAAAGACATATGCAGCATGCGATACTATGCAGCCATAAAAAGAAATGAGATCATGTTCTTTGCAGGGACGTGGATGGAGCTCAAAGCTATTATCCTCAGCAAACTAATGCAGGAACAGAAAATCAAACACTGCATGTTCTCATTTACAAATTGGAGCTGAACAATAAGAACACATGGACACATGGGGGAGAACAACACACATTGGAGTGTGTCATGGGGCAAAGAGGGAAGGAGGGCATTAGGAAGAATAACTAATAGGTACTGGGCTCAATACCTAAGTGATGGGTTGATCTGTACAGCAGACCACCATGGCACACGTTTACTTATGTAAGAAACCTGCACATCCTGCACATGTACCCTGGAACTTAAATAAAAGTTAAAAGTTGAAGAAAAAAATAATAAAATAAATTTGCATATCCCTGGGGAAAAAAAATGTATGGGCTGATTTAGTGTCTGGTGATGGCTTGTTTCCTGGTTCTTCTATGGTGCCTTCTCTCTATGCCCTCACATGGTGGAAGAGTGAGCTCTCTCTCTGGGTTATCTTTTACAAGGTAATCATACCAATTACAAGAGCTCTGCTTTCATTGTCTAATCAATTCCCAAAGGCTTCACATACTAATATCATCATCTTGGGGGTTAGAATTTCACCATATGAATTTGGGGGGTACACATAAATTTAGACCATAGCATTCTGCCCCTTGCCTCTCAAAATGTATGTTCTTCTTGCATGCAAAATACATTTATTTTATTCCAATAGCCCCAAAAGTCTTAATTCATACCAACATTAAGTCAAAAGTCAAAAGACTCATGTAAATATCATCTAAATTAGATATGGGTGAGATTTAAGGTATCTTCATCCTGAAGTGAATTTCTCTTCAGCTGTAGGCCTGTAAAATCAAACAAGTTATGTGCTTCCACAATATAGTGGTAGGATAGGCACAGGACTGACATTTCTATTCCAAAGAGAATAAAAAGAAAAAAAGAAAGAGGCAGTGGGCAAGTCCAAAACCTTAAACTCAAGAATATAGTAGTTCCTCTTATCCATAGGTTTGTTTTCCATGATTTCAGTTACTTATGGCTTCAGTTACCTGTGGTCATCTGTGGTCCAAAAATATTAAATGGAAAATTTGAGAAATAATCAATTAATAAGTTTTAAAGTACATGCCATTCTGGAGAGCATGACAAAAATCTCAATTTTTATCATGCACATCCTGCCAGGGACGTGCATCATCCCTTTGTCTGGCTTATCCATGCTGTATATTATGCTGCCTACTCATTAGTCACATAGTAACCATCTCATTTATCAGATCCACTGTCGTGATATTACAGTGTTTGTGTTAAAGTAACTCTTATTTTACTTAATAATGTCCCCAACGCACAAAAATAATAATGCTGGCAATTTGGATATGCTAAAGAGAAATCGTAAAGTGTTTAAGTAAAAAGGTAAAAGGTCTTTACTTAAGGAAAGAAAAAAAATTACTCAGAGGTTGCTGGGATCTACGATAAGAATGAATCTTCGATCCATGATATTGTGAAGACAGAAAAAGCAATTTGTTCATTATATGGAGTTTTGTACCATCTGTCGTTTCAGGCATCCACTAGGGTCCTTGGAATGTATCCCCCATGGATGGGTGGAACTACTGTATTTACATATATATGTGTGTTTGTAGAGTTGCATACATTTTTCTATAGGTAGTTAAATAATGACATTTTAGATATGAATACAAAAAAGAAAGAAAGGGCTATTCAACAGATTTTAATTAAAGGAAATATTATAGAAAATATAAAAAAAAATTTTGAGACAGGGTCTCACTGTGTTGCCAAGGCTGGAGTGCAATGGCACAATTACAGCTCACTGCAGCCTTGACCTCCAGGGCTCGAGTGATCCTCCCACCTCAGCCTCCCAAGCAGCTGGAACCACAGGTGAATACCACAATGCCTGGCTAATTTTTTGTATTTTTGTAGAGATAGGGTTTTGCCATGTTGCCCAGGCTGGTCTTGAACTTCCAGGCTCAAGCAATCTGCCTGCCTCAGCCCCTCAAAGTGCTGTGGGACTACAGGTGTGAGCAACCACACCTGGCCAGAAAATCTGTTAGACAGAAGAAAAATCATCATATATTAAAAGCATGAGGATGCAGTTAAAAATGAAGAACCAAAGAAATATTAAATATACAGGTAGATTTAAATAAATAATTACTCTATAAAATGATATTAATAATGTTTTGGTTTTAAAATTATAAATGTGTGTGTGTGTGTGTGTGTGGTTCAGTACACCCTACTCCAAAATATGACACCTTAAAATACTATTTTAAACTGAAACAATTTGGGAAACAGCAGAAGTAGGAAGTTTACTCTGACCGTCCCTAGCCCTTTTTCCCTGAAGCAGATCATAAAACCTAGGTTTTCTGGCTTTCCCCTGAAGCAGGTCATAAGATCCTCATGTAAGAGGTGTCCTGAGGCATCCTTATCTCTGAGGACAAAGAGACACAGAAAATAATTTAATAAGTATAATATAAATAGATTTATAGATCTTTATAGAATAAGAGAGTTTACATTTACAGTGGAAGTATGTAAAAGAAGTTGTAAGATTCGAAGATATATTTAACTTTATTTTGAAATGAAAAGAAAGATTTCCAAAAAAATGACTAAATAGGGCCCCAAAAGAGCAGTAAAGATTTTTGAGAGCAGGAATTGTGTCTCATTCATTTTGAAATATCAGTGTCTAGCATACCTGGGAGAAGTTTTTCATCTAAAAATTGAATTAAAACTATGCCTGTAGTTTACATACTCTATATTCTTGCTGTAATATTTACAGACATATTGTCATGACAGCATGTTAGCTTCTGGAACCTACTAATTGTGAATAGGTTTTGTGGTGGGTCTGTAAAGAGTTTAGGCAGAAAAGGTAAGCTGGAAGCTAGATATTAAAGGAATTTACATAATCACGACCTGTAAGGTTTAGAGTTCATCCTGGAAGTAACAATAGGCAACAAAATATTCAGGCATCTCTCTTTGAAATAAATAGCTCAAGTATGGGAGGAAAAAAGTGAATGAAAAGATGGGCCATTTATCTATCAAGTATTGATCCAAGTAAAACATTTGAAAATATTAAATATTAATTTTTAAAACCAAGAATAGTGTTTCATAAGTATGTTTAATTTTTTTATTTACAAATATTAAAATTTTCTTTTTATGTAATTTTATTTTTTTTTGAGATGGAGTCTCACTCTGTCACCCAGGCTGGAGTGCAGTGGCGCGATCTTGGCTCACTGCAACCTCCGCCTCCTGGGTTCAAGCAATTCTCCTGCCTCAGCCTCCCAAGTAGCTGGGGTTACAGGCACCCGCCATCATGACCGGTTAATTTTGTTTTTGTGTGTGTATTTTCGTAGAGACAGGGTTTCACTATGTTGGCCAGGCTGGTCTCGAAATCCTAACCTCTGGTGATCCGCCTGCCTTGGCCTCCCAAAGTGCTGGGATTGCAGGCGTGAGCCACCATGTCCAGCCCTTTCATGTAATTTTAAAAAATAATATGAAACATTTGTAGAACATGTTCTAGGTATCACATATAAGCTGCATTTATTTGACTAAAATGTTTTCTTATTACTGTTATTTGGAAAACTAATATATCAAATATGGTCTGATTCAGAGCTCATATACACTAGCCTCAAAGTTAAATAAAATAGTTTTTAGTTAAATGACTGATTTTTGTCTAAATAAATTAATTATATGTGTTAACAGATATAATTGCAAACATGAATAAATAATTTTAAAAGTCCATCAAGGAAAAGTTAAATAAGTTATCAGTGCCATAAACAGGAAAGCTCACTAAACTGTCAACCATTACAGAAGAGATAAGACTCAAGTTCTTTTCAAAATATAAAACATAAGTTTATTCTGAAGAAAAATTTGAAAGAAAATATTTTAAATTATTTCATATTAGCATACATCCAAGATCATTACCTGGAGGAGGCAAGATGGCTGACTAGACACAGCCAGGAATACCTTAACCACTGAGAGGAACCAAAATAGAGAGTAAATATCATCACAATTTGAATAAGTTTTTTTGTTTTTGTTTTTGTTTTAGAGATTGACTCTTACTTTGTCACTCAGGTTGTACTCACAGCTTGGATTACAAGCCTCAAACTCCTTGGTTTAAGTGATTCTCCTGCCTCAGCCTCCCAGATAGCTAGGACTACAGGCAAGTGTCACAATGCTTGGCTTATTATTATTTTTTTAATTATGGAATGATGGGGTCTCCCTATGTTTCCCAACCTGGTCTCAAACTCCAGGTCACAAGCAATCCTCCCACCCCAGACTCCTGAAGTTCTTGGATTACAGGTGTGAGCCACTGCACCTAGCCAAACAGGTCTTTTGAAAGAAAGTCAATAGAGAGGCAATGCAGACACCATAGTTGTAGAGATTGGAAGCTGGGAACCCTGCTCAGAGATTCCAGGCGCCAGCACTGGCAACTGTACCAAAATGTGACCTAGATGCCAATCACCCAAGACTCTCCTTGCTCTGAGTAGCAGCAGCTCCTCCCCTCTGCTAGGCCAGGGAGAGCTAGGCTTCCATTGTGGGACCAGAGTGCATCCAATCCACACATTCCCTTACATGCTGGACCTCTCAAGACTGCCTGCCTAGATGCTCCTGCAGGAGGATCACCACAGCACAGTCACCACCTCCCCACCTGAGTTTTTGCTAGTGGCCTGGGAGCAGTTCAGCCACTCTCCCAACCCCCATACCCCACTAACAATCTCCCTGCCCTGCATAGCCAGTGCTTTAACCTGAGGGGCCAGAGGACAAATCCATGGGCCGAGTCCCAACTCCTTAGGATTTGAGCACACTACTCACGGATATTGAACTGAGATCTGTGGCCTAAGCTCAATCAGGAAAGGAACCCCCACTCTCAGAAGACAAAGAAGAGTGTGACATGGGTTCATATGCCAGTGCAGGACATCCCTCCCTTCACAAGCCTGGTCTGGGAAGGGCGTGGCCTGACAGCCAGCTGCCGCTTCTTTTCTAGGGAATCCTGTAGCCCAGAGCATCTGGAACAGCTCAGTGACCTGGGCACAGAAGGCTTGGGATAAGCCTAGCTGGTCAATCCTGTTCCTGGGGCAGATGCCAGAGGGAGACTCACCAGGTAGGGGGAGTGTAAGCTTGGTGTTCCTCACAGCCATCTGCTGGGCTGAAAACTTCAGCCTGCAGGTACCTTCCAAGTTGCATATCTATGGTACCAGTGCCCCACCCAGGGATCTTCTGCTCCTGTCCCAGTGCACCATCAGACCACTAGCAGACATATCCCACAGTCTGCTATGATTCTCAAAAACACAAGGGACTGCAGGCCCCCAGGGAGTTGTGGTTCTCCTGGTGATTTAGCCCTCAGCTGGGATTCCCTAAGGGAGGGGTGAGCAGAGCCTGCCAAAGCTCCCACTGGGGCACAGGAAATAGTCATGGCACCAATAGTTGAAGGGGATGGCATCACATGGCCCAGGAGCAGACTTGGAGAGGGAGTCATATCTCACCAGCTGCCATCTCTCCAGCACACTGCTATGTACACACTGAAGTACAAAAGAAGCATGTGGCTGAGTAAGAGCTTATCTGCCCACCTATACTCATAAGCATTATTAATTGGACTGCAGGCTGAATTACACTACCAAACAAAAATACATTCCTCCAACATGCAATGCCACTGAAACCCATCACAGGAGCCTATATACAACCTAAGACTCTGTACAAAACCTTGGCCTTCTGAAAGCACTCAGAAACAAAGCCATTCAACTCTACACAACATTCACCATAGTCACAAGAGGAAAACAAAAACAAAACAAAACAAAAAGCCCCATCCAAGTGACATCAAATTCAAAAATAAAAGGAAATGCCAGCTGTCTCAGATGAGAAGGAATCAGCACAAAAATTCTAGCAATTTAAAAAGTCAGAGTGTTTTGTTACATTCTTGTTCCCTAGCAATGTAATCTTAAACAGATTGAAATGTCTGAAATGACTGACACAGAATTAAGAATCTGGATGGCAAGGAAGCTCAATGAGGTCCAAGAGAAAGTTTCGATTAAATTCAATCAAAGGAAGCCAGAAACATGATAAAAGATTTGAATATGATATAGCTATATTAAGAAAGGATCAAATGGAACTTCTGAAATTGAGAAATTCACTGCGAGAATTTCAAATACAATTCGAAGCCTTAAAAACAGACCAGACCAAGCAAAAGAAATAACCTCAGAGCTTGAAGATCAGTACTTTGAATCAAGCCCATCAGGCAAAAAGAATTTCAAAAAATGGACAAATCCTCCAAGATATATAGGATTATGTAAAGCAACCAAACCTACCACTCATTTATGTTCCTAAGCAAGAAGAGAGAGGAAGTGTATTAGTCAGGGTTCTCCAAAGGGACAGAACCAATAGGATATATGTAATATAAAACAGTTTATTAGGGGGAATTGGCTCACGTGATTGCAAGGTGAAGTCCCACAATAGGCCACCTGCAAGCTGAGAAAAGAGAGAAACCAGTAGCATGGTTCAGTCCAAATCAGAAAGCCTCAAAACCAGGGAAGCCAATCCTGCAGGCTTCAGTCTAAGGCTAAAGGCACAAGAGCCCCTGGGAGGTCACTGGTGCAAGTCCCAAAGTACAAAGGCTGAAGAACACAGAATCTGATGTCCATGGGCAGGAGAAGAGAAAGCAAGTTTCCAGCATGGGAAGAGCGAGAGTGGGCAGATTCTGCAAGCTGCTTACCCCCTTTCTTCCAGCTGCTTTATTGTAGCCACACTGGGAGCTGATTGGATAGGGCTCACCCATATTGAGGATGTGTCTTCCTCTCCCAGCCAAGTGTCTCAGATGTTAATCTCCTCTGGCAACACCTTCACAGACACACCCAGAAACAATGCTTCACCAGCCATCTAGGCATTCTTCAGTAGTCAATTTGACACCTAATATTAACCATTATAGTAAGCCACTTGGAAAACATATTTGAGAATATAATCCAGGAAAATTTTTCCAATCTTGTTGGAGAGGTTAAATTGCAAAAACAATACATTCAGAGAACACATGTGAGATGCTAATAAAAGATGGCAGTCTTCAAGGCACATAGTCATCAGACTTTTCAAGATCAACATGAAAGAAAAAATCTTAAAGACACCTAGAGAAAACGGTTAGATCACCTATAAAGGGAAGGCTTTC
This sequence comes from Homo sapiens, assembly GCF_000001405.40. Classification (NCBI taxonomy): domain Eukaryota; kingdom Metazoa; phylum Chordata; class Mammalia; order Primates; family Hominidae; genus Homo; species Homo sapiens. Next base: position 175,987,275 of record NC_000003.12, on the reverse strand, counting down.
AGGCTAGTAGTGGAATTCTCAGCAGAAATCTTACAAGCCAGAAGACACTGTGAGCCTATTTTTAGCATTCTCAAAGAAAATAAATTCCAACTAGAATTTCGTATCCCACCAAACTAAGCGTCATAAGCAAAGAAGAAATAAAACCTTTCCCAGACAAGCAATTGCTAAGCAAATTTGTTACCACTAGACCAGCATTACAAGAACTACTTAATGGAGTTCTAAACTTGAAAATGAAAGACATAACCTGCTGCCACAAAAACACACATAAATACAAAGCCCACAGACCCTACAAAGCAACAACACATTCATCACCACAAAGCAAGCAAACAACACCATGACAAGAACAAAATCTCACATATCAATATTAACCTTAGCTGTAAATGGTCTAAATGTCCCACATAAAAGACACAAAGTGGAAAGTTGGATAGAAAAATAAGACAACCTTTTGCTGTCTTCAAGAGTCCCATCTGTCATGTAATGACACCCATAGGTTCAAAGTAAAGGGATACAGAGAGATCTATCACACAAATGGAAAACAAAAAGGAGTAGAGATTTCTATTCATGTATTGGATAAAACAGGCTTTTTATCAACAACAGTAAAAATTGACAAAGAAGGCCATTACATAATAATAAAAGGTTCAATTTAACAAGAAAATTTAACTATACTAAATATATAAGCCTCCAACATTGGAGCACCCAGATTCATAAAACAATTACTTCTAGACCTTCAAAAAGACTTAGGCAGCCACACAATAATACTGGGGAAGTTCAACACTCACTGATATCATTAGGACAGATTGTTGAACCAGAAAACTAACAAATAAATTCTCCACTTAAATTTGACACTTGACCAATTTGACTCAATAAACATCTATGGAACACTCCACTCAATAACCATAGCATATACGTTTTTCTCATCTGAACATGATGATAATGTAAGATAAACCACAAGCTTCGTGATATAGCAAGTGTCAATTCAAAAAAATGGAAATCATACAAAGTATATGCTTGAACTACAATGAAATAAAAATAGAAATCAACACAAAGAAGAACTCTCAAAAACTACACAATTACATAGAAACTAAACAAATTGCTTCTGAATGACTTATGGGTAAACAATGAAATTAAGGCAGAAATCAAAATATTCTTTGAAACAAATGAAAGCAGAGACACGAATATCAAAATCTCTGGGATGTGGCAAAAGCAATGTTAAGAGGAATTATTATAATGCTAAATGACTATTTGAAGAAGTTAAAAGATCTCAAATTAACATCACAATCAAAGAAACTAGAAAAACAAGAACAAACTAATCCCAAAGCTGGCAGAAGAAAAGAAAGCACAGCAGTATTAAATGGAATTGAGACCCCAAAAACTATACAAAGGATCAAGGAATCAAAAACTTGGTTATTTATTTGAAAGGATAAGAAAGATCATTAAACCATTAGCTAGATTAATAAAGAAAAAATGAGAGAAGAGCCATATAAACACAATCAGAAATGACAAAGGTGACACTAAAATCCGTCCCAAGAAATACAAAATATCCTCAGAGACGACTATGAACACTTCCATGTACACAAACTAGAAAATCTAGGGGAAACGGATAAACTCCTGAAAACACACAACCTCCTAAGATTGAATCAGAAAAAAGTTGAAACCCTGGGCAGACCAATAATGAGTTCTAAAATTGATTCAGTACAAAAGAAAAACCTACTGACTATAAAAAACTTTGGACCAGGTAGATTTACAGCAGAATTCCACCAGATGTACAAAGAAAAGTTGGTACTATTAATGCTGAAACTATTTTATAAAATAGAGAGGAGAGATTCCTTTGTAACTCACTCTATGAAACCAGCCTCATCCTGTAACCAAAATATGGCAAAGACACAAACAACAAAGAAAACTACAGGCCGATATCTACTATGAATGTAGACACAAAAATCCTCAACAAAATACTAGCAAAGTGAATCTAGCAGCATACCAAAAAGTTAATTTATTATGATCAACTGGGCTTTATTACTGGGATGCAAGATTGGCTCAACACATGCATCTCAATAAATGTCATTCACCACATAAGCATAATTTTTAAAAAACTAACATTATTATCCCAATAGACTCAGAAAAACCTTTCAATGAAATCCAACATCCTTTCATGTTAGAAACCCTCAACTAACACAGCATTGAAGAAACATATCTCAAAATAATAAGGACCGTCTATGACAAACCCGCAGCCAACATCATACTTAATGGGCAAAAATAGAACCATTCCCCTTAAGAATTGGAAGAAGATAAAGATGCCCACTCTAACCACTCCTATTCTACATAGTATTGGAAGTCCTAGCCAGAGCAATCAGTGAAGAGAAAGAAAGACATCCAAATAGTAAAAGAAGAAGTTATTTCTTTTCACTGACAATATAATTCTATGCCTAGAAAACCCTAAAGACTCCACCAAAAGGCTCCTAAAACTGACAAATGACTTCAGTAAATTTTTAGGATACACAATCAATGTACAAAAATCAGTAGCATTTTAATACACCAATAACATTCAAAGCTGAAAGCTTAAGCAAGAACACATTCCCATTTACAATAGACACAAGAAAATAAAATACCTCAGAACATATCTAACTAAGGACATGAAAAATCTCTACAAGGAGAACTATAAAACACTGCTAATAGAAATCATAGATGACAAAAGCAAGTGGAAAAAATATTCTGTGCTCATATATTGAAAGAATCATCATTGTTAAAATGGCCATACTGCTCAAAGCAATCTGTAGATTTGTTGCTGTTTCTGTCGAACTACCAACATCATTTTTCACAGAATTAGAAGAAACTCTTCTAAAATTTATATGAAACCAAAATAGTCAAATAGCCAAAGCAATCCTAAGCAAAAAGAACAAAGATGAAAGCACCATCATTACCCAACTTCAAACTATACTACAAAACTACAGTGACCAAAACAAGAGGGTACTGGTACAAAACTAGAAATATAGACCAATGGAACAGAACAGACAGCTCAGAAATCAAGCAGCACACCTACAACTATACGATCTTTGACTAAGTTGACAATAACAAGCAATGGGGAAAGGACTCCCTATTCAATAAACGGTGGTAGGGAAACTGGCTAACCACATGTAGAAGAATGAACCTGTAGTTCCCTTACCTTAACTTAAGATGACTTAAAGATTTGAGACCACCAACTATAAAATTCCCAGAAGAAAACCTAGGAAATACCATTCTGGACATCAGCTTGGCAAAGAATTTATGGCCAAGTCCTCAAAAGCAATTGCAAAAAAAAAAAAAAAAAAAAAAAAAAATTGACAAATGGGACCTAATTAAATTAAAGAACTTCTATACAGCAAAAGAAACTGTGAACACATTCAATGGACAATCTACAGAATGGGAGAATATATTTGCAAAGTATGTATCTGACAATGAGCTAATACTCAAGAATCTATAAGGAACTTAAAGAAGTCAGCAAGAAAAAAACAAATAACCCTATCAAAAAGTAGGCAAATGACATGAACAGACACTTCTCGAAAAAAGACACACAAGCAGCCAACAATCAAATGAAAAAATCCTCAACATCACTGATCATCAGAGAAATGCACATCAAAACCACAAAGAATTACCATCTCATACCAGTCAGAATGGCTTCATTAAAAAGTCAAAAAATGACAGATGTTGGAAAGGCTGCAGAGAAAATGGAATGTTTATACACTGTTTGTGAGAATGTAAATAAGTTCAGTCACTGTGGAAAGCAGTTTTGAGATTTCTCAAACAACTAATAATAGAACCAGCTCTCCCATTTGAACCAGTAATCCCATTACTGCATATATACCCAAAGGAAAATAAATCATTCTACCAAAAAGACACATGCACTCATATGTTCATCATAGCACTATTCATAATAACAAAGACGTGGAATCAACCTAGATGCCCATCAACAGAGGCTTGGATAAATAAAATGTGGTACATATAGACCCTTTTTATAAGCAGCAATAAAAAAGAATAAAACTATGTCCCTCCCAGCAATACGGATGCAGCTGGAGACCATTATCCTAAGCAAATTAACACAGAAACAGAAAATCAAATACAGCATGTTCTCACTTAGAAGTAGGAGCTAATTCTCGGGTACACATGTACGTAAAGATGGGAATAGTAGACACTAGAGACTTCAAAGGCAGAGAAAGGTCTGAAAAACGTTCTATTGGATAGTATTTTTACTATCTAGATGATGGGATTGATAGAAGCCCAAACCTTAGCATCATGAAATCCACCCTTACAACAAGTAGTCCCAAATCTAAAATAAAAATGAAAATTAAAACCAAAACATAATCACTACCTGTATAATTGATAAAATCACAATGCAGTAAACGTTTTTGGTGTCCATTTAAGTAATTTACTGAAAGTTTATATGAAAATTTGCAAAAGTCTGTAGCATTATTAAAGTGAAGCATATTTATACATGGAAGAAAAATGGAAAAGAAAAGAAGAGCTATCAAAAAAGAATGTCACAATTAACCAAGTAACTTTAAAAGTGATATTACGTTACAATGTTAATAAATGACTGCACTCTATAAATGTACTTTTTATGATAGGATATTTAATTACCTATTAAGCTGTATTGGCCACTTTGCATCAATAATCAAGTCAATAATCTGCAACTTTTAAATTCCCTTAACATGAATTTACGGGATACACTCCAATAGCCCCAAGACTTTTTGGTCTATTGGACCATTGACCTGAAATTTACTAAACTGTCAAATGCATATTTACATGAGAGACTGGAAAAGCTTTTGCACCAAGTCAATGACCTACTTCTTCAAAATGCTTAAGAGTACATTTACATGAAAGAACATGTTCTTTTCTTTTTCTTTATTTTTTTTAACAGCTTCAGTATGTATTTCCTTTAGAGCAGAGGAATTATGCCCTATTTTGTCAGTAATGTATAGTATGAAACAAAGCTTGATAAAATAAATTTTATGGGCCCAGTAGAAATATTATCATACTAGTAGGATAATATTACCATGTTTAAATAAACTCACATTCATATTTTTTTCTATCTGACAAATAATACCCTTATTTAGGCCCATCTTCCTAAACTAAGTTTTAGATAAATATTTGCTATATTTTGTTATAATAAAAATACTTTGAGATACATTAATTACTAATTGACTTTGTAGCATATTTCCCCACAATATCAACTGAATTTTCTCATATTAAACTATTTAAAGTACCACATCCATTTTCTGACACAATTGTGATAGCATATGTAGAGCTATTTAAAATTTCTATTGCAGAGATTAATAGATCTGGAGAGGTAGATTATACTGATTTTACTTTCTTTTACTTTACAATGAGAATGTTAAATTAGTTAAACCATATAAAAGACCTAAACTATACCTAACTTCAGTTGAAAGTTTGATAATTCAATTTTTCCTGTGCTCTAACAAACTTTAGAAAAGAATCAAAAAGTAAAAATATTACATAATATGGTTTTGGGTTGACTGAATTTTTTTGTTTCAATCACAGTTTACCTAAGACTCATTTTAGTTTTTAAACATTTGTTGAAGATTTTTGAAAAATACATCATCAATTATATTTATTGCTTAGTTAGATCCCTAATGAGGCATGAAATAAAGTGAGTGAGGCAAAAAGATTTTGATTTTTTTATTAAAATGTTTATTTTTATTTGAATACCTATAATCATTATACTACACATGTAAAAGATTTAATTTATATACTTTACACTGAAATTTTGTTCTTTTCACTATTATTATTCAATACCAGCTAATTGAATTATTTTGGCAATCAAATATTTAACACAGAAAATGATACAGGTCCATTGAAGATTTTTGTTTCTTTCTTGGTTATAGCAGTTTAACATCTTGGGAATAAAATTCATAAGCCAATTCTTAATAGTGCTTTACAAATAAAAGTGATTTTTAGAATATATACCTAAGTTAGGAATATATACCTAAGTTAGGTATAATAATTAGGCCTCTAAATTTCTAGAGTCAGAAATGCTGAACTTTTGAAACCTCTGTTGATAACCATCTTAAAGCAGGTCAAAATTTGCTACATAATTACTTGGCAAAATTCCAGTACATACATTTTGGAAAAGCGTAATATCGACTTTTATTTCTCCTATCCTGGGTGGTAATAGAACTTGTAGTATTTGAGAAATGTGTTATATTTCTGTCAGTCAGGCCCGACCTGTCTCCTGTTTTATTTAAACTTGACTAAGGAAAGTAAATATGGCCATTCTGTTTCCAATTTCAAAAATATTTCTACTGAGCATCAGAGTTATGCAGTTTTCTCCCCCATCTTACTACATAGTTCCATTTGCATCATCCAAATTCTTTCATTCCTGTACTAACAGCCATGCCAGAAACTCAGTAATGGAAATAAAAGAGGTGGCTGCATCCAAATTATAATCTTAAACACCAAAGTTGTGTTTACATCAATTCTCTTTGCTGGTGAATTGTATGGAGGGTGGATTCAGTCTGAGGCAGGTCTGCCGTTAGATTTGTCTAGTGTCACTTGCTTATCTCCCATATAGAAGCAGTTCACAAAGCCTTGAGTAGATTCAGCATAAAAGCAGACTATTACCTCAAGCCAGAAAAGGATTTTTTAAGTACTTTGCTATCTGCTGATAAAGGAATTCTAAGGCTTTAAATCTTGCATTATTTATGTACTACACAGCCCATGAAGAAAATGATCTGCCACAGCCTTAAGGATGAGATAATAAATTCTTTAGCTTCAAGGTAACAAAATAAAAATGCCATGATCTTTAGCTAATAATCTCTTGTAAGAAAGGTCAATAACTGCTAGAGAAAAAGAAAGGCAAGTTTTAAGTCTATGACTGAATAAAATCTAATTTTGAAAAGGTTTTGTTTTATTTTGTGTTTTGTTTTATTTTGTATTTCATCAAGTAGAAAATGGGCCTGTGCCGGGCGTGGTGGCTCACGCCTGTAATCCCAGCACTTTGGGAGGCCGAGGCGGGCGGATCACGAGGTCAGGAGATTGAGACCATCCTGGCTAACACGGAGAAACCCGTCTCTACTAAAAAAAATACAAAAAATTAGCCGGGTGTGGTGGCAGGCTCCTGTAGTCACAGCTACTTGGGAGGCTGAGGCAGGAGAATAGCGTGAACACGGGAGGCGGAGCTTGCAGTGAGCCGAGATCACGCCACTGCACTCCAGCCTGGGTGACAGAGCGAGACTCCATCTAAAAAAAAAAAGAAACAAAAGAAAATGGGTCTGAAGTTATTGTATCAATAAAGCATTTAGTCATGCATTACTTAGTGATCAAACATTAGAATTAATATACTAAACCATAGATATTACTCAAATATTTGAAGCATAGTCCTTGAATGCCCAAGTCGTTTTGTTTTTTATTACATACCAGTTAACCATTGGTTACAGAAATTTCCACCCACATATAATATTTAAATAATGTAGCAAATGAAATTGAACATTGAAAAATAATAACCAGAAATAAAAAACTGTTGGCAGTAAGAAGACAGAAAGGAAAGTACCTTAAAAATTATCTAAAACCACCTCATTTCTCGGAAGAAAAATGATAGAACAGAACAGTATTAGGTAACGATTTAAGAGTTTATGAACCAGTATTAAGAAGAAAACATACTCATGTTAAATTATATTTCTTCTACATCAACAGAAACTTTTTTCTTTCTTTCTTTTCTCTTTCTTTCTTTCTTTCTTTCTTTCTTTCTTTCTTTCTTTCTTTCTTTCTTTTGTCTCTCTTCTTTCTCTCTTTCTCTCTCTTTCTTTTTTTTTTGATAGAGTTTCACTCTTGTCACCCAGGTTGGAGTGCAATGGCACTATCTCGGCTCACTGTAACCTACGCCTCCCCAGTTCAAGCAATTATCCTGCCTCAGCCTCCTAAGTAGCTGGGATTACAGGCATGTGCCATGACGCCCAGCTAATTTTTTGTATTTTTAGTCGAGACGGGGTTTCACCATGTTGGTCAGGCTGGTCTCAAACCCCTGACCTCAGTTTATCCACCCGCCTTGGCCTCCCAAAGGAAACATTTTATTTCTAAAACAATTGGTATAAATATCACAATAAATATATATATGAGTCGAAGTTGCTGGTTTCAAACATTTAAAGCTACTTTGAATTTATTGAAGATTTAAAATAAAATGTTTTTAATTTTAGTACACACACACACACACACACACACACAACTTAATATGGTCATTTGAATGTAAAGCCTTGCCACTCTAGTACATTCGTAGGCTAGAAAAAAGACAAAGTTAACTAGGACACATAAGAATAAGGGACATTTTCTTCTAGAAGAAGCATCAACATTATTAGACTCATATGTCTTCTTTTGTAGCCCATATTAATATCCTGTCTATTTACAGTCACACCAGCTGATTTGGCTTGTAATGTCAGTCAAAGTAACACAAACAGTCTTCTAGTGATAAACAAAAAAAGGGACATATTTAAGTCCTTACATAAATTTTAAGATTCACCTACTATACATGAAGTTATAAGGTAACCCCAAGACTTAAACGTATTATCAACAGAAACATTGAAGATAAGACAATATACAAATACTTAAAAGACATAGAGGACATACAGGAGGACCGCGGAGACTGCGTTTGCCCCGCGAGGACAGAGCCTCCCCCTCGCCGCCCCACCGCCGGTCCACACCCGCAGTCAGCTCACCATGATGATATCACCGGGCTTGTAGTCAGCAAAGGCTCCTGTATGTGCAAGACCAGCTTCGCAGGCGACGATGCCTCCGGGGCCGTCTTCCCATCCATCGTGGGGCGCCCCAGGCACCAAGGTGTGATGGTGGGCATGGGTCAGAAGGACTCCTAGTGGGTGACGAGGCCCAGAGCAAGAGAAGCATCCTGACCCTGAACTAGAACGACATGGAAGATTGGGCACCACACCTTCTACAACCAGCTGCCTGTGGCTCCTAAGGAGCACCCCGTGCTGCTGACCGAGACTCCCTCAACCCCAAGGCCAACCACGAGAAGATGAACTAGATCACGTTTGAGACCTTCAGCACCCCAGTCATGTACGTGGCCATCCAGGCCGTGCTGTCCCTGTGGGCCTCTGGCCGTACCACTGGCACGGTGATGGACTCTGGTGAAGGGTCACCCACACTGTGCCCATCTATGAGGGGTATGCCCTCTACCACGCCATCCTGCATCTGGACCTGGCTGGCCGTGGAGTGACTAACTACCTCATGAACATCCTCACCCAGCGCCTACAGCTTCACCACCACTGCCAAGCAGGAAATTGTGGATGACATCAAGGAGAAGCTGTGCTAGGTCGCCCTGGACTTGGATCAGGAGATGGCCATGCTTGGCCTCCAGCTCCTTCCTGGAGAAGAGCTATGAGCTACCCTACATCCAGGTCATCACCATCTGCAACCAGCTGTTCTGCTGCCCCAAGGCGCTCTTCCAGCCTTCCTTCCTGGGCATGAAATCCTGTGGCATCCACGAAACTACCTTCAACTCTATCATGAAGTGTGACATGGACATCCACAAAGACCTGTACGTCAACACAGTGCTGTCTGGCAGCACCACCATGTATCCTAGCATCGCCAACAGGATGTAGGAGATCACTGCCCTGGCGCCCAGCACCACGAAGCTCAAGATCACTGCTCCTCCGAGCGCAAGTACTCCCTGTGGATCGGCAGCCCCATCCTGGCCTCCTTTCCACCTTCCAGCAGATGTGGATCAGCAAGCAGGAGTATGACGAGTCCGGCCCCTCCATTGTCCACTGCAAATGCTTCTAGGCAGACTGTAACTTAGTTGCATTACACCCTTTCTTGACAAAACCTACCTTGCACAGAAAACAAAATGAGATTGACACATGGCTTTTTTTGTTTGTTTGTTTTTGTTGTTGTTTGTTTGTTTTTTGGCTTGACTCAGGAACAAAGGTGATAGCAGCCGATTGGAGCAAGCATTCTCCAAAGTTCTACAATGTGGCCTAGGACTTTGATTGCACATTGTTCTTTTTTTAATAGTCATTCCAAATATCGTGAGATGCATTGTTACAAGAAGTCCCTTGCCCTCCTAAAAGCCACCACACTTTTCTCTAAGTAAAACGCCCTAGTCTGCTCCTGAGTCCACACAGGGGAGGTGATAGCATTGCTTTCATGTAAATTATGTAATGCAAATTTTTTAAAATCTTCACCTTAATTTTTTTTATTTTGTTTTATTTTGAATGATCAGCCTTTGTGGCTCCCCCTTTTTGTTCCCCAACTTGAGATGTATGAAGGCTTTTGGTCTCCCTGGGAGTGGGTGGAAGTAGTCAGGGCCTACTTGTACACTGACTTAAGACCAGTTGAATAAAAGTGCACACCTTAAAAAAAAAAAAAAAAGACATAGAGGAATAAATACTACCATACATGCAAAATGGGGTTTTGAGCAGAGATGAGCAATAAATTCAGCAGGTTAATATATTTTTGATTGGTGTAAGCAAGCAGTAATGTTTGTTCTGGCACTGAATTTAAGTGAGAATTTATAGAATGAGTCTATGTTTTAGAATTACTCAGGAACATAGTATATAGTTTTGCTGAGATGTTTTTGCAAAGATAGAAATATTCTCAAAATGATAGGTTGCACATCTACCTGAAACTCTACTCCATAGCATATTCGGGTCCTTACAAACCATCAGAATTGACATGAGTATCATGCATATCAAGTTTACAATAAATTGTATTTAAAGGGAGTAAAAAAAGGCTATAGTAATCAAGTCAGTGACAACAGAATTATATATTTGCCAGGCATGAAAACACGGCAGTGAAGAAATTCACTAAGCCACTCTTTCGGGGGACTGGGTTTTTATGTGACAGAAAGAAGAAATTTGTTGTGTTATGAGAATGCTCCTTGCATAGGAAGAAATGGTCCCACAAGGCAGCACCTCTTTATTTAAAACATTGTTTATTATCAGTGAAGAATTTTTCATTAGGATGGGTGAGATGCTCCTTGTATTTGAGTTGCTCAAAGTTCTTAGTAGTGTTACTTAGAACTAGCATTCATTTTGATGTCCCTTAAGTATTACTGCAAATGAAAGTTATATTACACCAAAGGAGCAAAAGAGCAGATATTCAAAGACTGGTCTAATATGAAAGCAGAGCCAGAGACTAGCCACCTTATGAAGTCTGAGCAAGGGCAAACCAGAGAACTAGAGCCCAGAGGGCATTCCAATAACAGAGCCAAGAAAATATAGACAAAGACAAGAAGAAACAAAAATGCAATAATGATCTTTCAAAGAAAAGTTCATTATTATTAAAGTTGCCTGACATCTGCCACAAGGAAGTTGCTGAAAAGCCCAGGGTCCTGTTTCTAAAGATGTACTTCCTCTGATTAAAAAGTCATTTTATTGGCCTTGGATAAATTCTTAGGACATAAACATTTAATTTTTTTTCTGTGAAGGACAATTCTCTAAAGAATTGAAATATATAACAAAACTGTGTGTTTGTACATACATTTTTACTTAACATTTGTCCCATCCATAGATTTTATTAAGTAGTCATCAAAGATGTTTACTAATTTAAGTAAAATGTCTTTATTTCATCTAGAAATACTTTTTTACATATGAAATGTGATACATAATCTAATCTTTCTGTGGAATAGTCTATTGAGACAACCTGTTAAATTCAATGTTTTTATTATCAATAAAGTCTCATATATAGTGTAATATACTTCTGGATTTTCTTTCTTACATCTTTCCAAGCCCTTTGTCAATACCACGTTGCTTTGATTACAGTGGCTTTAAAATATAGTCTACCATTTGATCCAGTAATCCCACTACTGGGCATCTACCCAGAGGAAAAGTTGTTATATGAAAAAGATATTTGCACATGCATGTTATAGCAGCACAATTTGCAATTCCAAAAACATGGAACCAGTCCAAATGCCCATCAATCAACAAATGGATAAAGAAATTGTGGCATATATACACGATGGAATACTACTCAACCATAAAAAGGAAGGAATTAATGGTATTCACAGTAACCTAGATGGAACTGGAGACTATTATTCTAAGTGAAATAACTCAGGAATGTAAAACCAAACACTGTATGTTCTCACTCATAAGTGAGAGCTAAGCTATGAGGATGCAAAGGCATAGGAATGATACAATGAACTTTGGGGACTTGGGGCAAAGCGTAGGGGGTGGTGAGAGATGAAAGACTACAAATGGAGTTCAGGGTATGCTGCCCAGACGATTGGTACACCAAAATCTCCCAAATCACCATTAAGGAACTTACCATTAAGGAACTTACTCACCATTAAGGAACTTACACCATTAAGGAACTAACTAAATACCACCTGTTCACCAAAAACCTATGGAAATAAAAAATTTTTTTTTAAATCATAAAAATGGGCAACCAGCAGGCCTTGGGGCTGCTCTGCATATATAGTAGGCATTGTTTTATGCCTTTAGTTTCTTAATAAATTTACTTTCACTTTAAAAAGTCTCATATTCACTACTACATACTACTTGCTCCTACTGTTCTTTTTCTATCTATTCTTACAGTTAAAATTTAGTACCATTTAACGCTAAAACATGAAAGAATAGTTTAGATATCCTAAATAAAATTATATCAAATTTATATATTAATGTTGGAAAAATTTACACTTTTATTGTATTTTTTCCACCCAAGAAAATTATTTACTTTGCATTTTCAATATTGTTTTATGTCCTTCAATAAGATGTCTGTAGTTTTCTTTTTATTAGTTACTTGTACGTATTTTCCTCTTAAATGTATTATGTTAAAGTTTTATCAGTTTAAGTCTGCAATGAATTGTGTTTAAAATTTACATTTCAATATATGTAAATGAGATTATAATTTTTCGATGCTTTTTTTTAGCCTCATAAAATTAATTAGGAGATTTCTGTCTTGTCTATTATTAAATATACCTTAAATAGTATTTGAAGTTCTAAAAACCCATTAAACATGAGAAAGAAATCAGTTGTGAAAAAGTCAGGTGATAGTGTTTGTTTTAAGGTTGATCTTTAATTATCTTCGCATTCTTAAACGTCTTTTCAAGTTTTCTTCATGATCCTGGGTTTATTTTAATAATTTAAATTTAGGTAGAAAACGCTCCGTTTTCTCTAGCCTTTCAAATTTGTTTCCAAAGAGTTAAGAGTAGTATTTCCATTTTACCTTTGAAAATGTCTGTCTTTTGCATGACTAATCTATATTGTTTCTCTCTTTTTACCCTGAGTTCATGTGGGATATACCTATTTTCTTCATCTTTTCAAAAGAAAAATACTGTACTCACCCAAACTTTGTATAATTTATTATTCTTGCTTTATTAAATTCAGTTATATGCTTGTGCTTCCTTTTGTCTTGGATGTATTATTAAAAATTTTAAATGAGTAATTATTTTTAAAGTTTTAGTCATACTGCTTTCTAATATAAGCACATATATAATACCTTGTCCTATAAGTAGAGATTGTTCTGTGACTCAAAATTATGATAATGACATGTTCCACCTTTTGTTGCTTCCAAAAGGTTTTGTAATCTCATTTTTAATTACTATTATGTTCCAAATGATACATGATAAAATGCTTTTAAAATTCCAATGATTCAACAGTTATATTCAATTGTATTTGAATAAATGGTTAATATTTTTACTTGATAAAGGTATGCTTTGTGTCCAACTATTGACTTATATTTTTCATATTTTCATTGAAGTGTAGCATACATATATAAAGGTACAAAAATGATTAATATATAGCACAATGAATGAACAAAAGTAAGCACAGAGGTGTGAAACACAATATTTCTAATAATCCAGAAGTTTTTTTAATGCTACTCCAAATGTCTATTCGAACACCAAAGGTAACAACCTGAATTCTATGCTGCAATTTAGTCTTGCCTAGTTTTGGCCTTTTTATAAGAAGGACACAATATGTCTGTTGATGCTTCTTTCCCTCAATATTATATGTGTAACATTAATTCCTGCTGTTATATGTGATTATTGCTTGTTCATTATCATTGCTGACATATTCAGGATTTTATTATATGAATATATCATAATATGTGATATTTTCTAACATGGAAAGACATTTGTTTTTTTCCAGTTTAGAATGATTACAAAAATAGTCTTCTAAGTAATCACATATGCATTCATCCTTGTGGATTAATACTTAGAAGTGAAATTACTTGGTGACAAATGTACAATTACAGTTAATGATCTTTAACAGCTTTACAAAATAGTTACTTCCACTCCCACTAACAATGTTTACGAGTTGTTGCTCCACATCCTCACCAATATTCAGCATTGTCAAGCGTGGTAATTCAACCATTCTGGTCATACGCAGTGGTATAAAGATTAGACTATGATTTGTATTTGCCTATTAATGAGATTGAACACTTTTTTGTATGTTTATTAATTATGTTTCTATCCTTGTTGTGAAAGACATATTCAAGTTTCTTACTCAGTTTTTATTTTCTGAATTGTCAGTCTTTTTCTCATTGATGTGCAGGAGTTTGTTATATCCCTGGTGGAAATTTTATTAGATATATAAACTACAAATAGATTCTCCCATTTTCTGATTTGTTCCTTCATTCTCTTTTCTTCAATAAATTTTCGTTAAAATTTTTATTTTGAGATTATCATAGATTCACATGCAATTGTAAAAAATAATAGACATTCCATATACTCTGTACTCAGTTTCTCCTAGTGGTAACATCTTACAAAACTGTGGAATAATCTCACAGCCAGAATATTGACATTGATGCACCAACATGTAGAACAGTTCCATCACCACAGGGATCTCCCATATTGCTCTTACATAGCCACAACTATTTCTCTCCTCCATTCACTCCCCTTTTAACAACTGGCAACCACTAATCTTGACTTCATTTCTATAATTTTATCATTTCAAGAAAGTTTTACAAGTGGAATTTTACAGTATGTAATTCTTTCACATACTGTAATTTTACAGTATGTAATAGCTTCTTTAATTCAATATAATTCTTTGGATATTCAATGAGGTTGCTGTGTATATCAATAGTTTATTTCTGGTTATTGAAGAGAGGCATTTCATAGTATGGTTATAACGCAGTTTTTTTTTTATTATTTTTATCATTCATCCATTGAAAGATATCTGAGTTGTTTTCAGTTTGCAGCAATTCAAAATAAAGCTGATACAAATATCCTTGTATAGGTTTTTTTTTTGTGTGAACGTATGTATTTATCTCTCTGAGATAAATGCCCAGGAGTGATATTTCTGGGTTATATGTAGCTACATGTTTAGTTTTTTTTACATCAGTATCACTACAAACACATGAGTAAAGCATTGCACTGGGATGTTTCAATGACTATGACTTCACTGGGCAATAGAAATTTTTCAGCTCCATTGTAATCATAAAAGACCACCATTGTATATGCAATCCATTGTTGACTAAAATTTCACTATACATCACAAAACTGTGTTCTCTATTTTAGCCTTTCTGTTAAATAAATAGTGATCTCTAACTGTGGTTTTAATTTGCATTTCCCTAATGGCTAATGATGATAAGTATTTTTATAACATTATTTGCCTTTTATACTATATACAATGAAATATCTCTTTATTTCTTTTGCCTATTTTATAATAAAATTTAAACATTTTTTTCTGTTGACTTTTGAGAGTTCTTTGTATATTGAAGATACCAGTCTTAGTCAGATATACAGTTTGCCAATTTTTTTTCCATTCAGTAACATTTTTTCATCCTATTAACATGGTCTATGCAGAGTAAAATTTTCCAATTTTGATGGTGTATAATTTATTAATATTTTCATTTATAAGTCATGCTTTTGGTGCTCAGCCCAAAAACTCCTTGCTAGTTCTAAGTCTCAAAGATTTTTTCTTTGTTTCTTTCTAAAAGTTTCATAGTTTTACATTACATACTTATGTCCAAGAACCTTTTGTATAAAGTGTGAGAACTATGTTGAGGATCATTATTTTTTGCATGGGGATATGCAATTGCTTCAGTGTCATTTGTTGAAAAAGTGAGTCTTTTCCCATCAAATTGTTTTCTCACTTCTGACAAATATCAGTTGGTCATTGCTATGATTTGAATATGGTTTGTTGTCATCCAAACTCATGTGGAGGCTTGGTACCCAATGCAGATGTGTTAGGTGGAAACATCTTTAAGAGGCATTTGGGTCATACGTGATCCACCCTCACAAAAGGATAAATGCAGTTTTGGAAGAATAAATGAGTGAGTTATTTCTCTCTCAGGACTGAGTAAGTTACTGCTAGAGTAGAATGTTATAAAGTGGGTCAGTTGCCTTGGTCCTCTCGTTCTTTGTACATGCCTACAGGCTGATTTGTTTCTCTGTCATGTCTTATCACAAGATACAGACCTCACCAGAAACTGAGCAGGTGTTGCTGTCATGCTCTTAGACTTTCCACAAAAATTGAGAGAAATAAACTTCTTCTCTTACCCAGCCTCAGGTATTCTGTTAGGGCAGCACGAAATGAACCAAGACAGACATACCTCTGGGAGTTTGCTTCTGGATTCTGGATTCTGTTCTATTGATTTATATATCTATTCTTTCACCAATATCACAGAGTCAAGGTGTTGGCAGGGCTGGCTTTTTTCAGAGGCTCCCGGGGATAATCTGTTTCTTGTTTCTTCATACTTCTGGTGGCTGCTGGCATTCCCTGGCTTGTGGCCTCATCATTCCAATCTCTGCTTTTATCATCACATTGCCTTCTCTAATTCTGTCATCAAAATACTCTCCGCCTTCATTTTTTAAAGACACTTAGACGTAATGTGTTTACAATTAGATGTAACCTGAATAATCCAGGACAATCTCTAAATCTCAAAATTATTAATCTGATCACACCTATAAAGTCCCACTTGCTATATATAACATTTATAGTTACAGGGGATTAGGATCTCTATGCCTTTGGATATCACTATTCAGGCTACCACATAGAATATGATTTGCATATCATATAATTAATTCACTTTGAATATTCAATTTAGTAAATTTTTGTTAAATGTACAAAACTGTACAACCATAAGCGCAAGAAAAGTTAGAATGTTTTCTTTACCCCAATTTTCACTTACTCTCTCTTACCCAGCTCCATGCATCTGCTAACCTACTTTCTGTCAGTCACTATAGATTTGACTATTTCATATATGGAAATTTCATATAAGTGGAATTACATGTGTAATTTTGTGTCTGTCTTCTTCCACTTAGCATAATCTTTTGAAGTTCATCCATGTTGTATTATGTATCAGTATTCTATCCATTTGATTGATTAATAATATTCCATTACATGGATATATCACATTTTATCCACCCAATTCACCCTTGATAAACATTTGGATAGTTTTCACTTTTTGACCATTATTTAAAATGCCATTATGAACACTCATATACAGGTCTCTATATGCACATATGTTTTTATTTCTATTTGGTAGAAATCTGGGAGTGATATTTCTGGGTCCTATAGCAAAGTATGTTTAACATTTTATAAAACTTTCAAGCTGTTTTCCAAGGTAGCTGCAAAATTTTACATTCCAATGAAGACTGTACGAGAGTTCCAGTTTTTCCACATGCTTGACAAGTCTTGCTATTGCTTGTCGTTTTTGTTACAGTCATTTTACAAGATGTGGTTTTCATATGCATTTTCTTAATGGCAAAAAATGTTAAGCACACTTTCATGTGCTTATTGACCATTTTATGTAATCTTTTGTGAAACGGCTATTCAAGTAATTTGATTGTTTTAAACCACTGTTTGTCATAGTATTGAGTCATAAGCTTTCCTTATATATTCCAGGTAAATTTTCTTTATCAGGCATATAATTTGCAAATATTTTCTAACAGTGTATGGCTTATCTTTTTATTTTCTGAATGTTATTTTTGGAAATAAAAAAGTTTTTAATTTTGACAGAGCCTAATTATTTTTTATAGATTGTATTTTTTTCTTGTGTATTTGACTGACAATCTGGTAGCAATTCGTTGTTCCTATACAACTCAATTTCCACCCACGTCCTTTGTGATATCATTGTCTCATCTATCACCTCTTTATATTAGCCTAAACAGTACCCTTTGATAATTATTGCTTTACATACTTGTCTTTCAAATAAATGAAGAGAAAAAAAGGTAAATCTATACTTATACTCCTTTTTATGATTACTCATGTAATTAGCCTTCCTAGTGATCTTTATTTTTTCATCTGGATTCAAATTGTCATCTGGTGTCACTTCTTTTCTTTTCTTTTCTATTATACTTTAAGTTCTGGGATACATGCGCAGAACCTGCAGGTTTGTTACGTAGGTATACACGTGCCATGGTGGTTTGCTGAACCTATCAACCCTTCTCCTACATTAGGTATTTCTCCTAATGCTATCTCTCTCTTAGCCCCCCACCCCTCGACAGGCCCCAGTGTGTGATGTTCCCCTTCCTGTGTCCATGTGTTCTCATTGTTCAACTTTCACTTACGAGTGAGAACATGCAGTGTTTGGTTTTCTGTTCCTGTGTTAGTTTGCTGAGAATGATGGTTTCCAGCTTCATCCATGTCCCTGCAAAGGACGTAAATTCATCCTTTTTTATGACTGCATAGTATTCCATGGTGTATATGTGCCACATTTTCTTTATCCAGTCTATAACTGATGGGCATTTGGGTTGGTTCCAAGTCATTGCTGTTGTGAATAGTGCTGCAATAAACATACGTGTGCATGTGTCTTTATAGTAGAATCATTTATAATCTTTTGGGTATATACCCAGTAATGGAATTGCTGGGTCAAATGGTATTTCTGGTTCTAGATCCTTGAGGAATTGCTACACTGTCTTCCACAATGGTTGAACTAATTTACGCTCCCAGCAACAGTGTAATAGCATTCCTATTTCTCCACATCCTCTCTAGCATCTGCTGTTTCCTGACTTTTTAATGATCGCCATTCTAACTGGCATGAGATGGTATCTCATTGTGGTTTTGATTTGCATTTCTCTAATGATTGGTGAGGATGAGCTTTTTTCATATGTTTCTTGGCTTCATAAATGTCTTCTTTTGGGAAGTGTCTGTTCATATCCTTTGCCCACTTTTTGATGGAGTTGTTTGTTTTTATTCTTGTAAATTTGTGAAAGTTCTTTGTAGACTCTGGATATTAGCCCTTTGTCAGATGGATAGATTGCAAAAATGTTCTCCCATTCTGTAGGTTGCCTATTCACTCTGATGATAGTTTCTTTTCCTATGCAGAAGCTCTTTAGTTTAATTAGATCCCACTTGTCAATTTTGACTTTTGTTGCCATTGCTTTTGGTGTTTTAGTCATGAAGTCTTTGCCCATGCCTATGTCCTGAATGGTATTGCCTAGATTTTCTTCTATCTTTTTTATGGTTTTAGGTCTTACATTTATGTCTTTAATCCATCTTGAGTTAATTTTTGTGTAAGGTGTAAGGACGGGGTCCAGTTTCAGTTTTCCGCATATGGCTAGCCACTTTTCCCAACACTATTTATTAAGTACGGAATCCTTTCCCCATTACTTGTTTTTGTCAGGTTTGTTAAAGATCAGATGGTTGTAGATGTGTGGCATTATTTCTGAGGGCTCTGTTGCATTCCATTGGACTATATATCTGTTTTGGTACAAGTATCATGCTGTTTTGGTTACTATAGCCTTGTAGTATAGTTTGAAGTAAGGTAGCCTGATGCCTCCAGCTTTGTTCTTTTTGCTTAGGATTGTCTTGCCTATAAAGGCTCTTTTCTGGTTCCATATTAAATTTAAAGTAGTTTTTTTCTAATTCTGAGAAATCTTCTTTAGTATTTATTGTCAGGCAGATCTTCTAGCAACAAATTTTCTTGGCCTTTGTTTTCTGAAAATACCATTATTTTCCTTTCATTTTTGAAGGATACTTTTGCTAGATATAGAAATCTTGGTTGACAGAGCTTTCTTTAGCACTTTGAACCTGTCATCTCACTTTCTTCTGGCCTCTATTGTACCTGATGAGAAGTTAGCCATCAGTCTTATTACAGTTTCTTTAGATATGACAAGTGCTTTTTTCTCTGGCTGCTTTCAAAATTGTTTTTCTTTGTCTTTGTCTTTCAAGTTATACTATGATCAGTCTAGGAATATATACATGTATATTTATGTGACTCAAAATTGAGGTTTGAAGTAAGTAAATGAACATTTTTCATCAAATCTGTGGAATATTTTGTCATTATTCAAATATTTTGTGTCTGTTTCTTTTTTCTCTTCTTATGGAAATTCCATTGCATATATACATTGATGTCTTTCGAAATCTTTTTATTTTTCTTCATTCTTTTTCCCAGAATTTCTACTTGATTTTTTTTTACATTTTCTATTTATTGATATTATCTATTTTATAAATTATTGTCATTAAAGTTTCCTTAAAATTTTAAACGTGGTTTCCTTTAGTTGTTTGAACAGATGCATAACAGTTGTTTTGAAGTCTTTGCTAAGTTTACCTCGGTGGTCATTTCAGAAACAATTTTGATTATCTGCTCTTTTTCCTCTGTGGAGTCACATCTTCTTGTTTCTCTGCATGTCTCTTAACTTGTTGTTGTTAAAAACTTTAATTTGAAAATAATTTATTATATTCACTCTGAGTTCTCTCCCCTAATCTGGTGTTGGTTTCTTAGTTGTTTATATAGTGAATTACCTAGATTAATTATTTGGACTGTTTCTTTCATGGTATATACCCTCTGGTGTCTCCTCTCAATTACTTTTTAATTCTTGTTTTTATCTCTAGCCTTGGCTTCCTAGGGTTATCTCTGGGTTAGCATACCTTAGTGGAAAGCCAGTGATAGGTCAGAGATTTTACTTACCAGCTCGTTCCAGAAAGGCTTATACACATTGTCAATGAATCTGTACATGGCTTCAGAAGTGGTTTCAAAATTCAGGCACTTTTCAAATCTTTCCCATTTTATGTTTCTGCATTCTCAGGACATTATACTCAGCTAGAGATGAACAGCTTGTCAAAGCCCTTTCTAATCTCGCCTAAATGGGCTTAACCTTTCATACGTGCACAGGTTTCCAGAATGCCAGAGATAAGTAGGTTTTTAGCAAATTCCTCTTTGTCTCTCTACCTTACTCGATCTCCCTGTTAAGTTCTACTTTGTCCAAATACTACTATGACCTTGGGATAGCTGTGATGTTGGGCTTTGCCAATGTTAGCCCTTTGAAATTGTTATTTTTGATAAGGCTTCTAGGCATGGAATTTTTCATGTTCTACTCCAAATAAAGTCATTCCCATCAGACAGGGCAAGAGACCTGCCAGACATCACAGCTTGCTCTGTCTGCCTCGTTAGAATTTCCATACAAAATTTTCATTCTATGAAGCTGGAAGGGGAAATACCAAAGCAGTGTGAGGCGAAATCACCACAGACTTTCAATTTTGTTCCCAAGATTTAGTAGACATGCATCTTAAATTATTTTATTACTTTTGTCAAGTTTTAAGATATTTAAATGATTGTGTTTGACAATTTTGCTCAGTTTTATCTTCATGCATTTTGGGGAGAGAACTTCCCATTTTTCACTCAAATATTCTGGACATTCTACTCCTCATTTATTTGTTTCAGTAGTTCAATACTCTATTACTGTTTTGAGGTTTTCTATGTTAATGTTTATCGTATCTACAAATACTGGTAATTTTCACTCTTTCAGTTTTTACTACACATTTTTTCTTCCAAATCTTTCATAAAAAGAATGACCATTCACAATATTAACAAAAATTTAGAAGTACTTAGAAGTTAACTATAAAGTGATGCATAAAATATTTATGTAAAAATGTCTAAATTTCAATCTATATCTGATAGAATAAGGTGATATTCTTCTTTTAAAGAATAAAACCAAATGACAACAAAAACTCCTTTCCTCCTTTTTAGCTGGTTATTCTATTCACTCTTTATTGCCTTTGAAAAATCAAAATAAAGAAACCTTTTCATAACAGCCATTCTGACTGGTGTGAGATGATATCACATTGTGGTTTTGATTTGCATTTCTCTGATGATTAGTGATGGTAAGCACTTTTTCATGTTTATTGCTGCTTGTTGGCAAGGCTGCAGAAGAAAGGGAAAACTTATGCACTGTTGGTGGGAATGTAAATTAGTTAAGCCACTGTGGAAAGGAGTTTGGAGATTTTTCAAACAACTAAAAGCAGGACTACCATTCGACCTAGCAATCCCATTACTGGATATATACTCAAAGGAATATAAATAATTCTACCAAAAAGACACATGCACTCCTATTTTCATCACAGCACTATTCACAATAGCAAAGACATGGAACCAACCTAGGAGCCCATCAAGGGATGATTAGATAAAGAAAATGCGGTACATATACACCATTTTTATACACAGTCATGAAAAAGAATGAAACTATATCCTTTGCAGCAATGTAAATGCAGCAGGAAGACATCATCCTAAGCAAATTAATTGGAAAACAGAAAACCAAATATCACATTCTCACTTATAAGTGAGAGCTAAACCTTGGGTACACACAAACATAAAGATGAGAACAATAGTCACTGGGGACTATAAAAAGGGGGAGGGACCTGGCACTGTGGCTCATGCCTGTAATTCCAGCATTTAGGGAGGCCAAGGTGGAAGGATCACCTGAGGTCAGGAGTTCAAGACCAGGCTGGCCAACATTGTGAAACCCCATCTCTACTAAAAAATACAAAAATTACTCAGGTGTGGTGGTGTGAGCCTGTAATTCCAGCTACTCTGGAGGCTGAGGCAGGAGAATCACCTGAACCTAGGAGGTGAAGGTTGCAGTGAGCCAAGATTGCGCCATTGCACTCCAGCCTGGGCAACAGAGTGAAACTCCATCTCAAAAAAAGAAAAAAAGGAAAAAGAAAAAAAAAAAAAAGAAAAAGAAAAGGAAAGGAGGGAGGTAGAGAGGAGGCCAAGGGCTGGAAAACTTCCCACTGGGCACTGTCGCTATCTGGGTGACAGGATCAATAGAAGCCAAACCTCAGCATCAAGCAATATACCCTTGTAAAAAAATCTCCCCATGTATAGCCTGAGTCTAAAATGAAAATTGAAGATTACAGGCCAGTTATTTGAAGGATGTTCCTCAATTTGGTATGTTTAATATTTCCTCATTTTTACACTAAAGTTCGACATCTTTGAAAAGAAGCACAGATGTGATGCTATGTTCTTCCAACTTCCATCAGGTGGCACATAGTTTTGATTTCTCATTACTGGTGTTGTTAACACTGATTACTTGATGAAAATGGTATCTGACAAGCCTTTCCACTGTAATATTACATTTGTTCTTTGACATTTATTAAATATTTGGTGGATAAGTACTTATAATTCATTAAATATCTTGTCATCAAGATTTCTATTTATGGATTTATTTTGTTATTCATTTATTAATTCTTACTTTATTCAATGAATTCTAACCCATTATTATCATGTATTTTGAAGCTCCAATCATTCTACATCTTGCCAGTTGCATCATTTCAAACTGGTTTCTGTGTGAGTCCGACATGTTCTTTCAAATTTTTGAGTATTTCCTTACTTTTTAACACAAGAAGCTATCCAGGTCCATCTCATTTTTTTCCTGGCTCAAACCTAGAATCATCTATTGCTCAAGGATCCCTGGTCCATTTTAGAGAAATGGTAATTAGAATTAAAAACTAGGTTCTAAATGTGCTCCTTGCTATTAGAGTGACCTGCTCCTTAGACCTTTCAGTGGACAGAGATCTTGTGCACACGGATGTTTTTATGTAGACTTGCACATACCTATATACATACACATGCACATATATACACAAATGCACATAAACATACACGTATACACATGTACAAAATTGCATCCGTGATTCTTTTTTAATAAATTTGTCTTTAGATATATTGGAATCCACAAATTCCCACCAATATCTCCAATTCGAATCCAACACAGGTTAATTCTAGTTTTCTCCCTTTTCATACTTGTTAACCTTTTATCCGAGGCCCTCATTTTCTTTAATATAGGAGCTTATTTGATCAGTTTCCCTGAATGCAACCAATCTCCTATTGCCAAGAGTTATATACTTTACCCTCTCTTGGATACTCAATCCCACTTTGGATGCAAACCTTTTTGCCAAGTTGTCACCACAGCTGCCTCCTGCAGAGTTATTCTCCTAACTTCATTTGGACTTTTACACCTCACACTGAAACACGGTCTCCACTCTCCTTTGCCTGGAAGTCATCCTTACCCCCTGAAACTCCAAAACCATGTGCTGGGCCACACAACCTACAAGTACCCCATCCTGTGCTGCTCCTCACATCTTCTCCATCCACACTTGACTTGGGTTCTTACATCCAGGATTGGACTGTCTCCCATCCCCACACAGATGTACTCACCTTGCTCAGTTTCTCCTTCTACAAATACTATGTATTTAAATTATACTAGAAAATGATTTCTTAGAAATAAATTATAGAAAAAGTAATCTAATGGGAATTAAAGAGAAAGTCAAATGCAGAAGATATGGGCTTTTCTTCAAAAATTAAATTATAGAAGAAATGTATAACGCAAATAATTTTCAGAAAGCTAATGAGTAAAGAAAAGATAAGAGAATCTGAATGTGAGCTCATAGGAACTAGCCAGCTTCCAGGATATTAACTTTGTCATGAATGTTATGGTATAAATGATGTTTAAATGCATTCCTTTGATAGAGATACTCATAAAAAATATTTCTGAAATAATTGGGGGGAGCACCCTATTTTCAAAAACATCATTAATAACAATATTAATTTTTATAGAATTTGATATTTTTATAATTTTGAAATTTACTTTTTTATATTTCTAAAGCTTTTCTCTTAAGTCCAGTCATGAATCATTACCATCATTTAGGAGTAAAATAAACAATTTACTTTTATTGCAATCAATGGAATAAAACTTCTGATGGATATCCAGATGTAATCCAATAAAAGTGATATAATTAATACTCTTATTATCTATTTACATATATTAGAAGGAAAAGGAGTGGACAAAAGATTGGGAGTGCCTAGAAGAGGCCATTGCTAAATTAAATGATAGCTATAAACAAAGAGGAAAATAAAAACTATCTTCTTATGTTTTAGGTTAAAGGGACACTCCTGCCAAAGAGCCACATAGAGAAGTTTCATATGATTTTAGCAGAAAATATTTCTAGCTTTATTTATTTTTACAAAAAATGAGTAATGGGAAGTTTGCTCATAATTATAAGGGTAATTTCTTATGCCACCAATGTCCCCATATCTTAGTCTAGGATACTAAACAATCATCTTTGGAAAAGCAAAATCACAATATTCATAATCTTGCCTTGAAGTCATATTTTTCCCTGAAATAGAGAATATTATAGATTAAGCATCATAAAACCTAAGAAGTCTTATGATTTTTTTATACCCAAAGAAAAATTGTTATTCCTATTAGCTACCATGTGCCTTTAAATTAATTTGTATGATTAAATTAAATGATGGGTTTTATGGTTATATAATCAAGGTAACTTTTATTTTTATCCTGTAGATCACTTTATAAAGCACTCACATAGGGCTACAGACTTTCGGTGTGTAATCAGCTCACTGAATCCTGAGAACAGGCTTGTGAGGTACATAGTACTATTGCCATTTTACAGCTAATGATACTGATCAAGATTATATAGCTAAATAGCTGCATGAATTGCTATATTATTCCATATTTTCTTTCAAAAAATGTAAACACAAGGCCAACTCTTACATCTTAAGAATAGACAAAATTTATAAGTATAATAAAATTATATATAAGCAGTCATCAATTGCCACCTTAAGAATGTACATTTCTGAATTACCAAAACATATGCACCTAGGGCAATTTTTTAACATAAAGAATATAAACCAAGGAAAATTTTCTGAGAAACGTTAATGTATAATATCAATAATGTAATTTCTAACCAATTGGATAAAATTTTAACATAATGTTATATATTAGATGATATAAATAACTTCATATTTCAGATTCAATAATAATTATGCTTAGGGTACTTTAAAGGTACATTTTCAAAATTCCCCAACAACTTAATTCTGAGTAGGAACATGTTATAGACCAAATTATGCAATCCAAAATTTACATGTTAAAACCTGAGCCCCCAGTGTGAGTGTATTTGGAGATAGAACCTTTAAGGAAATAATTAAGTTAAGTAAGGTCATAAAGATAGGGGCCCTAATGTGATAGTACTAACATCCTCATAAGAAGAAAAAGAAACATCAGAGATCCCTTCTGCTCACTGAACATGTACAGAGTAAAGGCCATATGGGGACAAAATGAGAAATCAGACATCTACAAGCTGCAAAGAGAGATCTTAAAGAAACCAACACTGCCAGCACTTTGATCTTGGACTACTAGCCTCTAGAACTGTGAGAGGTAAATGTTAGTTATTTAAGAACCCTACTCTGTGGTGTCTTGTTATAACAGCCAAGGAAACTGATACAGAAGATATGAATTATATTTATTACTTTAACTCGTATGTGATATGCCACTTAGTAATTTCAAGAAGGTTAGTCTAAATTATATTGCATTAACATAAAATCCCAAGGCTTAGTGGCCTGTAACCATGATGGTTTATTTCTTGATCACATTTCACAACCACCATGCCGTGGCTGCAAATCTGCTCTACACTATCTTCATTCCAGAATCCAGACTGCCAGAGCAAACCTTAACAAAGGCATTGCCCATCTTGTGGCAGAAGGACAAAAAGCCCTGGGGAACAATGAGCTAGTTCTTAAAACTTATAATTAAAAAGTACACATTTTATTTCTGTATGCATATTATTGGCCAAAGCAAACTACAAAACCACTCTTTACATTAAAGGGACAGCAAAGTATAATCCTTCTACTGGAAAAAGGAGCAAATATATAACCTGCCAGAGTAATATATAACCTGCCAGAGTAGAGTAAGTCATACAGACTTTCTTGCCTAGGAAATTGATAATGCTAGTTTAAATCAAATAAACTCTTTGATGCTCATACAGAAAAGGCCTCATGGGGACCCGTTTGAATAAGATGTTTGAATAAGCTACGATAACTCCACAAGATTATGAATCTATAAAAAGAATAAGGAGTATGTCTCCGAACTGATAGGATGTCATTTCAGATATACGTTAAAAAACCAAGAAAGCAAAGTACAACAGTGTATCTATAGTATGAGATCCTTAATGTATGAAAAAAAAATGTAAAAAAAAATGTTAATGCATCTACTTATTTCTGAAAAATAAATACAGGAAATTTAAACCAGATACTAATGGAATTTATTATCTAAATATTTAAGGGGGGATAGGTTGGAAAGAACTGAGAAAATAGGAATGGGATGGTAGGGACAGGGAGAAGGTGAAGCTTCTGTG
This sequence comes from Homo sapiens, assembly GCF_000001405.40. Classification (NCBI taxonomy): domain Eukaryota; kingdom Metazoa; phylum Chordata; class Mammalia; order Primates; family Hominidae; genus Homo; species Homo sapiens. The sequence goes on along the minus strand of NC_000003.12, from coordinate 175,959,958 downwards.
AGTATATCTTTTTGTATCACTCTGACTTTTAGAACCGTGGAAATGTTTCACATACTCCAAACATAAATAAATAATTTAAATCAAATAGGATGTGAGGGGAACTTAAAATGGAATACAAACACCAATATACACATTTAACTGTATTATAAATAAATAACAAGAAAAATTAAGTAACTGGGAATAAATACTAACCTAACAACATTGGAACACAACATTTCAACTTTATACTGTAAGATTACATGCAAAAAGAAGTGCACACAAATGCTGTTCTAGTAAGTAGTTTTCCCCCATAGGGATATGGATTAACAATTCGGAAACCATGTGTGTAATAGAATCAAACAAATAAATACATTTTGGGTAACAAGAGGTAAATTTCTCACAGTGGGAGAAAGGAGTTACAAATATTCAAAGGGAAAAGGCTAGAATAAACCCCGTAGCATTAAATCAGAATCCAATATATCAGCAAGAACTAATGCATATATATATATATGTATATATATAAATATTGATTATATATAAATCAATATATAATATATAAATATATATAAATCATATATAAATATATAAATATATATAATATAATATATAAATATATATAAAAATATATATAAATAAATATAATATATAAATATATATAATATATATATCTATATATATCATATATAGATATATAGATCTATATATATCATATATATTGATATATATATAAATCAATATATAAATGTTGATTCTTCCTATTCATGAGCATGAAATGTTTTTCCATTTGTTTGTATCCTCTCTTATTTCCTTGAGTGTGTGTGTATATATATATATATATATATACACATAGAGAGAGAGAGAGACAGAGAGAAAAATAGACACATGTAAAAGTGTGCGTATGCATAAATATATTCCTTAGTTCTGTCCACTGAGAGGACCTACAAGCAATAAGCACACCCAGCATGAAGATTTTTGAATTCCAAATTTCATTTACCAATGAAAGAAACTAGAGATTCCTGAAGAAATGGCTGATTCTAGGGTTGGAGTGGAGAAAATACAAGATGAGCCTATAATAATATCTTGCGGTTCCAGAAAGCAAGGAAGTGCACAGAAAAGATAGAGGCATGTTGGAATGACACAGGGGACATGCAACAGGAGCTCACAATGGTCAGAGATGGAACAATTTGAGCAAGAGTATAAATAATTATGATATTTTATTGTATTCTCTAGAATAATATAAAGGAGTTCATTCTGATAGAAATAATTAACTAATTAAATAAATAAATGTGGGAAAAGGGGCAGCACTTCCTGAGAGTAGGATTCCAATTAGTAAACACAGAAGGAATGATGGAAATAGCAAATCTTCATTGTGCCAATAACACAGTAATAATTATTACACACGAGTCATTAAATGGTGCTAAATTAGTGAGAAAAATTGTAATGAAAACTGGGGTCTTGGTATGGTTTTCCCATACATGGTATTTACTAGTTACAAGATGGAAATTACAACCTTATAGTGGAGAAACCTGGCAGAGACCACATGAAAACAAGAGATCAAAGTCAATATCGCCAGTAATAAGCCCTGTCCATATCATGTACTCCTGATATGAATAACCTAAAAGAGCAAAACATTTTTTTCTGTGGTATTCTTGGCAAAGTTACACAACCTTAATCTAACATGGAGCAAGCATTTCTTCACTCACTTACTCTGTCACAGTCCTTGATGAATATTACACCATATTCTCTTTTTAATCTGCTAATATCCCCTACCCCACTTTTTCTCAGTTGATGATCTTTTTTTCTAATTCACTAGGAAAATAAAAGCAATCTGAAGGAAACTCTCTCAACATTACATCTTGGTACCCTCTAGTATCTAGACCCATAGTCTCCTCTCTTCTGTTAGTAGAGTTGAAGTCATTATGGTCCTACTTAACAGCAAATGTTTGACTTACACTCTAAAGTTTACTCCTCCTCCACCTACTCTAGAATATCATTAGAACTTCCTCATTTTATTCTTGTATTATCAAGCTTTTTCTCTTTATTGGATTGTTCCTGCTAGTTTACCTGTTTTAAAGTCATTCTGACACAACTCCTCTTCATTTGACATAATCATGGTCTCATTTCTCTGCTCTTTATAGTTAAATCCCTTGAAAGAGTTGTCAATATTTTTTCTCTCCATTTCCTCTCTTCTTATTGTCTTTTAAATCCACTGTAATCTTGATTTTGCCCCTACCACTCCACCAAACTTCTTCTTCTCAAGTTAGCAATGACTTCCACATTGCCAAATCCAATAGTCAACTAATAGCTATCATAATAGTGACTTGCCAGCTGTCACGTTGATCTCACTTCCTCCTTAAGAACCTTTTTTGGTGTTGCTTTTTTCTAATGGCTTCTGGAACCACAGAAGTTTTGTTTCTTCCTCTTATGTCACTGAGGACAAACTTTGAAGTGCCCCAGGAATCAGTCCTTGGACCTCTTATTTTTTCTATTTATGTCACTTCATTGGTGATCTTATTCAGTTGCATGCTTTTAGATATCTTCTATATCCAAATGATTTCCAAATAAACATCGCTATCCTGGACCTCCTCCTTGAATTTCAGTTGAGTATATCTCTCACTACCAACTCAACATTTTGTAGATTAAATAAATATCTGAAAGCTATCATATCCATGATCTCACCTCTTCAAATATAATCTATCTGTTGTCTTCTCGCTCCCAGTTAATGATGGCTTCATCTTTCCAGTAAAACAGGTTAAACATCTTGGAATAAGCTTTGGTTCCTCTTTTTCTCCCATTCTGTGTAGCAAACAGGAGAGTATGGCCCTCTTGTGGGCGTTTAAGGATTATTCCAACATGGCCACAGGCATTGCACTCAGCAAGGCATATAAAAGTAAAGAATTTATTATATGCACAGGTCCTAAAGACAGGAGGCATGGCAAGCCATGCAATGGGGTCATATGGGAGGAGTTCCTAGGGAGTAGGTTCAACCAAGCAGATGGGGAGCGGAGAGAGAGTGATGATCCATGGGCAAGTGCTTTTACTGAAGGGTCAGAGTGAAGTACACCAGCAAAAGGCATGAGAAAATTTTACTGGTACATTGAAATGTCACTTGATTATAGTCAGGGAAAGGCAAGAAGGGGAACTTGTGGCAGGAACCTGCCTTATCACACTGGTGCATCAGGTCACCTGGGTGGGGTGCTCACAGCTTGTTTGTGGAGATTGATATGGTGTGGCTCTGTGTCCCCACCCAAATCTCACCTTGAATTGTAATAACCCCCATGTGTCAAGGGTGGGACCAGGTGGAGATAATGGAATCATGGGGATGGTTTTCCCCCTACACTGTTCTCGTGATAGTGAGTGAGTTCTCACGAGATCTAATGGTTTTATAAGTGTCTGACATTTCCCCTGCTGGCTCTCATTGTCTTGCTTGCCACCATGTAAGAAGTGATTTTGCTCCTCACTCACCTTCCACCATGATTGTGAGGCCTCCCCAGCCATGTGGAACTGTGAGTCAATTAAACTTCTTGCCTTTATAAATTACCCAGTCTCAGGCATGTCTTTATTAGCAGTGTCAGAGCAGACTAAAACAGGGATGTTGAGGCACCTGTAATATACGAAGTTTAAAAGTGTATAATATACACACTAAATCCAATCTGGTAGTAAGCCATATTTAATTTTATATTTCTCTCTATCTACATTGTTTCATCTTAATACAAACAGTCTGGTCGCAGTTGTTTGGACCAGGCTTCCAACAGTCTCCTGATTTTCTTCATTCTCCCTTTTCACACCTATCATCTATACACAGCAGAGAGAATATGCCTTTTAAATCACAAATTAGACCTTATCCCCTTTATTTGAACTTTCTAATATTTTGCATTTCATTCCGAAAACAAGTCAAAATCCTCAAGTAGCACAAAACATGTTTGAAATTTAAATTTAAATAAAATTATTATCTCTTTGACTTCATTTACTACTAGCCTCCTGTGTGCTTTCTCTGTTCTATTTACAGTTCCTTGAGTGACAGGGCACAGATATTCACACTGACTATGCATTATGTTTGGAAAGCATTTCCCCATGTGTCCTCACAACTCACTTCCTCACCTTCCTGAAGAATTTCTCAGAGATATGACTGTCTTATTTAACTTTGCAACCCTTCTAACACAGCTCTCTTTGCTCCTTAGCCTGCTTTAATAATATATACTTTATTATTTGTTATCTTTTTTTAAAATCTCTCCTCTAACTCTAATATAATGTAAGATTCAGAAGAAAGGATGTTTGTTTCGGTATTTCCTGTTGAATCTGTACCAAACAATGGTACTTAGGTGTTCAATAAATGTTTATTTAATCAATGAATGAATGAAAAAGTCTCAAATTTATCATCAGTAAAATAGATGATTTCTGCCTTAGCCTTCTTTCCAGATAAAACAAATATTCTTTTGTAGATACGAAGCATTGTACGATTGGAGTGATAGTAGCATATTCCTAAATAACTATTAATATAATCCTCTGAAGTAATTTATTGTTTCTTCATTAAACCAAAAATAGATCATGGATGAGGATGATAATGTGCAGATTAAAATGAATAACATTTTTCAAAGATTTTCCAAATACTGTTTCCTTTCAAATACTGAAAACAATATTTTCAATATGCTTACATAGGATAAAAATGTCAAGAGAGAAATATGGCCAATAGGAATGCCTTGAATAGTTCCTGTTTAACCAATGTATCAGTTTCTTGCAGCTGCCATAACAAATAATCATAAACTTAGTGGTTTAAAACAACAGAAAGATTTTTTTTTTTCAAAGTTCTGGAGGTCAGAAATTTAAAATCAAGGTGTCAGCAAAGTTGTGATTCCTCTGAAGGCTCTAGGGGAGACCCCACTTTTTCCATCTCCTTGTGGCTATAGACATTCCTTGGCCTCCTCAGCTCTATCACTGTAATCTCTGCCTTTTTAACACACTTTTTTCTTCTCTATGTCTGTGTGTTCTCTTTTGTATTAAAAGGATACTTGTCATTGGATTTAGGGCACACCAGGCTAATCCAAAACAATCTCATCTCAAGATTCTTAATTATGTCTGCAAAGACCCTTTTGTCTAATAAGGTAATATTTTCAAGTTCTAGTGGTCAGGATATGGACATAACATTTTGAGGGCCATGATTAAACTCACAGTAAAACCAGTCATAATAAAATTATGAATTATTTTTTCAAAATTATTTTATTATTTTGCCCTTTCTCCTTCTCCTTGCACCTGCTTTTACGCATACATCAAGACCAAACAGCTGGTCTCACTATATTCTTACCTTCAAAATTACTCTAGGATAGATGAATATCCTAAGCCATGTAGTTTTCGTGTTAGGAAGAAAAGCAAAGGCTTTTAAGCCTTGAAATAAAGATCTACATTCTCCCACCTTGTTGAAATGCACTTTAGCATTGCTTGTAATAGCTTCAATTATTGTCTTCAAGTCTTTAAAGATGTCTCAAAGTATAGCCAATGCACTTAGACTAAAAACTTGTCTAAATGTATAAAAAAGCTAGTTGCAGACTGCAGGCAAACCTCAATTTAGTATGTGAAGATGAGCATTTGGCCAAAAGGTTGCAGCAATGGCTGTACTGAAGAAGATAGAAGAGTAGCCACTGAGCAGTACGGTTTTAATGAACTGACCGGAGTATAGAAAGATAATTAGAGTCATAATTAGAGAACAGTAATTCGTACCTGAAATTATATGTGAATACCCTACAGTAAAATCCTAGAGTTATTGGCTGGATCAATGTAATACTTTAAATGTAACCTAATGTTCACTGTTTCTGTAAGACAAGGAACAAAAACACCTTATCTTCCCTTAAAGGCAGAACTGACTATAAGAAATGCCCTGTGCTAAAGCACATCTTTTAAAACAAAGAATTTTAGCTCCTAGATATCAGCAATGGAGCTAACTGTGGAAATTGACCTGTTCCCTTCACTGTGCAAAATATATTATTTCCTTCTGAAAGTATCTCAAGTGCTCAAGTGCTTTAAGCTTTAAAGTTAGCCAGTTTTAAAATATCCATTTCCATAGAGTGAACTCATTTATCAAGTATTATAAATGGTATCATGAATTAGAGAAATCCTGGTTGTTCACAATGAAACCCCTTAAGCCTGACATAAAGTATACCCTGACAACAAAACATTTCTAGGAATTGAGAGAAGGATCCAAAAGAAGGTATTGATAGTGTCGGACAGCAATATTGACTACTAACAATTAATGAATAGAGACAATTACATTTGTCTCTTGATAAAAATACTCAAATAGATTTTGGGTTTAACTTGTTCTTTATATCTGGGTGATTTGGGGTTTCTTCTTGTATTAATCAGCTTGGACTGCTATAAGAAAATAGCATAGACTGAGTGACTTCAACATCAGGCATTTATTTTTCACATTTCTGGAGTGTGGGAAGTCCAAGTCCAAGGTGCCAGCATATTCAGGGCTGATAAGAGGCCCTCTTGCTGCCTTGCAGACAGCCTTCTCACTGCATCGGCACATGGCGAAGGGAAAGAAAGCTCGGTTTCCTCTTCCTCTTCTTACAAGGATGCTAATTCCATCATGGTATCTCTACCTTCACGATCTCATCGAAGCCTAATTACCTACCAAAAGCCCCATCTCCAAACACCATCATATTAGGATAGGGCTTCAACATATGAATTTTGGGGGACACAAATATTCAGTTCATATCACTTCTCTTTTATTTTCTAATCCATTTCTCTAATCCATTCTGCCAAATACATGAATCATTCATTAAGCCAACATTTACTAAATGTCTACTGTGTGCCTACCACATGCCAGGCACAAAGATAAGTAAGATATAACTCATCTTCTCTCACAAGGCTTCTTCATTAAATCCATATAGCTACTACTAATTTAACACTTCACTCTGAGTTAATTATTTTATGATGATTAACTCATTTAATGTTCACAACAACCTATGGGTATAGATATTATCCCAATTTTCTCAAAGAGAAAATTCAGGTTTATGGAAGTGGAATAACACATCCAAGATCACAAAGTTAGAGAGTTTAAAACTGGCTTTGAGCCCATGCTACCTGACTTCAAATCCATGCCTCTCATTGACTATGCTGTAACACTCTTTTAACCCTCATTGGCTCTTCTCTACACTCCCTATCTTCATCTCTACTTCTTGATGTGTAGCTTCTCCACAAAATTTCACGTTTTTAAAAAATTCTTGAGCAGATAGTGAACATTCAATAATGAGCTTGCCTCCTCTCTGCAATCAACAATGATCTTGCCTCCTCTCTAAAATTTTCTATTTGCTTTAACTATCCAATTCTCCTTCCATGGCTCAAGAGAATCTTCAGTTTCTGTTAGTGAAAAAAGTAATTGCTAAGAAGGAAGCTGGTTAGGATTTTTTTCAGAGAGGCAGGAAGAGTAAAGGAGGGAATAATAGTATTTCAGTCAAAAGGGAGCTGAATTGGTAAAGGTAGGGATGAGAAACATGATTCAAAGATTGAGGCAGGATCTAATAAAGATGTGTGGTTTGGACTTTTAAGGGACAATTTTGAGGATATTCCACTGGGTATTAAGCCGATCTGGCTTATAAAGCTCAAGCCAGATTTGGTTTTGTTAAAATAACTATGACATTCTGTTTGTACTAGTCTTCGGAGTTTACCTCACAGCAGACACAAAATGTTACCAGAGCCAAGGAAAAAGCCAAAGATGAAATTATACATCTCAGGTATTGCTCATGGAGAGCCAGAGTCGGCAGAGTAGCTTATTTGATAGGGCACTGATACAATTTCTGAAGCATCAACATGATACATGTGCCTGATGTTATATTTCTCTGAACAACTCTTTGTAAGGTAATAAACATATTGATGGCTTAGCTTGTGCAAATGTTTTCTCCAGGCAAAAAGAATCAGGGAGGCGAACAATTCTCTCCTTTATGTCATATTAGCACATATTTTGGCATGAAAAGAGAGTGGCAAAGAGCGTGTTAATAAAGTGAAAAGTTGGTTAAAGATACAAACTTTAGAGTCAGAAATCTGGGTTCGAATTCAGCCTCCCCTGTTTCTAGCTGAGTGATTTCAAGCACATTGCTTGACTTCAGAAAGGCTTGCTTTACACCAATCCTAAAATGAGCATAACAATATCTCCTGTTGGAATAAATGAAATAATTTATGTAAAGCATCAAAAAAAGTCCTTAACTCACAGAAGGCACTCAATCAATAGTTGCTTTTTTTTTGTTTATGTAATGCCATAATGGTTTATGCTAATCCTTTCTTTAAAGTTATAAATAAAAGGAAGAGAACAGAAGAAAAGACCTCACTTTAGAATCCCAAACCTTTACTCAGAGTTTTCCACTGAAGACTAGGTGTATTTCCCTGAGAATCTGAGTAGCCAGATGAGACCAGGGAATGGACTGACCTCAAAAACACCATGTCAGGGCAGGTTCAACTCCGAGATGCATCAGGCCAGTGCAGGCCCCCTCAAGGCAGGCACTTGCCTCAGGGACATTCATGAGGCCTCTGGTATTTTTAATGTCACCACACTGAGCTAGACACACACACACACGACACTCCATGGGGAAAAAGTAAAACTTTACTTTTTGACAAGAGAAGAACGATGTTAAATCTTTTCTATTTCCCCATAAATTAAGACACAGTCCTTTGGCCCTCAGTTCACTAAGTTATAAAACCTTCAACCCTCTGCCAGAAATGCTTATAAATTGTGAGTCATCTTGCAGAGCCCATTAGCAATCTTCAGTGCTAAACTGGTCCTTTCAACATGATAAGTGCCTTTCCAGCCTGTGAAAGAGCATCTACTCTCTCTTCCACTTAGAAGTAAAGTAGAGGAATTTTTTGTTGCGTTTTGCAGTTTTACCTGAGCTGCTGGAGAATCCCCAGCAAAGACTCTGCCAAAAACTGCTGCTTATTGGTGTGTGGTGAAACAAAGTTAACACTGAAATCATCATCCCCTGCATCTGTGCAAACAAGATTTCAACTCTTATTTCAACTTCATCCAAGGAACCTAAAGACTTGGTAAACTTCAATTCATTATACAAGTTTCATCTCATAGACAATCATCTTCAGATTGAGGAACAAGGCTACTGGGAGGTTTCTTGACACTGATTCAGGCAATAAAACAGAGCTGCTTCTTTGAGAAGCATAGAAACTAAGATTTTAAGAGTCACTTTATAAAAATCCATGATTAGAATAAGAGAGAAACAAAATGATGAGCAAGTGATTCAGTAAAAATAGATTCATCTGAAAGTCACATGCTGTCAAGAATGAGGACAGCAGAGACAGGAAATCATTTGTGTGCCTAAGAATGTCATTAAACCTGTGAATATATGGTTTATGAAAACAAAAATAAAACAGAAGTAATTTGAGGGGGAAAACCTGAATAGATGGAAAATATACTTCATAACCAAAATTGGCAATAAAATATGACAGTCTTAACGTATACACAGTCATAGACAGATAAAAGAGAAATAAGAGTGACAAGAAAAATGGGACACCAAAGATGGGATGAGGAAAATTAATGACAGAGGAATAATGCATCAATGAGACATGAAATGATTTTGAAGGTGAAAAACGATCTATAATAAATGTGCTAGTATTTCTAGAATTTTTTTTATTTTTAATCTCAGACATCAAATACAGGTAAAAAAGCATATCGTTAAGGGACATAATTTTTAGGTGCAATATTATGCTGTGATTCTATTTGTAATAGAGAGATGGAGGAAAAAGACCTCTGAAAAATTCCTTAATTGGGAAGCAATTTGATGCTACTCACTTAACATAATATCAGCATCAGATAATATAGAACGTTTTAACAACGTCCTACCTATTCAGTGATGTACTTTTTCTTCAACACCCAAGGTTCAAAATTAATAAATAATGAATTTTTATTGCTGGAATAACTGCATAAATTAGTGGCAATTTATTGAGCACACACTATTTATTTTAGCTCCTTCATCTACGTAGCCTATTTCTCACAATAACCACTCTTTTATCTTTATCTATAAATGGGATAAACTGAAACATAGAGGCTAAGAAACTTGCTCAATGCACACAGCTTGCAGGGTGTGACTTCAGGTCACTCAGTCCTTAAACATTTCTTCCCAGAAAGAGTTTTATGCGTAATTGGGAGAGTTATTTACATATTGAACATGACATTATTACTTCTATGTCTTTTTATTTATTATCTGGTTAACTCACATATTTATATTAGCTCTATTCAGAGTAAGATGGAGTGAAAAAAGTTCAAAAATAGAAAATAGCAAAAAAAAAAAAAAGAACATAAAAAGTAAGTCCCACCAGATGAGATTTAGGTTTCTTTAAAACATTTTCTGTTTTTTTTTTTTTTACTTCTGTAATAGACAGACTAGTATAAAACACAAAATATATTCTCCATACTTACTTATTGAATAATTCATTTCGGCTTTTCTTTTTCAATTTCCAGAGTCTGCCATATGCAGAAATAATAAAATCAATCCCCAGAGATTACAAAAATAAATAATAAGTCTCAGGCAGAGACAAGAAAATTGCAGTCTTGTAAAAAATTGATGAAATAAACATGCATGATACATTAATAATAATAGGTAGTATTTGTTGACATTTACTTTGTGCTTGGCATTGTTCTAAAAACTTTACATAGGTTAGCCTCATTAATCTACATTACAATGCTGTGAAGAATTAAACCAACATTAATGAATTTAATTTTTGAAAAATAAACTTTTTACTTTAGTACAGTTTTAGACTTACCAAAAAAGTGCAAAAATAGGAGATAGAGAATTCTCGTATACCCCACACCATCATTTCTTTAAAAACATTTTTTAAATTAATGTTTTTTAACTTTTATTTTAGGTTCAAGGGTACATGTGCAGGTTTGTTAAATAGGTAAATTGCGTGTTGAGGGCATTTTGTATACAGATTATTTAATCACCCAAGTAATAAGCATAATATCCTATTTATAGCTTTCAATCCTTGCCCTCCCCCACCCCTTCATCCTCAAGTAGGCCCCAATGTCTGTTAATCCTTCTTTGTGACCATATGCACTCAACATTTAGCTCCCACTTATAAGTGAGAACATGTGGTATTTGTTTTTCTGTTCCTGCATTAGTTTGCTTAGGATAATGGCCCCCAACTCAGTTCATGTTGCTGCAAAGGACATGAAATAATTCATTTTTATGGTTGCATAGTATTCCATGGTGTATATGTATTACATTTTCTTTAATATAGTCTATCATTGATAGGCACCCAGGTTGATTCTATGTCTTTGCTTTTGTGAATAGTACTGCAATGAACATGTGGGTATGTGTCTTTTTGGTAGAATGATTTGTGTTCCTTTATGTATATACCCAATAATGAGATTGCTGGGTCAAGTGGTAATTCTAAGCCCTTTGAAAAATCATCAAACTGCTTAAATGGCTGAACTAATTTACATTCCCATCAGCAGCGTATAAGCATTCCTTTTTCTCTACAACCTTTCCAGCATCTGTTATTTGTTGACTATTTTATAATAGCCATTCTGACTGGTGTGAGTTAGTATCTTATTGTGGTTTGAATTGGCATTTCTCTAATGATTAGTGATCTTGAGCATTTTTAATGTGCTTTTTGGCCATGTATATGTCATCTTTGGACACTTATCTGTTCATGTCCTTTGCCTACTTTTTTATGGGATTGATTTTTGCTTGTAAATTTGTTTAAATCCCTTGTTGATGCTGGATATGAGACCTGTGTCGGATGAATACTTGGCAAACATTTTCTCCCATTTTGTAGGCCGTCTGTTTACTCAGTTGATAGTTTCTTTTGCTGTGCAGAAGCTTTTAGTTTAATTATGTCCCATTTGTCAAGTTTTGTTTTGATGCGATTGCATTTGATGTCTTCATCATGAATTCTTTGCCAGGTCCTATGTCCAGAATAGTATTTCCTAGTTTACCTTCCGGGGTTTTTATTGTTTTCAGTTTTAGATTTAAGTCTTAATTCATCTTGAATGAATTTTTGTATATGGCATAAAGAAAGGGTTCAGTTTCAATCTTCCATATATGGCTAAGCAGTAATCCCAACGTCAGTTACTGAATAGGGAGTCCTTTCCTCTATGTTTGTTTTTTGTCAATTTTGTCAAAGGTCATACGGTTCTGGGTGTGGCTTTATTTCTGGGCTCCCTATTTTATTCCAATGCTCTATATGTCTGTTTTTGTACCATGCTGTACTGGTACAATGCTGTTTTTGTTACTGTAGTGTTTTTGAATACCATAGTATAGTTTGAAGTCCAGTAATGTGATGCCTCCAGCTTATGTCTTTTTACTTAGGATTGCCTTGGCTATTCAGGCTCTTTTTTGGTTCCATATAAATTTTAAAATCATTTTTTTCTAATTCTGTGAAGAATGTCATTGGTAGTTTAATAGGAATAGCACTGAGTCTGTAAGTGATTAGTGTATTAGTAAGGATTCTGTAGACTAACAGGAAGAGAAACGGATATAGATGTGTGTGTGTGTGTGTGTGTGTGTGTGTGTATACATATATACCCATAGACACATAGATATATCTCTCTATATTTTTACAGATATATAGAGATTGATATATGGATATCTATCTATAGATATAGATATATAGAGAGACTTGGATCCTGTGATTATGAAGCTTGAGAAGTCCCATGATGTGTGATCTGCAAGCTGAAGACCCACGAGAGCCAGTGGTTTAGTTTCAGACTGAGTACAAAGACCTGAGAATCAGGAAAACCAGTGGTATAAATTCCAGTTTATGTCTAAAGGTCTGAGAATCAGGAAATTCTGTGGTGTAAGTATCAGTTCCAGTGCAGGACAAGATGAAGTTCCAGCTTGAAAACAATCATCAAAGAGAGCACATTCTCATTTATCTCATATTTTGTTTTACTCAAGCTCCCAATGGATTGGATGAAGCCCACCCATATCAGGGACAGCAATCTGCTTAACTCAGCCTACTAATTCAAATGTTAATCTCATCTAGAACCATCCTCCTACACACAACTAGAATAATGTTTAACCAAATATCTGGGCACCTGATTCTCCAAATTGATACATAAAATTAACCATCATAGCATGGAACATTTGTTCCTGATATGGTTTGCTTTTGTGTCCCCACCCAAATCTCATCTCAAATTGTAGTCCTCATGTGTCAAAGGAGGGACTTGGTGTGAGGTGATTTGTCCATGGGGGTGGTTTTCCTCATGCTGTTCTTATGACAGTGAGTTCCCATGAGCTCTGATGGTTTAAAAATGTGGCACTTTTCCCCCTTGCTGTCTCTCTCTCCTGCTGCCATGTAAGATGTGCCTTGCTTCCCCTTTGCCTTCCACCATGATTGTAAGTTTCCTGAAGCTTCCTCAGCCATGTGGAACTGTTAGTCAATTAAACCTCTTTCCTTTATATATTACCCAATGTCAGGTAGTTCTTTACAGCCGTGTGAAAATGGACTAATACAGTCACAGTAATGAACCAATGTTATACACTATTTTAAATAATGTCCATACTTAGACTTCTTGTTTTCACCTAATGTTCTTTTTTGACTCTAAAATCTTACCTGGATATCACATTACATTTTGTTTTCATGTCTCTTTAGGTTCCTTGGCTTTGACAGTTTTTCAGACTTTCCTTATTTTTGATAAAATTGAAAGCGTTCATGAATACTGGTCAGGAATTTTGCTTTATGTCTTACTATTGAAATTTTTCTGATGTTTTTTCTCATGGTTAGACTGGGCTTTCAGGTTTTTGAAAAGAATACAGAGATAAAGTACTATTTTCATCACATCAAAGGTAAATAATATCAAAGACTTATCACTATTGGTGGTAACATTGAAAAACTGGTTGAGATAGTATTTTTCAGGTTTCTCCACTGTAGTTACCTTTTTCCCTTTTTTAGACTGTACTCTTTTGAAGAGTCATTATACACAGCCAACACTTATTAGTGAGAACTTATGCTCAGGATATCTGCATATATAATTTGAAATCCTTCCACATGTGAGTTTTTCTATTCTACACCATTTATTTATGTATTCAATCAGTTGTTTATATTATTATGGAGGCAGGGATATTTATTTTATTATTTAGATTACAATCCAATTCCACTTTGTTGTTGTTGTTGCTCAAATTGTTTCAGCTTTGACTTTTTGGAACTCTAAGTTGATTCCATTTTTCTTTAGACATACCCCAAATATTTGTGACTATAGCCATGTGGCTTCATTTCTGGGTTCTTTATTCTGTTCTATTGATCTATGTGTCTGTTTGAATACTAGTACCATGCTGTTTTGGTTACTATAGCTTTGTAGTATAATTTAAGGTCACGTAATATGATGCCTCCAGCTTTGTTCTTATTGCTGAGGATTGCTTTGGCTATTTGGGATCTTTTTTAGTTCCATGTGAATTTTAGGGTTTCTTTTTCTAATGATGTGAAAAATGACATTGGTATTTTGATAGGAATTTCATTGTATCTGTAGACTGCTTTGAGCTGTATGGTCACTTTAATGATACTGATTTTCTTCTGATCCATGTACATAAAATATTTTTCCATTTATTTCTGTCACATACAATTTTTTTCATCATTGTTTTGTAGTTTCTTTGTAGAGATCTTTTATCTCCTTGGTTAAATATATTCCTATATTTTTGAGTTTTTTATCCTTGGTAAATGGGATTGACTTCTTGATTTTGTTCTCAGCTTGATCATTACTGGTGTATTGAAATGCTATTGATTTTATATCCTGAAACTTTACTGAATTTATTTATCAAATCTAGGAGTCTTTTGGTGGAGTCTTAGGGTTTTCTTATCATATCATCAGCAAACATGATAATTTGACTTCTTCATCCCCAATTTGGATGCCTTTTCTTTTTACCTGATTACTTTGGCTAGGGCTTCCAGTACTGTGCTGAATGGGTGTGGTGAAAAATGGGCATTCTGGTCTTATTCCAGTTCTTATAAGTAATGCTTTCAACTTTTCCCCATTCAGTATAATGTTGCTTGTGAGTTTGTCATAAATGGTTTTTATTATTTTCAGGTATGCTCCTTCTATACCTAGTTTGTTAAGGGTTTTTATCATGAAGCCATGCTGTATTTTATCAAATGCTCATTCTGCATCTATTGAGATAATCATATGGTTTGTGTTTTTTATTCTGTTTACGTGGTGAATGACATTAATTGATTTGTGTATGTTGGACCATCCATTCATCCCTAGAATAAAACCAAACCGATTATGGTATATTATATTTTTGATGTAACGTTGATTTCAGTTTGCTAGTATTTTCTTGAGGATTTCTGCATGTATGCTCATCGGGAACTTTGGTCTGTAGCTTTCTTTTCTTCTTGTGTCCTTTTCTGGTTTGAGTATCATGTTGATATTGAATTTATGTAATAAGTTACGGGGAATTCCCTCCTTCTCAATTTTTTCAGAACAGTTTCAGTAAGACTGGTACCAGTTTTTCGTACATCTGGTAGAATTCAGCTGTAAATCGGTCTGTAGCCGAGCTTTGATTATTGAGGGATTTTTCATTATTGATTCAATCTTGCTACTGGTTATTGACCTGTTCAAGATTTCTATTTCTTCTTTGTTCACTTTTAGGAAGTTGTATGTTTCCAACGATTTATCCATTTCCTCTAGCTTTTCTAGTTTGTGAGTGTAGAGCTACTCATAGTAGTCTCTGATGATGGTTTTTATTTCTGTGGTATCAGTTGTAATGTCTCCTTTTTCATTTCTCATTGTGTTTACTTGAATCGTCTATCTTCTAGGTTTGTCTATCCAGAAGTCTATCAATTTTGCTCATCTTTTCAAAGAAGCTATCTTTTGTCTCATTAATCGTTGTATTTTTTGTCTCAATTCCACTTAGTTCTTCTCTAATCTTTGTTATTTCTATACTTAACCTAGCTTTTTGGTTTGTGCACTGTTATTTTTCTGTTTTCCTAAGGTGTGATGTTAGATTGTTAATTTGTGATTTTTTCCATTATTTTGATGTGGGCATTTACCACTATAAACTTCTCTCTTCACACTGCATTTGCTGTATCCAAGAGGTTTTGGTGTATTTTGTCTCCCTTTTTTTTCATTTCAAAAATGTTTTAATTTTTGTCTTAATTAAATCCTTTACCCAAAGATCATTCCAGATAACCGTGTTTATGTCCATGGAATTGGTCTCAAGTTTTATTCCACTGTGGTTTCAGAAGATGCTTGGTATGATTTCAATATTAAAAATTTATTGAAACTTGTTTTATGGCCTAATATATGGTCTATTTTTGAAAAATATTCCATGTGTTGATGAGAATATATATTCTGTGGTTGTTGCATAGAATGTTCTGTAAATGTCTGTTAGGTCCATTTGATAATTGAGTTTAATTTAAGTCCAGTGTTTGTTTCTTGATTTTCTGTTGTGATGATCTGTCTAGTGTTGTCAGTAGGGTGTTGAAGTCTCTCACTGTTATTGTTTTTCTGTATTTCTTAGATCTAGTCATATTTGTTTCACAAATCTGACTGTTCCAGAGTCAGATGTATACATATTCAGGATTGTTATAGCTTCTTGTTGAATTGATCTTTTTATCAATATATAATTGTTTATCTTTTTTACTGTTTTTGACATAAAGTCTGTTTTATCTAATCCAAGTATAGCTATTCTTGCTTGCTTTTGGTTTCCTTTTTCATGGAATATCTTCTTCCAACCCCTCACCTTCAGTCTATAAGTGTGTTCACCAGTAAGGTGAGTTTCTTGTAGGCAGCATATGGTTGGTTCTTTTCTTTTATACATTTTACCAATCTATACCTTTTAATTGGAGCATGTACTCTTTTTACATTCAAGATTACTATGGCCATCTGAGGTTTTGTACCTTTCATAATGCTAATTGTCATATAGTTGCTTTGTAGATTTTTTGTTTCTTTTTTTTTTTTTTTTTTTTTTTGCTGTTTATCTTTGTGGTTTGGTGAAGTTCTTTTACGTTGCCATTTCATTTCTTTCTCTTCCTCGTTTAACTGTCTTATAAGATCTGTGAGTTTTATATTTCATGTGTTTTTGTGATGACTAGTATTGACTTTTTGTTTCCATGTTTAGAACTCCTTTGCACACTTCTTGTAGTACCAATGACAAATTCTCTCATCGTTTTCTTGTTTGGTAAACACTTTACTTCTCCTTCATTCATGAGGTATATTCCAGCAGAATACAAAATTTAGAGTTGACAATTTTGCTTTTTTTTTAAGCACTATGAAAATAGAATCCCAATCTCTTGTGGCTTGTAAAGTTTTTGTTGGGAAGTTCATTGTTGGTCTGATGGAGTTTTCTTTGTAGATGGCTGGATATTGCTGATTTTAGTTTTAGTTTTTTAGGTTTTTTTTTAAATCTAGTTTGACCTTAGACAATCTGATGACTATATATCATGATGAGGATCTTCTTTCAATGCATTTTTCTGAAGTTGTTGATCCTCTTGTATCTGAATGTCTAGATCTCTTGTTAGAATAGGGAAGTTTTCCACAAATTGGTTTTTAAAATTTTTTGTTTTTTCTTCCCCCTCAGAAATATTTATGCTTCATAGGTTCAGATATTTAAGAAGTCCTACACTTCTTGAAGGCTTCATTCATTTTTTAAACATTATTTTTCTTCATCTTTATGTGATTGTATTTTTGAATTTTTGATTGAATTTTTGAAAACCTGTATTCAAGTTCTGAGATTCTTTCTCCTATTGTTGAAGCTTTCAACTCGACTTTATAATTTCTTCAGTTATTTTTTATTTCCATAAGTTTTATTTTTTAAAAAATATCTACCTCATGGGTAAATTTCTATCATAGCCTAAACCATATCCTCAATTGATATTCTGATTTATTTGTATTGGTTTGCATCTCACTGAGTTTCTTTAAAGTAAATATTTTAAATTATTTGTCTGCTATTTCAAAATTTTCATTTTGGTTAGGATCCATTTCTAGAAAGTTAGAGTGATTCTTGGTGGTGGTGTAACACCCAGTTTCTTCTCCAGAATTGTTATGCTGGTTTCTTCTCATTTGGAAAAATGTCACTTCTTATTTTATAATTTAGTTTTATTTAAATGGGATTTTTATTTTCCCACCTTAAGGATGTGACTATATTGTCTGTTGAATAGGATCATTTGGCTTTGCTTCTGGGTGCTTTCACTGGCAAGTCCCTGTATGAATTCTTTGGTTATAGATAGCCTTAGTGGCTTTCTCAAACACCAGTTGTACTAGTAGTGTACTGAACATGTGAACAGGCTCATGGCCTCCTGTAGGGCAGGGTTGACAGAGGTCTTAAAAAGCTTATTTCATTTCTAAGAGCTGTGTACTTCTGGCAGCAGATTTTGTATTGGGTTGTGCAGTTCAACCTCCAGGCCAGTAGGTGGCACTTTCAGGTAAGAGTTGGCTGCAGCAGTTGGCAGTAGGGTTGATGCTTGATCTTTGTTTACCAGGAAAAGCTCTCCACAGCCTCAGGCAATGGGTTGGCCCATAAAATGCAGAGTGTCCAGGGCTCTGTACTCAGCCCTGAGGTGTGGGAGTGATGCTGGGTGGAGCTGGACTGGGCTGGCCTGCCTTAGGGTCCTGCAATGGCAGGCACAAGCACCATTTGTGATACAGGTGGCAAGGAAGTTGTATAGACTGTATTATTTTCTTGGATACAGATAGTCTTATTGTGGTGGCTTTCCCAAATGCCTGGTGTAGTCGTAACGTACCCTGTGGGGGAGCAGACTCAAGTCCCTCTGAGTAGACAGGGTGGTGTGAACAACGGAGGTGGCAGAGGTCATGCAAATCTCTTCTCTTTTTCAAATGTTGTGCAATTGTCTCAGCAGATGTAAAAAACAAAACGGGCTTTGCAGGTTTGTCTCCTAGCCAGTAGGTGGCACTTGCAGGTGAGAGCCAACTGTGATAATGGCAGTTGGGCTTTTGCTTGACCTTTGTTAACCGGAAGTACTGAGAAGCTGCAGGCAATAGGCTGCGCTGTGGGACTTCCAGGAGTCCGAGTCCCATGCTCTGCCTCTGAGGCTGGTGGCTGGGGTAAAGCTGGGCAGGGCTGAGCCAGGCAGGGCTGTACTCAGGCTCCCCAATGGTAGGTACAAGCAACGGCCATAACATGGATCAGAAGGCAGTGCTCAGGCCACTGGGGCAATGCTTCAAGGAGGAGCATAACAACTTATTTTGTGCCAAAGAGTCAGCATGGGAAAAGAGAAGCAGTTTGTGTTCCACAACCTAGCAGATGGTAGTGACACCTGCCTCACTCCCACACCCTTGACCCAGCAAGGCTCCCTCCCATAACCCACTCCTGGCAGCAAGCTGAAACAGTAAGTCAAGACACAAGCAATCTGTCTTCAGATTACAAAACTGTCCTATGCCACAAAACTCCCTGCCAGGGACAAAAACTTGGACTCCCAGGCCACACCCCTCCGACTCCAGTCCTGCATCCTGCAGTGGGACTGCCCAACGCTTATGCCCGTGTTTCAAACCCATGCTACACTCATCTCTCAGATCTGGCCATGGGGCTCTTCCTCCTCTTAAGACTAGATTGCAAATCTCATTCTTGAGATTCTCTAAACCGATGACTAATGCTTGTTCTGGATGACAGATTTCCGCACAGCCCCCTATGAGTTAAGATCAGGAATGATCTCCTATTAGCATCAAGGTCTGGGAGCATGTGCAAAGTACTTCCTGCTGCCTCTTCTCACAGTCTCTTCACTGATCCCAGAATTGTATCAGTTGGAAGAGTCAAGGAGCTCCTCTGTGGCCTGGATTGCCTGACTCCCAAGTGGAAATGTATACTGTGAAGATACTCTTCCCCTCTCAGGAACTTGGAACTCACAGTTTTCCGTCAGACCCACAGTGTGGTCTGCTGCCCACCATATTTTTCAAAGTATCCAAAGTTTGTTTCATTTTTATGTTGAGCTTCCTATTCTTTCCTTGATCACAATGTGAATCTCTGCACACTATTTTGCTATTTCCAAGTGAATGAGGTTCGCTAACAAAGCCTCTATGCCTCCATCTTGGAGAAAAAAAAGCTAAGTATCGATATATTTTGTTTTCATTTTTATTTACTTCAAAATTTTAAATTTTTACTGAGACTTCTATTTTGACCTCTCACTTATTTAGAAATGTGTCAATTTTCAGATATTTGGAGCTATCTCAGTTATCTACATGTTACTGACTTCTATTTGAACTTCATTGTAGTATGAGAACATACTTTGTATTAATTCTATTATTTTATATTTTTAAGATGTCTTTTATGGCCCAAATGTGGTCAACCTTGAAGAACGTTCCATGTGATCATGAAAAAAATATATATATATTCTGCCATTGTGGATGTACTTTGCTAAACATGTCAACTAGATAAGTTAGTGATAGAGATGTTCAGTTTAAATATATTTTCATTTTCTGCTTGTTGCATCTGTCAATTACTAATGGGTAAGTGCTGAAATCTACAGGTATAATAGTGCCTCTGTTAGCCTATTTCTCCTTCAGTTTTATCAATATTACTGCATGTATTTTAATGTTCTCTTGTATGAGGCATACACATTTAGGATTGTTATGTCTTTTTGGAAAATTAACCCTTTTATCATTAGATAAAGCTCTGTAGCCCTAATAATCTCTATCTTTCCTGATGTCTGCTTTGTCTGAAATTAATGTAGCTCCTTTGCTTTCTTTTGATTAGCACTTTGTGTGTTTATCTTTTTACTTTTAACCCAGATGTATCTTTATATATTTAAAATGGGTTTCTTGTAAGTGACATATAGCTAGGTTTGGTTTTGTTATCCTCTTCAACAATTTCTATCTTTAACTGGTATATTTAGAACATTAACATCTAAAGAGATTATTGAGTGATATAGTTGGATAACTATCTACTATGTTTATAACTGTATTCTATTTCTTGTAGTTTTTTCCTAGTTTATTTTTTCCTTCCAATTTTTCTGAATTCTGTGATTTTAACTGACCATGTATAATATTTAATTTATATCATATATTAGTGTATTAATTGTACTTCTTTTTTTAAAAAAAAAAATGATCACTGTAGAATTTACCAAATAAAATGTAAGTTAATCTGTCTTTACCTCAAACAACCCTGTACCACTTTATGTGTAATGGATATTGTGTTAATTCATTCTCACACTTCTATAAAGAAATACGTGAGACTGAGTAATTTATAAATACAAGAGGTTTAATTGGCTCACCATTCTACAGGCTATACGAGAAGCATGATGGTTTCTGGGGAGGCCTCAGGAACTTTCAAGCATGGCAGAAGGTGAAAGCATTAGCAGGCATATTTTACATGGCTGGAGCAGTAGGAAGAGAGAGAAAGAGGGAAGGTACTGTGTCCAGAATTGGTGGGTTCTTGGTCTCACTGACTTCAAGAATGAGGCCGCAGACCCTCGCGGTGAGTGTTACAGCTCTTAAAGTGGCACGTCTGGAGTTTGTTCCTTCTGATGTTCAGATGTGTTCGGAGTTTGTTCCTTCTGGTGGGTTCGTGGTCTTGCTGGCTTCAGGAGTGAAGCTGCAGATCTTCACGGTGAGTGTTACAGCTCGTAAAAGCAGTGTGGACCCAAAGAGTGAGCAGTAGCAAGATTTATTGCAAAGAGTGAAAGAACAAACCTTCCACAGTGTGGAAGGGGACCCAAGCGGGTTGCCACTGCTGGCTCCGGCAGCCTGCTTTTATTCTCTTATCTGGCCCCACCCACATCCTGCTGATTGGTAGAGCCAAGTGGCCTGTTTTGACAGGGCGCTGATTGGTGCGTTTACAATCCCTGAGCTAGATACAAAAGTTCTCCATGTCCCCATCAGATTAGTTAGATACAGAGTATCCACACAAAGGTTCTCCAAGTCCCCACCAGAGCAGCTAGATACAGAGTGTCGATTGGTGCCCTCACAAACCCTGAGCTAGACACAGGGTGCTGATTGGTGTGTTTACAAACCTTGAGCTATATACACAGTGCTGATTGGTGCATTCACAATCCCTGAGCTAGACATAAAAGTTCTCCAAGGCCCCACCAGAGCAGCTAGATACAGAGTGTCAATTGATGTACTCACAAACCCTGAGCTAGACACAGGGTGCTGATTGGTGTGTTTACAAACCCTGAGCTAGATACAGAGTGCCAATTGGTGCATTCACAATCCCTGAGCTAGACATAAAGGTTCTCCACGGCCCCGCCAGACACAGGAGCCCACCTGGCTTCACCCAGTGGATCGTGCACTGGGGCTGCAGGTGGAGCTGCCTGCCAGTCGTGTGCCGCGTGCTCACACTCCTCAGCCCTTGGATGGTCAATGGGACTGGGCGCCGTGGAGCAGGGGGCGGCGCTTGTGGGGGAGGCTCGGGCTGCACAGGAGCCCACGGAGGTGGGGGAAGGCTCAGGCATGGCGGGCTGCAGTCCCGAGACCTGCCCTGCGGGAAGGCAGCTAAGGCCCGGTGAGAAATCGAGCACAGTGCCGGTGGGCCAGCACTGCTGGGGGACCCAGTACACGCTCTGCAGCCGCTGGCCCAGGTGCCAAGTCCCTCACTTCCCGGGGCTGGCAGGGCAGCTGGCTGCTTTGAGTGCGGGCCCGCCAAGCCCACGCACACCCGGAACTCCAGTTGGCCAACAAGTGCTGCATGCAGCCCCGGTTCCTGCTTGTGCCTCTCCCTCCACACCTCCCTGCAAGCTGAGGGAGTGGGCTCCAGCCTTTGCCAGCCCAGAAAGGGGCTCCCACAGTGCAGCAGTGGGCCGAAGGGCTCCTCAAGTGCCGCCAAAGTGGGAGCCCAGGCAGAGGAGGCGCTGAGAGCGAGCAAGGGCTGTGAGGACTGCCAGCACGCTGTCACCTCTCAGTACCACACACTTGTAAATAACCAGATCTCATGAGAACTCTATCACAAGATAGCACTAGAGGGATAGTGTTAAATCGTTAGAAACCACCCCCATGATCCAATCATCTCCCACCAGGCCCTGCCTCCAACATGGGGGTTTATGATTTGACATGAGATTTGGGCAGGGACACAGAACCAAACCATATTATTCCACCTCTGGCCCCTCCTAAATTTCATGTCTGTGTCACATTTCAAAATACAATTATGCCTTCCCAACAGGCTCCCAAAGTCTTAACTTATTTCAGTTTTAACTCGAAAGTCCATAGTCCAAAGTCTCATCTGAGACAAAGCAAGTCCCTTCTGCTTGTGACACTGTGAAATCAAAAGAAGTGAGTTATTTTCAAGATACAGTGGGGATACAGGCATTGAGTAAATACTCCCATTCCAAAAGGGGGAATTCAGCCAAAAGAACAGTCTAAAACCCAGAAGGGCAGTCAATAAATCTTAAAGCTCAAAAATAATTTTTGACTCTGTGTCCCACATCCAGAGCACACTGATGCAGTGGGTGGGCTCCCAAGGTAGCTCTTCAGGGCTCAGCCCCCATGGCTGCTCTCAAGGGCTAGTGAGTGCCTGCAGCTTTTCCGGGTGCACAGTGCAAGCTGTCAGTGGATCTATCATTCTGGGTTCTGGAGGTCAGTGGCCCTCTTCTCACAGCTTCACTAGGGAGTGCCACAGTGGGAACTCGGTGTGGGGCCTCCAACCCCATGTTTCATCCCCACACTGCCCTAGTAGAAGTTCTCCATGATGGCTTCACCCTGCACCAGGCTTCTGCTTGGACATCCAGGCTCTTCCATGTATCCTTTGAAATCTAGGTGAAACTCCCAAGCATCAGCTCTTGTACTCTGCACACCCATGGGCTTAACACTACAGGGAGGCTGCCAAGGCTTATGGCTTGCTTTCTCTGGAGTAATGGCTCCAGCTTTATGTACCTTGACCCCTTTTAGTCAAGACTGGAGCTGGAGAGGCTGGGATGTGGGGAGCAGTGTCTCAAGGCTGCGCAGGGCAGAGGGGTTCTGTACTTGGCCCATCAAACCATTATTTCCTCATAGGCCTCTAGGCCTGTTATGGGAGGGGCTGCCAAGAAAGTTTCTGAAATACCTTCAAGGTGTTTTCCCCATTGTCTTGGTTATCAACATTTGGCTCTTTTCTACTTATGCAAATTTCTGCAGTAGGCTTAAATTTTTCCCCAGAAAGTGAATTTTTCTTTTCTACCACATGGCCAGGCTGTATATTTTCCAAACTTTTATGCTCTTATTTAAATATAAGTTCCAATTTTACATCATTTCTTTGCTCACAAATATGAGTTAGCCTGCTAGAAGCAGCCAGACAACATCCTGAATGCTTTACTGTTTATAAATTTCTTCCAACGGATACCCTAAATCATCATTCTCAAGATCAAAGTTCCACAGATCCTTAGAGCAGGGGTACAGCGCAACTAATTGCTTTGCTAAGAAACAAAAGTGACCTTTGCTCCATTTCCCAATAAGTTTCTCATTCCTATCTGAGACCTCATCAGCCTGACCTTATTGCCCATATCACTACCTGCATTTTGGTCACAACCATTCAACAAGTCTCTAGGAAGTTCCAAACTTTCCCTCATTGTTCTGTCTTCTTCTGAGCCCTCCATACTGTTCCAACCTCTGCCAATTACCCAGTTCCAAAGTCTTTTCTACATTTTTAGGTATCTTTATAGCAATACTTCACTCCCAGTAACAATTTTCTGTATTAATCCATTCTCACACAGCTTTAAAGAAATATCTGAGACTGGGTAATTTGTAAAGACAAGAGGTTTAATTGGCTCAAGGTTCTTCAGGCTTTTTGGGAAGCATGATGGCTTCTGGAGAGGCCTCAGGAAACTTTCAATCATGGTAGAAGGTGAATGGGGAGCAGACATGTCTTACATGGCCAGAGCAAGAGGAAGAGGGGGCGGGGGAGGTGCCACGCACTTTTAAACAACCAGATTTCGTAACAACTCTATCACAAGACAGCACTAGGGAGCTGGTTCTAAACCATTAGAAACTCCCCCCATAAGCCAATCACCTGCCACCAGGCCCCACTTCCAACATTGGGGATTACAATTCAACGTGAGATTTGGGCAGGGACACAGATCCAAACCATACCAGATATACACTATACAGAGTATTCCAAATTCTTCCTTTTTTATTCTTCGTAACATTATTGGCATTTATTTCACTGATCTTTATGCTTTAGTCACCCAGTATCCTGATAATATTATTATTTTGAACAGATAATCGTATTTTAAACAAATTGAAAATAAGAGAATAAATATTTTATTTTACCGTCATGTTTTTTCTTCTGTGGTGCTTTTTCTTTCTTTATGTAGATTCAAGTTTCTGGCATGCCATTTTTCTTTCTGCCTAAATAACTTTTACTTTTTTTTTGCAGTTCAGGACTACTACTAATTAATGCCCCTTCCTTCTTTCTTCTTCTTCTTCTTCTTTTTTTAAATTTAGTCTGAGAAAATATATTTCTCCTTCACTTTTGAAGGATAATTTCACTTCTGGGTTAGTAGGATCTATTTCACCCAACATATTGAGAGTTTTACTGTACTCTCTTTTTGCTTGCATACTGTCTGAAGTAAAATCCTTTGTAAATCTTATTCTGGGTCCTCTATGTAAGGACCTTCTCCTTTTTAAATATAATATTTCTAGATATGGTTTGTCTCCTTCTCCTTTGGTATTTATCCTGAATGCTGTTCTCTGAAATTTCCAAACCTGTAGTTTAGTGTCATTAATTTTGAAAAGTTCTCAGGCATTATCATTTCAAATATTTATCTACTCCATTCTCCCTTTCTTTGCCTTCTGGTATTCCAACAAGTATATTTGGATATTGTTCTACAGTTTGGTGATATTCTATTCTGCATTTTACATTTCTTTCACTTTCTGAACTTTTTTGAGGAGAAGTTTCTATTGACCTATCTTCAAGCTCACTGATTTTTTCCTCAGCTATGTCAAGTCTACTAACAAATCCATCAAAGGCATCCTTTATTTTTGTTACAGTGATTCTGGTTTCTAGCATCTCTTTTTGATTCTTTCTTAAACTTTCTACCTCTGCTTAAATTAACTATCTGCTCTTAAATGTTGTATTTTTTTTATTAGAGACTTTAATGTATTAAACACAATCATTTCAAAATCCCTGTCTGATAATTCCAACAACTGTGTCATACCTGAATCTGGTTCTGATGATGGCTTTTTCACTTCAGGTGGTGTAATACTTGCATTTGATGTATCTTGTAATTTTTTGTTGAAAGCCAACAGCATGTTATATTGGATAATAGAAAATGAGCTAAATAGGCCTTTATTATGTGGATTTATGCAAATATGGTTGGGGCTGTAATGTGTCCTGTAGCTATAGGTGCTAGAGGCTTCAAATTTCTCTAGTGCCTTGTTTTTGTCTCACCTCTTGACTTTAGATTTCCCTAAACACTATTGTCTTAAACAGTCTGTGTCTTGTAGCTCTTTCAACTCTTACTATATTGGAGTTCTGTTAGTGTAATGATAAGGTGTAGGGAATAGAGAGCATTCTGTAGTCTTCTGATTACATCTCACTGTTTTAATAGACCTATATCTTAGAACTGTGACATTCACAAGTACTTCTCCAGCGATGTAGCTTTTTTGTTTTTTGTTTTTTTCTCCCTGTCCCCTGCTCCCTTTCCTGTTTGCTGTATCCTAATCCATTTCCCTAAAACTTTATTGACTTCCGCCATGAAGCTAGAGGAGGCAGGAGTGGGAGGAATACCCTTCCTCCAATGGGATAAGTCCAGCAAGTCTTCACCCCTGGAGCAGAGTCTATTTTTGTACAGAAGTCTAGGGATATTTCATAATTTATTTTGTCCCTGTCACTGCCAGAGCCATGAGGGAGTGTCTCTGATATTCACTGTGAGAACTCAACAGAGTTCCTGCAGGCAAAGCCCCCCAAAATATAAGGTCCCCTATGACCGCTGACCCCAAGCATTTCTCACTCTCACTCTCATACTAGTCTACACTCAGCCTCTCACAATTCATCCAAAGTACTTCATAAGTCTTTCTACCAGTTCATAGCTTCAAAGTCTTTTGCTACAAGTAGATAGCTCTCATCTCTGACTCTGGATGATCCCATCTCTCCAGATTTCTGTTTTGCCCTGAAACTTCAGTTCTCTGTTGGGGCCACAAAAAGTAATTGAATTTCAGTTTGTTCAGCTTTTTCTTGTTGTGAGGACAGGAGTGTGACTTCCAAGCTCTTTACATGTCACAACTGAAGCAGGAAATATTCAACCACTTTTAACTTAATAGTATTACCTCTCTTTGAATGAATGAAAGCCAGAGAGCTCATATAACTTGCCAAAGGTCATGTTCTGGGAATTGCTGAGTCATGAGTTGACCTCAGATAGTCTGATTCTGGTAGCCATGATCTTAACCACTATAATACACTCCCTCTGTGCTATATAAAATAACACTATTAAAGATGTGAACAAAACTATGGTGGAGCAATGAAAAGGAGCAACAAACTTTAGGAATTAACTGTATAGGAAAGCTTCATGAAAGTGGTGACAAATGAGCTGGTGCAGAGAACGAGGAGTTTACTAGGCAAGGGAGGGTAGAAAGTTTTAAGGAAAGAAACAACAGGTTTAAAGACAAAGAAATATTTTAAAAGAATGCCATTTTTTCAGATTAGGTCGTTGAGGTAGAGGTTATATGGTCAGGGCACTTATAAATCTGGAGCTAGGCTCTGTGCCTTACGAAGGGCTATTCTAGGGACTCTGTATGTCATTGATGTTGTAA
The DNA here is from genome assembly GCF_000001405.40 of Homo sapiens. NCBI lineage: Eukaryota > Metazoa > Chordata > Mammalia > Primates > Hominidae > Homo > Homo sapiens. Next base: position 175,932,372 of record NC_000003.12, on the reverse strand, counting down.
CTGACAAAGAATAAAAAATAGTTTTTTAAAGTAATAAAGAATGCATTAGGAAGATGACTCACAATAGGTGGGTAACAAGTACTTATCTAAGAGACTGTAACTGAGGCAAGAATAAAACATGAGGAATATGTGTATATGTATGAGAGCATTTATATATAATGTTTGATTCTCTTGTGGACAAAACTAAAGCATGAAAACACAATCTCTCAAGATGCTGACTTAAATCTCTTCAAGCTCTTTGTTGCTACCTAAAGTTCTCATCAGTACATAACATTTAGGGTAAATGGCTTTCATGAGAATTGATATGGTTTGGATGTTTGTCTCCTCCATTTATAATGTTGACTTGTAATCCCCAATGTTGGAGGTGGAGCCTGGTGAGAGGTATTTAGATCATGCAGCTGTATCTCTCATGAATGTCTTAGTGTTGTCTCCTTGGTGATGAGTGAATTCCTGCTCTGATAGTTCATGTAGACCTATTTTGTATAAAAGAGTTCCAACTCCCCACCTCTCTCTTATTCTTTCTCTTACCATGTAATATGTGGGCTTCCCCCTTTGTCTTCCACCATGATTGTAAGCTTCCTGAGGTCCTCACCAGCACCGAGCAGATGTTGATGCCATGCTCCCTGTATATCCTACAGAACCGTGAGACAATTAAACCTCTTTTCCCTGTAAATTACCCAGCCTCCAGTATTTCTTTATCATGATACAAAATGGACTAACACAAGAATTTTTCTCTATGTTTTGACTACTGATGTCAAAGAGATTTGAACTAAGAGGCTAGTGTTTATTGCTTACATAATTATTATGATTTATATAAAATGTCCTGTTTTAAAAATTTCATTTAAAATGCAAAAATGATAAGTACCATACATACCCTCAAAATATTTCTGTAGAAAATATTTTCTGTAGAAAAATTGAACATAATCATAGTTTCAAGACAAGGAATTTAAACAAACATTAGGCAACACAGCTCCAGAATGCTCTCTTTTACCCAAGCACACTTGTGATTTTGTATAATCATCAAGTTACATATAAGGAGGAACCTATTCCATCCATTTTTCTCTAAATTCTAGAAAAAGCTTTTGGATTGTTTGTACACCCCTCAGCAATGTTCTTCCAGATGATATTTCTGTAGATCAATTTATGGCAAATGGAATTTTTGTTCAACTCTTTACTACCTAGCTACTATACTGGCACTCATTTTTGTACACAATTTTCATACTTCTATGTATTTGTATTGGCATTGTTGAGCTTATCTATGTATCCATGCTGACCTTAAATAAAATTTGAAGCTCAAAGAGAAGAACATGACAATTGCTTCCTACCTTGGATCTTGCTACTTTTTATCTCCCATCCCTTAACAGGAAGCCTAATACTTAACAATATAGACAAGAAGAGTAATAACTAAATAATTAAACAGGATGTATTGGTGTTCCTACTTTCTGGTGTCAGAAATACAGATCAGTATAAGGATGTTGGCTAATTCCTTTACTCTCTCTCAGTAGTAGCAATTTAAATTGGGGGGAAATTACATACAAAAATGTTGAGCAGACTTTATTAGATTGTTCTCTGAAATGATTGCAAGAAGAGTTGGGAGAAAGAATTATCCTTGACTAGAATCAGGCCTCCTGATCATTGATCTATTGAACTAGAACTGTTCTGAGCAATGGACTCTAACTTCAGATTTTCAAAAGAAGAGTAGAAAACCAAAACTAGGCAAGAAACCAAAATCAATAACACCCAAAAGAGCTGAAATAGAGTAAAGGGTATGGGCAGAAATAGACATAGAAAATGGGAGCACATGAATGATAATGGTGGGAGGAAAAATCAACAACTACAAGAAATAAAAGCTATCTCTTAAGTGACTACCCTTAAAAAAAAAACAAGAATCAAATTCAACATAGGAAGAATTGCCCCTTTCTTTGTGTCTCTGTCATTGTCCCTCTCTCTCTGTGTTGATACATGTGGGAAAATGCTCATTTGCAGAAAAGGGAAGCCATATGGCCAAACTAAAGCTCAGAGGAAAGCAATATTTTAAGCTCCGTTGGACTAGCAAGACTCTATACAAAACCATCATTAAACAAACAAATAATAATAATAACGGCTCCATTAGCAGTGTAAATTTTAATTAGTTTATGTTTTTGTAAATAGCAAGTTTGGTTTTACTGGAAAAACAACAACAAAAAGAAATTATAAGGCAGAAAAAAAATCTCAGATGACCATGGACAATGTTAGTGGAACATGAATAGGGAACAAAGGAAAACTAGCAAATTATTATACTGTCTAGTGTGAAAAAAGTTTGCTTGGCTGTTGAATGGTAAAGATTCCTCAATGACTACTCTCTGAAGTCTATACTATAACATATAACACACTCATTGTATAACTAAATATTTAATGTGTCAAATATTAAATAAACTACTAAGGGTAATGTGAAGCAATTCTGTGAAATTCCAGAGTACCGTCCAAATAAAGAAAGAAAATGAATAGGTCAAAGTTGTAAAAATTTAGAGAGATGTGAGTATGATGGGTCAAGCAGCCTTTATCTGCTCAGAGGGTTTTGTAAGAATAAAACTATTAAAAAATATATTTACTGCAAATCTTACCCTATAGTTTCTGTAGTTATAATGAAAGTCATTTAAATGAATATTTGATAAATGTATAAATGAATAAAGATGAAATGAATAAATGAATGGAAACGGAACATAAATACTAAATGGTGGAAATTAAATGAATAATTCCCTTGAATAAATCAGCTTCACTACAGTTTGCTAGCATGCTGTATAGAGCAATACCATCTAAAATGGTAATTTTTAATGGATTATAGTAAAGAATTTACACAAGAAGTATATAAATGTATGGCTATAATCAATATACTCTAAATACACTTTTAAAATATTCTGTCCTTTAAGTGCTTTAAGACATTATATTTAAATAATATGTTTTTCACAGAGATAGATTATTCAACATTTCTTTCGGTAATTCTTTAACATTGAGACGATTTATGTTCCTGGGAATAGGAGAAATCTTTTTCCATGTGTTTTCTTCTCAGAACATTAAACATATTAGCCTAATTACCCTCCTCTTACTATCACTCTTATTCATCTGAAACATTTCCAATTGTCCTTTCTGACTATTTTTGGATTAGGTCAAAACAAGCCATATTGAATCCTAATCAGACTGGGTCATAGAATTTAGAATTAAGGAGTATTTGGTATTTGTCTTCAAGTATTGGAAATTCCTAATCTTTTAAAAGGGAATTTTATATAAAAAGCTCCCATTTTTAAACCACAAGTAAAGAAAGCGACTGGAATTATTGGAAAATAAGGCTCATTAGTATTTTGTAAACAGTTAAAATTTTATATATTTAAGTTTCTGGAGGAAAAGATCATCTCTTGATAAACGAAGTCCTGAGATCCTGCTCAAATAAATAGATAAGCCTTCTGTGTGAATAGAAGAGTGTTTATTTATAGTTTAAACAGTATGTTTTTATATCCATGATAAGTTTAAACAACTGAAAAATACAAATCTTTTTTAAACTTCGAGCCTTAATATAATGAATTGCTTAAAGTACCAATTCATGATAAATAGTACAATGGTAAATATTAGCCTGGTTCACACTAACTTGTTGCCAATTCCAAATTGGTGGGCTCTGAACTCAAAGTTTCAAATTCTAGTTAAAAACAATAAATCTTACAAAGTTCTAACTATTAATCTAGCAAATTGGAAAGTATGTACTTTTTGAAACTGTACCAAGGTAGGTAGTGGAAAACTTTGTCCCTGTGCCAGATGTATAATTGGCTGACTATGTAATTGCAAAAAGATTTTATAGGTTTTGTCTGAATGTCGCAAGTGCAGAATTATCTATACATTTTAAAAAGGGGGTTTATTAATTTGTTTTCTAGAGTTGTGTTTTTATTTTAATTATATAATTAATACATACAAGAAATATATAGCATGTATAAATTAAAATGCTTAATAATAATAATTCCTTTGAACAGCCTCTTAACTTAGCTAGCATTATTAACTTAATAACTTAATAAAGAGCATTATTAACTTAATAACAATAAAGAGCATTTCAGTACTCTTTGATTTACATATGTTCCTCCTCAAGCCTTTGCCCTCCCTCCCCTCCCCCTTGTTTATCATTTTTTTGAAATCTTAACAAACAGATTTATCATATATGTTTATCTCCCTAAAATATAAGTTATTTCTCTTTGCTTTCAAATTCCACAAAAGTAACATATCATGTTATTTTTTGAACATACTATTTAGCTATAGTTTATTAATTTTTAATTTGATATTTATTTTATGAATATACTATATTTTACCTATTCTTCTGAGATGAAATGTTTTGGTGATTTTCCTCATTATTTCATTTAGCATATATTTATTAAACATCTTCTAGGTGCCAGGCACTGTTTTAATAGAAAAGGAAAACAGACAAAAACTTTCCCAATTTTCATGGAACTTATGTTACGGTGAGATTAATATCTTATATGTCACACATAGGAACTATTTGTCATAGACTATCCATACATTCTGATTTATAAAATGTTAACATTTTATTGACATTAAATATATTTTACATGTAGTTAAACAAATTTTCACACCAATCAACAGTATACAAGAGTTGATCACATCTTCTCCAACAGTTGGTGTTACCAGACTATAAACATCAGTCGATCTACTGGATGAAAAAAGAAAATCTAATTTTCATTTTCTTATAACAAGTGAGGTTAAGCATCCTTTTGATGTTTACTCACCATTCGTATTTTCTTATTTTGGTAAAATATATGTTCACGTCTTACCTTCCTTTTTGTATTGATTTTTTTGTCTTTTTTATGTTAATTTGAAAGACTTTTATGCATTCTGAATAATAATACTTTGTTGAAAATATATCCCCATTTTTATGACATCTTAGTAAACAGAAATACTTCATTTTAAAGTAGACAAATTTGTCAAAATTTTGTGGTAGGTTCCTTAGTAAATTGTTTAGGGAAACTTTTCAATTCTAAAGTTATGAAGATATTATTTTAAGTATTTCAAAGTTTTGTCTTGATGTCTTTCTCTATGTGTAATAAATTTTTGCATAAGAAATAAAACAAACACTAGACTCTATGTATTTCCCCCATATGGGCAATGAGTTATCCCAACATTGTTTAACAAAAAGTCCGTGCTATCTTCATGAATTTTCAATACCATCTTTTGTCAAATATCAGGGCTTTAAGAGATTACATTGGTCAATTTATTTTTTATCATTTGCTTCCTCTAATAAGAGTAAATCTTTTAGCTGGGCATAGTGGTACATGCCAATACCCCCAGCTACTCAGGGGGCTGAGGTGGGAGGATCACTTGAGCCTGGGAAGTTAAAGCTGCGGTGAGGCCTGAGCACACCACTGCACTCTAGCCTGGGCAAGAGAGGAAGACTCTATCTCAAAAAAATAAGTTTAAGTCTTGATATATGGTAGGGCAAGTCACTTTATCTTGCTCTTTTTCAATAATGTTTTGGATATTCTTGGCCTTTTGTTTTCCCATCTGTATTTTAGAAGAAAAAAGTGTGTGGAATTTTATTTGAATTACATTGGATCTGTAGATTTTGGAAGATTTGATAATCACTATGATTATAAATTTATGTAATTTTTCTTGTACTTTTATCATTTTTTCTTCATGTGTTTTAACTATTTTTTAGATATATGTAAGTATGAAATGTTTTGTCTTCCTGAACTTTTACCAAAATGTGATACCTTTCAGCCCTAATGCTCTTATCCTTTCTCAATTTCATATGTATGCCTTCAATGTTCAGTAAGTGCTAGAAACTTGGGATGAAAAAAAATAATAGAGCACCATACATTTGGACCATTCAAGTATTTCTTTAAGGTTAATTCATTTGTTTGTTGGTTATATAGTGAGACATATTAGTGGAAGAAAAAATTATAAGGGGTCCTGAAAGACATGTTAAGAAGATTAAATTTTCATCATTTATTTGTGGTGACAATTCAAAATCTTCTCTTTTAGCTACGTTGAAATATGCACTACAGTGTAATTTGCTATAGCCACCCTATTGTGTAATAAATCACCAAAACTTATTCTTCCTGTCTAACTGTAACTTTCTATCCATTGAAAAACCTCCCCAGGTACGTCTCTTCCCTCTACCCTCCCAGTCTCTGGTAACCACTATTTTACTCTCTACTTCCATGAACAAAACTTTTTTAGATTCCATATATGAGTGAGATCATGTGAGAAATAATAAGTTTAAAGTGATGAATAAGTAATTACTCTGACTTGATCATTATACTATGTATACATGCATTGAAACCTATAAATATTGTACCCTATAATATGTACAATTATTAATATGTATAATTATGTGTAATTGTTATGTATCTATTATAAATAAAAATAAATAAGTAAATGATATGGTTTGGCTGTGTCTCCACCCAAATCTCAACTTGAATTGTATCTCCCAGAATTCCCACATGTTGTGGGAGGGACTCAGGGGAAGGTAATTGAATCATGGTGGTCGGTCTTTCCCATGCTATTCTCGTGATAGTGAATTAAGTCTCACCACATCTGATGGGTTTATCAGGGGTTTCTGCTTTTGTTTCTTCTTCATTTTTCTCTTGCCACTGCCATGTAAGAAGTGCTTTTTGCCTCCTGCTGTGCTTCTGAGGCCTCTCCAGCCATGTGGAACTGGAACTCCAATTAAATATCTTTCTTCCCAGTCTCAGGTATGTCTTTATCAGTAGTGTGAAAACAGACTAATATAGTAAATTGCTACCAGTAGAGTAGGGCATTGCTGAAAAGATACCCAAAAATGTGGAAGCGACTTTAGAACTGGGTAACAGGCAGAAGTTGGAAGAGTTTGGAGGGCTCAGAAGAAGAAAGGAAAATGTGGGAAAGTTTGGAACTTCCTAGAGGCTTGTTGGCTGACTTTGCCCCAAATGTTGATAGCAATATGGACAATAAGGTCCAAGCTGAGGTAGTCTCAGATAGAGATGAGGAACTTGCTGGGAACTGGAGCAAAGGTGACTATTGTTATGTTTTAGCAAAGAGACAGGCAGCATTTCACCCCTGCCCTAGAGATTTGTGGGACTTTGAACTTGAGGGAGATGATTTAGGGTATCTGGTGGAAGAAATTTCTAACCAGCAAAGCATTCAAGAGGTGACTTGGGTGCTGTTGAAGGCATTCAGTTTTATAAGAGAAGCAGAGCATAAAAATTTGGAAAATCTGAAACCTGACTATGTGATAGAAAAGAAAAACCCATTTTCTAGGGAGGAATTCAAGCTGGCTGCAGAAATTTGCATAAGTAGCAAGAAGCCAAATATTAATCCCCAAAATCATGAGGAAAATGTCTCCAGGGCATGTCAGAGGTCTTCACAACAGCCCCTCCCATCACAGGCCTGGAGGCCTAGGGGGGAAATTGGTTTCATGGGCCAGGCCCAGAGTCCCCGTTCTGTGTGCAGTCTAGAGACTTGGTGCCCTGTGTCCCAGTCACTCCAGCTGTGGATGAAAGGGGCCAATGTACAGCTTGGGCTGTGCCTTCAGAAGGTGGAAGCCCCAAGCTTTGGCAGCTTCCATGTGGTGCTGAGCCTCTGGGTGCACAGAAGTCAAGAATTCAGGTTTGGGAACCTCCACCTAGATTTCAGATGTATGGAAATGCCTGGAGGCCTAGGCAAGTTTGCTGCAGAGGCAGGGCCCTAATGGAGAACCTCTTCCTACATACACTGAGGGTACAAGTATTAGGTAAATATAGCCATTCCAAATTGGAGAAATTGGCCAAAACGAAGGGATTACAGGGCCTATGCAAGTCTGAAATTCAGTGAGGCAGTCAAATTTTAAAGCTCCAAATTTTAAACCTCTGCTAGGGCAGTGCAGAAGGAAAATATGGAGTCAGAGCTTCTACACAGTCCTTACTGGAGTACTGCCTAGAAGAGGTATGAGAAGAGGGCCATTTTCCTCCAGACCCCAGAATGGTAGATCCACCAACAGCTTGCACTGCACACCTGGAAAAGCTGCAGACTCTCAATGCCAGCCTGTGACAGCAGCTGGGAGAGAGGCTGTACCCTGTAAAGCCACAGGGGTAGAGCTGTCCAAGACCATGAGAACCCAACTCTTGCATCAGTGTGACCTGGATATGAGAACTGTAGTCAAAGGAGATTATTTTGGAGCTTTACAATTTGACTGCCTCATTGAATTTCAGACTTGCATAGGCCCTGTAATCCCTTTGTTTTGGCCAATTTTTCCAATTTGGAATGGCTATATTTACCCAATACCTGTACCCCCAGCGTATGTAGGAAGTAAGTAGCTTGCTTTTGATTTTACAGGCTCATAGGCAGAAGGGACTTGCCTTGCCTCAGATGAGACTTTGGACTGTGGACATTTGGGCTAATGCTGAAATGAGTTAAGACTTTGGGGGACTGTTGGGAAGGCATGATTGGTTTTTAAACATGAGGACATGAGATTTGGAGGGGCCAGGGGCAGAATGATATGGGTTGGTGCTGTTTTCACTGAAATCTCAACTTGAATTGTATCTCCCAGAATTTCCACGTGTTATGGGACGGACAGGGGAAGGTAACTGAATCGTGGGGTCGGTCTATCCCATGCTATTCTCATGATAGTGAACTAAGTCTCATGACATCTGATGGGCTTATCAGGGGTTTCTGCTTTTGCTTCCTCCTCATTTTTCTCTTGCATCCACCATGTAAGAAGTGCCTTTCACCTCTCAGCATGATTCTGGGGCCTCCTTAGCCAGGTGGAATTATAACCCCAATTAAACCTCTTTTTCTTCCCAATCGCTGGTATGTCTTTATCAGCAGTATAAAAACAGACTAATACAATACATAAATAATAAATAACAGTTCAAGAAGAAAAAAAAGATAGAATAAAATAAAACTGTCTGAAAACTGTGTCTGTCTGGCTTGGCTGTGCCTACGTAAATGCCACTGCAGGTATGATAAAGGATCATACCATTATGACTCCTCTATCTACCCAGGAAAAATCAATAAACACAACTTATCAACATTATTTAATGACAATTTTTTATGTACACCATTCACTACTTCCATTTCCCAGTAGCAATTTTCTTAATAAAAACCTGATTTTTCTTAAGATTTATACTTTTCATTGGAGCCCACTCCCATCTCCAGGGATGGTTCTAATAGGCTTAACATTTACTTAGTCTTTTTTGATAGTAATTGGTTCACAAATGGGCATGTGATTCAATTCAGGTCAATGCAACTCCAATAGAGGTTTCCAAGGCTCCTTCAGAGGCTGTTTTTGTTCTGAAAGTGCCTGGGGTTGGGTGACTGAGAACTTTACTCTTCTCCTGGACATTGTTTTAACTGGATATGAGACCTGGAACTACTGTAACTATCATAATACCTGCCTCAGGATGAAAGGATCTGAAGAGGAGCAAAGAGAATCATACAGAAATAGAACAAGAATCACTGGATTAAACTAATATTTAAGCCAACCTCACCTCTGGACTTTCACTCATGGGTTCCTATAACATTTCTTATTTTTATTTCATTTCATTTCAGTGACTGGCCCTCCTCTGTGATGGGTGCTCAAGTGACTGGCCCTCTGGCCCTCCCCTGTGATGGGTGAACTCCAAGGCCAACTTGAGTTTTACTTTCTGTAGGGTGACTATCCTACAGAAAGTTTACAATGGTTCAAAGTACAATTTGTTGACTTTACAATGGGTTTATCCAGGCATTAAATGCTTTTCAATTTACAGTATTTTTTTGACTTACAATCAGTTTGTCTGGATGTAACCATGTTATTAGTCAAGGAGCATCTGCACATGTTTAGTGTCTATTTTATTTTAATTAAATCACCTATTGATTTATAATATTTTGTATTTTAGGGTATTTAAAATTTAGCATATTAACTTATATTAAAGCATTTTTACTCATTTTTCCATTTGTCCCAAATCAGGCTGGTTTATGCTTCTTTTTCCAGGAAGGTTATTAAAGGTGCCCCTTATATTATAAAAATTGCCCTAATTTATATGATAAATTATATAGTCACCAGAACCTGCTTCAGGGGTTTACAAACAGTGCAGTAGCACAGGAACTGATGCTCAGAAAGATTCACCTGGGTTCTGGGCCCAATGACAGAGAGGATTAGGGTTGGCTCAACAAGTTTCAGGGCAGGAACTCATGAACCTGTGAGGTATTGGACTCCTTCTGTAATTGTTTCTTTTTTATTTCTGTGACTGAAGGAGTGTAGCATTAAATAGAAAAGTGAAAAGCCCCATGGCAGGTAAATAGAGATTGAAGAAGAAACATTTAAAACTTTTTTTCCTGTTTTGTTGAACAAGGAATTCCACACTCTCATTTTGTGGTGGGCCCTGGAAATTATGCAGTTGGTGATGGTTGTCATTTTAATATGAATGGCGATGTGACAAGACAGATTCTGTGTTTATTAATCTCACAATAACCAGAGGAGGGCCAGGTATAGAGTATAGACAACAGGGCCTCCATGATTCTCAACCCTGAGGTTGTCATTCACATGGTGCTTTGCATGAATGGCACTTGAATATTGCCCCCTGGAGTTGTACAACATAAGCCCATTAAGATCCATTTACAGAAAAGAATTCTTACCAAGAAAAACAATTTAGTGATAATAATTCTAAACTTGAACAAACAATTATTTGGTTTTCATATATATTATTTTCAAGGTTCCTCAGTGATGCACTTATTTTTTATCAATTAACAATTTTTTTTAGCACTTAAGTTTGAAGTTGTAAATATAATTTATATTGGATTCTTTATCACTTGGAACTATTAACATTTACTAAAACATATATTACTAACACTGAAGTACACTTAAATTATTTTCATGGCTATAGACGATAAACCCTTTGACACAACTGACTCTCCATCATGATTGTTTCACAGCTGAGAAATCCAATGCCACTAGAATTAGATTTTTCAATCTCTATATTTTCATCTATCTTATTAAATAAAGACAGTCCCTTACTTATGATGGTTCAAATTACAATTTGTCAACTTTACAATGAGTTTATCCAGGCATCAAATGCCTTTTCAATTTACAGTATATTTTGACTTACAATCAGTTTGTCTGGATGTAACCATATTATAAGTCAAGGAGCATCTGTACATGTTTGGTGTTTATTTTATTTTATTTTCATTAAATCACCTCTTGAATTCTAATATTTTATATATTAGGGTATTTAAAATTTAGCATTTTAACTTACATATAAAACACTTTTACTCATTCTAATAACTTCAAAATTTTAATGATCAGTCTAAGAAGGAAAGTTTACTAAGTTCTTTAAAAATCTATGTAACTTCCCCAAGTCTAGAAAGTCCGAATAACAAAAAACCTCACTGTTTATTTATAGAAAAGCAGTCTTTAGAAGTAGATACTATAGTTTGGGGTTTTTTTTGGCGGGGCAGGTAAAAAAATTACAGCATTGTATATTAAAAAAGTAAAAGATAAGTAGATAGCAGGTGAATACTCCTTACGCTTGCTCTTGTTTTAGTAAATCATAATAGTTCCAAGTCATAAAGAATCCAATATATATTCTATTTACATCTTCAAACTTAAGTGCTAAAAAATTGTTAATTGAATAAAAATAAAAGCATCACTCAGTCTTTAAATGAATATTGAAAAGAATACATATGTTTCTCTTCTATGAATCAACTTACAACAGGAGAATGTTAGCAGTGTTTGAAATAAATAAAGTGTTCTCCACATGATATATATAAATTGAGTGATATGGTTTGGCTGTGTCGCCCCCCAAATCTCATCTTGAATTCCCATGTGTTGTGGGAGGGACCGTGTGGGAGGTAATTGAATCTTGGGGACTAGTCTTTCCCATGTTGTTCTCATGATAGTGAGTAAGTCTCACAAGATCTGATGGTTTTATAAAGAGGTGTTCCCTGCAGAAGCTCTTGCTTTTTGCCTGCTGCCATCCATGTAAGACGTAACTTCCTCCTCCTTGCTTTCCACCATGATTGTGGGGCCTCCCCAGCCGTGTGGCACTGTAAGTCCATTAAACCTCTTTCTTTGGTAAATTGCCCTGTCTCAGGTATGTTTTTATCAGCAGTGTGGGCACAGACTAATACCGTAAATTGGTACCAGTTGAATGGGGCACTGCTGAAAAGATACTCAAAACTGTGGAAGGGACTTTGGAACTGGGTAACAGGCAGAGGTTGCAACAGTTTGGAGGACTCAGAAGAAAACAGGAACATGTGGGAAAGTTTGGAACTCCTTAGAGACTTGTTGAATGGCGTTAACCAAAATGCTGATAATAATATGGACAATGAAATCCAGGCTGAGCTTGTCTCAGATGGAGATGAGGAACTTGTTGGGAACAGGAGTAAAGGTGGCTCTTGTTATGTTTCAGCAAAGAGACTGGAAACATTTTGCCTCTGCTCTAGAGATTTGTGGAACTTTGAACTTGAGAGAGATGATTTAGGGTATCTGGTGGAAGAAATTTCTAAACAGCAAACCATTCAAGTGGTGACTTGGATCCTGGTAAAGGCACTGAATTTATAAAAGAAGCAGAGCATAAAGGTTCCAAAAATTTGCTGCTTGACAATGCAATAGAAAAGAAAATCCCATTTTCTGAGGAGAAATTCAAGCCAGCTGCAGAAATTTGCACAAATAACTAGGAGCTGAATGTTAATCCCCAAGACAATAAGGAAAATGTCTCCAGGGCATGCCACAGGTCTTCACGGCAGTCCCTCCCATCCATCACCAGCCCGGAGGCCTAAGAGGAAAAAGTAGTTTTGTGGGCTGGGGCCCAGGGTCACTGTGCTGTGTGTAGCCTAGGAACTTGGTGCGCTGCATCCCAGCTGCTCCAGCTCTGGTTGAAAGGGGCCAACATAGAGGTCAGGACATAGCTTCAGAGGGTTTAAGGCCTAAGCCTTGGCAGCTTCCACATAGTGCTGAGCCTGTGAGTGCACAGAAGTCAAGAATTAGGTCTTGGGAATCTCTGCCTAGATTTCAGAAAATGCATGGAAATGCCTGGATGTCAAGGCAGAAGTTTGCTGCAGGGGTGGGGCCCTCATGGAGAGCCTCTGCTAGGGCAGTGCAGTAGGGAAATATGGGGTCAGAGCCTCCACACAGAGCCTCCACATAGAGTACCCAGTCCCTACTGGGGTACTGCCTAGTGGAGCTGTGAGAAGAAGGTCACCTTCCTCCAGAACCCAGAATGGTAGATCTACTGACAGCTTGCACCATGTGCCTGGAAAAGCTGCAGACACTCAATGCCAGCCCATGAAGGCAGCCAGGAGATGGGCTGTACCCTGCAAAGCCACAGGGTTGGAGCTGCCCAACACCATGGGAACCCATCTTTTGTATCAGCATGACCTGGATGTGAGACTTGGGGTCAAAGCAGATCATTTTGTAGCTTAAAGATTTGACTGCCTTGCTGGATTTCAGACTTGCATAGGGCCTGTAGCCCTTTGTTTTTGCCAATTTCTCTGTTTTGGAATGGCTGTATTTACCCAACGCCTGTACCCTCATTGTACCTAGGAAGTAATTAACTTCCTTTTGATTTTACAGACTTATAGGTGGAGAAGTCTTGCCTTGTCTCAAATGAGACTTTGGACTATGGGCTTTTGAGTTAATGCTGAAATGAGTTAAGATTTTGGGGGACAGTTGGGAAGGCACGATTGGTTTTGAAATGTGAGGACATGAGATTTGGGAGGAGCCAGGGGCAGAATGATATGGTTTGGCTGTGTTCCCACCCAAATCTCATCTTGAATTCCCATGCGTTGTGGGAGGGGCGAGGTGGAAGGTAATTGAATCATGGAGGCAAGTCTTTCATGTGCTGTTCTCATAATAAGTCTTATGAGATCTGATGGTTTTATAAAGAGGAGTTCTCCTGCAGAAGCTCTCTCTCTTTGTCTACTGCCATCCATATTAGACATAAGTTGCTCCTCCTTGCCTTCTGCCATGATTGTGAGGCCTCCCCAGTCATTGGAACTGTAAGTTTGAGTTAGAGTCTCACCTCACATAACTTAACTGGAGAATGATCAAGGTGATTAAATTTCAGGATAGCTATATGGATAACAGATAGGATAATGGAAAGACAGGGCAATAGGAAAATGTGATACAGGAATACCTCTGGAACAAAGAAAGCAGACCAAATTCTGTTTGGAAGTTTTGGCAAAATTTAGAAAATAATAAAGGGGACCCCATGACAAATATATTCCCTTTCCCTCCCTAAAGCCTCCATCACATTTCTTGCATCATGATAAGCATCAGTCATTTCATTCCATCCCTTTTGAACAGAAAAAATCAATCGACTTTTTCCATGAATAAATTATTTTTAATAGTACATCTGGAAGAGAAAATAGGAATTCTTTTACAAATACATGGATTACATTTCAGTTGTTTTTAATAGATATTAATATTTTTAAAGAGGGGCAGATACAGTTTAGAATAGAACAACATAGAATTATTGACATTTACTCACATTTAGTTTGTTTACATTTCTCCAATGTTTGGAATAATGTGAATAGAAACATATCTATATGCTGCAAAGTAAATGACTGATGTCTTTTGAAAGTGTTAAGGACTTTTCTGCACTCTTACTTTTGGTTATAAGAATGCAGTATTTATATAAGCATTTCATAAATCTCAAAAAGTCCAAAGAATCCTGAACTGAACTCAAATACAGCCCCCTCTAAACATGTTTGTCTCTCTAGGCAACTTTATATTTAGGTACTTTGCATAAAAGAAAATCAGAGTAAGAAAGATTAAAAACCCTAATTCTATGGTCTAAAAATTAAATAAATATATACAAGGAAATAAAGCATTCTAATTATTATCCCTGTTAAAACTTGGAAGTGTCTGACAGGAAACTTTCTGCTAAAGCCATTCAAAATACACCATTATGACAAATTCATTTTTTAAATTATTGATTTAAAAATTATTATTTTTTAGAGGAAGCCTTCACAGTAAATTATAAGTTTCATGTGAGCAGGGATCATAGTATTTTTGTTTAGCTCCATGGCCTAGAGCCTAACATAATTCTTGAATAAATAAAATCATCTATATTGAAAATACAGGTTTATTTGTAAATAGCAGAATGCTAGTAATAAGACTTGCCTGATACTTTAAACACAATAACAAGAATAAAGATGGACTAGAGATGTTTAATTTGTTTACATTATAAGAAACTGATGAATATTGATGTCTCAATTTGATATTTATAAAAACGAATCCAGTAAGAATAAGAGCACTGTTAGTTTTGACAGCTTCAATACTTTGTTTTGTTGTGTTAATTTAACAGTTGATTGCTGATATAAAATAAGTTCTAGTCTAAAAATATGATGAGCACTTTATATTTATAAAATAAAAGATTTTTACCACACCAACATAACAAGAAATACTTTTAAAATGACTATATATTTAATCTAGATATCAAATACCCATTTATATTTTTCCACTAAGAAAATCCATTATTTGAGAATATTTTTAAACAAGATATGATTTTTAAATTGTTAATGTAGCATATAAATGACATCAGGGAAATAGACCTCAGATTATTTTTTACATGGAAAGTCAGCAGAATTACCACAGCTTCACTGCCATTTGGTCAGCTTTTTTTTTTTTAAATTGATGTTTAAACTCTTTTATGGATGCCAAGACTCACTGTTTAAATATTCAGCTGTAAAACTATTGCCAAATGACACTGGGTCCTGTTTTCCTTCTTTTGAAAGTGTGCTTGATTTATAAAATTAAATTTAGTTAAAAGCAAGGCATATTTTTGCAAGGGTTTTATTATGCCAGCAGATACTTCACATTAGACTTGTGTAATATTTTTTGAGATAATCAATTTCTCTTCAAATAAAATTCTTGCATTTTTTAGCCTAAGTTATTCATGTAGAAAACTTATTTTAAAATGAGTGATATGGTTTGGCTGTGTTTCCACCCAAAATCTCTTCTTGAATTGTAATCCAAATTGCAATCCGCACATGTTGGGGGAGAGTCCTCGTGGAACGTGGTTAGATCATAGGGCAGTTCCCCTATGCTAGTCTCATGACAATGAGTGAGTTCACATGAGATCTGTTTGTTTTATAAGGGGCTTTCCCCTGATTCCCTCTGCACTTCTCTCTCCTGCTGCCATGTGAAGAAGGGTGTGTTTACCTCCCCTTCCGCAATAATTCTAAGTTTCCTGAGGCCCCCCCAAGCCATGTAGAACTGTGAGTCAATTAAACCTCTTTTCTTTATAAATTACCTGGGTATTTCTTCATAGCAGCATGAGAACGGACTAATACAAAGGGCTAGTGGCTGAAAAGAGGGACATATTTTAACATCATTTCCATTAAAGAGTAGAAGCTTACTTATCATTTTCCTGGCCTGATTTTTTATGCATTCAGAAAGGCTCAGAACTCTAAGAAGAGAACTATATTTCTCTTAATATTACATCAGCCAGGGATTAGACATATATAAGTAGAATTAGGTAAACAAATAAACAACACTGGTTAATGATTAAAATATAGTTTCAAGATTTCTGTAAAAATGACATTCTTTCATATTAAAATGTAATTATCTGTATATAAACTCACAGAATTTAATAACTGAGTGCCCATAATTATTCAGTCAATGCTCCAATAAGATGCTTCCTCTGTGATTAAGATGTAAGCCATACTCAAACTCTTCTTCCTTGATTTTGTTTATATCTTCACCAGTTGGAATGGTATAGCCTTTTCATTCATTGATTTCTCCTTTATAAGAACTTGGTATAATTTCATGCTGCAGTGACCTGGCCCCAGTTTCAGTCTGCCAGTTCCCATACAGCTTTCATCACATACCTCCAATTTTGGACAAGTTATTTGAGCTCTCTATATCTCAGTTTACTTATCTATTAAATAGAGATTAAAATTACATAGTCATAAAATTATTATAAAGATTAGGTAAACAAAGTGCATAAAAATTTTAGAATAATACTCAACACATAAGATGCCTCAAGACTTTATTACTCTTATCAGAGGCTTTCAATGTTATTTTCTACATAAAGCCCACTCCACTTCACAATGTTCTCTCCTTCTTTTGAATACTTACAGTATTTCTGTGCAATAGCATATAATCTGATACTCATGAATTAATTCTCCATATTCATGTCTTAGTTTCAAGTCAATTGCAAACTCCTTGAAGACCACTTATCTTATTTTACTTGGTGTTTACATTTTACAATGTCTGGGCAAGCAGTGTCTTTGATAACTTATAAGACTACTTCTACTAATAATAACAACAATATTAGCATAACAAAAATAGCTAGCATTTATTCAGCACTTAGTAGGCATTCTAGTCCTTTACATATGTTGTCTGTTTTAAACCTTGCTGCAATACCCTGAGATAGACCTTATTTTCACTTTCATTTTACCCATGAGGGAACTGAAAGATTGAACAACTTGCCCAACATCACATACTTACAGATAAATGTCATCATCTGTATACCTACTGGGTTGGCTGGTTTAAAATCAGAAGTCACATGATTTCTAATACTACTTTTATCAGCCTCAGAACTTCTTAATCTTGAATTATGGCATGAACTATTCACTCTTATTTTTGTCTTATCTCTCTCCAATCAGTTCTGTATAGCACCATATGTCAATTTCCTATAGCAATATGGAGAAGGTGGTAATAAATTTAATAAAGAAGTTAGTAATAAATTTGAAGCCTATTTCTCTGTAGAATCTCCACAGGTTTTTTTTTCTTCCCAGTTAAAGGAATGTAAAAGAACTAAAGGCTATCAAGACCATATAAATGTTTATATATTTTTTAATTTGTAATTTATTTTCATCATATTTATGTAATAATTGCTAACTAAGATGAATCTCTTTCAACCTTTATTTTCCAGTGTTTTAACAACTTGCTATGAAGTAAAATAATCAATTTTATGGAATATTATGTTTTGATGAGACTTTAGAGACCATCTAGTATGATACAATTATGTTCTTAATGAGGAAACCAGGGCTGAAAGAAGGGTCTTTTCCATGTGCTTTAATTAGAATGACACTGCTGCAGTAGTAACCCAAAAGTACAAGAATTACAAAAGAAGTTTGTTTTTTCCTCTTTATTGTAGTAGTCCTTAAGAAAGGCCTAGATCTTCAGGGAACCTCTGCCCTATTTTCTCAGAGAGCCAGGTTTCTGTTCTTTGTTGTTCCAGTTTCACCTATAGTATTGTCATATTCTGCATGGTAGAAGCTGAGACACTGCCTCAAATACATTCCTAACAACAAGACATGGTTAAATGTGTCCTGGGATGAAATGCTCAAACCCAAAGGGGCGCATGACACATCCACGTCACATTCTATTGGTGAGTTTAGACACACAATCACACTTAACTTTAAGTTAGACTACACAATATTTTCTAGGTGGGCAGCCATGTACCTAGAGAAACATTTGCGCACAAAGCTGGACTTTGATAAATACATGGAAGTTTAACCATGCCACCAGAAAATGTAGCTATAAGATCAATCATGCCAAATCATGATTTATACTACTTTGTGTTGAATAAACATATAATGCTAATGTTTTCTAGTCTGTGTCAGTCCAATACTATCATTTTCTTGCTTGTATTTTGTATAGTTGCATTGGTGCTATTTGTTTTCTACTAAAGTTTTTGAGAATAAAAACATTGTGTCTGTCAAAATTATTCTACCTTGTAAGGACAATTGATTTTGTAGGGAGTCACACTGTGGGTGACTTATTTTCTTTTATGTAATAAAGATATGCAAATACAAATAAAGAAACATATGCTTAATATGTACTCAGTGCTTTTTTTGGACGTGAAGAAGATAATGAAAATATTCAAGGGATTGTATCTATAAGAAATGTCCATGTTCTTGAGTCGTGAGACATTCCATATGTGTGATTTGCATTAACAATATCATTGGTAACCATGGTGAAGTGAATTGTCCACATTTGGTGTGAGATCACTGTGAATCAAAGTCATAAGTCTGCGTTTTTTATACTTTTTTATCTTCTGGAATGCCTTGGTTTTACAGCAAAATCTAATCATGATTAAACTTAGGGAGTTCAAACTTAGATCATTATTTTCATTTTGCTTTTATAACTGTAAATAATTGATCTACAACTTCTGGCGTGACAGCTGGCGACAGTTACACAATGGCACAAGGGAAGCTATGGTTAGATCCTTCTGGCCTCCTTCTTCATATGTATTCATTTGTTGGGTAAAACATTTTTGTATATAACACAAAGGCAGTTTCTAGAGTTTGTCATTTGGCCCGTATGTCTCATTTTAAACTCTCTAAAATTGCTTATCAAAAATGACTGATTTTATTTGTTACAGTGTTCCAACATCCATATGGTATGTAAGTAAAATGAGAATGTAGACAAAATATAAATGGTAATCAGGGAATTACATAGAACTCTGAAATTGTACATGACTTGTACTGGAAGTATATCATTGAAATGTAAACAGTAGAAACAACACTGTCATAAAGTGATTGAATATTGCCTATATTCTTCATAAATTTCATAAATTAGGATAGCTGGTGTGATGAGTTCTAACTGAATGTCTGTCCAAAGAATGTTTACTCTTAAAGACACGTACATATCCAACTGACTTCAACAAATACATACTAATTATCCATTGTCAGTTCTGAAATATGAGTGACTTGAATTTGAATTCTGCCTTAATTACTTACCAGAAATGTGAGTTTCCTAGTTCAGTTACATAAGTTCTCCAGTTATCAGATTTCTTTTCTGCATACCGAGAAAAACAGTACTTAACTAATACATACTTATAGGAGGAAGAAAATCTGTTTTAAGAAGATAAAAATACATAAAAGTTGGCTAACACAGCTGCAGATGCACAGTGTGTTCTCAACAAACCTAGTGGTAGCCATTTCCACTCCATCACTGCTCCCATCTTATCCTGAGCAAAGATGAAGTCATTTATCTCCACATTCTCCACAGTGTCTGCTTAAATGCTTTGTATAATAGAAAGATGTTTGTTGAATTTATCTGAACCTGAAATAGAAGATGAAAGAAAATACCAGGATAATTCAAGAGAAAACATTTCCCTTGATCTATATTATCTGACATCTCAGGTGAAATTTCTATTTTTATTTCCTTTTCTGGCCTGAGATATCTAGTAATTATCCTAAATCCTTCAATTTAGTTTGTGTGCAAAGACTCAGTCTAAGATGAATATTTATGGTTCTCCTTGGGAACTAAAGTATTTTGGCAGTTATTCAACTCACTAGATTTACTATTAAAACAGCACAACTGACTCAGCAATTTCATTCAGGTGCAGGTTCGCCTACTGTTGTAAACCTCCTGCAATAATCTGGAAAAATAAGTAAGAAATTCAATGGTTCCACCAGTTATATAGTCATTAGGAATAGGCTCCATAGTGACTTGAAGTGATTTTCTTAATTGTAATTTCTCCCTTTTTCATTATACTTGAGCCTTAAATTATAACTACCTTCCTTGAGTTCCTTATGACAGGCCTCATGCAGGCCTTTAAGTATACATAAAGAAGAAAACAGATGTGAAATCTCTTCCTCATCTATAATACAAATAAAGACAACACACATTTAACACAATAATGTCAGCTACATTCACACACGCACAAGTTTTTCTAACACTTTGTGTACATTTTTATTTCTAACTCGAAAGACACTTTCACCCCTTAAAACACATTCATCTTATAGTTTACATATCATGTGTTATAATGTAATACTATAACCACATACTTCAATTTATATCACAAATATGCTCGTATCTCTTTTATATTTCTAATTACTTAAGAGTCCACTGACATAAGGTGAACAAAGTCTTATATCTCTCTTCATCCACCTCTCACAGACCATTGTTTAAGAATGTGGGATTTGAGCAATCCAAAGGTGAAGGCAGAGACCCACTTCTAAAAGCCACATCGTTTCTCATGACCGCATGATTGAGTGTAGATAGTTGGAACTGCCTAGTCCCATGGGCATTTTTCTAATCTACAATGAGCCCTTGGTGATCTATATCAATACCTAGACTTAAGAATTTCCCCAGTTTGAAATTAAGTTTACAATTCTCTTAGTTTACAGTCTTCTGCTCGCTGCTCCCCAAAGCAGAACACGGTATTAGACAGAGCTCTAAAGGGCTTCTAGTCTCAGATTCATGACAAGGCAGAACTGAGCTCCCCCAACAAGCTGTTAGGGTAATGCATTAGCCTGAACCTCTAGTTTAAACTATCTTCTCTTCATGGAATTATTTTAAGGGTGCTGATCAGGCTCTGCTAGTTACCTAGGATGAGTTCCTACATTTGAAACTCAGGAATCAGGGATTTGGCAAATCAGGTAAATTGATCCATTTATTCTTCACATTTGCACTCCATAGATTTCATAAGAGTAACAGCATCATTTGAGTCAAAATAAATGCAGCTATACATTTTACTCCTTCTAATAGGTACTTTTTTGTTAGATTTCATCAGAATTTGATTTAGAAAATATTTTTAAATATTAAAGCCTTTTAAGTCTTTTAAAAAGATATAATTCCCCCAATTTTAAAGTAATCAAGAATCTGATGATTTAAAAACTAGTGGACAATTGAATTATAGACTAAATGTCTGCTATTGAACTATGATAGTATCATAAAAGTTATAAATAGGAATATTGCCACCTTTTATGAGAATTAGGAATTCCCTCCCTTTGAGAATGGGTTGGACTTACTGACTCAATTCTCAAAGATCTAATGTGGCATAAGTAATTTGTATAACTTCTGAGATTAAGTCATAAAAAGCATTGTGGCATCTTCCCTGCTGCCTTTCTTAGGTTACTCTTACTGGGAAAAGCTGACTGCCTTGCCCTAAAGATATTAAAGATAATCAAGTCTACAGAGATAGCCACTGAATACGGAACTGAGGTCTCCTGCTAGAGTCAGCAGTGAGTGGAGGCCTCTAACAGTGTCATGAGTGAGGCATTCTAGAAGTGAGTGGCCCAGCCTCAGTTAAGCCTTCAGATGACTGCAGCCCAGCTGACATCTTAACGGCAAGCTCATGAGAGACCCCTAGCTAACAACCACAATTTTTCTTAACCACAGAAACTGTGAGATACTAAATGTTTATTAATTTAAACCACATAATTTATTTCATAGTAATGAAAAACTAATACCATCTTTAAGAATTCTTCCCATGCACTGATTTCAACCTCTCTTTACTCAGCCTGAATTTTAATAAAGTAGCTGACCAAATGCTTCTCAAAATACTTTTTAAAAATTATTTTCTAAGCTCTGTATGGTAAGAAAATCACTAGCTGATTTGGCTTGCACACACCTACTGCATCTCCACCCTTCCTTGTCCTGCCTTCAAACTTACCTGCACTGCTCACACACTAGAGAAAACACAGCAAGGTATCATCAACTTTTGGCATCAGAATAAACTGTGAGGGAACCTACTTCAACCCATCAATCAACAAATCCAACAGATGAACTAGAACATTCATTCCAACACTCATTATCTGTGTTTGAACTCACAATATCTAAGTACTGTCTGCAGACAGCTCTCAGTCTTAGAAAGTCTTCTTTTACATTGATAGTTTTGACCCTTTGAAACTAGTTTAAATTTGAGCACAGCCATACAGGACAAGTCTAATTCCTCTCCACCAAGCAATTCTTTCCTTTAAAACTCAAGAATGAAAATCTGTTTTAACACTAGCATTAAGCAAATTTCTTTTCTTTTTTTTTGAGACGGAGTCTCGCTCTGTCGCCCAGGCTGGAGTGCAGTGGCGCCATCTCAGCTCACTGCAAGCTCCGCCTCCTGGGTTCACGCCATTCTCCTGCCTCAGTCTCCTGAGTAGCTGGGATTACAGGTGCCCTCGCCACGCCCAGCTAATTTTTTTGTATTTTTAGTAGAGATGGGGTTTCACCATGTTAGCCAGGATGGTCTAGATCTCCTGACCTCGTGATCCACCCACCTCGGACTCCCAAAGTGTTGGGATTACAGGAGTGAGCCACTGTGCCCGGCCAGCAAATTTCTTTTCTTATTTATTTATTTATTTATTTATTCATTCATTCACTTGCTTCACAAAATCTTACTGAATCCCTATTAAATACAAGTCACTATCGTTGTTCAGGATTCCACAATGTACCATTTGGTCATATAAAGGAAGTGCTACATGTAATTCAAACGTAAATGTTCATTGCAAAAACTAAATCAGAACACATGGTCATTTGCTATTTATTTCTTTTATTATTATTATTATTATACTTTAAGTTCCACAGTACATGTGCACAATGTGCAGGTTTGTTATATATGTATACATGTGCCATATTGGTGTGCTGCACCCATTAACTCATCATTTACATTAGGTATATCTCCTAATGCTATCCCACCCCCTCCCCCCACTCCACCACAGGCCCTGGTGTGTGATGTTCCCCATCCTGTGTCCAAGTGTTCTCATTGTTCAATCCCACCTATGAGTGAGAACATGCAATGTTTGTTTTTCTGTCCTTGCAATAGTTTGCTGAGAATGATGGTTTCCAGCTTCATCCATGTCCCTACAAAGGACATGAACTCATCATTTTTTATGGCTGCATACTATTCCATGGTGTATATGTGCCACATTTTCTTAATCGAGCCTATCATTGATGGACATTTGGGTTGGTTCCAAGTCTTTGCTATTGAGAATAGTGCTGCAATAAACATATGTGTGCATGTGTCTTTATAGCAGCATGATTTATAATCCTTTGGGTATATACCCAGTAATGGGATGGCTGGGTCAAATGGTATTTCTAGTTCTAGATGCTTGAGGAATCGCCACACTGACTTCCACAATGGTTGAACTAGTTTACAGTCCCACCAACAGTGTAAAAGCATTCCTATTTCTCCACATCCTCTCCAGCACCTGTTGTTTCCAGACTTTTTAATGATCACCATTCTAACTGGTGTGAGATGATATCTCATTGTGGTTTTGATTTGCATTTCTCTGATGGCCAGTGATGATGAGCATTTTTTCATGTGTCTGTTGGCTGCACAAATGTCTTCTTTTGAGAAGTGTCTGTTCATATCCTTTGCCCACTTTTTGATAGGGTTGTTTGATTTTTTCTTGTAAATTTGTTTAAGTTCTTTGTAGACTCTGGATATTAGCCCTTTGTCAGATGGGTAGATTGCAAAAATTTTCCCCCAGTCTGTAGGTTGCCTGTTCACTGATGGTAGTTACTTTTGCTGTGCAGAAGCTCTTTAGTTTATTTAGATCCCATTTGCCAATTTTGGCGTTTGTTGCTATTACTTTTGGTGGTTTAGACATGAAGTCCTTGCCCATGCCTATGTCCTAAATGGTATTGCCTAGGTTTTCTTCCAGGGTTTTTATGGTTTTAGGTCTAACATTTAAGTCTTTAATCCATCTTGAATTGATTTTTGTATAAGGTTTAAGGAAGGGATCCACTTTCAGCTTTCTACATATGGCCAGCCAGTTTTCCCAGCACCATTTATTAAAAAGGGAATCCTTTCCCCATTTCTTGTTTTTGTCAGGTTTGTCAAAGATCAGATGGTTGTACATTTGTGATATTATTTCTGAGGGCTCTGTTCTGTTCCATTGGTCTATATCTCTGTTTTGGTACCAGTACCATGCTGTTTTGGTTACTGCAGTCTTGTAGTATAGTTTGAAGTCAGGTAATGTGATGCCTCCAGCTTTGTTCTTTTTGCTTAGGATTGTCTTGGCAATGTGGGCTCTTTTTTGGTTCCATATGAACTTTAAAGTTTTTTCCAATTCTGTGAAGAAAGTCATTGGTAGCTTGATGGGGATGGCAGCATTGAATGTATAAATTATATTGGGCAGTATGGCCATTTTCATGATATTGATTCTTCCTACCAATGAGCATGGAATGTTCTTCCATTTGTTTGTGTTGTCTTTTATTTTGTTGAGCAGTGGTTTGTAGTTCTCCTTGAAAAGGTCCTTCACATACCTTGTAAGTTGGATTCCTAGATATTTTATTCTCTTTGAAGCAATTGTGAATGGGAGTTCACTCGTGATTTGGCTCTCTGTCTGTTATTGGTGTATAGGAATGCTTGTGAATTTTGCACATTGATTTTGTATCCTGAGACTTTGCTGAAGTTGCTTATCAGCTTAAGGAGATTTTGGGCTGAGACGATGGGGTTTTCTAAATATACGATCGTGTCATCTGCAAACAGAGACAATTTGACTTCCTCATTTCCTAATTGAATACCCTTCATTTCTTTCTCCTGCCTGATTGCCCTGGCCAGAACTTCCAACACTATGTTGAATAGGAGTGGTGAGAGAGGGCATCCCTGTCTTGTGCCAGTTTTCAAAGGGAATGCTTCCAGTTTTTGCCCATTCAGTATGATATTGGCTGTGGGTTTGCTATAAATAGCTCTTATTATTTTGAGGTATGTTCCATCAATACCTAATTTTAATTTATTAAGAGTTTTTAGCATGAAGCGCTGTTGAATTTTGTCAAAGGCCTTTTCTAAGTCTATTGAGATAATCATGTGGTTTTTGTCTTTGGTTCTGTTTATATGATGGATTATTTTTATTGATTTGTGTATGTTGAACCAACCTTGCATCCCAGGGATGAAGCACACTTGATCATGGTGGATAAGATTTTTGATGTGATGCTGGATTTGGTTTACCTGTATTTTATTGAGGATTTTGGGATCGATGTTCATCAGGGATATTGGTCTAAAATTCTCTTTTTTTGTTGTGTCTCTGCCAAGCTTTGGTATCAGGATGATGCTGGCCTCATAAAATGAGTTAGGGAGGATTCCCTCTTTTTCTATTGACTGGAATAATTTCAGAAGGAATGGTACCAGCTCCTCTTTTTACCTGTGGAAGAATTCGGCTGTGAATCCGTCTGGTCCTGGACTTTTTTTGTTGGTAGGCTATTAATTGTGGGGAAAAGCAAGAGAGATCAGATTGTTACTGTGTCTGTGTAGAAAGAAGTAGACATAGGAGACTCCATTTTGTTCTGTACTAAGAAAAATTCTTCTGCCTTGAGATTCTGTTAATCTATAACCTTACCCCCAACCCCGTGCTCTCTGAAACATGTGCTGTGTCAACTCAGAGTTAAATGGATTAAGGGCGGTGCAAGATGTGCTTTGTTAAACAGATGCTTGAAGGCAGCATGCTC
Organism: Homo sapiens; assembly: GCF_000001405.40. Lineage (NCBI taxonomy): Eukaryota > Metazoa > Chordata > Mammalia > Primates > Hominidae > Homo > Homo sapiens. Next base: position 175,906,277 of record NC_000003.12, on the reverse strand, counting down.
CTTGAGAGTCATCACCACTCCCCAATCTCAAGTACCCAGGGACACAAACACTGCGGAAGGCCGCAGGGACCTCTGCCTAGGAAAGCCAGGTATTGTCCAAGGTTTCTCCCCATGTGATAGTCTGAAATATGGCCTCGTGGGAAGGGAAAGACCTGACCGTCCCCCAGCCCGACACCCGTAAAGGGTCTGTGCTGAGGAGGATTAGTATAAGAGGAAGGCATGCCTCTTGCAGTTGAGACAAGAGGAAGGCATCTGTCTCCTGCCCGTCCCTGGGCAATGGAATGTCTCGGTATAAAACCCGATTGTATGCTCCATCTACTGAGATAGGGAAAAACCGCCTTAGGGCTGGAGGTGGGACCTGCGGGCAGCAATACTGCTTTGTAAAGCATTGAGATGTTTATGTGTATGCATAGCTAAAAGCACAGCACTTAATCCTTTACGTTGTCTATGATGCAAAGACCTTTGTTCACATGTTTGTCTGCTGACCCTCTCCCCGCAATTGTCTTGTGACCCTGACACATCCCCCTCTCGGAGAAACACCCACAAATGATAAATAAATACTAAGGGAACTCAGAGGCTGGCGGGATCCTCCATATGCTGAACGCTGGTCCCCCGGGTCCTCTTATTTCTTTCTCTATACTTTGTCTCTGTGTCTTTTTCTTTCCTAAGTCTCTCGTTCCACCTTATGAGAAACACCCACAGGTGTGGAGGGGCAACCCACCCCTACAATTAATTATTGCCTCAATTTCAGAGCCTGTTATTGGTCTATTCAGGGATTCAACTTCTTCCTGGTTTAGTCTTGGGAGGGTGTATGTGCCCAGAAATTTATCCATTTCTTCTAGATTTTCTAGTTTATTTATGTGGAGGTGTTTATAGTATTCTCTGATGGTAGTTTGTATTTCTGTGGGATCAGTGGCGATACCCCCTTTATCACTTTTTATTGCATTTATTTGATTCTTCTCTCTTTTCTTCTTTATTAGTCTGGCTAGCAGTCTATCAATTTTGTTGATCTTTTCAAAAAACCAGCTCCTGGATTCATTGATTTTTTGAAGGGTTTTTTGTGTCTCTATCTCCTTCAGTTCTGCTCTGATCTTAGTTATTTCTTACCTTGCTAACTTTTGAATGTATTTGCTCTTGCTTCTCTAGTTCTTTTAATTGTGAAGCTAGGGTGTCAATTTTAGATCTTTCCTGGTTTCTTTTGTGGGCATTTAGTGCTATAAATTTCCCCCTACACACTGCTTCAAATGTGTCCCAGAGATTCTGGTATGTTGTGTCTTTTTTCTCATTGGTTTCAAAGAACATCTTTATTTCTGCCTTCGTTTCTTTATGTACCCAGTATTCATTCAGGAACAGGTTGTTCAGTTTCCATGTAGTTGAGCGGTTTTGAGTGAGTTTCTTAATCCTGAGTTCTAATTTGATTGCACTGTGGTCTGAGACAATCTGTTATAATTTCTGTTCTTTTACATTTGCTGAGGAGTGCTTTACTTCCAACTATGTGGTCAATTTTGGAATAAGTGTGATGTGGTGCTGAGAAGAATGTATATTCTGTTGATTTGGGGTGGAGAGTTCTGTAGATGTCTATTAGGTCTGCTTGGTGCAGAGCTGAGTTCAATTCCTGGATATCCTTGTTAACTTTCTGTCTCTTTGATCTGTCTAATGTTGACAGTGGTGTGTTAAAGTCTCCCATTATTATTGTGTGGGAGTCTAAGTCTCTTTGTAGGTCTCTAAGGACTTGCTTTATGAATCTGGGTGCTCCTGTATTGGGTGCATATATATTTAGGATAGTTAGCTCTTCTTGTTGAATTGATCCCTTTACCATTATGTAATGGCCTTCTTTGTCTCTTTTGATCTTTGTTGGTTTAAAGTCTGTTTTATCAGAGACTAGGATTGCAACCTCTGTTTTTTTTTTGTTTTCCATTTGCTTGGTAGATCTTCCTCCATCCCTTTATTTTGAGCCTATGTGTGTCTCTGCACATGAGATGGGTCTCCTGAATACAGCATACCAATGGGTCTTGCCTCTTTATCCAATTTGCTAGCCTGTGTCTTTTAATTGGAGCATTTAGCCAATTTACATTTAAGGTTAATATTGTTATGTGTGAATTTGATCCTGTCATTCTGATGTTAGCTGGTTATTTTGCTCGTTAGTTGATGCAGTTTCTTCCTAGCATGGATGGTCTTTACAATTTGCCATGTTTTTGCAGTGGCTGGTACTGGTTGTTCCTTTCCATGTTTAGTGCTTCCTTCAGGAGCTCTTGTAAGGCAGGCCTGGTGGTGACAAAATCTCTCAGCATTTGCTTTACTGTAAAGGATTTTATTCCTCCTTCACTTATGAAGCTTAGTTTGGCTGCATATGAAATTCTGGGTTGAAAATTCTTTTCTTTAAGAATGTTGAATATTGGCCCCCACTCTCTTCTGGCTTGTAGAGTTTCTGCCGAGAGATCCACTGTTAGTCTGATGGGCTTCCCTTTGTGGGTAACCCAACCTTTCTCTCTGGCTGCCCTTAACATTTTTTCCTTCATTTCAACTTTGGTGAATCTGACAATTACATGTCTTGGAGTTGCTCTTTTTGAGGAGTATCTTTGTGATGTTCTCTGTATTTCCTGAATTTGAATGTTGGCCTGCCTTCCTAGGTTGGGGAAGTTCTCCTGGATAATATCCTGAAGAGTGTTTTCCAACTCGGTTCCATTCTCCCCATCACTTTCAGGTACACCAATCAGACATAGATTTGGTCTTTTCACATAGTCCCATATTTCTTGGAGACTTTGTTCATTTCTTTTTACTCTTTTTTCTCTAAACTTCTCTTCTCGCTTCATTTCATTCATTTGATCTTCAATCCCTGATATCCTTTCTTCCACTTGATCAAATCGGCTACTGAAGCTTGTGCATTCGTCACGTAGTTCTCGTGCCATGGTTTTCAGCTCCGTCAGGTAACTTAAGGTTTTCTCTATGCTGTTAATTCTAGTTAGCCAATCCTCTAATCTTTTTTCAAGGCTTTTAGCTTCTTTGCAATGGGTTCGAACATCCTCCTTTAGCTCAGAGAAGTTTGTTATTACTGATCGTCTGAAGCCTTCTTTTCTCAACTTGTCAAAGTCATTCTCTGTCCAGCTTGGTTCCATTGCTGGTGAGGAACTGCATTCCTTTGGAGGAGAAGAGGTGCTCTGACTTTAAGAATTTTCAGTTTTTCTCCTCTGGTTTCTCCCCATCTTTGTGGTTTTATCTACCTTTGGTCTTTGATGATGGTGACGTACAGATAGGGTTTTGGTGTGGATGTCCTTTCTGTTGTTAGTTTTCCTTCTAACAGTCAGGACCCTCAGCTGCAGGTCTGTTGGAGTTTGCCGGAGGTCCACTCCAGACCCTGTTTGCCTGGGTATCACCAGTGGAGGCTCAGTTGGAAACGCAGAAATCGCCCGTCTTCTGCATCACTCACGCTGGGAGCTGTAGACTGGAGCTGCTCCTATTTGGCCATCTTAGAACCTCCTCCCGTTTGCTATTTATTTTTGTGAAGAAAAAGGTGAATATAGCAGGCATGAAAATACTATTTTTAGAATGCCCTGATTATGTGGTAAGCTCTTGGCTGTCATCTGGATTTTGTGAGTATTCCCACCATTCTCAGAATTCTGTAGTAGCTCACTGTACCTAAACTGTTTGTACAAACAATAGGATTTGTTCAGATCTTGTGCGTTTCTTCTGAAAACCTGGAGTTTTGGTACATACTAAGTCAAAGATGCTTATGTGGCCAGTCTCCAGTACAAATTCAGTTGGCCTCTTCTAATGAGATTCTCCAGTAGACAATATTTCATGCATGTTGTCACATTAATTGCTGGGGAAATTAAGCATGTCCCCTGTGACTTTACTGGAAGAGGACTTTTTGAATCCCAGCCTGATTTCATCCAGATTCATTCTATGTACACTTTCCATTGGCTGATTTTGCTTTGTATCATTTTGCTGTAATAAATAATAGCCATGAGTACAACTATATGCTGAGTCTTGTGAGTTCTTCTAGCAAATCATTGAACTTGGGGATGGCCTGGGCAATTCTATCTCCCAGCACATCCTCTGTCCCTTGAAACAACTTTGTCAATTCAAATTAAACACCCTAGTAAGAAAAATCTCTAAGTCATCATCATGTAAGTTGATAAAATATGTTTATCTTGTCCAGAATATTATTTTACATGTCATGATGATTTATGTGACTAAATATGGTATGATTTATCTACTATATTTTTTCAAAACTCAATTATTTCTTTATTGAAGTTCAACAATATGTAAACTAGCATCTACAGTCTTGAAGAGCTATAAGTTGAGTGATAAATTTTCAAGATATTTGTGATTTATTTGAAAAGGCACAGAGTTTGAGATACTAAAAAATGAGAGCCTCACACAAATTGTTCTTGGTGAACCCATGCTAGTTCTAATAAATTACTGCTTTGTTTGCTTCTCCTACCTCTTAATGCATTCTAGAACTTGGAATATACTTTGAATACCTCTAGTTTTTCTGCATCTCAATATGCCCCATCAAATATTCCAAATCACGGTTTTAAATTTCATTTGTAAGTTTTTCATAACTTTCACTAATTTAGAAAGTTAGCTCCTTATTAAAGTCCAAATTGATAAAATTCACCACTGCCAAACTATAAAAAGCCCACACTGTCTAATGGTAAAGCTTTTTTAGGAAAGTTGAATCCAAATAGGAAGTCATATTTTCCATTTAAATGGGTAGAACACAACATTTTATTTTATTTTTTCAACATAGCAGATCTCATAGCTGAGGGGAGAAAGTACAACTGAAGGGCCAGAGGGCCTCTCTGCAATTGAGAAAACCTGCCTAATCTTCAGGGTTTTCTGATAGCTTAAAAATAAATAATAAACAAGAGGTCTAAATAATAGAGGTCTAAAATAATAAAACAGAGATCTAAAATTCATGGGATATTTTAAATGTTAACATTTTCATAATCGTGCATATAATACACACAAACGAAGCAAAATGCAATGAAATTTTGTTATCCACTAGAAGGTTTGTATCAAAGGTAAAATCAAAATTTGAGGCCTGTGAATTTTAGACCTGGACCAAATGCCTCTCCTATGCAGGAAAGATCCTTAACAAAACACAGAAAACACAGAGATGCAAATTGCTACATTAAGCCCACATGCAAATTGCTTCATTGAGCCTAGTAGCTCAAAAATTTGCATTGTGGAAGATTCTAACCTTTGTAAAAATCAATGTTAGGCTAAGGTAATTAAAGCAAACTTCAAGCAACCACATTTTTAAAGGAGGATAATGGTCTCCAAATAAAAATAAGAGCCTTGAAACTACCAAAGCTTATCTGGTGGAACAATAGCAATGCAGTTCACATAGTACAAGATCAATCAAGCCTGAAAGGCGAATCCATATCAGATCAGAACAGAAAGACCGGTTCGGTGTTCTCTATAGTTCCTGGTTGAGGCAAAACTTGAAGTTGGTATCTGAATCCAAAGAACAGGATTTATCAGTAGGCATATACTTTTATGCTAAAGTTAAATGTTATGTGATGTGGATTCAATCATTATTTTTAAAGATCTGTTTTTATTTTTGTACTCTTCAAGTTTAAAACCTCTTTTGAATATCATAGACTATGGTCTACCTCAAATTTCAAAGCCATTGCGGTTTGTATTACATTTTCTTAATTATCCCTCAGCCCAAAAAGGCCAGCCACTTCCTTTTTCTTTCAATTACTAAGCATTTATTTAGAACATCCAAGGTTCAAGAACTTTTCTAGTTACTATAATTGTAGAAATGTACAAGGTACATGCTTGCCGTCAAATGACCAAAAGTAATGTTTCCCATCCTGAAAGAGAAATTTGCACCAGGTGTCCTGGAAGCGTGAAGGGGGGCACCTGACCAAAACCAGCACTATTGCAGGAATCTTCTCAGGAACAATGACATTTTAAATGCAGGTTAATGATAAGAAGTGTTCTAGGGGTAGAAAAGAAAAGGGACAATATGCACAAGGACATTGAGTAGACAGAGAATGAGGCAGTTTGGAAGATAAAATATTGTTTTAAAAACGTATCAGTTGAAATGATAAATAGATGCCAAATCTTGAAGAAGCTTGATATGGTTTGGCTCTGTGTCCCCAGTCAAATCTGACCTTGAATTGTAATAGTGTCCACATGTCAAGGGCAGGGTCAGGTAGAGATAATTGAATCATGGGGGCAGGTTCCCCCATACTGTCCTCATGATAGTGAATAAATCTCACGTGATCTGATGGTTTTATAAATGGGAGTTCCCCTGCATAAGCTCTCTTGCCTGCTGCCATGATTGTGAGACTTCTCTAACCATGTGGAACTGTGAGTCAATTAAACCTCTTTCCTTTATAAATTACCCAGTCTCAGATATGTCTTTATTAGCAGTGTGAGAACAGACTGATACACATCTTGAATCTCATACTAAAGATTCTCATTACCTCCAATATATTGATGAAAAGCTTTCATGTGTTTTGAAAGGCTTACTTGTTAGCACATTTTGAAGGGAAGCATAGTGAGGGTCTTTATGCACTTAGCCCAAGAGAAGCTCATGCACATCTTGGCAGAATCCTCCAAACCAGTGTGACAAATGCTTGGCTTTTACTTGCTTCAGTTTTATCCGTAGATAGGTAACACGAGTCCTTACTTTCAGCTATGGCTTCTGGCATCTCTGTGTCTGGATCTGCAGAATCTCCTCTGGCCTCGGAACTCTAAAATCTTCACTGCACTCTTTCTGACATCCAGTGTGCTGATGAGAAAGCTAATGCCAGTACGAATGCTTGATGTTTGTATGTTTATGGGTAGCTTGCTTTTTCTCCATAAGATGCTTTAAGGGTTTTTTCCTTTTTTTCCTTTGTTGTTCTTAACTTTCAAAAGGACTTTCATTAGGTAAGGATCTGTTTTATGTATAGTTATATCCTCAGCTCTTAGAAGAGCATGACGTGGTTGACATACACAAATTTTGTTGAATAAATGTATAAATGAACTCTATTTAGAGTTTGAGCACCCATGAAATTTGAATACTAGTCTTTTTGCTCAGCCCTAAAATATTTTCTTTCAGGAAAGATTAGATTATTGTTAAATCTCGATTTTACTTATTGTTATCTTTTCACACTCTTTGAGAAGATATTGAATCTTCTGAATTTATCCTCTATGCATCTAAACTTTCACTTATTTTAGTTTCAGTTTCTTTTCTCTTTAATCTATAATCTGACAAGTTTTCTCATTGGATCTTGTAGCCCTCTTTTTTATTTTTTAATTCATCAATATTTTAATTTCTAAAAGTATTATCTTGCTAAGAGCAGAAATTTAGATATTTTCTTTTAAATTTCCTTTAATCAGTGACTTCTTTCTTTCCTGTGTTTGATCTTTTGGTTATTATGATCCTTCTCATATGTACTGTGGGTTTTCTTCAATTAGCAAAGCTTTGGCCCTGCATTTTTTTAAAAGAAAGATCTAAGCTGATTAATATTGGTAGCTACAGTGGATTTTCTATTCTGTCGTGTGGGTAAGTTTGTTTATTTCCTCCAATGCAACCTCTGACTCCCTGGTTCAAGCGATTCTCCTGCCTCAGCCTCCCGATTAGCCGGGATTACAGGCACGCACCACCACGCCCAGGTAATTTTTGTATTTTTAGTAGAGACAGGGTTTCACCATGTTGGCCAAGATGGCTCACTCTCCTGACCTTGTGATCCTCCCGCCTCAGCCTCCCAAACTGCTGGGATTACAGGCATGAACCACCATGCCTGGCCAGAATTCTTCTTCCATGTGAGGATTTATGTGTTAACTTTGCACTTCGAGTAAGGGAGCAGGAGAGCTGGTTGGGCCACACTCCCCAAATACCATGCCAAATCCTCATCTTTCCTCAAAAATTTAAAGAATTTTTAAAAAATTTTTGTTCTAAACTAAACATAGGCTGAAATGTGTCCTGGAACTGAAAGCTGCTCCAGACCTCAAAACTCAGCCTTACCAAGACTAGTTTTAATCTTCCCATACTCTTCAGCATCATGAATATTACATCAGCTTTGAAAACTTAGCTACCTTTCTGCTGAGCTTCTGGATATCCACCTTCTTAAAATTTAGAAAAATGTTTAATTTATTTTCTCAGAATTTTTTCACTAGATGTCTTTCATAAATAAAGTGTCAAGTAACAATAACACTATACAATTTCAGTGCATATGAATCAAATCCTTCCTCCTATCTACCTCCAGAAGAGAAGGAAAATTATTCTCACTTTTCTATTTCTACACACAGTTGAGAAATATTTATAAATGTCATTTATTTATATTCATATTTATAAATACCTTATATTCTTGAATATGTGCCTTCTTTTTAAATAATGTGTTCACTTTTACAAGTATGCTAACTTAGAACACTTTCTTAGATTTAAGAAATCTCAGTTTAGGTAAATTAGACATATATCCAACAAATTTTTCAAAAAGATTAGTAGATGCATTGAAGAATAAAATATTAGTAGTTGTTTCATTTAACAAGCTTTTTTCTGAAACTTTCATGATTTATTATTATAGTGTGTACTTGAGATTAGTAGTACAGATTTGAGCTAAAATTATAAATGAATTTCTCAATCATACTAGTTCTATAACTGATGCCAATAATAATAAAAGTAAAAAAAATCTTTTTCTCATGACATTGTTATATGTTTCATTTATCCCTTTTATCCTTAGATTTTCCTATTTTTCTCCTTAAGAATCTATAGATTCCATTTTTCACAAAGAAGCCATTTGATGGTCCTATCTTCAAGTCTACTTTTGGTTTTCTTTTGCATCAGTAATAGAATCATTATTATTCTCATCACTAAAATCTAATTCATTATCGGATAAGAACAAATATTCCTCACATTCTATTTTCAACAGCTGATTTTTCTTATTTATGTTCTCAGTAGGCATATCCTCTTCACTTGCTGGAAATGAAAATTCATTCTTTTCCATATGAGAATTATCATTCATCTCATTAATCTACCTTGATTGCCATTTCCCCCTTCATCACTGCAAACTAAGAGTCTTATTGTCTGTTACTTTTATTATTTTCATTATTTGGTATATATCGTATGGGTTTCTGGCATTTTCTGATACTGAATATACATGTAGCAGAAGACAAACATACTACCAAGTGAACTAGTGTGTAAATAGACTTCAGCCTTAAGAGCTCCTGAACTTGAAAATGATAATGACTTTATTGCATTTATCACTTTCTGTTTAAATGAGACCAGACGTATGCCAGAGATACATTTACCTAAGCTTTATTCATTCACCACAATATAACATAACAATTTGTCCAGCAAATTACAGATTTTATGAATGATGTACTTTCTTTAACTGAAACCAAAGTAGCATCAAGCTCTAAAATGAGATTGAAGAATGGGGCAGTACAGAAACTGAAATTGTATGTGTGTCAAAAATGCCAGTTTTGAAAATAGCATTCAACCACCCATATTTGTTCCAGCAATATCTTTCCCTGTGGCAGAGGCTCATACTGCTGGCAATCTGGTTTTGTGGGTTGCTGAAACTAGCTGAAAAATGCTGTTAACTATCCCATAAAGGAGACATGATAATGCAATAATGATGCAGGGCAGATACGTTCTGAAACTGGGGCTTAGCCTGTTCGGGTTCTTGGCTTTGCCCAGGAAATAATTCAAGGGCAAGCTGGTGGTGTTAAATAGCAACTTTTATTGAAGTGGCAGTGTACAGCATCTAGGTACTGCTCCTTGTGGAGCAGGGCCACCCCATAGATAGCGTGCCCAGAATAGCAGTTCAGAGGCAGTTCTGCAGTCATTTTTAGGCCCACTTTAAATTATATGCAAATTAAGGGGCAATTTATACAGAAATTTCTACGATGAGGGTGGTAGCTTCCAGGTTGTCAGGTTATTGCCATGGAAAGGAGCAGTAACTTCCTTGTTGCCAGGGCAATGGTAAACTAACATTGCACACTGGTGGGCATGTATTATGAAAAGCGACTTCTGCCCTGGATCTGTTTTAGCTAGTCCTCAATTTGGTCCAGTGTCCAAGCCCCACCACCAGAGTCAAGGCCCACCTCCTAGCTCACTCCACACTCAGAGATTAGAAACTCCTCCTTAATCTTACAGGGTTGCAGAAAGACAGAAGTCCCTCTTCTGTAACTGCTTCCTGCTGAGTTTATGAGCATAGGCCCTTCCTAGCACCAAAAGAGTAAAAATCTTTAGATACCTCATCTGAGAGGCCCACAGACAGGAGGCTTTTATTCTCCAGGTCAGCAGGTGGGATGGGTTGGAAGCACTGTGCCAGCATTGTATTTACCCGGAGCTGTTGTAATCTAGAAGACACAAACTTTACTGTTTAAACAAGCAAGGGCCAAAAATTAGTAACAACAAGGCAACTATCAAAGGTCCCAAAAGAGGTAGGTAAAAAAAGCAGGTGAGACTTGGAAAGGTATTTTTCATAGTTGACCAGACATAGTTGGGGTCAGTGCCCTGGTTATATCTATGTAGCCATGTAGCTTGCTCAGAGAGCTTTTGAATGTTAATCTCAACTTGTCCAGAGTTGTTAATACATGTGCAGCAGGTTTTATTAATAACTTCACAGACTCCACCTTGTTCAGCTAGTAGATGACCCAACACTAGTCTGTTATTGAGAACTACATTTGCCAAAGAATCTGGGGACTCTTGAATTCCTTTACTGTCTGAGCTGTGTTGATGGCTAAAGATTCTAGGGTTTGAGTCAAATTCTTTAGGGTTGACCAGTGATGAGCAAAGCCATCCCAGGGTGCTACTAGTCTTATCACTTCCCTGATTCCTGCCAGAATTAATCTGCTCACTTACTTCTGTTATTCTTGAGTCTTATGGGGTTATAGACAGTGACCCCTGAGGGACAAGGGTGGCCAAGGTACATTCACCTCAGGTCTAAGTTTTTCATTTATAAGGGAAAGCTACTCTTAAAAGAACACATGAGTCTCTAGGAAGTTGGGAGTGGTTACAGGATGTGAGTTTTTCCTACTTATGGCCACGAACAAAAATGAGCCCAGCTGGAACACACAAAGAGAGCCTACAGGGTATGAAGTTTATCTTTGTTGCCTTATTGGGTCTATAGAGATATTTTTCCCCTGTTCCAATGAGGATGGTTGAACGGTCTTTGTTTTCTGGAAAGGGGCAGTACTCTCACCTTCCCAGACTAGGCAGACCACCTCCAACATGCTTGAACTTTCTGAGTTGTCCTATACTATCTTTCTTAAATAACCAGTCATTTAACTGTAGGACAAGAATTTATTATACAAGATATCTCCTCATATAAAATTACTGGGGGTTTTTTTGTTTGTTTGTTTGTTTTTGAGACGGAGTCTCGCTCTGTCCCCCAGGCTGGAGCGCAGTGGTGCGATCTCGGCTCACTGCAAGCTCCGCCTCCCTAGTTCACGCCATTCTCCTGCCTCAGCCTCCCGAGTAGCTGGGACTACAGACGCCCGCCATCACACCAGGCTAATTTTTTTTGTATTTTTAGTAGAGACGGGGTTTCACCATGTTAGCCAGGGTGGTCTCGATCTTATGACCTTGTGATCCGTCCACCTCGGCCTCCCAAAGTGCTGGGATTACAGGCGTGAGCCACTGCGCCCGGCCAAATTACTGTTTCTTTATTTCTTCCTTGTAAAACAGAAAAATACATTTTCTATTCATAACATTCTTTACATCTCTCTTTTCTACTTATGGGTTCCCTCATACTTTGAACCTCTCTTTTAATAATTTCCAAATTAGACAAAAGTGTTTTTCCCAATAAAGACTACATTTCTTTGGTACATTTTATATAAGCATAAGAAGAAAAAAGTCCTGAACTGCCTGCCAGACATTGGCATTCTGTAGACAAAAAAACATTCTACCATTTTAAGATTTAAACACAATAAGTTCACTATTTAAGCATCTATTCCATTCACATGTATTTAACTCTTCCACTTTTAACAGTGAACCACCTCCAAGTACCAAGATACCATGCAAAGCTAGTCATCATTTAAAGCCATTTTAACCATTTTAAAATGATTTACCCAGATAAAAATCTTAAAGTTAAATTTTAGAAGACATTACATTCACTTCAAACTGATAAGCTTTGACTAGTCTTATTTAATTTATGATTACTCTTTTATTTACAAGCCAATTTGACAGCCTGTTAGACACAACACATATCACAATACCTGTATATATGCCTAAACATATTAAGTAATTAATGTGTTTTAATACATCAAATCACCTATACAGTACAATTCAATTCAATTCATTAATTCAATTCAATTCAATTAATTCAATTGAATTAACCAATTCAAAATTGGCTCCCAAGTACGTGGCCAAATTTTGTTTGCCCCAACAGGTATAGAAAACAGGAAGAGGCAGGGAAGGAATTCCATAACATCAAATAAGGAAGAGGTGAATTGCATTGCCCAAGGGGAAACTCTGGAGTCCGTGAGCCACCAGAGAGCTCATCCAGAAGTCGAGACGCCAAAGAAAAATGTTCAGGCAGCTGCCTCTCTGCCACTGCAGGAAGCTGTCTGCTGGGTCAAGGGTCTGAGACTCCCAGTAAACTTAATTGGCTAAGGCAACTCATTGGGGCTAATGGAAGAAGGTTATCTCTAGAATTGATAGTGAGCTTTTACTTCTCTTTGTCTCTCACCAGGGACAAGTAGGACATTCTCATTACCAATGGCCCTTTTGCTTATCGTAGGCATGCTGATTCTGGCCCACAGGCTGGCAGGTCAGGGGCTCTGGTCTGGGCACCTCAGACTTTTAAAAAGTATTTTCTTTAATATGGCAAGGTTTACATAGAGTGCATTTAATAGTGTCAAGAAAATGTAATTCTGTCTATTGATTAGTCAACCATTTAAAAAGTATTTTCTTCAATATGGCAAGGTTTACATAGAGTACATTTGATAGTGTAAAGAAAATGTAATTCTGTCTATTGATTAGTCAACCAAAAACAGTTCCTTTTTATGAAATAATTTTTTTACAGTATTATATAGGGAGATATACAGAGAAAATGTTTGTTGAAAAAATATGTGTATGAGGTGCTAATCAGACATAAGCAGAGAAATATTTATTATACTATTCAGGTTTTAGACAGGACAAGAGAGTTAATGGCTTAATAGGAAATGCTATCCCATCTCATGATCACTGATCTGATACAAGATGATTGTCTTTATACCACTGTCATCAGTAATTTTTCAAGTTATTTGTTTAAAATTTCTCGATAATCTAATCAGGCTTCACTCTCCTACCTAACTTCAGTAACTAGTGTTTAAGATTCCAAATCTAGAATCTAGAAACATAGTTATCAAGTAATCTCATGAAATGCTTATAGATAACATGGGTAAATGTACATTGAATGAGTATGCCACTAGGCAAATTTGCAGCAGCCCAATGCTTGTGTTCAGGTAGTATTAAGAAAGGAACAGATGGCTAACTGGAAAGTGACTTTTTCTGCATATTGTAGAATTTGCCCTCAGTTCTGACCTGTTCAACACGTATTTTAGATTTAGATGTTGACTTTGATAATGGGCGTTTCAGGTATCACAAAGCTGAGAAAGACAGTTTATATTTTGAATGATAGTATTGGGCTCCAAATGGATCAAATATTATAATATTTAAAATATAATAATAATGGTAATAATTTATATTTCAAAAAATACATGAGTCTAAGGAGAAAAATATAACTCAACAGTTTGTGAGAAAAAAACAAAAAAATTATTGGCTTCAGTAGATTGTAAGTTCAAGTTAGGGTATATTACTAACCTCTATATACTCCATAAATATCTGAACTATTATATTAAACACTAGAAATCAAAATTCTAAAGAACACTGTCAGATTGAAGGCATTTCTAGAGGATAACAATATTAAGTGATTAATATATTCGACCAACAATAATTTAACAAAGTACCTATTCTATATCCACATCAATCTGATAATGAGCAAGACAGACATGCAGGTCTGCATTTATTGGAGACAGGAATAGATATTAGATAATTAATTAAATTTACCATGGAAGCTGTTAAAATCAATTGCAGAATTTGATAACAGTGTATTACAGAAAGCTGTAAATTAATTTAATCTAGGAAATCATCTGGCTTTTCTCCAATTTGCTAGAGGATCCATCTGGGAGTTTCTGTTGTCATACCAACTATCTTCATAAGATGTAAACCTTTCACTATTTTAGTTGTATGGTTATTTTACTGGTTAAGTGATTTTGTCAATTTTCATTATGGCAGTGTCTACATGCACAGAAGCAGGACGTATTACATATAACAAAGGCTGTCATTCAAGGTGGAACCCCACTGCAGGGGGAAAAAAAAACTGAGGCAGAAGAAAATGTGGAGTGGTGAGTCAAACTGAAAGTAGAGGTGGCACCATGAAAACACAGCGAGTTTTTTTTTGTTTGTTTGTTTTTGTTTTTGTTTTTGTTTTGAGGCGGAGTCTTGCTCTGTCGCCCAGGCTGGAGTGCAGTGGCGCGATCTGGACTCACTGCAAGCTCGGCCTCCTGAGTTCGCTCCGTTCTCCTTCCTCAGCCTCCCGAGTATCTGGGACTACAGACGCCCGCCACCACGCCTGGCTAATTTTTTGTATTTTCAGTAGAGACGTGGTTTCACCGTGTTAGCCAGGATGGTCTCGATCTCCTGACCTCGTGACCCGCCCGCCTCTGCCTCCCAAAGTGCTGGGATTACAGGCGTGAGCCACCGTGCCCGGCCAAGTTGTTCTTTTTAAGGGATCCACTGTATTCGTAGAATGAATCCTTTTGAGCAATGAGGAAAGTGAACACTCGGACATTATAGCAACCTTCCAGCAACTGGAACTAGCTTCATTCATGGTATGTTTCATCAATAATAGCATACATTTAATGATATCTGAGGTTTCACAATCTAGATATGTAATCATTATATTTGCTTTTTTTATGTTTATCCCCAACATATTAAGCTACTTCTGTAACCATTTTTGAACATTATGTACTAGGTTATGATATATAATATTTTCCCAAATGTTCACGATGGGACTGTCTTAAAATGCAGTAAGATATACCTAGCTGGTTTCAATTAAAAGTATATAGTTTATAAATCCATGTAAACAGCATCATCCATGTAAAAATGTGTCATTTCACTATTTGCTAAAAGTGGATAATATGTGAATGCAGCACTGTGAGTTCTGTCCATATAAAGTACATATGCTCTTCCCTCAAAATACCTTTACATGTGACCATCTGAACTATGATTAGTGTGGAGGTGCCTCTGACTATCCTTACTCTAAATATTAATAAAGTTAAACATTTATCTACAGTTATATTTTTAAAATATTTATATAAATAACATTTTGCTCCACCATTCCATACCGTGTAGACCAGTGCCCTCCAGAGCACCCAGGAGAAAGTAGATCATTTCTCTCTTTCCATATCACAGCCATAGGAGCTTTGGGATATTACTATTAGGGATATCTGCAAATCTATGAGAGCCACTCTTACAGCTTATCCTCTGCCCAGAAGCAAAAAGCAATTGAGTGATGTCATATTAAGAATTGAGAAAAAAGGGCCAGGCATGGTGGCTCACCCCTGTAGTCCCAGCACTTTGGGAGGCCGAGGCGGGCAGTACACTTGAGGCCAGTAATTTGAGACCAGCCTGGCCAACATGATGAAACCCCATCTCTACTAAAAATACAAAAATTAGCCAGGCATGGTGGTGCACTTCTGTGGTCCCAGCTACTCGGGAGGCTGAAGCACAAGAATCACTTGAACCAGAGAGGCAGAGTTGCAGTGAGCCGAGATCGCCCCATGAAACTCTAGCCTGAGTGACAGAGTGAGATTCTGTCTCAAAAAAAAAAAAAAAAAAAAAGAATATAATTTAATATATTTTGAGTATATTTCAATAAGATTTTTAGATATTTTTCTCTATTCTCCAAATCAGGGAAAATCTGAGCTTCTGCAGATTCTGTGCTTTGGGTAAGCAAAAATACAACTGTCTGGTCAAACTCTAGCCATGTGTTAAGCATTATAAAAACATTTCTGCACATTCAGTTCATCGTTGGCTTAGCTATGTTCCATCCTTTACTCAAATCCTTTGTTTAGTTTATGTTTTAATGTTGCACTTATTTTTATAAGCAACCTCAAATATTTTAGGGATGATAGGAACAGAGAGTGTGAGAGAGAGACGATTGCCATAATTACAGACAAGTACCGGACACGTGATTACTACTGTAATAACTGAGGTGAGTTCTTCAATGTCACACCCCAGTTTTTATTATTAAAAATGCTATTTGTCTCGACATTCTCTAGGAAAAACAATATAACTTATGATACATATATAATATAGAAAATAGACTATATGATATATAATATTGTGTGTGAAATATGTATTGTATACTTTATAATATAGAATTATATATAATACAAAATTTATAATACAATCCATAATATATAATATATACAATGTGAAATATAAAATACTTCTTTACTAATGTGCACTTTGTCTATGTCTGTGTTTGTGTCTGTTTGTTGTCTATGTGGAGTGTGTAAATTATTTTTAATGGCCACTGAAAGTGTATTTGAAAAAATGGTAGCAAAAACAAAGGACATGTAGAGATTAGGAAAATATGCTGAAATTATTGCAGCCTGAAAGAAATGACTGACTATTGTATGAAATACAACTGGAAAAACAATGACTGAAGACTTGAAGCAGGCACTTTGCAGTATAATAATACTTTTATGGTCCAGCTGTAAATGCATTTTAAATTTTGATTATGATTTCTTCTTTGACTCATAAATTGTCTAAAGGCCTTTTGTTTCAGCTGAGTGAATGTCTTTTCTCTTTTTGTTTATATTATTCATTTATAAACTAATTGCACTCTGATCAAAGAATATTTCAGTGATACCAATTCTGAAAATTTAATGAAAATTATTTTAAATTATATACATATAGTTGTATATGTAATACATGCAATAATTGTTATATATGATCATATATATTCATATATTTGTATATTCGTGCTTATGTATATATATTAAATAAAATCTGTTACTTGATGAGAGATTTCTCAATTTTTTTTTGCTTATTGTCTTGTTAAAGTTTTTCTACTCAGACTACATTATAAAGTTCACTTAGATTAGGTAGTTAAATATTCATAATGATCTGAAACTTTTTTATTATGTAATTGTACTTCTCATTTCTTTGTTAAAAGAAAAACTTTAGCTGAATGTAATTTAATGGAGTTTAATTAAGCAAAAAATGATTTGTGAATCAGACAGCCCACAGACCTAGAATAGGTTCAGAGTGACTCTATGTCAGTTTGCTGTGGTCTGCTTGGGCCTAGAACAAGAGCTCAGTCTACAATAATGGCCTCCCATGATTTTGGTTATCAATTTCCTCCTACTGGTGAGCTTGTCATATAGGTGAGAATGTGAACAAAACTTAGGGCTTTGGCATTACTCTCAGTTACCATCATTTTGAGTTTCTGGTCTCAACATGTCATTCATAGGTTATTGTGTCCTCTTGATCATACATTTATTTGAGTTTTTGTCATTCCAGTCAATGCAACCATTTGACATTCTATGGATGGCTGCCTGCAAATGTTTAAAACTTTTGAGATAATACAGGGCACCAGGGAGACTTCTATTATGGTTATAAGGAAGATACTACCAAGAGTTTGAAGTATTTTCCCTAGCCAGGGTCCCCATGAACGAAACCAACCAAAATCAAATAGATCAAATAATGAGTCAGATGAGGAGTCTATCTGTTTTAACCAAACTGCTTATTGGTTAATCCCCTGTAACTGAGTCTCTGTAACCTGATATGTCATCCATATGCAAAAAGAAGTTTCAGCAACTGCATAGATTCCTCTCTGTTCAGCCAGTAGGTAATCTAGAACAATTCTATTATCTAACACAACATTAGCAAAATAATTTAAAGAAGTCTGTTGTGCAGTCATAGTCATTGCAGTAGGATCTCTCATATAGTCTATTATGAGAGAGAAATTTCTAATTATTGCCTCATTTATATGTATTCCAAGGCATGGAAAAAGGGACTTGATAAATGATGCCCATCTAGAAAGGAGATGTCTTCTTGGTGATGTTCTCTTTAACCTATGATGTAGGTTAAGAGAAGTGGACCAATGTTCTGTTCTTCGATGATTATGGAGCAACAAAATTCCTAGTTCACATTGGCCTTTCATTTTCCATCCATCGAGGCATAAGGCTGTCCATGCATAATGTTGGATCAAAATTCTTCAAAAATGAAAGTATACCTCACGGGTGCACACAAATCCCATTCTCTTGTTATATTGTTCATAGAATCATAAGCAAAAGGAAAAAAATAGAAAAGTAAGAGTTTCATGATGGCAGAGAAGTCATGATCTATAATCTTGGGAGAACTATCCATGTCTAGGATATCATCTGCTTATGGGAAGAAGCTTCCCTAATTAGCTTTACCTTAAGGTCTCCAACAGGGGGTACAGTTCCAAGGGTCTAGAGGGGCCTTTCTAAGTTGTGAAATTAGAAACTAAGATTCTAGATCCCAAATTATTACTGCATTATGGGTGACAAGGGCAAGCCTTCTCTGGTGTAGTTTCCAGAAGACCAAACTAAATTGTAAAGAGTTTGATTGTCCTCAATCACTAGATCATGAAAAGTTTCCTTTACCTGTGAAAATACACTTTGGCATAATGCATTAAACCCTTGCAGGATTTAGTCTTTTCAGAGTTTAGCAGAGAAAGATAGAAAACATTCTATTGTTTCAGTGACTAACAAAGCGTCAACTTGTGTTTTTTCTACTGGATGTGGATCTTATTGTCATCAATCTTCAGTATGTTTGACCAAGGCAATCCAGTCAATTCAGCTAGCCTTACTTAGTGCTATCATATCCATAATACTTTATTTAAATGTCTTACAACTTGTATATTGAAACAAGTACCTCAATCACTGGAGATTTCTCCAGGAATATCCCATAAAATAAGCATTTCCTAAGAATCTTGTAGCTATTGTTATAACATCAGACTTTCTGCATGGGAAAGCTTCTATACAACCAGAAAACATGCACTGAAAATAAAAATTTACTGAGATTCCTTTATAAATATTCAAATGGATGAGCAGGTAGCAGAAATGTACCTAAAGTTTTGTTTATGTTTTCAGGAATAAGGGTTTGACAACCCAAACATTGGTCATAAACCATTTTAGCAACTTAAAACAGTGACCACACCAATATTTTTTTCATAGTTTGGATCATTTTATCTGTTTTATGATGAGTCGTGGAATGCATAGATTTTAATAATGAAAACTTTCAGGACTGAAGAAGGACTAAGTGGCTGTACAGGCTGTCCATGAATCCATGCTTAACATTGGATTTATATAATCTTCAATACCAATTTTGTGTCTCCAATTCAGGTGCATAGCACTGCTTAGTAAATGGCTTATTATAGGCAATTTGACTTGGATCATGGAGTTCATTCAAATTGCATATCTTAGCAATTTCAGTATTGGTTGACTTAGGATTAAAATCTGCCAAAGTATTTTCTTAGTTTTTAAAATAATTGTTATCCTGTTTGGATTAGCAGTTTTATAAGTCAGTCAGTCTCTTCATAGAGTTCTGAGGATTCTTACCCAATCCAAATGATATTATCCTAAACTTATTAGAACCCTGATTCAAAAGAGTTCATGTAAGGGTCCTTTTCATCCTTTCCATTAAAACTCATTAATTCTTGAGGTTGCAATGTTTTTAAATTTTTGCAATCAGACCTTGGTGATGACCTTGAGCAGTAGGATATAAATAACTCCCACATGTTTAGTGTTCCAATAAAGGAACACTAGGCATAAACGGATTAACTTTTCTGAAGACATAACATTTTATAATTAAAATTGCTTGCAAAGATTTTTTAGAAGAAGCATGAGAATAAAGCAATTAATTGTGGACAAGACTTAAAATGGCCATGGTTAAAGACATATCTGACAAAGAAATGTGGGCGGGGGGGTTTGTATTTAATCAAAAGGTGAACAAAAATCTTTTGACTCTTATTAATGCTGTATGAAAATCTGGTTTAAAAGAGAAAACTGGAGGGAGCAGCTTAGATGGCCGAATAGAAACAGCTGCACCCTGTAGCTCTCACCAAGAAGAATGAAATCGGTGGGTGAATTCTGCATTTTCAATTCAGGAACACATGTTTTCTCACTGGGACTGACTAGATGGTTGCTGTGACACATGGAGAGTGAGAAAAAGCAAGGTAGAGGGAGGGATCACCGAGGAGCTGCGTGGGGCGGAGGAAGCTCTCTCCCCAAGCCAAGAGAGGCGATGAGGGATTGTGCCACCCATCCCTGAAAACCTCACTCTTCCCATGGATCCTTGCAACAAGCAGATCAGGAGATCCCTTCATAAGCCCACGCAACCAGCACTTTGGGTCCCAGGCACAGGGCTGTGCAGACTCAAGGCGGCTCCTTGGATGGGCGACTGCTGGAGCAAGTATTGAGACAGAGGAGTTTTTGCATACTCTGGCTCTGGGAACTCCGGTGAGGCAGGAGAGCCATCCATTCCTTTGGGAGAGGGGCTGAATCCAGGGAGCCATGCAGTCTCGTTAAGCGAGTCCCACTCCCATGGAACCCCATAAGCAAAAACCCACTGGCTTGGAATCCCCACTGGCCAGAGCAGCAGGCTGGAGACTGCCTAAGAAGACTGAGTTCCGGCAGAGGAGGAGCGGCTGCCATCACTGTGGCACCAGCTGGCCATTTTCCCATGCTGCCGGTGCCAGCGAGACTGCACGGCACCACAGCTGGGACAGTTCATGTCCAGAATGCTTCTTTAAGTGGGGGCCTCACTGAACAGGAACTTCCTGCGGGAATTTCAGCATCCCCAGCCAGGGGCTTATGGACAGAACTCTGTTATCCCTGAGAGGAGCCCCTGGGAGGAGGGGCAGCTATGGTATCATGTATCAGCAGTCTTAGTCTTTTCGGCCTGCTGTCTCTGGAGAGTCAGGGCAGCCCAGATGAAGAGGATTCCCCCGGCACAGAACACCTGCTCTGCAAAGGGGTAGCCAGACTGCTTATTTAAATGGGTACCTGATCCTGCACCTCCTGACTCGGTGAGACCTCCCAACAGGGGTCTCCAGAGACCTCATACAGGAGCACTCCCGCTGGCATCAGGTCAGTGCCCCTTTGGGATAGAGCTCCCACTCCCACAGAAAGGAGCAGGCTACCATCGCTGGTGTTCTGCAGCCTCCATTGGTGGCACTTCCAGGGGCAGGAAGGACCCAGGAGAATAGGGTCTGGAGTGGACCCCTAGCAAATTGCAGCAGCCCTATGGAAGAGGGGCCTGACTGTTAAGAGAAAAACGAACAGAAAGCAACAAAAACAACAACATCAACGAAGAAGACCCCACAAAAACCACATCCAAAAGCGAGCAGCCTCAAAGATCAATGGTAGATAAACCGATGATGATGAGAAAGAATCAACTAAAAAATGCTGAAAACTCAAAAAGCCAGAGTACCTCTTCTCCTCCAAATGATTGCAACACATCTCCAGCAAGGGCACAGAACTGGGCTGAGGCTGAGATGGATGAATTGAGGGAGGTAGGCTTCGGAAGACGGGTAGTAATGAATGTTGCTGAGCTAAAGGATTATTTTCTAACTCATTGCAAAGAAGCTAAGAACCATGATAAAACATTACAGGAGCTGTTAACCAGGATAACTAGTTTAGAGATGAATATAAATGACCTGATGGAGTTGAAAAACACAACATGAGAACTTCATGATGCAAACACAAATATCAATAACTGAATAGACCAAGCAGAAGAAAAGATATCAGGGCCTCAAGACTATCTTGCTGAAATAAGGCAGGCAGACAAGACTAGAGATAAAATAATGAAAAGTAGCAAACAAAACCTCCGAGAACTATGGGATTATGTAAAAAGACTGAACCTATGACTGATTGGAGCACCTGAAAGAGACAGGGAGAATGAAACCAAGCTGGAAAACACACGTCAGGATATTATCCAGGAGAACTTATCCAACCTCGCAAGACAGGCCAACATTCAAATTTTGGGCATCCAGAGAACCTCAGTAAGATACTCCATGAGATGATCAACCTCAAGACACATAAACATCAGATTCTCCAAGGTCAAAATAAAGGAAAAAATGTTGAGGGCGGCCAGAAAGAAAGGCCAGATTACCCATAAAGGGAAGCCCATCAGACTAACAGCAGACCTCTCAGCAAAAACCCTACAGGCCAGAGGAGATAGGGGGCCAATATTCAACATTCTTAAAGCAAAAACTTTCCAACCTAGAATTTCATACCTGGCCAAACTAAGCTTCATAAGCTAAGGAGAAATAAATTCTTATTCAGAGAAAATGCTGAGGAAATTCATCACTACCAGGCCTGCCTTGTAAGACTCCTGAAGGAAGCACTAAATATGGAAAGGAAAAATTGTTACCAGTCACTACAAAAACACACTGAAGTACACAGACCAATGACACTATGAAGCAACTACAAAAAGAACTCTACAAAATAACCAGGCAGCATCATGATGACAGTATCAAATTCACACATAACAATGTTAACCTTAAATGTAAATGGGCTAAATGTGCGAATTAAAAGACACAGAATGGCAAGCTGGATAGAGTCAAGATCCATCAGTGTGCTGTATACAAGAGACCTATCTCACATGCAAAGACACACATAGACTCAAAAATAAAAGGAAGAAGGAAAATTTACCAAGCAAATGGAAAACAGAAAAAAGCAGGAGCTACAAGCCTAGTTGCTGACAAAACAGACTTTAAACCAACAAAGATCAAAAAAGACAAAGAAGAGGAGCACCCACATTCATAAAACAAGTTCTTGGACACCTCCAAAGAGACTTAAACTCCCACACAATATTAGTAGGAAACACCCCACTGTCAATATTAGGTAGATCATCAAGACAGAAAATTACAAAGATATTCGGGATTTGATCTCAGCTCTGGACCAAGTAGACCTGATAGATATCTATAGAACTCTCCACCCCAAAACAACAGAATATACATTCTTCTTGGTGCCACATGGTACTTACTCTAAAATTGATCACATAATTGGAAGTAAATCACTTCTCAGCAAATGCAAAAGAACTGAAGCCATAACAAATAGTCTCTCAGCCCACAGAGGAATCAAATTAGAACTCAAGATTTAAAAACTCACTCAAAAACCACACAACTACTTGGAAATTGAACAACCATCTCCTGAATGACTCCTGGGTAAATAATGAAATTAAGGCAGAAATCAAGAAGTTTTTACAACCAATGAGAACAAAGAGATAACATACCAGAGTCTCTGGGACACAGGTAAAACAGTGTTAAGAGGGAAATTTATAGCCCTAAATGCCAACATTGAAAAGCTAGAAAGATCTCAAATTGACACCCTAACATCACAACTAAAAGAACTGGAGAACCAAGAGCAAACAAACCTCAAAGCTAGCAGAAGACAAGAAATAACCAAGCTCAGGATAAAACTGAAGGAGAGAGAGAAAAAAATTCTCCAAAATATCAATGAATACAGGAGCTGCTTTTTTGAAAACATTAATAAAATAGATAGACTGCTAGCTAGACTAACAAAGAAGAGAAGAGAGAAGAATCAAATACACACAACAAAAAATGATAAAGGGGATATCACCACTGACCCCACAGAAATACAAACAACCATCGGAGAATACTATAAACACCTCTATGCACATACACTAGAAAATCTAAAGTGCCACTTCTTCACTTTATAGCTTCAGAGTATTTATTTTAGAGGACTTAGTACAAGGTTTTTTGTTTGTTTGTTTTTAATTTAGTTTTGCTGTTTATGTTCAATGGGACAGCTATATAGGATATCAAGAGTGCATTACTTCTAGAAAGGGAAGTCACTTAGGGAAGTTTAAGAAGATAAAAGAGTATTGCCAGCACACACTGGAGAATAATACTCATGCTACAATAATCTGTATTAAGCATTTATTCTCTAGTGCTTCTATTTCCTTGAGTTCCAGGAGTATCTTAACTTTGAAAGTTTTTAGTATTCCTTTTGATAGGATTTGTATACATTCTAATTAACTAATTGTGTTTAAAATCATTTTCTCTCATCTGTAGAAGAAGGTATGCCCTTTAAATCTGTGAGATTTGTATTGTTATGTCTCATCCTAATTAAATGCTTCCTGTATATTTGATATAAAAATACCTGATCTGAGCATTGCAAGTAGTCTTTAAAAATTCAATTAGCTTTCTTTGATGTATTTCATGCATTTACGGCATCAAAGAGCTGCATTACTCCAAATTAGTTTCGATGATGGTCTTCTTTACAGCTGTTAATTCGCAAAAAGGAGGAAAAGTCAACTTCAACTTGATTTGGATTTTGTGTGTTCCAGAGAATATGTTATTCTTAATTTCAAAAAGTAATACACATGTTCATACTTTGAATAAATGAAGACAAACAAGTTAAATGAGTTTACAACCTTTCAGAAATGTCTAGTTGCCATTTAACAATGCAAGTATAATATTTCCATTTTATTGAGCATTATATAATAGAGAATGCTATAAGATTTGTGAATAATAACACTAATGATATACATTATGAAGATTTTATAAAAGTTCAACTTTAAATATTTATAATGTTGTTGAAAGTATAGGAACAAAAGAGGCCAGATTGTTCCTATCAATATGGGATTTCTTTCTTCAGTCGTAAATAAAACTGAGTACTTACAGCCATCCGTCAATTGCCCGAATTGACAGAGGGAAAGAGTAGGGGGTTTCATTTATCATATTATTAGAAGGGAGAGTCGCATCAGAAGACTTTTAAAAGATATCAGAAACATTGAGTATGGACTCCAGAACCTCGATATTCAATAATAATACTGTGCTATGATAATTACTATAGAAAAAAAAATCATACCTTAGTTATCCCAAGTCCTGGATTTCTAGAAATCTATATGTTAATTTTCTCAGAGTCCTGGACAGTAGTAACCTTATTCCTATGCAGTAGGAGGGCAGTCGAAATGTTACAAGGGCAGTCAGAAAATAAGAGAAATATTTTCTCTAGCTGCTCCAAGTTGTTTTATTAGCAGAAACAGGAAAAGGAGAAAAAAGAGGGCTATGGATAGACCACTTCAGTATTA
The DNA here is from genome assembly GCF_000001405.40 of Homo sapiens. NCBI lineage: Eukaryota > Metazoa > Chordata > Mammalia > Primates > Hominidae > Homo > Homo sapiens. The sequence goes on along the minus strand of NC_000003.12, from coordinate 175,881,178 downwards.
AGCCTTTCTGTCAAAGTCTACTAAATCTGGAGCAGTCAGCTCTCACTAAAAAATCTTTGGCTGTAGACAAATACAAATGGTTGCCTTGTAGGGAGCTAAGTGTACACCGAGGAATGGGCAGACTATAATTTGGGTAGAGTGATAAAATTTATAGATGATTCATTTTCCCAACTACCTCTCACACTCCGATTAGGCACAGTGAATCTTAAGAGCGTGGTGGGCTTACTAGGTGGAGGGCCAGAAATGCTTACAACTTTGAGGGCAATGAGCTAGCAGCTAGTACAGAATTTTGTGGGATTTTTCTAATTTTTCTAAGAAAAAAGAACTCACTTAAGAAATAGTGGCCGGGTATGTTGGCTCACGCCTGTAATCCCAGCACTTTGGGAAGTCGAGGTGGGTGGATCATCTGAGGTCAGGAGTTCGAGACCAGCCTGACCAACGTGGTGAAATCTTATCTCTACTAAAAATACAAAATCAGCCGGGCATGGTGGCACATGCCTGTAATCCCAGCTACTCAGGAGGCTGAGGCAGGAAAATTGCTTGAACCCGGGAGGAGGAGGTTGCAGTGATCCAAGACCATGCCATTACATTCCAGCCTGGGTGACAGAATGAAACTCCGTCTCAAAAAAAAAAAAAAAAAAAAAAAAAGAAAAGAAAAAGAAATAGCAAAATCAGACTATTATAGCAGAGATCAACTTACATTACTTTTGTATTCCTAAACAAAAAGCATTTATAAAAGCATTTTTGTGCTTTTATTTGATGCTTATATAATGATTTTAATATGATTCAATTTATAGAATTTGACTTCTTTTGTTATAAGAAGGATTGGATTAATCTACAACCCCCTTCTTCACTTACCCTCTTCCTTGATTATCCTGCTTAAAATAGAGTTGATTTCAGCCAATTAATATACCTTAGAAGACATGTTACAGGTGTTTGTATGTTTGCATGCATGGTCCATCCCTAACTCATCTCTTACTAACATCTCTTTTCATGGTTTCTTAAGTTCCTGCTCAATAAAAGAGTGGTAAATAAATGTGCAAAACGAAACATTGCAGAAGAAGGAGAAAGCCTGGAAAGTGAGATATAAATAAGCTAGCAAAGTAAGAAAAAAGAAATCATAGTGAGGTTGGTAGTTAGAGAGTAACTCAACTATGTGAAAGCAATGTTGTCCGTGAAATAAACCAGTATCTCAATCTAAAAGTAAATATGAAGTAATTTTTTTAAAGTATCAGTCTGTTTTGAAATTACCCACATTTCTTCTCTTCTTGCTCGGGACAAATAACAATGGTGATCATATAAATTCATTTGTATTTCTTTAAAATTCTCTTTATTTTTAGACAACAATATGTGATATAATTAATATTAGCTTATCTGGCTAAACTTATTCTCATATAATTAAGCAGAATAAATTTATACTGAGTGCATAATAGTAATGGCTCTGTATGGCATTGTCTAGAATCTTGATTAAAAATAGCATGACACACAAATGCACAGACACACACACACATACACTTTAAAAGATTAGCAAGTGAGCACATTCCAAGGGATCATATTGCCAGCCTTTGAGACAATGAATTGTGTTTTCAACCATGTACATTGCTATGCAGCTGCTTCCAGCAACATGCCCACTGCCCGGAGAACCCTTCCCAATTCTGCCTCTTGGCACTTTAACAGCCATTGTTGAAATTAGCATCTCTCGTTAGAGAAAAGGATGGATATATATGACATCTAGTTTATTATGAAATAAACCTCTATTCTTATTCAATCGGATATTCAGTTAAACCATCAAAATTTCTTATCTTTCTTATCTTTGTTATCTTATGCTTGCGTTTGATAACCATGCATCTAATGAGATCTAGCCACCTGAAATTGTCTTTATTCTCCCTAATTCCTGTCTTCATTGCCAGAAGTCTCAACAATAGTACTCCTTTACAATACCAGTTTTCATCTCTTTTCTATAAGGTGCTGGAATTCATCAGTGAGTCTTAAGAGATGAGGAGACACAAATCAGGAAGAAAATGAAGAGGAAAAGCTTCAGGCTTCCCATATCAGCTTCATCCATGCCGGGACTACTTTTTATGTGTTGAATTTCCAGAGAAAATTTTGTTCTGGATGAAAAACAGAAAACTACTGCTAAATTTCAAATAACTTGAGGAATATTGTCTTAAATAAATGCATTCAGGGTTCTATTGAAATACAAATGTTAGGTAAGAAAGGCAAAATATCCTATTAAACACCACTTATGAATCCCTTAGTAGAAATAATCTGATCAGACTGGCTACCATTAACAAGCAAAGGTCAGATGCAAAGTTCAAAGCTTTTGGTTCACTCTATTTGCAGGAAGGTGGATATTGCCTAGGATTCAAATGCAATCAGAAAATAAAATAGAGAAAATATAAGAAAAGAATAACATGTGGAATTTATCAGCATTACACATAACGTCAGGTGTATTGGTTTCCTCGGCCAATGGTAACAAAGTACCACACACTGAGTGGCTTAAAACAACAGAAATTTGTTGTGTCACACTTCTGGAGGCTAGACATCTGTAAGTCCAAGTATCAACAAGACCACACCAATATCTGTAGGAAAGTCCTTTCATAATTCGTCTCAGTTTCTGCTGGTTTGCTAGCAAACTTTGGCAATTTTTGTCCTGCAGCTGCAATCATTCCAATTTCTGCTCTTATAATGACACCTGTCATACTAGATTAGGAACCTTCCCTATTTCAGTATGATCTTATTTTAGCTAATTATATTTACCACCACCTTATTTTCAAAGAAAGGTCACATTGTGAAGTACCCAAGTTTAAAACCTCTTTTTGGCAGGGGGATATAATTCAACCTGTAACGCCAGTGTTCAGCAAATGACCAATGAACCAAGTCTAGCCAGTATTTTTGTAAACAGAGTTTTATTGTAATATAGCCAATGAATTATATTATGAATTATCTATGGCCACTTTCATGCTACAACTGTAGAGGTGAGTAGTTGTGATAGAGAACTTAAAATTTCTTAAAATGTCAAATATTTACTATCTAAACTTGTACACAAAGTTTCCTGACTCCTGCATTAGACAAAAGTCAGCCTTCTTTATGATAACATGCAAAGAAAACTAAAACAGAGAGAGAGAGACAGAGACAAAGGGAGAGAGAAAGGAATTGACTTGAAACACATGATATTTTGTAGCTCCTTCCATCAAGAGAGGGAATTTACTTTACCGTACCTTGAATCCGGACTGAACTTGCATCTTGTTTTGAGTAAGAAAATGTGGCAGGCGACGTTGTATGAATTCAAAATTCTAGGCCTCAAAAAGCTCCCGAGCTTCTTCCTTTGCCCTATTAGAATGCTCCATTTGCAGTGGCTGGACTGGGCCCCCCTGTGATGAGATTCCATGTGGAGAGAGAGAAAGAGGGGCTAGCCAAATAGCAGCAAGGCCCTGCATATCTGAATAAGGCTGTCTCAGATCCTTCAGCCCTTGCCAACCTTCTGAATGTCTTTAGATGAAGAAATGCTCCAGAGGAGGTCATCAGAAGAACCAACCAGCTAAGCACCCACCCAACCCGCAGACTTATGAGAAATAATAAATCATCATTGCCTGAAGTCACCAAGTTTTGAGTTGTTTCACAGTGATAGATAACTGAGACAGAGAAACACCAAAACTGTATAAATACATTTCTTTAGGAAATTGTCTTAGTGTGAAAGGCACTAGGTAGCTGCTTTGTGCTTCTGAGATTCCCAGGGATACCTTCCCAGGTCTCCACTAGTGTTTGCTGTTCCTCATGGAGATGCAGGTTTCAATTTCTCTCTCTCCTCAATTTTAAGTTTGGCATTTGTTTTTGAGGAGTTCACCAAATTCCTTAATATGCTACTTCATAAAATATTTCTGATTTATAAAGTAGAAACTATGATTGTTTATTAAAATTAGTTTTTTGTTGTTGTTGTTGTTGTTTGTTTTTTTTTGAGACGGAGTCTCGCTCTGTCGCCCAGGCTGGAATGCAGTGGCGCGATCTCGGCTCACTGCAAGCTCCGCCTCCCCACTTCACGCCATTCTCCTGCCTCAGCCTCCTGAGTAGCTGGGACTACAGGCACCCGCCACCACGCCCGGCTAATTTTTTTTTGTATTTTTAGTAGTGACGGGGTTTCACCATGTTACCCAGGATGGTCTCGATCTCCTGAGCTTGTGATCCGCCCGCCTCGGCCTCCCAAAGTGCTGGGATTACAGGCGTGAGCCACCGCGCCTGGCCTAAAATTAGTTTATGTGTAGTGTGCTATGTATAAAATAATAAAACTCACTATTTAATTTTTATGCCAAGTTACTTGTGATATAACACAATTTTCTTTTAACATAATTTTAATAATCAAAAGTACAAAACAGTGGGGAGACCATGACACTGCATATATTTCTGTATACAGAATTTTTTATAATCCCACCTACATGCTGCCATCCTAAGCTAAAGAACAGGTGAGATATACTTTACTCAAAGTGGAATGAATCAGCTATAAATAATGACACATTTCAAAAAAAATCATTAAAAATAGTTGGCAAAGTACTAATCTTTCAATAGAATAAAGAACATAACCTACATACTATCCCCCGATATACAGATTTAACTGTAAATATTTAGAGATTTCTGCTATTTAATTGTTATTCTTCTTTCTCCCTTCATGTGAAAGATTTTTATAGAAGAAATCATATGAATGAATGGATTTTTGCTTGTGTGCATTTTCTTTTTTTTTTTCCAAGTATATGGTTACTTGGCTAGTTTCGTTAAATATGCCACAGGGAACATTAACTATAAACATAAAATATGTGTTTTTAAATTAGACATAGACTTTCCTACTTTTATTGAAGCTACAATATATTAAGGCAAAGGCTTTATTAGAGACAACTAGAAAGTTACTGTGACTTAATGAAGACAAAAGATACAGGAGATGTGAAACTTGCCAGTACAGAAATAAGTCAATGCTGTCCATTTCAGATGCAAGAAAAGTGTCTTAAGTATTCACAGGGGGCAGGAGAATAGTGAAGTGTATAATATCTATTCCATCCCAGTTCTGATTGCACGTTTAAAGTCAACACATGCCGAGTCTCACAAATTATGAATGTTAATATTGAGAATAAAAGAAGAGCTGAAACTACAACTAGGAAGTGCCCATCTCTGTAGCATATTCTATAACATTCTCTTAACCATTTCCATTCCTATCTGCTTATTTTTACTTCTTATTTTATGTACATATTCCACATTTTCCCACTTGATTATAAACCCATTCTATTGGATAATAATAACAAGAAAAAGGGGGAAAAGGCCAATCTTTTATTGGAACAAAACAATCCAAATTACTTCCACTCTAAATCTTAGCAGTATTAAATGATAAGAAATCAAAGGAGCATTCACTCCCTGGAAAAATGCCATCTAATTACTAATGAATTAAGAAGGAATAAAGCATTAATAGTAAACAATAAAGCCCTGTCTCATACATAGCCACTCTGTGGCTTCACAGTTGGCAAAATCTTTTAATCAGAAAGTGGTTAGCCACTACATAATACATCTAGAATAAAGGATTCCATTTTAGTCATTTTTTTTGGGGGGGTGGGTCAGGGAAAATAGATGGATCTGTAGAAGTTGCAGCTGAAAAACAGCCAATGCCTACTCTAGATGTCCCTGCTATGCTGCTTTATCAAGTCACACTTTATCAAGTAGCACATTTACTTTGAATCAAATAAGATTGCCACAGTAGACCATCTTTCTTTGCATCTTGCCCAGCACAGGCTCTGAGATTGTGGACATAGATAGTAATTTTAAAAAAGTCTTTACATTTTGTATCAATAATTACCTATTTTAACTGATTTTTAGCATTATTATTTATCCCATATCTTCCTGTTTAAATCCTTTTTATTTTGCTGCAGTACATCCTGGAGTAATTAATTTTGGACGGAATGGTGGACGGTACTTTTGTCAGCCCTTGCATATCCAAATATATCTTTATATTTTCTATATATTTGAACGATAGTTGGGATCGTGTGTTTAAAATTCTTAAAATTTTAAAGATTGTTTTCTATTTTTTTTAACATTTAATGTAGTCATTTGGACTTCTGATGACAACCTAATCCTCTTCTCTGACTAGACAATTTGTTTTATGCTCTGTGGAAGCTTTTAATGTTTTAATTCTATGCTTGGAATCCAAAAATTTCATGAAGATATATCCATGTATACTTTGCTTGTTTACATTAATATTGCATGCTACTAAATTCACTCTTTGATTGTAAGATACATCTTTCATCAGCATTGAGAATTTTTCTTCATTTAGTGTAAGAGAGCCAGTACTATTTCTCTTCTGTTCTTATCCAATTTTGGAAAGACATCATTACATTGACAATATGCTGCTGTCTGCATACACATACAGGTGGTCCTGATATTTGACTAGGATTCATCTCATCATCAGTTTTAACAGTGGGTACTAACTACTCTAAGCCAAACAAAATATTTCATTCCACCAGAGACGGTGACTGGTTTAGACATATACTTGCAAACCAATCAAAACAATAAGATGGGATAAAAAATTTTTCTTGAAGATTTTGAAGGAGATTGACTCTTTCATTTCTTATTGGAGTATAAGTTATAAATTTAAAGTTATCAAAAGTTTTACAAAAACAGCCAGCAAAAGGTTACATTTAGATTTAGAGGAAATGGAGTGAGAAAATATATCATAAATGCATTGCTTTAGGCCTGAAGCAAGTATGCTGGATTCTGCTATGTTAATTTCATTAAGACCGCCACTACAGTTTCCAAGATATTATTTTTTTAGTACATACTTTTTGGTTAGAGTTGGTCAAAGAGGAACTTCCACTTCATTTGGAAGTTAATGGTGAAGCCACAACTTTACTCTTAGAAGTCCACTGTAGTCAAATATGATGCTGGACAACCTCACGGGAACCCAGTCATTCCCATCTTTCTACTATGTCCAGCTAGTTTTTTGGCTGGTAGCCCTGCTAATAGGAGCCCTAAACACGCTACCAGATGCTTGAACGCAGACCCGCAGAGGTGGTGGCTACCCAGAGATAACAGATTATCATAGACTTCTTCAGTGTTCGTCCTTCATGACCTGTTGTAGCAGGCTATTCTTGGCTTATTAGCTTCTCCTGAAAGTTCTGATCTGTCCACCTATGCTAGTGCTTCTGGAAGATGCATCAGCAACTATTTCTCTTCTCCTTCTAATCCTTATTCCAGACCATTATTTGCCCTGCTCCTCCTAAATTTCTGTAAGGTTTAATTCTGTAATAAGTACCTGATTCCTATAATACAGGGGATCTAATTCCCTGATAGATACAGGTATTTATATCAAAAATGGGTGTGGTTGTTTTTTTTTTTTTTTTCAGAGGAATGTGGAGAAGAAAATGATTAATTATGAGTTCAGAGCTCTCGGTGTTTACTCCAAGGTCTGTACAAGAAAAAGTAAGGTTTTAAGACTTCCCTGAAAGCAATACTAGACTTAGACCTTACCAACTGGGGCCCTTTTTCAATTTAATTTGCCCAAACCCATCAAAGAAATCACTATCTATGGCATCTATAACCTTACAAAATGTACTTCTTAAATAATAAGACTTAAAAGCCGAAATTACTCCTTGGTACATGGGCTATAAAATGGATGCTGTGTTGGCAGGCATGGAAACAACATTAATCTCTTCATACATCTCCATGAGAGCTCTTGGGTGACCATGTACACTGTCAGTGAGAAATAATACTTTAAAATAAATCTTTTTTTTTTTTTTCCTGAGCATCACGTCTCAGTAGTGGGCTTAAAGCTAGCAGAAGACAAGAAATAACTGAGATCAGAGCAGAACTAAAGGAGATAGAGACACAAAAAACCCTTCAAAAAATCAATGAATCCAGGAACTGGTTTTTTGAAAAGATCAACAAAATTGATAGACCACTAGCCAGACTAATAAAGAAGAAAAGAGAGAAGAATCAAATAGAAGCAATAAAAAATGATAAAGGGAATGTCACCACTGATCTCACAGAAATACAAACTACCATCAGAGAATACTATAAACACCTCTACACAAATAAACTAGAAAATCTAGAAGAAATGGATAAATTCCTTGACACATACACCCTCCCAAGTCTAAACCAGGAAGAAGTCGAATCCCTGAATAGACCAATAACAAGTTCTGAAATTGAGGCAGTAATTAATAGCCTACCAATCAAAAAAAGTCCAGGACCAGTTTGATTCACAGCCAAATTCTACCAGAGGTATAAAGAGGAGCTGGTACCATTCCTTCTGAAACTGTTCCAAACGATAGAAATAGAGGGACTTCTCCCTAACTCATTTTATGAGGCCAGCGTCATCTTGATACCAAACACAAAAACCTGGCAGAGACACAACAAAAAAAAATTTCAGGCCAATATACTTGATGAACATCAATGTGAAAATCCTCGATAAAATGCTGGCAAATCGAATCCAGCAGCACATCAAAAACCTTATCCACCATGATCAAGTCAGCTTCATCCCTGGGATACAACGCTGGTTCAATATACGCAAATCAATAAATGTAATCCATCACATAAACAGAACCAATGACAAACACCACATGATTATCTCAATAGATGCAGAAAAGGCCTTTGACAAAATTCAATACCCCTTCATGCTAAAAACCCTCAGTAAACTAGGTATTGATGGAACATATCTCAAAATAATAAGAGCTATTTTTGACAAACCCACAGCCAATATCATACTGAATGGGCAAAAACTGGAAGCATTCCCTTTGAAAACCGGCACAAGACAAGGATGCCCTCTTTCACCACTCCTATTCAACATAGTATTGGAAATTCTGCCAGGGCAACCAGGCTAGAGAAAGAAATAAAGGGTATTCAAGTAGGAAGAGAGGAAGTCAAATTGTCTCTGTTTGCAGATGACATCATTGTATATTTAGAAAACCCGATCATCTCAGCCCAAAATCTCCTGAAGCTGATAAGCAACTTCAGCAAAGTCTCAGGATACAAAATCAGTGTGCAAAAATCACAAGCATTCCTATTCACCAATGACAGACAAACAGAGAGCCAAATCATGAGTGAACTCCCATTCACAACTGCTACAAAGAGAATAAAATACCTAGGAATACAACTTACAGGGGATGTGAAGGACCTCTTCAAGGAGAACTACAAACCACTGCTCAAGGAAATACGAGAAGACACAAAAAACATTTCATGCTTATGGTTAGGAAGAACGAATATTGTGAAAATTGCCATAATGCCCAAAGTAATTTATAGATTCAATGCTATCCTCATCAAGCTACCACTGACTTTCTTCAGATAATTAAAAGAAACTACTTTAAATTTCATATGGAACCAAAAACAGCCTGAATAGCCAAGACAATGCTAAGCAAAAAGAACAAAGCTGGAGGCATCATGCTACCTGACTTCAAACTATATCACAAGGCTACAGTAACCAAAACAGCATGGTACTGGTACCAAAACAGAGATATAGACCAATGGAACAGAACAGAGGCCTCAGAAATAACACTACACATCTACAACCATCTGATCTTTGACAAATCTGACAAAAACAAGCAATGGGGAAAGGATTCCCTATTTAATAAATTGTGTTAGGAAAACTGGCTAGTCATATGCAGAAAACTGAAACTGGACCCCTTTCTTACACCTTATACAAAAATTAACTCAAGATGGATTAAAGACTTAAATGTAAGACCTAAAACCATAAAAGCCCTAGAAGGAAACCTAGGCAATACCATTCAGGGCATAGGCATGGGCAAAGACTTCATGACTAAAATACCAAAAGCAATGGCAACAAAAGCCAAAATTGACAAATGGGATCTAATTAAACTAAAGAGCTTCTGCACAGCAAAATAAACTATCATCAGAGTGAACAGGCAACCTACAGAATTGGAGAACATTTTTGCAATCTATCCATCTGACAAAGGGCTAATATCCAGAATCTACAAAGAACTTAAGCAAATGTAGAAGAAAAAACAAACAACCCCATCAAAAAGTGGGCAAAAGATATGAACAGACACTTCTGAAAAGAAGACATTTATGCAGCCAACAAATATATGAAAAAAGCTCATCATCACTGGTTATTAGAGAAATGCAAATCAAAACCACAGTGAGATACCATCTCATGCCAGTTAGAATGGCAATCGTTAAAAAGTCAGGAAACAACAGATGCTGAAGAGGATGTGGAGAAATAGGGATGCTTTTACACTGTTGATAGGAGTGTAAATTAGTTCAACCATTCTGGAAGGCAGTGTGGCAATTCCTCAAGGATTTAGAACCAAAAATACCATTTGACCCAGCAATCCCATTACTGGGTATATACCCAAATGATTATAAATCATCCTACTATAAAGACACACGCACACGTATGTTTATTGCGGCACTGTTCACAATAGCAATGACTTGGAACCAACCCAAATTCCCCTCAATGATAGACTGCATAAAGAAAATGTGGCACATATACACCATAGAATACTATGGAGCCATAAAAAGGGATGAGTTCATGTCCTTTGTAGGGACATGAATGAAGCTGGTAACTATCATTCTCAGCAAACTAACACAAGAACAGAACACCAAACACTGCAGGTTCTCACTCATAAGTGGGAATTGAACAATGAGAACACATGGACACAGGGAGGGGAACATCACATACCAGGGCCTGTCTGGAAGTGGGGGGCTAGGGGAAGGATAGCATTAGGAGAAATATCTAATGTAGATGACGGGTTGATGGGTGCAGCAAACCACCATGGCACATGTATACCTATTAACAAGCCTGCACATTCTGCACATGTACCCCAGAACTTAAAGTATAATTAAAAAATCCAGTAAACCATACTACATATAGGTGTATGTAGGCTAAGTTCCATTTATAGAGTACAGAGTAGATTTAGCATAATTCTGAAGGGCGCTACCACCTGAAGAATGGTAAATGAGCATTGACCTCAAGTTCAAGTCACCAGCTGCAGTTCTTATTAGCCTCTAATAGGAGAGTAAGTCTATCCTTTGAAGTTTGAAGCGAGGTATTGCCTTCTTTCTAACTGTGAAGTTTCTAGATGGCATCTTCTACCAATAGAAGACTTTTGTCTACACTGAAAATCTTTTGTTTAGTGTTCATAAATTGTCTTAGCTAGATCTGAAAAACTTGCTGTAGCTTCTAGTTAGAACTTACAGCTTTACCTTGCACTTCTATGTTACGGAGATGGTTTCTTTCCTTAACCTTCATAAACTAACCTCTGTTCACTTCAATCTTTTCTGCTGCAACTTCCTCAGCTCTCTCAGCCTTCATAAAATTAAAGAAATTTTGGGCCTTGCTCTGGATTAGGCTTTGGCTTAATGAAATGTTGTGGTTCCTTTGCTCTTCTATCCAGACCAGTATAATTTCCTCTATATCAACATTAATGCTGTTTTGCTTTATTATTATGTGTTTTCTGGAGTAGCATATTTAATTTTCTTCAAGAGTTTTTCCTTTGCATTTACAACTTGGCTAAAAGGTGAAAGAGTTCTAGCTTTTGGCCTTTCTCAGCTTTCAACGTGCCTTCCTCTCTAAGCTTAGTCATTTCTAGCTTTTCATTTAAAGTGAGTCTTGCAGCTTTTCCTTTCACTTCACTTAGAGGCCATTGTAAGGTTACTAACTGGGCCTAATTTTAATATTGTTGTGTCCTGGGATATAGGGAAGCCTGAGGAGAGGAAGAGAGATGAGGCATGGCCAGTTGGTGAAGCACTCTGTAGAACAAACACATTTATTGATTAAGTCCATCATCATATATGGATGCAGTTTGTGCCACCCCAAAACAGTTACAATAGTAACATCAAAGATTACTGACCACCAATCAGCATAACAGATATAATAATAATGAAAAAGTTGGGAATCTTTTGAGAATTACTGAAATGTAATGCCAAGCCATGAAGAGAGCACATGCCATTGGAAAAATGGCATTGATAGATTTACTTGATGGCGGGTTGCCACATACCCTCAATTTCTAAAACAGTAAAATATCTGTGAAGCACAATAAAGCAAAGTGCAATAAAATGAGGCATGCCTGTATGTATATAAATACACAGACATACATGCACATACACACATATTTTTGTCATTATAAAGCATTTGAACTAGAAAGATATTAATATAATGGTTATAGATTGCAACTTGATCCAATTCCTTTAATCTGCTTTAATAATTGTCCTATTGTATGCAAGATTTTATTTGGAGAGTTTTGGTATTATAAAAAATGCTAGAAAGTGACATATCTATTTTCTGAATGTGTTTTTATTTTCCTGGAAAAGTTTTTATTGTTTTATGAAGAGCATTCTCCCACAGAGCCTACCCTTTCCAAATGTATGATGAAGATTTACTGTCTACAAGCTTTTCCAGATTTTGTTTAAGTTCAGAGGCCTTGCAGAGAGCTTTATCATAAAGCTTCATACAAGAATATTTTACATTCTCACCAGATACTGTAAAGACACACGAAGAGTTGCTGTGGTGTGGGGGGCAGGAATGCTCTCACTGGGCTGTAGATTTCATATATGAAACTTAGGTTTTTGAATAAGTCCCCCAATGTCCTAACTTTAGATGGAATAGGGGCTGTGAAAAACTTTCTGAGCCTTCATGAGCACCCTCAAACACAATGCATGTCTATTCAGACAAGACTTCTTTAGAACTTCAGGACTGCGTCTTGTTTTTCAATAATTGAAGCCAGAAGATTGATATCAAGCTTTTCAAAAAGCCTAGAAGCAGCTGATCCAAGCAGAAAAATTGCACTATTTTTAAGATGGATTCTGCATTTAATTGTATCCTACATAAAATGCTTCCTAGTTCTATTATCTTAACCTTTGTTAGCTTCAGCTTCCTCATCTCTATAATGGGTTTTTAAATGAGGCTTGTCTCATGTAATTGCTGCAATGATCGAAAAAAAGGAATAAAAGCTGATTAATAAGATAGTACATGTAAAGCGGGAGAGGTGCATTGCCGAGCACATGGTAAATTCTTCATTGGTCTTGTTCTTTAGTTATTGGTAGTTTTTAAACAAATTATTGTTTGAATAGCTATGTAGTTTATATGCACCATTCAAATTATTGTTTGAATAGCTATGTAGTTTATATGCACCATCTCATTATTTCATGCTTTTAGCACCTGTATTTTAAAATATGGATTTTGTGCAGATAAGCAGAAAAGCATGTTTACAGACATGATAGTAAAAGTGACCCCTAATTTTCCTTATAATTACAAGATTCCATAAAAATTTAATTTGAAATTTATAATTGTTGTCAGTTGCTGTATTCAGTTCACCAAAGGGTTTATAGCCAAGAAAGAGCAGAAGAAGAAGCATCAATATTAAGTATGTATAATCTAGAATACATTAATTCAAAAGGATATCATCAAATACAGGTTGCCTGATACATAACACGGAGAGGATGTATCTATATTGATGCAAAAGGGAAGATTAAAAAAATATAAAAAGTAAAATGCAAAAGGGAAAATTTAGTCAATTGTACTACATCATTTAAAATAATATTTTGAATAATATATGTATTCAAATTTGTGCATATGAGAAACAGGAGATTAAGCAGAATACAGCGAGAAGAGTTGAAGATAAGAGAGAGTGCATGCAGCTAGTCCGAGTTACTTGTATTGTTATGGGTAGGTAGCCTATCAACAAAATATATTCTGGACATCACAATACAATTCTGTTTATTTGTTTGTTTGTTTTACTGGTTGAAACAAGGCATTCAAATTTTCTTTCAAAATTGCGAACTCTATAAAGTAGTATTTCTGTCTCACTGGAAAGGACATAAAGGCTCAAGAAGTACACATGGGAAATATATGCAAGAACCAGGATTCGAATTTAAATCTGTTTGATTCCAAAGTCATTCTTGCCGCAGCATTATACTGCCTTTCCCAGAAAGTGAGCCCCATCTGGACAAATACACCTCAATTTGCATTTTTCGTTATTTCACTGGCATTTAAGATTGTGCTCTAACAAATTACAGGTACTCATTTGGAATTTTGTTGAAAGAATGACATGAATGAAAGAAAGAAAATTATCAAAGGCAAAAAGCTCACTCTCTCAAAAGGCATTTAATTTCACATTTATACAATTCTAAATGTTCAAAATTTTCTGTCATGTGATAATTCACAAAATTAAATCTCTACTAGGAAGTTTACCTTTAGCTCCCTGAGGGTGCAAACTAAGTCTTTTTTTGTTTTGTTTCTCCAACCATAGTAGCTGGAATTTCAATACCTATTTCCTAAGTTGATGAATAAATTCATATCGTGACTCCAATATGAAGTTAAGTCTGCATAATCATGTACTCTTTATTTGGGACACTGTATAAATATTTGTTGGATGCAAATGTGCAGCATATGTTTCTACTTATAACTTGAAAAATATTTAATGTAACTGTATATTAACAATCACTAATAAGCACAGGCGAAAGTGATGGGCTGGTTACTGTCTATTAGTAGAAATAAAATTATGTATCTTGTCTCTATTTATACTTCTATTCACTACATCATAATTTATTCAGATAATCAGATAATAAGATCTTCACATAAGATGTCTCCCACACCTAAGTGGTATTTAAATTATTGAAAAATTAAACTAAGAAAGAAATATAGAAATACAGAGGTAATTTATTCTTTATAAAAATTATTAAAATTGCTGTTTCAATGTGATATGTGACCTTAATGAGACAACAGTTAAATGATGATAGATTTAGTCTGTAAAAAAAATAAACATAGGGAAATTCCATGATTGTGTTCATTGTTGATATTCTCACTTTATCATTTAGGTTGAATCATATGAGATTGTGATACTTAGTCATTTTTGACTTATAAAAATAGCAGTTTAATATGGTTGTCCATAAAAGTAAAGGGACTTATACTGATGTTGTTGCTAATGTCTCAGATTCAGAGCTATAAAAAAGGGACCTCAGATTTGTTACGGAGATTAAAGAACTCTTGGAGTATAAAGAGTAGTTATTATTTTTGTTAATAATAAATAAAAACTTTGACCATCATGTTGCCAAAAATCATTTTATTATATTAAGAAAATATCCTCCTAGTTTGCATCTTTTCCTAAAATATACTTTATGCCCACATTGTTCTTCAGATGTTCTGAATATGAACTAATACAGCAAAAGAAGAATGTGGGCCTTACCAAAGGTTTAATGTTTGACTTTCATTTCTAAATGTCATATACACACATACAAAAGATTTCTTTCAGGAAAACTTCTCTAAGGAAGCCCAAGAGATTTCTTGCTCAATTCTTTGCCAAACAAAACCTCTAGACCTTTCAAAATTCATTTCAGATGTACTCCCAAGGAGTACAATTTTCTGATCTGCAACTTGAGGGGCTTATAAGCCATGCTGACCTATATTGCATATATTGAGTGTGGATCTTTCATGGATGTCGACTAAAATTTTATACATAACACAGGTTCAGAATGTACAAGAGAAATCTGCATAGACTAAGAGTAAAACGTGCTTTTGATTTAAAATGATACAATGCCTCTAATTTTTCAAGTGTCAAGAAAATAATGAAGGCAGTATGAAGTACATTTTTGCAAATGCATTAAGCTGAAAATCAGTTATGAAGTCCAATTATATAAGAAAAAATCCAGGCTGGAAATAAGCAAAAATGCCCTTGACCTAATTAAATCATCATTGGTATAATGATTTAGAGTTAGTTTGCTACTTGTCCTTCTGTTTTTCTCTCTGTTTGCCAAGAGTATCACTGAGCAGCATATTCTGGGTTTATTTTCCAAGTACTGATTTACATATGTCTTGTTTCAAGCACTTTCGTCTCTCTCTTCTAGGACATCTGGTTTTTTTCTCAGTACTGGATCCTATGAGGAATGTGGAAGACACCAAACTCAAACTTCTGTCCTGGCATCTGGCAAGAAAAGTTCCCCAAAGTTGTCTGTCAAAGAAGGTTGTGCTGTGAATTATTTTTAAATTCTCTCTTTCATGACTCTTCAATTGGTTATTTCCAAAATGTCAGCATACTTCCCCAAGCCTTTCCTTATTGGCTGTCAGTTTCTGAAAGTAATGTGGGAAGGGTGCTTAATACCACGGTTACCTGCAAGATCCTGGAGGCCAGACAGGATCAGGCTTCAGTGCCATAAACTTTCAGCATGGACTGGCAGCTCTGTTGCTTGGGTCATTTGCTAAAGACAGGAAAGAAAAAAAGTACTTTAATAGTTCTACGGCACAAGGAAGCAAAGCTGTCAAGTACAAATAGAACCCAAAGAAGTATTTTATAGAACCAAGAAATCACTGCTTGAAAATAAGACTCATGGCTATAGGCAGGTGAGCTGTCTTCACCTGCAAACTGGAATTACCTGCGCATCAGGCAAGATAAGGCCATGACATGCTGATTTAAAAGATCTGTGTTATGGCCAGACTAGGAAAGAACATACAAGATGAAATTTTAGAAGAGTTAAGAATCATAAAATACCTTAACCTTGAAAACACTTTTAGTTTTTCCAGAGATATTACCTTAACAGGTTTATATGTATTATATAAGCCTTAACCTTCAGAGCTTTATTGGGTTAATCCATTATCATGCAGGATCACTAGATAGGAATCTGAGGAAGGAGACTTCAAACTGTGAAATTAACCTAAAACCAGATTGTCAGTTTTGTGTGGTACAAGCTTCATTTACTTGATCTATGAGAATGATTAAGTGTTAGAACAGTTGGGGGCCTGAGAGACTGTGGACTCCAGTCCTGTATATTTTTTCTTTTTTTGGATGAAGAAATTGAGAACTAGACTTGTAGAGACAGGGCAAGAAACAAGCTTAAATTCCTGACCTAAGGATAGTGTCCACTGCGACTGCCCTGCCTGTAGTCAAATTTTACACTTTAGCCTTCCAAAACTGTTTCCTATTCTAGCAATCTAGTGTAGAGTGAAACGTGCCTACAGTTTATATAACATATTATATCAATCTATTTCTTTAAGTTTACAAATGTATATAGGTATATAGATACATATTATAATTCCATACAATTATATGTATTATATATAATTACTGTATCAATATAATATGCTTTGGGTCTTTTATAAATACATGTAATATATATTCTTTAATTATCGGAGTATATTGCATTCTGATATATATGAGAGGAAGCTCAGCATCGGCAACTGTACAGACACAGCCACTGTGTCAGTGAGCAGTGGCCACATCCTTCTGATGATCTGACTTCCCCGTCGCTGAAAATCAGCTGCTATGTTCCCTCAGGACAATCCATTTTCAGTGAAGCCTGAGTGTATGGCCACTAAGACTGTGCCCTGCTCTGCTTTATTCTCTTATGTAACGATAACAAGCAGAACTCAAGGAGAGCCAATCATAAAAGTCACTTTATTTTGTGTCCCACTGTGTTTTCATCCCTGCTTGGTGGGAGCAACTACTCCTCTGCCCCTGCATACAAACTCAGGCTGTCCGGTAAATTTTCTCATCCTTCTTAAATAAGAAAAATTCTTATAATCACTTTAAACTGCAAATGTAGTCTCAATGAAGTATTGAAAAAGAAAAAGTCTAGTTACCTGTAATAACCAGGACTCCAACTAGATTTGAAATTAAATCTACTCCCTCAATTGCATCCCAATTTGAGACCTGGTTGGAACTAGCTTCTTGCAGTGCAGCAAATGTTGATGTCTTTCTTTCTTTACGTACCTATCATTGTTTCTCCTTGCCTAGCTTGTAAATCCTTTTTTTTTTTCTGATCCCTCCATTGTTGCAACAGAGATTTCAATGTCAGGGCAGGGCATTTTATTTTCTCTGGGCCTCACAAATATTTACAGTTGACTTTCACATGGGGGAACTTTCGTGGATTTGCTCATGATTTTCTGACTGACTCTCTTTAATTGAAAATCTCTTCATGTGGACAGGACATCTTAAACTGGCTACTACCAATACCTTCTCAACCTCTGCTTCCAGGAGTCACCCCATAGAAAAAGTGACTCAAACTAAAATTTCTGCCACAGCTTCCATACCACTTCTCCAGAATTCATATACTTTTGACTGTCATCAAAGTGCAGTTATAAATTAAGATGCAACTCTCTACTCTGCGATCACAGAGGTCTTCAGATATGTTAGGGGAAAGGGGAGGGTTAAATTGTAGTGGCTCCAACATAAAAATCTTCCCTACTCATTTAACCTTTCTGTATTGCTGCTAACAGTAATGGGGTTTAAGGTCACATAACTAGTTTCTGGTTATCTATGTCAAAATTTTGCTATTTTTATGAGTGTACCATTGGAATCGACTATATATTATATATTTTATATTATTGATTATATATAATATGTTATATATATATTATAGATTATATCTGCCTTAATCTAAACTTTCCAATTTAAGGTCCTACTGCACATCCTGACAATGAGCTTCCTTTAATTGAAGAAATTTGCTTTCCCTTGCCACATGAAACAGGCTTTAACATTAAATGTCTTATGGCATTGAATATAAGAACTATATTCAATACTATGACCCGTGCACACATAAGCATAAAAATGTGTGAAATAACACACACACACACACACACACACACAAAGGCTTTTAAAATCTTCTAGTCCTGTCAGAATTTATTCTAATCATATGTTTTCCTTTTTTGTTTGTTTTGTTTTTTTTTTGACACGGAGTCTCACTCTGTCACCAAGGCTGGAGTGCAGTGGCGTGATCTCGGCTCACTGCAAGCTCTGCCTTCTGGATTCACGTCATTCTCCTGTCTCAGCCTCCCGAGTAGCTGGGACTACAGGCGCCCATCACCGTGCCAAGTTGATTTTTTGTATTTTTTTTTTTTTTTTTTAGTAGAGACGGGGTTTCACTGTGTTAGCCAGGATGGTCTCGATCTCCTGACCTTGTGATCTGCCCGCCTTGGCCTCCCAAAGTGCTGGAATTACAGGCGTGAGCCACCATGCCTGGCCTATCATATCTTTTCTTAAGGCTCATTGTGATTTTTTCATTTCTCAACACTTTTTCCCAGTATGAATTTCCTTCTTTTAGTTTCTTTTCTATTGAGCCATTGTTTTGGCTTCAAACCACAGGGAACAAAATGAATCAGGAAAACATCTTCCCATCTTGGACCAAACCACGCTTACATATCTAAGACGTAGAGGATATATTTGGAGGAACTAATCTTTCCTTTTAGAGTTATGCAAGTCCTGCATCCCAGATCACAGATGCCAGGCTGAAAAAGCATTTAAAAGACTGGATACTGGGAAGCATTTTTTGTAAGCATGTGAGAAACTTTAAAATGATAATGTCTCTAATTTAGGCCATTAAATTTTATTTGGTAGCCCAAAACAATATGTGTAGTATATTTTAAACATCTAACTTTAAAAGAATTATTCTGTCTTCTGTATACAATCATCTAAGTTCTGCTTAAGTATTTTGATGATATGGGATAATAATGCTCTCTGGGGAGCAGGGCAAGGTCTCCTGTATTCACAATGTACTAAAATAAATGGCCCATCAAAGTCAGTAGAAAGATAAGACTCACCTGCAATAGCCAAAACAATTGAGAAGTGAGGAAACTGGGACCCACCAAAGCCACTCTTCTTACTTCATGATTATCACTTCAACTGATTCTGCTTACAGGCAAGCACGGGCAAACAGAATTGACATACTTACCCAGGGTCTACTAAGGGTCAAAACTTGCATTCTAATATATTTATTTGATCAATAGGTATCTTACTCCCTGTATTAATTATTTTAAGACTGGCATGACAAGTACCAGACTGGGTGGCTTAAACTACAGAAATTTATTTTCTCACAATCTTGGAAGCTAGAAGTCAGATTAAGGTATTGGCAGTGTTGGTTTCTTCTGAGACCTCACGCCTTGGCTTACAGATAGCCATCTTCTCCTTGAGTCTTTCTGTGGTCTGTCCTCTCTGTTTGTGTCCTAATGTCCTCTTCTTATAAGGACATTAGTCATATGGGTTAAGGCCTACCCTAATTGCCTTGCTTGAATGTAATTGTCTCTTAAATGACCCTATCTCCAAATGCAATCACATTTGGAGGTACTGGAGGTTAGGATATCAACATATGAATTTTCAGGAGGGTAGGGGAGACCCAATTTAGCCCATATACTCCCTATTTACAGACCTCTACAAACCTTTTGCTTACATCCCCCTACCTCTATCAAAGACGTTGTCATCTAGATCTTAATAGTTATTTTTACCTCACTCCTGCCATCATCATGTGTGACTTGAAGATTATGCATTAGCTGACTCCTCTGTTCAGGATCTTACCAGGCTGCAATTAAGGTATCAGCCAGGACTGCAATCTCATCTAAGGCTCAGGGCTTTCTTCCAACCTCACAAGTTACTGGCAGAATTCATTTTCCTCTTGTCTGACTGAGGTTTCTGTTTTCCTGCTACCTATCAGCTAGGGATTGCTCTCAGCACCCAGAGGCCTCCCTCAGGTCCTTGCTATGTGGCTTCTTCCTCTGAAAACATGGGAGCTTAGCTCATCTTTGAGACTAGCAGATCATTGTTTGCTCCTTCATCTTCTTTTAAAGGGTTGTTCTGATCAGGTCAGGCCCACACAGTATAAATTCCTTTCTGCTGAACTCAAAGTAAATTGATCAGTAACTTAATCTGGAGGAGGGGTGATATCTTATCATAACCACTGTTCTGCCCACACTAAAAAGGATGGGAATTTACAGGACATGCACATCAGGGGATAGGGAACCTGAGCCTTGTCTTAGAGTTCTGCCTATCCCAGTGTGGCTGCAAAACACACAACAGTGTAACCAGAGGTACTTCAAAGGCATGATATCCAGAAATGTATTATAGCCTACCTTATTCAAAATAAAATTGGTATACCTATAGACTAACTAAACATTTGTTTAATGCATTATTAAGGGGATGAACGTTGTGTTATGATTCAGAAAAGCCAGGTCTGATTAGTCCTCTGGACTTTGTTTTTCTTCAAAATCTTCTCCAATTCTAATATTAAGTAACTATATGATTACACATCTTTACTAAAAGAAATACCTCTTGAAATAATAAAATAGAAATCATAGCCTTTAAGGTGGATTTTACTATTTTAAGTTAGTATGTACTTAGATTAAAGAATCTGAACATGAAAATCTTAGATACCATTGTAAAATAATCATCAGAGGAGTTACTATTTATAAATTATTTATGAACTTATTACAGTGTGAGAGTAGTATGTCAATAAATCTATAAAGATTTTTAAATCCCCTTACACTGTTTTATATTTTTTAGTTTGATTATCTGTATATATAAATACATACATATACATATACATACATATATATATATATATATATATATATATATATATATATATATGCACTCCTAGACTCTATTATTAGGAGCAGGTTCCGTGTCTTACTTATCTTTGTCTTCTTACCACAAAATAAAATATCTATGAAATGTAAATTACCAATTATTTATTGAATAAAATAATAAATTAACGAATGAATAATTTGAAGTACAGTACACTTTTAAAAGCTTGCAAAGATAAGGTACTATTTTTAAGTCATCATTTAGAAATGTAGGAATAGAGTTCCAAAAAAAGGTAAGTGCAGAAGTTACAGATTTGAGATATAGCTATAAAGACAGTTTTGTTTATTTTTATATACTGGTGCTTTTATTTCATTTTCTTTTTCTTTTTCTTTCTTTCTTTCTTTTTTTTTTTTTTTTTTTTGAGATGGAGTCTTCTCTGTTGCCCAGGCTAGAGTGTAGTGGCGCTCACTACAACCTCCATTTTCTGGGTTCAAACGATTCTCCTGCCTCAGCCTCCCGAGTAGCTGGGATTTCAGGCACCAGCCGCCACATCTAGCTAATTTTTGTATTTTTAGTAGAAACGTGGTTTTGCCATGTTGGCCAGGCTGGTCTCCAACTTGTGACCTCAGCTGATCTGCCCGCCTTGGCCTTTCCAAGTGCTGGGATTACAGGCATACAGGCATGAGACACTGCACCCAGACCTAGTGCTTTTATTATTATTAATTTTGACCCTTTTTACCCCAAGTCCTCTTTAGAGTTTATGAAATATCATACATATTTCTATATTGGATCTTTTTGTTTTAACTTCCCTCTCTGCCTCCATTTTCTCATTCTTTTAATGTATAATACATGTCAATATAGATGAAATATCATAAATCATAGGGACATAAACTCACTTTAAAAGACATAAAGTACCATAAGCCCACCCTTTAACTAACACATAAAGAATATAATAATGTGCTTCCGTTTTACGTTTCAGATCACCATAACAATCCACGTTTCTTGGGTTCTCATCAAGTCAATGCATTCACTCTTTACTGAGCATCACTAAAAATACCTCTGTATATAATCCTTTAATATATATTCTTCAACTGGAAATGACTTCACGTCACTGAACTTTAAATTTTCAAAAAATATTTAACTTTTATAAATACATAGTAGTTGTACATATTTATGGGATACATATGATATTGTAATACAAGCATACAATGTATAATGATCAAATCAGTAATTTGGACACCCATCACCTCAAGTCTTCATCACTTCATTGTGTTAAGCACATTCCAATTCCACTCTTTTGGGTATTTTGAAATATACAATATACAATCAATTATTGTTAACTGCAGTCACACTATCATGCTTCTCAACACTAGATCTTATTTTTCCTAACTGCATTTTTGCACCCATTAATGAACCCCTCTTTATCTCTTCCTTCCCACTACCCTTACCAGCCTCTGGAAAACATCATTCTAATATTTATCTCTATGAAAATCATTTTTTTTTACCTCCCACGTATGAGTAAGAATATGTGATATTATTATTTCTGTGCCTTGATTATTTCACTTAATGTCCTCTGATTCTATCCACGTTGTTGCAAATGGCAGGATTTTATTCATTTTTATGGCTGAATAATATTCCATTGTGTGTGGAATATGCACCACATTTTCTTTATCCATTCATCCATTGATGGACGCAAGTTGATTCCATGTCTTAGCTATCATAAATAGTGCTGCAATAAACAAGGAAGTGCAGATACAGCTTTCATATATTGATTTCCTTCCTTTTGAATATACCCAGCAGTGGAATTGCTGGATCATATAATAGCTCTATTGTTAATGTCTAGAAAGGAACCTCTATACTGTTCTCCATGGTGGCTGTATGAATTTACATTCCCACCAACAGTGTATAAGCCTTCCCCTTCTTCTGCATTCTTGCTAGTGTTCATTATTTTTTTTTTTTACTTTTTGATACAAGCCATTTTAACTGAGGTGAGATAATATCTCATTGTGGTTTTGATTTGCATATCTCTGATGGTTAGTAATGTTGAGCATTTCTCATATACCCGTTGGCCATGTGTATGTCTTCTTCTGAGAAATGTCTGTTTAGATATTTTGCCCATTTTTAAGTTGGATTATTTGTGGTTTTGCTATTGAGTTGTTTGAGCTCCTTATATGTTCTGGTTATTAATCCCTTGTCAGTTGGATAGTTTGCAAATATTTTTTCACACTCTGTAAGTTGTCTCCTTACTTTGTTAATTGTTTTCTTTGTTGTGTGAATGCTTTTAAGCTTGATATGATCTCATTTGTCTATTTTTGCTTTGGTTGCCTGTCCTTTTGAGGTCTTATTTAAGAAACCTTTGTGCAGACAATATCCTGGAGCATTTCTGCAATATTCTCTTCCAGTAGTTTCATAGTTTAAGATTCTACATTTAAACCTTTAACCTATTTTTATTGGATTTTTTTTAATACAGCAAGAGATAGGGGTCTAATTTCATTCTTTTGCTTACGGATATCCAGTTTTCTCAGCACCATTGATTGAAGAGATTACCCTGTCCCCAAATGCCTTGTCAAAAAATGATTGACTGTAAATGGGTGGATTTATTTTTGTGTTCTCTACTCTGTTCCAGTGGTATATGTGTCTATTTTTAATGTTAGTACTATGCTATTTTGGTTACTATAGCTTTGTAGTGTAATTGGAAGTCAGGTAATGTGATGCCTCCAGGTTTGTTTTTCCTGCTCAGGATTGCTTTGGCTTTTCTGGATCTTTTATGGTTCAATATAAATTTTAGGGATTTTTTTTTTCTATTTCTGTGAAGAATGACATTGGTATTTTGATAGGGATTGCACTGAGACCTAGCTCATGTGTCACATTTTTTCTGAAGTCTTCTTGAACTTAATAACAAGAAATGTAATTTTGTTTTTTTTCTTTTAAAACACACTATTTTCAATAGTGTGTTTTTTCTTCTAAGTGCTGACAGAAGCCAAAAAGAGACAAAATGAGACTTAAAAGGCACTTTGAGATATCATTCCTTTTAAGGAAAAAATGCAGTGAATAGTTACTTTTTGTAAAAAATATGTATTTTGTAAAAAATATGTATTTAAAGTATATTTAAAATATGAATTTATTATTTAAAAAGTATACTGAACTGCTTCCAGGAAATTGAAACATTTTCCCTCTATCTCCCACAGAGGGCCATTAAAATCCTTGGACAAACAACAAAAAAAAATCCTGAAAAGTTGAGGGAAAACAGGCTAGGGACCACAGGAACCCAGAGATGACACCAGAGTGCACTGCTTAGGTGTTTTCTTTTGGACTTATATATACACCAGACTTGGAACCCAAGAAACTGGCAATCTGGACATCTCATTGGGAGCGAGGAAAAAAAAATAAGCCCCAACAAAGTCCTGCTGTCGGTAGACAAAAAATTTGGAAAGGTCCAGCATAACGAGAAGGAAAACTTTAGACAATAAATTTTCTACTCTGCCCGAAAACCACAGTAGAAACTATGGGGACCCCCACCACATCCATAATAGCGAGGTTAGTTGGGAGTCTACACTTACACTCTTTCCTGGCCATAAAGAGACACCCAACTCCCCCACTGAAATGATGTCAAATAAGACTAAATGGGGATTTTGGGCTTTAATTTCCATCAGGTGGTAACAAATCTCTTCTTCCCTGAGGTGTCAGAGGAGACCACATGGGAAGCCTGAGCTTCCACTCCCACTTGGTGGTAATGAACTCTCCCTCGTCCCCACTTGGGTGATATCAAAGGGAGCCTCTTGGAAAATCAGTACTTTCACACCTGCCCACTGATAACTAGGTCACCCTGCCCTGCACCACAGGAATATCAGCAGAGGCGACATAAGGAGCAGTAACAAGGCAATCTTAACTCTCCCATCCAGGGAGCTGTCAGCGGATGCCTAGTAGTGGGGAGGCAGAATGCCCGCCTTCACTCCTCTCAGCTGTAATAATTTTCCCAATTAGTGTAAATGGAGACCAAATGGGAAATGTGGATTTCTATGTCTAGTGGGAATAACAAATCTCTACCCTGTTGTCCCGTCAGAGAAATGTGAAAGGAAGCCAGCTAAAACAGAAATTTTAAATAAGATTTGGTCTCATAATTTAATTTTAAAAGTCCATATTCCAATAAAAAATTACTCATCATACCTAAAATCAGGAAGATGTTCAAACAAATAAAAAAATAGACATCAACAGTGAGCAAGGTGACAAAACTGTCAGAATTATAAAAATCTTAATAACTATCATTGAATGAGCAATTATAAACATTATATGAATAATTGAGAATATAGAAAGTCTCAGCAAAAAATATAAAACCACAGTCAATAAGGAGAAGATATGAAGAAACAAATTGAAATTTTAGGACTATAAAGTACAACGATAAATTTAAACTCAATGGATGGGATCAGCAATAGGAAGAAAGCAACAGAGGAAATCATCAATAAACTTAGAGCTTGAATAAAAAGTATACAATCTGAAAAACAGAGAAAATGTACACTGTGGAATTAAAAAAAAATAGATTCTTACAGACCTGTAGTACTATAAGAAAAGTTCTAAGACTTGTATCATCAGTCTTGAAGAACAGGAGAAAAAGGGTGAAGCTAAGAACATACTTGAAGAAATAAGTTACAAACTTTCCAAAGTTCACAAAAAATATAAACCTGCAGATTTAAAGTTAATGAAGTGGAGTGAATCCCAGACAGCATAAACCAAAAGAAATCTATACCAAGACACATCATTGCCAAATTTCTGAAAGCTGAAAACCAAACAAAGTGAAATCTTGAAAGTAACAAAAGAGGAATGACACCTTATCTATAGGGGGATAACAGATTGATGCCAGCCAGTTTCTCTTCAGAAACCATAAAGATCAGAAAAAGAAAGGCATACATTTTTCAAGTGCCAAAAGAAAAGAACTTTAAACTCAGAATCTTATATCCGGTGAAAATATGCTCAAGAATGAAGAGAAAATCAAGGCCTTCTCAGTTGAAGGAAAAACGAAGACTATTTGGCACTAGAAAGCTGACCCTGAAAAAGGGCTAAAGGGAATTCACTAAACTAGAAAAATAGTAAGAATCTTGGAAATCAGGGAAGCAGAAAGAACAATGTAAGGAGTAAAAACATGGGTAAATACATTTTTCTACTTGCCTTGAGTTTCTAAATTATATTTGGTTCATAAGGCAAAATTATAACACAATCCAATATGGTTCTAAATGTACATAAGGTAAATATATTATGAATGTAGGATAAGGGAATATGAGGAGATGTCTACACTTCTCCTAACTGGCAACACCAGTAGGATTTGATAGTTAACATGTAAACATAATGTGATAACCAGGGCAACACTAAAAAAGCTATATGAAAAGATACATTGAAACTACTGTAGCTTTACTGTTGAATTAAAATTGAAAGCAGAAAAAGGCAATAGAAAAATAAAAAACAGAAAGAACAAATTAAAAAAAAAACCGGCAGGTTTAAGCTTTATCATATCAATAAATGTATTAAATATATATGGCCTATTAAATTAAAGATAGAGATTGGCAAAGTGAATTAAAAAGCATGACCCAACTCGGCCAGACACAGTGGCTCATACCGGTAATCTCAGCATTTTGAGATGCCGAGGCTGGCGAATCAGTTGAGTTCAGGAGTTCAAGACCAGCCTTGGTGAAACCCTGTCTCTACTAAAAGTACAAAAATGGTGAAACCCTGTCTCTGCTAAAAGTACAAAAATTAGCCTATAGTCCCAGCTACTCGGGAGGCTGAGGTAGGAAAATTGCTTGAGCCCAGGAGATGGAGGTTGCAGTGAACTGAGATTGCACCATTGCCTGCCAGCCTGGGCAACAGCAAGACTCTGAGACCAGTCTCAAACTGTATCTTATCTATAAGAAACTCAGTTCAGCTATGGTAGAGGCAACTTTAAATTAAAAGGATGGAAAAAATATATACCACACAAATATTAAATCAAAATAAAGCATGAATGGTTGTATTAATATTAGATTTGGTAGATTTTAGAACAAATAAAAGAATTAGAGACAGAAAGCTACATTATATAATGATAAAAAGGTTAATTCTCCAAATAGATGTAGAAATCCTAAATGTGTATTCACCAAACAACAGAGCTGCAAAATATCAATAGAAATGAAAGGAGAAATAGACAAATTTACAATTCTATTTGAGGCCAGGCATGATGGCTCATGCCTGTAATCCCAGCAGTTTGGGAGGCTTAGATGGGAGGGTTGTTTGGGGCCAGAAGTTCCAAACCAGCCTAGTCAAAAGAGTGAGACCAATATCTTTATTTTTTTAATTTTTAAAATTAAAAAATAAAACAACAACAACAAAATCAATTCTAGTTGAATATTTCAACACCCTGTTTCAACAAGTGGCAAAAAATTAGACAGAGAAAAAGCAAGGATTCAAAATAATTCAACACCATCAACCAAGATCAATTGATATTTTTAGAACACTCCCCCCAACAGCAGGCTATATATTCTTCTCACGTATGCTTGGAATATTTACCAAGATAGCACATATCCTGAACCACAAAACAAACCTCAATAAATTAAAACAAAGAAATCATAGAGACTGTGTGCCTCACCATCATAAAATCATAGAAGAAATCAATAATAGAAAGATAACAGGAAAATCTCCAAACACTGAAAACTAAACAACTAATTTCTAAATAAAATGAACTAAATTAAAATACAATAGATCATATAAATACCTGTGCAATAAAGCCAAAGCAGTGTGAGAGGGAAGTTTATAATATCAAGTGCATATACCAGTAAAAAATGAAAAGTTCCCAAATCAGTGATCTAATTTCTCACCTCAAAAAAGAAATCTAGAAGAAGAAAGGCAAAAGAAATCCAAAGCAAGGATACAGACAAACTGGATCATTAGTACATTGCTGGTAGGTATGCAAAATATTACAGAAACTCTGGAAAACAATTCGGAAATTTCTTGGTAACCTAAATTTTCAACTACCATACAACCCAGTAATTTCTCTCCTGCAAATTTATTCCAGATATATGAAAATTTATATTCACACAAAAATTTGTACATGCATATTTATAGCAGCCTTATTTGTTATAGCTTAAAGTTAGAAAAACACAGATGTACTGCAATTGGTGAACAGTTATACAGATTGTGGTACATCCATATCATAGAATACTAAGAAATAAAAGGAAATTAACTATTGAAACATGTAATGACTTGAATGACTCTCCATAGCAATAGACTAAGTGTAAAATATTAATCCAAATATGTTAAATACTACATGAGCCAATTTATATAACACTCTTTAAATGGCAAAATTATAGAAATAAGGAAAGCAACATGAGAGATCCTTGTGGTAATGGAATACTCTTCAACATGGTGGTTCAATGTCAATATTCTGGATGTGATTTTTTTTTTAGAGTTTTGCAGTGTTAATACTGGGGGAAAGTGGGTAAAAGGTAGATGGGATCTGTCTGTGTTATTTCCTGTAACTGCATGTGAATTTATAATTATCTCAACCTATCATTTTATTTACAGAGGAACTATGCTGAGTTCGTTATTTCAAACAGTGACAGACGTTAAAGGAATCAAAAGAGTAATTCTTCAAAGTAGAATGAGTAAGTTCTCTCTGCAAAATGCCAACATTTCAGATAAAAGTCATTTGTTAATTTAGTAAAGCAGATTTTCAGTGGTGAGTTATGTTTTGATGATATGTTCTGTTATTTAATTAGAGGACCCAGGAATACTCAATTCTATTTAGACAATCACTCTTCATTCCCACAAATTCCCCAAAGGAACTAACCACATATATCAAAACGGCAAAGTTAGCATTTTATCCAGAAGCAAAGTGCTTGCTATGTCCAAATTCAGTGCTCAGGTAAATCTGGGAATAGGGGTATCTGAATTAGCAGCAGGTGGCCAAATCAGACCTGTCTCCTTTAATCCTGAAATAGGATTTGGAGGTTATGTCACTTTGTGTAATCCCCAAAGCAATGACGAACACACCTAAGGATGCATGAACCCCTAAAGCGAGGAGGCATGGAGAAGAATGCTGTGTGCATATGACCTCCACATGAACCATGATCCTGCTTTCAGTAATCATGGCTAATCTCCGGTTCTGTCATCTAAATAATCACTTTTCCACGAAGAAGCGGCCAGAAATTAGGTTAGGTGAGTGTGTGTATATAAGTTGCTTGGTTCCCAACAATTACATTTTGGATGATTTGGCTGGAGTTTTTACTGATAGTCAGAGCGTTTTGCGTCAATTATTCAAAGGGATAATGGAAGAATAGACATTTAAAGCCCACTTGCTCATACATTATCCAATTAACTGTAGTGGATACTTGTAATTTTGAGATCCTCCTCATTCAAATGTCTTGTCATCTGGAGTTATATAGCATGCAGAGATTAATCCCTGCATGCCCTATACTTAAAGCATCTGCCCCATAAAGCAGATTACAATGGTGCAGTGGCAGGAACTCAGAGATGGAGCAGTTCAGGAACTCAGAAAATGTTTAGTGACAGGGATGCCAGAGACAGGTGGTGTCCTAAAGAGACATGCCTGAGGCATAACCTTTTCTGGGCTTGTTTCCTTTTGTCTCTGCCCATACTTCCTACTATAGGATATTTTTACTATCCCATAGTCTTTAAATGTGTTTAATTTTTACTTAGGTTTACCAGAGTGGTTTTCTGTTGTTCATAATCAAGAATACTGACAAGAATACTGACATGACAGGTAATAAACTGTCAAAGGATCTGGAATTGATTATTGCTATCATGTGAATATGGTTTATTTGGCCCCACCAAGTCTCATGTTGAATTATGATCTTCAATGTTGGAGGTGGGACATGGTGGGAGGTGTTTAGATTACAGGGGCAGGTTACTCATAAATGTTTTCTGTGCCATTCTCATGGGAGTGAGTGAGTTCTCACTCTTAGTCCCATGGGATCTGGTTGTTGAAAAGAGACTGATATCTCCTCCTCTTTCTCTCCTGTTCTTTTCTTTCTATGTAATCTGCACATGCCAGCTCCTTTTCACTTTCCTTCTGTGCATGGAAGTAGCCTGAGTTCTTCACCAGAAGAAGATGATGGTGCTATGCTTCTTGTACAGCCTAAAGAAGTACAAGCCAAATAAACCTATTTTCTTTATAAAATACCCAGCCTCTAATATTCTTTTATAGCGACACACACAAACTAAGACAGTTATCTTGCCTCTTTGGGCCTGAAGCTGAAGAAAATCCTGCTGGTGTTCAGGAATATGATTCTGCTGGACTGGAACTTGCAACAATAAATTTTCTAATTGAATTATCAGTGGTGTTCCTCTGGAATCAAATGTCCTTTGAAAGCAAGGCTTTATAAAACTGAGTTGCCTCTACTTTAAAATAATGAGAAAGAAAAGAGGACTTCTGGAACAATGGAGTTCATTGGCTATTTTTTTAGGACAATGCACGGCTTAAAAATGAGAATGACAAGCTCAAAATCCTAAATTCTTAATTCACAGCATGAAAGTACACAAATTTTCTGTGATCATGCTATAGCTATATTTGTAGGACTACAGGAGCCAAGAATCAAATGCAACAGTTGAATATATAGTCTGCCAAATTATAATACTAGTTGAATTCAATTAATCACCAGTTCTTTTCTGGGAAAGTTAGAGCTTTGATTAGAATATGATATGAGTCCAAGAACTGGTATTGGGCCTATATGCAATGATGTAGAGTATGTTGTATACCCTGAATCCCAAACTCCACACAGTGTTCCTTGCTATTTGAAGCAGTTCTTCTTCCCTCCCTTGCCTGGTGCAGCTGTTTTTCCTTTAACCTGAAGAAATAATTTCTTTAAATAAAAGAAAGAAAATTGTCTTTATTTCCTACCTCTTACATTTCATTATTCAGATTTTTAATTCATATCTATTTAATTTGTAGACATAATAGGATATATTGTGCACATGCTAACACCTGGACATATTTTAATTATACAGCTTATTTACCAAAACCTGAACTCAGTAAGAATACATAAAAAATGAAGTTGAAATGAGATATTTTTCTTGGTATCATGGAATTCAAAGATTTAGTGGTCAGAAATGCTAGAAAACATTTATCATTTGTGACCTACTCTTTTACTGTGTTTCCCAAATGACTCAGAAAAGACAATGAGGTGCATGTAAGAATTTTTGAAAAGTGCTTTAAAATTTTTTTTTTGTTTAATAATCACCATATATTAGTGGGAGAAAATGCAATTGAAATGAGCTCCCTGATATGATTCAAAGACAAAGTGGTCATGGTTACCATGAGAGGAGGAAAATATCTGTGATAATTGGAATGGTCTGAGATCTTCGGTGGTTCCTAATTGGTCATGGAGATTCTTAGAATCCCTACATGTGAGAAATACACTAAAGCTTATATTAGTCATGTAGGTAGATGCCAAATACACACATACACCCTCTAAACATGCTAAAAATATACCATATATATATATATATATATATATATATATGAATATGTATAATGTAAATATAGATAATGGCTTAACACCACAAAATTTAGTTCTTGCCCAAATAAGACTCCAAGGTGGTCCTGGCTGTAGGTTCAGGGAACTCTTCAACCTGGACATAAAATATGCACAATTAGAATGTGCACAATTATTCCAGAATATGTATACCCTATTATGTTTACAAATTAAATAGATACAAATTAAAAATCTGGATACTAAAATGTAAATGGTAGGAAGGAATGACAATTTTCTTCTTCTATTTTTTTTAAGAAATGATTTCTTCAGGTTAGAGAAAAAAATGATTTCTTCAGGTTAAAGGTGAGGGTGCCCAAAAGCCATTCACTGACCCAGGCTGATGGTGCCTCTGCCAACTCCAACGAGTAGCTTCCACAGGGCACCCTGCGTTACTCAAAGGGAACAGACTGTGAAGGAGTCCATGGAAGAGGATTTTGTGGGTTAAACCAGCAAGTGGCAAACATCAGTTATGATACTATTCAGTTGACTAGAATTCAGTCATGTAGCCACATGCAATTTCAGAAAAAGCTGGAACTATCACCTTGCTGTGGGCCAAGGGAGAAAAGGAAATCTGTTTTGGTGAGTAGCTAGCAATTTTTTGAAAAAGAGAGAGATTTAGTTAGTGAAGCCTGACTTGAATCACAAAATTAGATTGTTGCTGACGTTCATCCCAATTCCGCTATCTGAATGAGTACTCAAACCAAAGTCCTTTATGCTACGAAGAAGCCAGAACAATTTGGGAAATACTCTGAAATCACATCAAATATGTGCTTGCTTAATCTTTCTCTTATCTTTCCTTTAAGATCTGGAATCATCTATAAGGAAAACTCTGTACTAGAGAACAGAAAATATCCAAACATTTTGGGTTTTATTGATCACTGGGTGTGAAATAACAGAAGTTTCCTGGAGTTGTAGAATTCCACTGTGATTATCCAGCAGATTGGGGGCCCAAGAAATTAAATGAAGAAGGGAATGTGGCTCAGTGGAATCCTGAACAATTCTTTTTCATATTTTCCCCAAATAGCTAGTCAAAATAGATTATATCTTTAGGAGATACTTTAGGGAATTAGAAAAATCCCCACTTTGGTTCCGAGTTGTGTGATAAGAGTGAGTTAATTTGGTAGACAATATGATGTGGGAATATTTCACAGAAAATATCAAGTGGAGGCCCCTTTTCTACAAAAAATAGTAAATCAAAAGCATTTGTACATCTCTATGGGTTACATTACATTAATTACTTTAGTAATTAACACCATCATTAATAACTTGAAGATACAAAATAGTGATTTCTATCACAACTCCACTTAAACTTTGGGCTGAGCACAAAAGTTGGAGGAGTATCATGGAAAATAACACATGATTATAGTTACTTAATCAGCAAATGAATCTGATTATATGTGCTGTGGTAGGTTTTTTTCTCCTAATTAATACGACTCCAGATAAATGTTGCCCAGCTTTTAATTTGAATTTTTTTTCTATCCCATTGTGCTTTTGTCTGGAAAGGAGGTTTGCTATACCTTTACCATCTTGCATCAATGTTATTTCAAATTTCCACCTCTGGGGAAAACTTAATCATCTAATAATTTTGTGGTAGAATATGCAGATCCCTACATTAATGTCCTAATTCTGATAGAAACAGTAAAGCATGAAAGTAGCATCCTGGATGACTTTATATGACCTATATGGCCTGTATTTTGTCTACCTTCATAGTTGAAAACACAACTTTCACCCAAAAGAGTGAAGAGATGGGAGAAATTTAGGGACTGAGTATTCCCTCAAAACAGAAGGACCAATTCATGTACTTTGCATCTCTTTTGCCTTTTTTAAAAGAAGAAATGGTATTGTAATATTTTAACTGAGGCTCCAGCTTTGAATGCATGAGGATAGATACCTAACTTGTGTTAATATAGCTTGCAAAGCCATCTGTATATTAGGCTCTATTTTGTATTTTTCTTAGACACCTAAGTATAGGTCTTCCCAGGAATAGTGCTACAACACTTTGGTGTAATTCTGAAAGGGAAGGGATAAGGTGAATCCTCACAGTATTTTTTTTTTAAGTTTCCAGTTTGTGTTTTTTTGTTTGGTTTGGCTTTTTACCTGCTTTTTCCTAGAAAGAGGTGTTGCCTGAATTGAAGCTTCTTAACAGTTTGAAAGCAATGGCTGATGGTTTAGCCAAAGTCAAGGGATCTGGAAGAATTAAGATAGATAAATTATTGACAAAAAAAGTATGAAGATAGGTACAAGGCTTTACCCTTCAGAACAGACCCAGAATGTAAGAATAGTTGGGTCCCATGAAAATATTCTACTGCAAAACACCTAAACTTCAGAAAAGCTTGTTCATAGTCAGAGTAAAATGATAAATTGTTTCTGGATGTCAATAGGCTTTCTCCCACAGTCTCCAGCTTAACCCCTATCTTCACTCAATAGGCACATGAGCAAATGGCCAGAGACACCGAGGCCAAGTTCAGAGATGACATTGTTGCTACAATCAAGAAGTGCTCATTGGCAGCAGCAGGTAACAACTCTGATTCTCTAGGGAAGTGCCACTTCCCATGGGGACCAGCCTGGTGATGGTAATGTGATCATTTGTTCTACCAGATTCTTGGCACAGTAAACCATTTTTCCTTCACTGAAATAGGTACTGAATTTAGATTTACTTTCCCTGCCCATCAGGTTTCTGCCAGCCTTGCAATATGTGGACTGATTGAATGTCTTTATACATCATCCAATATATAGAAAAATATTTCTTCTGAGAAATAAATTTTAACAATGAAATAAATAAAGCATTGTTTTGGTGCTCATGGAAGCCACTGGTGTTTTCTTATATCATATTTTTTAGATTTCTCTTATATCACATTTCCTAAACTTACAGAATGATAGAACAGCTTATTGCAGTTCTGTCACTAGCTTTGAGACTCCTGTTTGAATTACTGACTTGACAAGTAAGATATATGTTCTTAATCAGGAAGTAATACATGTTGTTTCTTCCACAGCCATAATACCTGTATCCGGAACCAGAGCATGTAAGTAGGAATGATGCTTGTCATAATTATAACTAATGACCTACTTGAGCAAATTTTGCTTTCTATACCCAAGACTGTGATCTGCTGGTTACAGATCTAAGTACTAGTGGTAGTCAGTTTCTAAAATTGCTTCCAGTGACCCATGCCTCTTGGCGTTGAACAACCTAGCATAATTACTTCCCCGTGAGTGTGTTCTGGACCTAATGACTTAGTTCAAATGAATAGAATACAGCAAAAGTGATGGGATGCCATTTAAAGCTTAGGTTACAAAATGACTCTGGCTTTAATCTTGCTTACCACTCTTGTTCCCTTACTTGCTTCTAATGGAAGGCAGATGTCATGTTGTAAGCTCCCCATCTCTCAACAGGCCCACGTGGAAAGGGACTGAGTCCAGCAGCCCATGAAGAACTGAATTCTTCCCACAATCACATAAGTTAGCTTGAAATGGGTCTTCCCCTACTAGAGCCTTCAGATGAGACTACAACATAGCCAACATCTTGAGTGCAGCTTTGTGAGGCACCCTAGTAAGCTGACCCAGCTAAGTTGTACCTGAATTCCTGTGAGGTATGAGATAACTAGTGCTATTGTTCGAATTTGCTAAGTTCTAGGGTAATTTTTATGAATCAATAAATAATTAATAGTATTCAAAAGAGATGCTTTCATGAAGGCACATTGCAATGCTTATTAAATACCATTTTGAGTTTCATATGACTTGGGACAAACAGATAAAAAGAAGGTTGTTTTGCCTAGGATGATGTGAATATGGAATTCATAATATAAAAAGAAAATTATAAATACTATAATTTATAGTCAATTGCACTATGACATAAATAATTTACATAATATAAAACTACAGCTTCTGTTCATACTTACTTTCTCACTAAAATCTGCATATTTACTTTTTATACAGATATTTTACTTTTCTCTTCCTCTTTACCACTATAGAACATTGTGATGGTTAATGTCTCAATTTCCCTCCATACTCAGGTTTCAGAATATTGAGGTGGGAATCACAGCAGGTGTAGGACAGGGATGGATATTAAACAGGATGAACTATCAGGTGCCTGTCTTTGGAAACAGTGTAAATGTATATAAGATACTTTTACTTTATGCTAGAGCATAGAATTCTTTTTTGAACTATAATGTGATGAATTGATATTGAGCATGTAAAGGAGTAGATTACAGTAGGCATTTATTTTAGTCTGCCCAGCATCCAAACATCGTTTTTATTGATTGGGATCCTAAGAAAGCTTAACCGCAGGGCCTGGCTTTCTACAGTGAAAAGCAGAAGCGGACAAACAGTCCCTCTTTCAGTTATCTGACAGCCGTAGTGGGGCTGTGTGACCTAGCCTCAGTCAATCAGATATTCCTGCAAAGGGCTTTAAATCTTGAGGGTTTGATGTGAGGCTCAGAGGAGAGTTAAAAATTATTCATAAGCACCCACAGTGTAGTCAAGAGCATTTGAGTTTAACCAGTGTTATTGAAAACTGTTTCTGATGTGACTTTCCTGGACTTTTCTGCCTTCATTTTCTGACTTTGCTTTCCCAACACTTTTGTCAATTCTATGAGTGTTTCACTATTCTTTGAACACATTTCCTTTCTGTTTAAATTAGCCAGATATCATTTTTGTTTCTTAAAAATGCAAAGCCCCATTGATAAAAAGAACAAAGGTGCTTACTCATCTGTCAAGATGAAATAATTAGTTGGAAAATTAATGTTTCAGAAGGATGAATGATATTGAAGAAGATTACCAAATAATTTTAATATCATGAAAAACCAGTAGAATGGCAATATATGGAGGAAACTAAAGAAAAAACAATTGTGAGTCTAGTTAATACATTTTATAAAGAAACCAAATAAAAGCCACAATCTGTTATTTTTACTTCCATCAAATCTCATATTTATCTATAGATTTATCTTTTTCCAGGCACGATGGTAGGTGCTCACTGATTTATCTTATATAATTTTTATTTATTTATTCATTTTTGAGACAGGGTGTACCTCTGTCTTCCAGGCAAAAGAACTTGCACGCATCTTTTCTCCCTTGGACCTGTTTTTTCAGCCTCTCTGGTAGCTGGGATCACAGGCGTGTGCCACCAAGCAGGGATAATTTTTGTATTTTTTGTAGAGATGAGGGTTTGCCAAGTTGCTTAGGCTGGCCTCGAACTCCTGGACTCAAGTGATTTACCTGCCTTGGCCTCCCAAGATGCTGGGATTATAGTTGTGAGCCATCCCACTTGTCCTGATTTATCTTATATAATATTATTAATAACTATATTAATATTGATAACCCATAAATCATGAGATTTATATTATGATTTTAAAGATAAGTAAATGATTGTCTGAAGGTTTTGATAGCTTTCTTATATTTCAGTGATAACAGAGTCAAAAGACATTATTTTGATCTTAGCTCAGAACCTAATTTTTTTTTATCATACTTTAAGTTTTAGGGTACATGTGCACAATGTGCAGGTTAGTTACATATGTATACATGTGCCATGTTGGTGTGCCGCACCCAGTAACTCATCATTTAATATTAGGTATATCTCCAAATGCTATCCCTCCCCCCTCCCCCACCCCACAACAGGCCCAGTGTATGATGTTCCCCTTGCTGTGTCCACGTGTTCTCATTGTTCAATTCCCACCTATGAGTGAGAACATGCGGTGTTTGGTTTTTTGTCCTTGCGATAGTTTGCTGAGAATGATGGTTTCTGGCTTCATCCATGTCCCTACAAAGACATGAACTCATCACTTTTTATGGCTGCATAGTATTCCATGGTGTATATGTGCCACATTTTCTTAATCCAGTCTATCATTGTTGGACATTTGGGTTCAGAACCTAATTTTTTTATATAAATAATTCCAGAACCCAAACAGTGAGACATTTTGCCACAATGACTAACATTGCAGATTGATTGCATTAACAACTTTAAATAATAGTTTCACTGTATTCTTTTAAATAACTTTTCAGCAACTCCCATCAAAAGATGAAGTCTTTCTCACCCCTTAGGTCTGGGATAAACTTGTAACTTGTTCTGACCCATGAAATATCATAAAAATGACATTGTATCAGTGCCAAACCTAGGTAAAGAGACCTTGCATGCATCTTTTCTCCCCTGGACTCCTGTGAACACCATTTGAACAAACCTGGGATACTCTTCTATAGGATAAGATAAGCAATCTCAGTTGAGATAATACTAGACAACTAGACTATCCCTAGCAACCCCCAAGCTGGCCACAAATATATGAGTGAGCCCAGCCTAACTCATCCAAGTTCAGCCTAAGTCAGATCACCCAGCCAATTCACAGATTCATGAAAAATAATAAATGGTAGATGTTTTAAGCCACACAGTTTTGGGATTGTTTGTTATACAGTAATAGCTAATGAATACGTATTCATAAAAGTGTTCTTAAAGCATCTATATGCCTACTGGATCATCAAAATGAGTTTATGGCCCCTGTAAGTCTAACACGGTTAGGTAAACACCTGGAGCTTTAGTTATAATGCTAAAATTAGCTTTGATTAATTACAAATTATAGCTGTATAGATATTTTATATACATCTATAATTTGTAATTAATCAAAGTTAATCTTAGTGTATAACTAGTATATACAATTAGGTTATTTTCACATTTCTAAGAATTTAGTTTAAAAACCTATATAGTATGGGTTTCCTTGGGCTAGAATCAAAGGAAGAAGAATAGTATATGTCATCCATCCAACAATAGATATATCACTAATTCATAATATTTATTGAGTGCTTTCTCTGTGCCAGAATCTATGTTAAGTACTTAGTCTTCATCCTCATTTTTAACCCTGAGTGACACCCAATCTGTACTTTCTATGGAGAATCCATACATCCTCAGAGTCTAGTCTGATTGAGGATAAACCCACAGAGCAAGAACTGTCACACCTCATAAGAATCGGTTTGCAGACTGCCAATACCCAGAGTTGGTCTAGGATTTAGCAGCAGCCATTCATTGTTACAGAACCTGTGAAACAGAAATTCAGAGAGCATCTAGGAGTAGAGTCAGCAGGATAAAGCTTCTGCAGTGGCTTGCGTATGGGGAAAGTAGTATGGAGTGGCTGGAGGTGCATTGGAGGGATTTTTAATTTCCCTAAAAGCCCAAAGAACCAACATTAGGAAAAACATTCAAGTGAGAGGGTTCTTTCTAGATTTGAGGAAGCTGAACTATTGCTTAATAAGGTCCCAAGCTAAAGACAAGTGGGCACTAGAGGAAGCAGTTATACCAAACAGGCGAGACATCCCTGTTTTACTCTCCATTCATGTTATTCTCACTTACCTTCTTCAGAATTATCTGAGGAGCATGTTTAAAAACGCAGATAACTGAGCTCATTTCCTGCAGTTTCATATTCAGTAGGTTTGAGGTTATACTCAAGAATTTGTATCTTTAATAAGCATCCTGGTTAAGATTTATGGTTAAGTAAGTTTGGGAAACACTGCTTAGGTGCTTAGGTAACATACAGCATCAAGATCTCTCGCAATAGGAAGTAAGGGAGGATGTAGCTAAGTAGCAGGTTTGCAAGGCTGGAGTAGCACAAACACAGGCAAAACTGAACAGATTAAGAAGAGCGGATAGTGTGAAAGAAGCAAGTATTTTTAGGGCCAAGAAGTACCAAGAAACAACTGGTCTCATACTTCTCTGTGTGGCCTAAGTTAATGGCTCATTCATTCATCCATTCATTCTTCCTTTTTTCATATACCGAGTGTTACCTTGAATCAGGCACGGGTATGAGTTCGCCAAATTAAAAAGTTTTGTTAGAAATTACTCCTCAAGGGAACCACAGTCCAGTTGGAGAGATAGGCACATAAAGTAATGGCAAAATTCATAGCTTCAGTGTTGTAATAAAAGTGTGGAAAGTTCTTTGTAGATTCTGGATATTAGCCCTTTTTCAGATGAGTAGATTGCAAAAATTTTCTCCCATTCTGTAGGTTGTCTGTTCACTCTGATGGTAGTTTCTTTGCTGTGCAGAAGCTCTTTAGTTTAATTAGATCCCGTTTGTCAATTTTGGCTTTTGTTGCCATTGCTTTTGGTGTTTTAGTCATGAAGTCCTTGCCCATGCCTATGTCCTGAATGGTATCGCCTAGGTTTTCTTCTACGGTTTTTAAAAAGGGTGGAGCACACCAACATGGCACATGTATACATATGTAACAAACCTGCATGTTGTGCACATGTATCCTAGAACTTAAAGTATAATAAAAAAAAAAAAGTGTGGAAAAAATGGGATAGAATTAAAGATAAGAGTAACTCCATTGGGAAAAAGGAGAGGTTAGAAACTCAGTTTAAAAGGATGAATAAGGGTTTATCCCAATACCAAGGGATGGATGGGCGTATCAAGGAGATGGGACAGTATATGCAAAGGCATAGAAAAAAATCAAACATTTTGAGGGAAGGTTAAAAAAACACATTGTGAAGCACAAAATGAGAATAATAGAAGGAAGGAAAATATAGAAATCAAGTAAATTGGAGTCAGGTAGTAAAACTGTCTTGTATTCTTATGTTAAGAAAGTTGGAAATTATCCGGAACACCATGAAAAATCAACTCAGCCATCCAAACACTTTTGAGCAGAAAACAGAATTATCAGATGTATTTGCAAGAATATTTTCAACATTTAAGGCAATACATATGCCATGTGACTGTGGGTATGTGCTGTAGACTGATTTGCCTCTTTTCAAAATGTATATGTTGAAGCTGTAACCCCTGATGATACGGTATTTAGAAGCTGGCCTTTGGGAGGGAATTAGCTTGGTACCCTCCATGCTGGGATAAGTGTCCTTATAACAAGAAGAAGAGAGAACAGAGCCCTCTCTTTATGCTGTAAGTCACAGCAAGAATGTAGTCATCTGCAAAGCAGGAAGAGGGCCCTCAACTGAAACCAAACAGGCCGGCATTTTGACCAAGGACTTCCCAGGTTCCAGAGCTGTGAAAAAATGAATGTCTGTTGTTAAAGTCACCCAATCTATGGTATTTTGTTACAGCAGCCTGAGCTAAGACAGTATACAAGTTTACTCTGTTTATGCCTGTGTGTTTGAAATAAGGGCAAAAGTTAGGTGGGGAAGCAGAACAAGAATTAATAGAGCCAAAGACTGCACTGACCCTGATAGTCGGGGTTAGAAGCCTATTATTGATGCCTATTTGATTATTGTTTGTTGTGGCATCATACTGAGAGATTTAAAAGATACTACTATTTTCCCACCCCTCACTTTTCCTAACTCATAGCTAAGCATCACTACGCAAATGAGCTAATGGTATATGTGATAAATGAGGTGCCACAGGATAGGAGACTGGGAAGAAGTAAAGCTGCAAAAGCCATGAATTGGTGTGGCAAACATATTAAAAATAAATTCTGTTAAGTACAGGTAACTGTATGTTAGTTGAATCAGATTGTCCTATTGTGAGGATCAGGATGACACACCCATCATATTTTCATCATTAATTCTTCCACTCTGTATTTTTACTCTTATACGGACATTTCCATTTAAAG
Organism: Homo sapiens; assembly: GCF_000001405.40. NCBI lineage: Eukaryota > Metazoa > Chordata > Mammalia > Primates > Hominidae > Homo > Homo sapiens. The sequence goes on along the minus strand of NC_000003.12, from coordinate 175,839,867 downwards.
AGCCGTCTAGAAGGGCTATTTTTATTCTCACAGTACTCCCAGTGTCAAGATTCATGAGGTCAGATGTGAAGATGAATTTGTTGGTTAAGCTGTTCTCTCCTAAGGGCAAGGAGCTTAATCTTTTTTTTGGTACTGACCTTGTCTTGTCTGGAGATGAATCAATGACTCAAGCTAGGAATGGTAAATCATGAATAAATGATTTATGCTTGTCTTGATCAAATATGATAGATTACTTGGATTCCTGACTATTACTGTATATAAAGATTTATATAATATACAAGGGACTGTGAATTGAAGAAAGAACTGAGAGTTTTCTCCAAGGATACAGTCCTGTGTAACACTGTAAATGTTATGCATAGTGAGCTAGTCCTTGAGAGAATAGTGTTTGAATATGATCAATGTAACATGATTTTTCCAAGTAATTAATACATTCTTCTCTGATTCCCTCCATTTACTTCCTTTCTTTTTCATTTTTTTTCTTTTTCTTTTCTTTTTAAGCAGTCACACCAGAATCCTATAAGGTAACCAATAATTCAAAGTCCATTTAGTAATAGTTTTTTCTTACTGATCATCTCACCCTAAGTTCTGAATAGTTTTCTATGGTCCTTGACCCGCAGTGAACTAAAGGGAAATTTACTGTAGTCACAGATGCCAATGGAGGTGAAGTAAGAAGTAAATGAGTGAATTTCTATCGGATAAGCTATCTTATGCCATTTGTTTTTGGAATGGAGGAGGGAGGAATGGAAATTAGCCAAAGAAAGCAAAGCTAATTCAACTTTTCTGCTTATTCTCTCCTAGAGATCAAATTGATGTCCCAATCTCTTTTGCAATTTTCCACACGAGCCTTTTATAAGAATAAATTGAGAGATTATTTTTTATTCTGGAATTGGGAATGTATATCACATACATTGTGTTGGAAGCAGAGGCATAGGATGGTAAATATTTTCCTTTCTCTAATAGTTGAAAAAACCATAGTTCCTTATAAGCATGATTATATGACAGGAAGCACTACATGCCATGAAAGTTGCTATCATCCACAAAGTAGAAGTCATGGCAGGCTGGGCGCGGTGACTCATGCCTGTAATCCCAGCACTTTGGGAGGCCGAGGCAGGCTGATCACCTGAGGTCAGGAGTTCGAGACCAGCCTGGTCAACATGGTGAAACCCCGTCTCTACTACTAAAAATACAAAAAATAACTGGGCAAGGTGGTGCACGCCTGTAATCCCAGCTACTTGGGAAGCTGAGGCAGGAGAATTGCTTGAGCCCAGGAGGCCGAGGTTGCAGTGTGCTGAGACCGTGCCATTGAACTCCAGCCTGGGCAACAAGAGCGAAACTCCATCTCAAAAAAATAAAATAAAATAAAATAAAGAAAGTCATGGCAGTGGTTTGAATTATGTGCTTAGCAATCTGACTACCCTGTAAAATTGTTTCGCTTTCTCTCTAAAAAAAGTGTGAACAGTGTTCATTGTGAGCTAGAAACCCATATACTACACTATTTCTTTTTATTCAATGTTATAGAAAATGAAAGAATAAATGCTTGTGTTTAATGTATTAACCACACCTTTCCAGTTTAAGGGAGATGATCTAATTTGACAGAATATACTAAATGTATTTTGTACTATATATTTTTAAAAGATGAAAAAAATCCAGGAAATGATAGATTTATAAAGACTTAAAATATGTCATCTTGATGAAACCCAGAGGCTTCATGAAAGCACTGGGATATTTCCAGCCCATTCCAAAGAAGAACATCTTGACCCTACTTTATATAGTTCGTAGAAACACCCTTTGCTCTAATAAATAGCAAGAAGTAAGGTTGGTTTTTTTTTTCTTCAGTCTTTTCTAGAGCTTTATTTTATTTCCGATAGTATTGTATTTCAAGTTCCAATCTGGGCATTTCTAAGGATCTCAAACTTTTTAGCCATTTCATTTTTAAAGCTCTCAGGATTTCTAAACTTTTAATGTCAGTGAGTCTTCAGAAATTAAAGGCAAGGAAGATGCAAAGGACATATCAGATATAATCTAAAACAATTAACTAGGTTAAGTAAGTAAAATTCAAAGATGACCCAAATATTACTACCCTCTGATATGCATATCTCTCCCCTTGAATGTAGGAATTACCTGTGAATTTGATGGAAGTCACTCCAATAATTACATTATATCATATGGCAAAGGTGAAGAGATTTTGCAGATGTAATTAAGGCCCCAAATCAGTTTTATTTTGATTTAATCGAAGGGGTTATTATTCTCAGTAGGACTTAACCAAATCAAATGAGCCCCTTTAAAAGATTGGTTAGGCTTTCCTTGAGCTCAGAGATATTTTCCTTTTGGCCTTGAAGAAGAAAGGCACCATAACTTACACAGCTACAAGAAAGTGAATTCTGCCAACAGCCACATGAGGTTGGAAGGAGACCCCAAGCTCAAATGGGTCTGAAGGCCTGTTTGATACCTTACTGCAACTTTTTTGAGACCCTGGGCAGTGGACCCAGGTAAGCTATGCCTGGACTCCTGACCTACAGAAACTGTTGAATAATAAATGACTTTCATGTTAAGTCATAAAGTTTGAGGTGATTTGTTTATATTAATAGAAAACTCACACTGATTCTCATTGTGTGAGTTTTATATTTGGTATATGAAGAGATACACACACATCCTATAAGGTCTGTTTTTTTTTTTCTTGAAAATATATAATATGTATGAATGTGTAACGAGAGAGAGGAATTTAATATTAATAGAGGATTTAATATTTAAAATTAACATTAAATCCCTCTCTCTCGCTCCACATGAACTACTAAAATTTCATGTTAGTAGATAAAGGACATGGTTATGGAGACTGAGAAGTACCAAAATCTGCAGTCAGCAAACTGGAGACCAAAGACTGCTGATAATGTAAGTTCCAGTCTGAGTCCCAGTCCAAAGGCAGGAGAAGACTGATTTTACAGCTCAGAGACAGTCACACTGAGACAAAATTCTTTCTTAATCACTCTTTTGTTATTCTTTTTAGACCTCCAATGACTTGGGTTAGACCCATTCACGTTGGGAGGGCAATCTGCTTTACCGCCTCCTGATTCAAATATTAATCTCGCCCATAAACACCCTCACAGACACTCAGAATAGTGTTTAACCACATAACTGACACCCCATGGTTCATTTGAGTTGACCTATAAAAGTAACCATCTCAAGAAGTGACAACCTGTGACTTTATGCACTTACTTGACGTTTCCTCTGATCTGCTTTAAGATAACATCTAATCCATGCTAGAGAATGAGTGAGCAGCTTCCCAGTTTGTCTACTGGTCTACAGAGTTTACTCCATTCTTTCTCATATTAATATTTATATTCTTTCTTTACCTTTAACATTCCTTAATATTTAATATTCATTCTTTCAAGTCAACAAATGACTGAGCAACAATGTGTATAAGACTTTGGGTCAGACCAGGATTAGGCACTCAATAGCCCCATTCTTCAAGGCATTTAAAATACTGCATGTATAATTTAATTAAAAAAAACTTGAATACTTAATAGGTGCAAAATAATGTACTATGTAGTATGAGCAATATAAAGAATAACTAGACAGAACTTATTCCTAAGAAGCTTACTATCTCATGGGTACAGAGCAGACATAAATAAATATCACAAGTAGGCTTTCATGCGCGTCCATGTGAAGAGACCACCAAACAGGCTTTGTGTGAGCCATAAAAGCTTTTAATCACCTGGGTGCAGGCGGGCTGAGTCTGAAAAGAGAGTCAGGGAAGGGAGATAGGGGTGAGGCCGTTTTATAAGATTTGGGTAGGTAAAGGAAAATTCCAATCAAAGGGGGTTTGTTCTCTGGCGGGCAGGAGTGGGGGTCGCAAGGTGCTCAGTGGGGGAGCTTTTTGAGCCAGGATGAGCCAGGAAAAGGGCTTTCACAAGGTAATGTCATCACTTCAGGCAAGGACCGGCCATTTACACTTTTTTTGTGGTGGAATGTCATCAGTTAAGGTGGGGCAGGGCATTTTCACTTCTTTTGTGATTCTTCAGTTACTTCAGGCCATCTGGGCATATATGTGCAAGTCACAGGGGATGCGATGGCTTGGCTTGGGCTCAGAGGTCTGACATTCCTGCCTTCTTATATTAATAAGAAAAATAAAACAAAATAGTGTTGAAGTGTGGGGGCGGTGAAAATTCTTGGGGGGTGGTATGGAGAGAGAGAATGGGTGATGTTTCTCAGGGCTGCTTCAAGCAGGATTAGGGGTGGCGTGGGAACCTAGAGTGGGAGAGATTAAGCTGAAGGGAGATCTTGTGGTAAGGGGTGATATTGTGGGGATGTTAGAAGAAACATTTGTGGTATAGAATGATTGGTGATGGCCTGGATATGGTTTTGGATGAACTGAGAAACTAAACGGAAGATACAAGGTCTGAATAAAAGAAGAAGAAAAATGGGTATTAAAGGACTAAGAATTGGGAGGGCCCAGGACATCCAATTAGAGAGTGCCCAAGGGGATTCAGCATAATTGCTTGGTTGGCAAGTTTTTGGGCTCTATCCTTGAGTTTTTTTATGTTGTCATACACCAGGCCAGATTGATTTAGGTAAAAACAACATTCTTCATTTAAGAATATACAGAGTCCTCCTTTTTCAGCAGTGAGTAAGTCAAGGCCTCGGCGGTTTTGGAGGACAACTGCAGCTAAAGAGTCAATTTGGGCCTGGAGGACTGATAAAGTTTGTGATATGTCTGTGATGCTAGCAGAGAAGTCATTAGACAGGCTACGGAAGGTCGTGACAGAGGTTGAAATGCCTGCTATTCCAGTACCGAGAGCAATAGTGGAGGCAGAAAGTCCTAAACCGACCATCAAGGGAATTAGTGGAATAACTCTTTTTGGTCGTGTCGGTGTCATAAGGGGAACAGGGAGCTCTTCGGTCCCATTTGCAAATTGAATTTTGGGGGTAAGGAAAACTAGTGTACATGTGCCTGTCCAATTAGCAGGTAGATACATGTAGGTAGAGGATCCACAGAGGAAGAATAGACCTTGTGCGAGGCAAAACTGGAGATGTAAAGTAAAAAGGTGAGAAGGAGTGCTGAAAGGGGTGTCTTGTACCCAGAATCCTAGGGATCCAGCTAGGGTGGCAGCTGTCAGAGGTTGTAATGGGGACAGATGGGGTCACTGCGTAGAGGAGGAGGTTCAATTTTAATGGTGTATGAAAAAATATTGAGTATCTGTGAGCAACCTTTCACTGTTATTTTTGGGGCTGGGTACAAGTAAACAAGAAGAGAGCCTGGGAGGAGAGTCTAATGAGCAAGGGGAAGGTAGCCAAGGATGGAGTGAAATACAGGGTAAGTGTCTTCCTAAGCAACAATTACTGCTAACGTTTTTGAGTTTGTCAGTATTGATAGAGGGCTTGTCTGTAATATAGAGCTGGAAGGCTCCAATTGTTTCAGTGATGTGTGTAGTTGGGCTTCGGAGTTGAAGAGTAAAGGAACATCGAGAAGGTGAAAGGTTACCCAGGGGAATTCCAGTGGGGCTTTGCCAAGAGATACATAAAGGAGCGGCCACAGGAATAGTAGTTTGTGTTGTGAGAGGTCCAAATATGGGGGGAGTAGAGTTAATATAAGGAGAAAGGTTTTTTAAATAAGTGCGGAGGAGGGCGGCAGCTTGCTGATGGGAAATGTCTGGGGAAGTCTTGCTGGACCTGTCTAGAAAGTAAATGAGTTCTTCAGGAGGGTAAAGGTGAGGGCTGTTAAAGGAAGTTCAGAGGTGTAAGGAGACAGGAGATGTTGTCCAGTCTGTCTGTAAGGCGGGGACAGCTATGTAGGCACTGGAAGAAAGGGAAACACAAAGCCAGGAGTTGTTCGCTAAGGAGGGATTAGAAGTGGCTGGGAGAGAATGGGTAAGGTTGACAGTGTGGTGGAGATAGCTGGGGAGAGGTAAAGGGTGGCGTAAGAATGGGAATGAGAATAAGAGTGAGTATAAAAGTAAAGAATAGAACTTCATCAGGGTGGAAGTATTGAAGGGTGTGCCCTGCCAGCAAAGATCATCTATTCACTCTAAGAGGGAATTAAGAGTGGCGGTTTGGGGATAGCACCAAGAGATATCAGCTGTGATGGCTTGAAGAAACAGTGTAAACCGGCAGTGTAAACAAGAGTAGGGCATTTATAAGTAGTTGAGAACGGAGAATAGGAATATGACTAGACAGAAAATAGTAGGGATGACAAGTTTTTTGGGGCTCGGCCTAAGTGGTGGGGGTGACTTCGTAAAGCCCTGTTGCAAAAAGTAGGGTAAGGACGAACAGACCTAATAGAATGAAGGGATGTATTAGGCTCTATTACTGTTCTTCAGAAATACGAGTGAGTTAAGGGAAGTAGGGGAGAGTACTTGCGACTTCCAGGAGGAAGAGGAGGGATTAGGCTGGCTGTCCGATGGACACAGCTTTATTCTGGAACAGTGAACCTCGTGGGGAAGATCCTGCAGGCGGACGGCAGTCGGGGTACTATAGATGACTAAGTAGGGTCCGGTCTATCGAGGTTGTAGAGTTTGAGGGGTCAGATTCTTAAGAAGAACTGATCGTCCAGCTAGGGTGTCTTCATATGGCTGGGGATCTGGAGTAGGCAGGAGAAGATTAGCAGCCTGGCAAATTTCCTGTCTAGCCTGTTGGAGGACTGGAAGATAGTCACCTAGAAGGCTGGTGTCTGGGATGAGGTTGGGGCCAAGCAAGAAAGTGCATCCATATAAAAGTTCAAATGGACTGTACCCTGTAGCATCTCAAGGACAGGCTCTAATTCTGAGAAGGGCAAGAAGTAAAAGTACTGTCCAATCCTTTTTAAGTTGGAGGCTGAGCTTGGTGAGGTGTACCTTTAAAAGACCATTAGTCTGTTCTACATTTTGTGAAGATTGAGGATGGTAAGGGATATGAAGGTTCCACTGAATATTAAGAGCCTGAGAAACTGCTTGGGTGATTTGACTAGTAAAGGCTGGTCCATTATCAGACTGTATAAAGGTGGGAAGGCCAAACCGAGGAATTATGTCTGACAGAAGGGAAGAAATGACCGCGGTGGTCTTCTCAGACCTTGTGGGAAAGGCCTCTCTACCTATCCAGTGAAAGTGTCTACCTAGACTAAGAGGTATTTTAGTTTTCTGACTCGGGGCATGTGAGTAAAGTCAATTTGCCAGTCCTGGGCAGGGGCAAATCCCCGAGCTTGATGTGCAGGGAAGGGAGTAGGCCGGAACAATCCCTGAGGGGTAGTAGAATAGCAGATGGAACACTGAGAAGTGATCTCCTTGAGGATAGATTTCTGTGATAGAAAGGAAATGAGAGGTTCTAAGAGACAGGCTAGCAGCTTGTAACCTACATGGAAGAGGTTATGAAATGACGACAGAATAGAATGGGCCTGTGAGGCTGGAAGGAGATATTTTCCTTGGTCTAAGAACCATTTGCCTTGTGCGGAAAGAGATCTGATAGGTGGAAGTTTCAGTGGGGGAGTAGGTGGCAGTGACCGATGTGAAGGAGAAAAACTGGCCGTGAGGGACAGAAGTTGGAGAGCTAGCTGCTTGTCTAGCCACCTTATCAGCATAAGCATTGCTGTGAGAGACAGGAGTTGGAAAACTAGCTGCTTGTCTAGCCACCTTATCAGCATAAGCGTTGCCTAGAGCAATGGGATCTGACGCCTTTTGATGCCCCTTGCAGTGAATGACCCTAGCTTCCTTTGGAAGTAAAGCGGCCTTAAGCAGAGTTTTTATTAAAGAGGCATTAATGATGGAGGACCCTTGTGTAGTGAGGAAACCTCTTTCAGCCCATATGACCGCATGGTGGTGCAGAATATGAAAGCATATTTAGAATCAATATAGATATCGACATGTAGTCCTTTTGCAAGAGTGAGGGCTTGAATTAAGGCAACTAGTTCGGCTTGCTGAGAGGTAGTGGAGGGGGGCAGAGTGGTAGCCTCAATGATAGATGTGGAAGATACTATAGCATAGCCTGCCTTTGCTGGTGAGTGACGATTAGGCCTGGTGGAACTGCCATCAATAAACCAAGTGTGATCAGGGTGAGAAATAGGGAAGAAGGAAATGTGGGGAAATTGGGTGAACGTCAGGTGGATCAGAGAGATGCACTCATGAGGGTCAGGTGTGGTATCAGGAATAATGTGGGAGGCCAGATTGAAGTCCGGGCCAGGAACAATGGTAATTGTGGGAGACTCAACAAAGAGTGAGTATAGCTGAAGGAGCCGGGGGGCAGAAAGTATATGTGTCAGGTGTGAGGAAGAAAATTGATTCTGGAAATTATGAGAGCTGTAGAGAGTGAGTTGAGCATAGTTTGTGATTTTGAGGGCCTCTAAAAGTATTAGGGTGGCAGCAGCTGCTGCACGGAGACATGATGGCCAGCCTAAAACAGTAAGGTCAAGTTATTTGGACAAAAAGGCTACAGGATGTGATCCTGGTCCTCGTGTAAGAATTCTGACTGCACAGCCCTGCACTTCAGCTGTGTGTAATGAAAAGGGTTGGGATGAGTCAGGGAGAGCTAGAGTGGGGGCAGTCTCTAAAGCTGTCTTCAAGGAATGGAAAGAGGAGTGGGGAAAGGATTTAGGATCTATGGGGTCAGCTAGGTTTCTTTTTGTGGGTTTATATAATGGTTTTATTAGGATGGCTGAACCAGGTATCCAAAGGCAAAAGTATCTAACTATGCCTAGGATGTAGAAGGTGTTGGGGTTTGAGAGATCAGTCAGACGCGATTTGCAGGGAGAGCATGTTTGTTTTTATAAGAATTATGCCAAGACAGGTAACAGATGAGGAAGACATTTGGGCTTGACTGAAGTAATGGGGGATGTCTGTGAAGCCTTGCAGCAGTAAAGCCTAGGTAATTTGCTGAACCTGATGGGTGTCAGGGTCAGTCCAAGTGAAAGCCAAGAGAGGCTGGGATGAAGGGTGCAAAGGAATAGTAAAGAAAGCATGTTTGAGAATAATGGGTTGTAGAGGCAGGTATTGAGGATAGGAGAGTATATGGGTTTGGCACCACGGGGTGGATAGGCAAAACAATTTGGTTGATAAGGCACAGATCCTGAACTAACCTCTAAGGCTTGTCTGGTTCTAGGACAGGTAAAATGGGGGAATTGAAAGGAGAATTTATAGGCTTTAAAAGGCCATGCCATAGCAGGTGAGTGATAATAGGCTTTAATCCTTTTAAAGCATGCTGTGGGATGGGATCTTGGCATTGAGCGGGATAAGGGTGATTAGGTTTGAATGAGATGGTAAGGGGTGCATGACTGGTCGCCAAGTAGAGGGTAGAGGTATCTTATACTTGTGGATTAAGGTGGGGGGATACAAGAGGAGGACGCAAAGGAGGCTTTGGATAGGGAAAAAGGGCGGCAATGAGATGCAGCTGTAGTCCAGGAATAGTCAGGGAAGCAGATAATTTAGTTAAAGTGTCTCGGGCTAATAAGGGAACTGGGCAGGTGGGGATAACTAAAAAGGAGTGCTTAAAAGAGTGTTGTCTAAGTTGGCACCAGAGTTGGGGAGTTTTAAGAGGTTTAGAAGCCTGGCTGTCAATACGCACAACAGTTCGGAGGCAAGGGAAACAGGCCCTTGAAAAGAAGGTAAGGTGGAATGGGTAGCCTCCGTATTGACTAAGAAGGGGACAGACTTACCTTCCACTGTGAGAGTTACCTAGAGTGTCTGTGAACTGGCTTCTAAGGCAACCGGGCAGTGTCAGTCTTCAGCTGCTAAGCTGAGAAGATCTGGGAAGGAGTCAGTCAGAGAGCCTTGGGCCAGAGTTCCAGGGGCTCTGGGAGTGGTTGCCAAGTGAGTTGAACAGTTCGATTTCCAGTGGGGTCGTGCACAGATGGGACACGGCTTAGGAGGAATCCTGGGCTGCAGGCATTCCTTGGCCTGGTGGTCAGATTTCTGGCACTTGTAGCAAGCTCCTGCGGGAAGAGGTTCTGGAGGAACGCCTGGCTTCTGTGGTTCAGGCGTTTGGAAGTTCTTGTGTGCTGGAGATGTGGCTGGGGTTTGTCTCACAGTGGAGGCAAGGAATTGCAACTTTTTTCTATTATCGTACACCTTGAAGGTGAGGTTAATTAAATCCTGTTGTGGGGTTTGAGGGCTGGAATTTAATTTTTGGAGTTTAATGTCGGGAGCAGATTGGGTAATAAAATGTATATTGAGAATAAGTTGGCCTTTTGACCTTTTAGGGTCTAGGGCTGTAAAGCGTCTCAGGGTTGCTGCCAGATGATCCATGAACTGGGCTGGGGTTTTTATATTTGATGAAAAAGAGTCTAAATGCTGCCTGATTTGGGAGAGGTCTGATAAAGAAAAAGGAGCATTAACCTTGACTATGCCTTTAGTTCCAGCCACCTTTTTAAGAGGAAATTGCTGGGCAGGTGGGGGAGAGCTAGTCATGGAAGGAAACTGTAAGCCAGACCAGGTGTGAGGAGGGGAGGTGATAAAAGGACTATAGAGTGGAGGAGCAGAGGCTGAGGAAGAATTGGGACCTAGCTTGGCCTGGTGAGGAGGGGAGAGGTCAGATGGGTCTGTAGAAAAGGAAGATTAGAAAGACTCAGCGACGCTTGGGGTTGGGACTGAGGGGACAGGTGGGAGGGAAAGAAGGAAGATTTAGGACGAGTTGCATTGGGAACAGAGACTAGAAAGGGACCGATGTGTAAAAGAATGCCCGGACGTCAGGCACCTCAGACCGTTTTCCTATTTTTTGACAAAAATTATTTAGGTCTTGTAGGATGGAGAAATCAAAAGTGCCGTTTTCTGGCCATTTTAGAGCCATTGCCAAGTTTGTATTGGGGCTAAGCAGTGTTGCAGAAGAAAATAAGGCATTTAGGTTTTAGGTCAGGTGTGAGTTGAAGAGGTTTTAAGTTTTTGAGGACACAGGCTAAGGGAGAAGGAGGAGGAATGGAGGGTGGAAGGTTGCCTATAGTGAAAGAAGCAAGCCCAGAGAAAAGAGAGAGTAGAGACACGGAGGGAAGGGGTTCGGAGGTTCTTACCCTCCAGAAAAGCGGGAAAGGGGTCGGGGTGCGGAAATAAGGGGTTGGGGTGCAGAGATAAGAGGTCGGAGCATGGAAATAAGGGATTGGGGCACAGAGATAAGAAGTTGGGGTGTGGAAATAAGGGATTGGGGCACAGAGATAAGAGGTCGGGGTGCAGAAATAAGGGATTGGGGCACAGAGATAAGAGGTCGGGGTGCAGAAATAAGTGATTGGGGCACAGAGATAAGAGGTCGGGGTGCAGAAATAAGGGATTGGGGCACAGAGATAAGAGGTCGGGGTGCAGAAATAAGGGATTGGGGCACAGAGATAAGAGGTCGGGGTGCAGAAATAAGGGATTGGGGCACAGAGATACGAGGTTGGGGTACTTGCCCCTCCCCTAGAAAAGCAGGACTTGCTGCTAAGGGTGAAGGAGAAGGGGTTGGGGGTTTCTTGCCCCCCAGAAAGGCAGAGAAGGGGTAGAGACATGGCGAGAAGGGGTTGGGGTACTTGCCCCTCCCCCAGAAAAGCAGGACTTGCCACTAAGGGTGAAGGACCAAGGCAGGCATCCCTGTGTGGTCTGACACCTCTGAAACATGGCTAAATAATCAGAGAGGCGTCCCTGCAATGATTAAACACCAAGGGAAGGCTGCCTTCCCAGTCTGTGACAGGCGCCAGAGTTTTGGGTCCACGGATAAAATGTGTCTCCTTTGTCTCTATCAGAAAATGAAAGGAATTGAAATTAAAAGAAGGGAGAGATTGAAGTGTGGTGCCAAGACTGAAAGGAGAAAGAGGTTGAGGGATAGTGAGGGAGGTTGGAGAAGAGAGTAAAAAGAGGCCGCTTACTGGATTTGAAATTGGTGAGATGTTTCTTGGGCTGGTTGGTCTGAGGACCTGAGGTCGTAGGTGGAGCTTTCTCATGGAGCAAAGAGCAGGAGGACAGGGGATTGATCTCCCAAGGGAGGTTCCCCGATCTGAGTCACAGAACCAAATTTCACTCACGTCCCTGTGAAGAGACCACCAAACAGGCTTTGTGTGAGCAATAAAAGCTTTTAATCACCTGGGTGCAGGCGGGCTGAGTCTAAAAAGAGAGTCAGTGAAGGGAGATAGGGGTGGGGCCATTTTATAAGATTTGGGTAGGTAAAGGAAAATTATAGTCAAAGGGGGTTTGTTCTCTGGCAGGCAGGAGTGGGGGTCGCAAGGTGCTCAGTGGGGGAGCTTTTTGAGCCAGGATGAGCCAGGAAAAGGACTTTCACAAGGTAATGTCATCACTTAAGGCAAGGACCAGCCATTTTCACTTCTTTTGTGGTGGAATGTCATCAGTTAAGGTGGGGCAGGGCATTTTCACTTCTTCTGTGATTCTTCAGTTACTTCAGGCCATCTGGGCATATACATGCAAGTCACAGGGGATGCGATGGCTTGGCTTGGGCTCAGAGGCCTGACATAGGCTACAACAGAAGTCTTAATAAAATTCTGTGAGATTATTGTAGAAGAAGAAATTAATTCTGTGGATATAGTTTTGACTAGGTAAACGTAGTTTTCAGATAAAAAGGTAATATTTAAAATTAACATTGAACTATGGAGAGGAGTTTGAAATGTGAAGATATGTATGGTAAAATTTCATGTTAGTAGATAAAGGGCATGAATGGGTCATGTCCATTTTAAGTATGTTTCATGGTGCAGGGACAGTAAAATAGGATTGTTTGAATCTCAGTTGTATGTTACATAGTTCTCAGTTGTATATTACATAGTTCACATATGATCAAGCTTAACTTTTCTGGGCTCAAGACTTCTCAACAGTAAAATGGGGATGTTAATACCTATGTTCATGGTCTGAAAATCAAATCATGTGACTGGTTTGATTAAAATTTTAATTTTTGCCAATTCCTTCTTTCCACTATTCTCTGTCAAAGCCCCATCAACAGCGGAACAAGAGGCTTCCTAGAGGACATCTTTGTGTGACGTCATCTTTTCTTTCACCTTTCCACTTTTATTAAAACAATCTCATTTCAGTCAACACTTTGTTTAAACTTTAGCAATTTTCAATCTTACATTTGATTCAAAGCCTTCCTTCTTTCTCCAGTACAGAAACCTTTGTCTCCAATGGCTTGGAGCAGAAGGATGAGAAAGGGAGGAGGTTTGTTGTATTTCCCAGATTCCTCTCCTGTCTTCTGTTCCCTTTTTCTTCTCATGGTATTTGTCCTGGAGCAAAGAAGATAGATTGTTCAATGGATTAATCCACAGATAGAGCACATGGGTTGTTTTCTACAAAATCTTTCATAGTCTATAGGAAAATTGTACTGTTCTTTTTTATCTTGTTTACTTATAGTATTTTTGTATGCATATTTATTTTTTCTCACAAATATATCAGTTGGACTTTCTTGAACTCTTAACAGATGGCTTCTGGAAAGAAGCACAGAGAGACTAGAATGGTTTTTCAGACACTGATTCCTCCCTTCTTCCAGCTCAAGAGATCCCTGTTCTTCTTCTATATCAGTGGACCATTTCCTTCTGATAAATGGCACAAATGCACCTCTTGGTTTAGAAGAGCATATCCCTCCAGGTCTTTTCTTTCCTAGTTTTCTCACAGGCTGCCATCAATAAATGATCCAGATCTGATCACCTTTTTTTTTTTTTTTGTAATGTTTTCTGGGACTCCTCTGGGTCCACTGAGCAATTTCTAAGCCTACTTGTTCTTCTTAAACTGTATCATCTCAGCTGAGCTCACAGCACTTACCTCTTAGAATGGGCCTTCCTACTCTTTTGGGGTGTGAATATTTTTCAGCGATTTCTGACATATTTCATTAATTAGGCCCCCCTTGGCACTCCCATTTTCTCCACAGTATCATTTCAACTTCTTGTGTTGGCTTCCTGTCAGCCTCTGACTTTGGTCACTTACATATAATTTGCAGCTTGTACGTTTTCTTCAAATTGATCTAAACCACAATTTGGATATACTGCATATTTTTCTTTTTTTTTTTCCAGACAAAAAAATGTGGGAATATTCAAACCTAAGCTCCTAATGTGTTCCTACGAGAAGTACACATCTGAATTTTATGACAACACTATCCTCATATATCTCTCAAATTTAAAAATGCACTTAATATATCACTCCAATGTGCTTACTGTTGGTAGTTAAGATTCTCTCTTAGACTCTGCTGCCTCTAATATGTATAGACTTCGGTAGCAAGGGAGAGCAAGAAGGTGAGTTTGTGAGAATGAAAAAAATGCCAAGGTGTAGAGGTGTAGACTGTCAGGCCTCTGAGCCCAAGCTAAGCCATCATATCCCCTGTGACCTGCATGTATACATCCAGATGGCCTGCAGCAAGTGAAGAATCACAAAAGAAGTGAAAATGGCTGATTCCTGCCTTAACTGATGGCATTCTACCATTGTGATTTGTTCCTGTCCCATCTTAACTGAGCAATTAACCTTGTGAAATTCCTTCTCCTGGCTCAGAAGCTCCCCCACTGAGCACCTTGTGACCCCCGTCCCTGCCTGCAAGAGAAAAACCCCCTTTGACTGTAATTTTCCACTGCCCACCCAAATCCTATAAAACTGCCCCACCCCTATCTTCCGCGCTGACTCTCTTTTCGGACTCAGCCCGCCTGCATCCAGGTGATTAAAAAGCTTTATTGCTCACACAAAGCCTGTTTGGTGCTCTCTTCACAGGGACGTGTGTGACACAGACTACTGTGTTTTCTGATCACAGGTACTCCCCATGTGTCCCTGGTATGCCCAGTCTTCTAGATAAATCTCTCTCTCTCTGAAAGAACTCACTTCACCTACTGCTTAAACTTGGGGGCTGATAACCCAGCTGGACCTTCATGGAAAAAAGGTGGTCATATGCAGATGTTGCCCCATTTGGATGGTCTGTGTTGGGTCACAATTTTCACCCTCAGTTGCTCCTGGCTTTCCTCCATCTCTGGTTAGCCTTAGTGGGGGTCATGTGCCCAGGACATTTCTCTTCTCTATGCACTCCTGGGTTTCTGGAAATTTGCGTGGTTTCTGGCCCACTCAGGGATCCTCCGCTAGCCTAAGTAATTTTTACTTTTACTTGTTTTGTTACATATTTCTTTGTTTCATTTTTGGGAGCACAAAATAGATCTGAAAGGCTGTAAT
Source organism: Homo sapiens (assembly GCF_000001405.40). NCBI lineage: Eukaryota > Metazoa > Chordata > Mammalia > Primates > Hominidae > Homo > Homo sapiens. The sequence goes on along the minus strand of NC_000003.12, from coordinate 175,824,808 downwards.
GTATTTTTAGATCTCTACCATTAGCTGAAAACAAATATGTTTCCTTCACTTTTCAACATTCTGGTCATGTTCCTTTGGAGGAAGTCTGGTTTATCAGTGTTCTTTTAAATTGGTGTGCAGTACTGAATAAGACATTTGATTTGCTCCATCGTAAAAAACAGGTTGGCCATCACCTCCTTTGCCCTGCTTTATACTTCTATGAATACAGTATGAGATTAAATTAACATATTTTGACAGTCAGATCACATTTGCTTTTATAGAAATTAAATCAACTAACACTACTAATTCAAAATTTTGTATATATAGGGATACTAATATAGGTATTATATCTTTTACTTGGGCAGTTGAATTTTTGATTCATTTTACTCTTTTATTCCAGTGTTTTTGGATTCAGTTTGTTATCTAACTTACTACCTAGCATTCTACATTTCCATATAAATTATAACCAATATGACAAGAGCTAAAATTTTCAGGATCACTAGCAGAGGAGGCCCTCGGTAACCTAAGGTAGTGAGAACTTTACTTTCAAAATAAGCTGATGGTGTTATATACATCATAAATTTAATTGCGCCCACTAAGCAAATAGAGCCAATATGTTTTATGTTTACTTTGATTCTAATCAAAACAACTCCTAGCCAGCTTGTCTTAGATAATCTAAATAATTTCATGTTAAAAAACATTGAGGCAGTATATATATATATATATATATAAAATATATATATGAGAGATGTGTATATATATGAGAGAGATATATATATCTCTCTCATACATATATGAGATATATATATCATATATATAACATATATATATATGATATATATAAGGGAGGGAGAGAGAGAGTTAGGTATTTTTCCTGCAAATAATTGCTTTGCTTAGCAAAAACTAAAAAGAGTTCATAGCTTCATATCTATTTCCTTCCTATTTTCCTCAAGTTCTAATGTTGTTTCAGACTTTGTTATCCCACAATTATGCACAGGAGGTCTTTTCTGTAGAATTCCTTATTTATAATATTATTCTTCTAATCTTATACTTTTTGTGCATTTTTGTATCTGTATAAAATGTCTTTCATAATTTATTATTTATTGTCAGGCATGAAGAAAAATAAACCATTTTTATTCACTGTCAGTTGCAGTAGAAACTGGTATTTTCGTTGTAAAGAAATTCAAAATAACGATTGAAATTTAGAATTCATGGCGCTCTTCCATTTCAAGATGGAACATTAAACATAACATTTTTCTCTTTACCATTTTAAGACCCCATTAAAATGGTAGAAACAGGTTAGAAGAAGGTGAAAATTTATAGCAATAAATAGAATAAGAACAGTATATTTCCAGACAAGAGCTTTCCTCAAGTTTCTTAAAGTAGAAAATGAAGTGGTTTCCAAGGAAAAGGTGCAGAAGCAATCATCTCCAAGGATGAAAGTGATACTGGTGAAGATCAGGAAGAAGCACAGGCACTCCTCTTTCTTGCCTTTCACCTCTCACCACCTCCACCTCTCCCATGAAGAGGAGAACTACTGTAATGTTTGGTTTAACTGGCACTTTACTGACCACGTGAGATAGAGCTTTCTCCGGGCTTTAGTGTTCAAGCACATAGAGGTGTGTTCTTCCCTTTCTCTTCCTTTCACGCGTGTCCGTGTGAAGAGACCACCAAACAGGCTTTGTGTGAGCAACAAGGCTGTTTATTTCACCTGGGTACAGGCAGGCTGAGTCTGAAAAGAGAGTCAGGGAAGGGAGATAGGGGTGAGGCCTTTTTATAGGATTTGGGTAGGTAGTGGAAAATTACAGTCAAAGGGGGTTGTTCTCTGGCAGGCAGGGGCGGGGGACACAAGGTGTTCAGTGGGGGAGCTTTTGAGGCAGGATAAGCCAGGAGAAGGAATTTCACAAGGGAATGTCATCGGTTAAGGCAGGAACAGGCCATTTTCACTTCTTTTGTGATTCTTCAGTTACTTCAGGCCATCTGGATGTATACATTCAGGTTACAGGGGATATGATGGCTTAGCTTGGGCTCAGAGGCCTGACATTTCCCTTTTCCAGATAGGGGCAGGAAAATAACTCAGACTGCTCTAAGAAGTTTATCTTACATGTTTTTGTTTCTTTTGTTCATTCACTGAACAAATAAATATTGGATGCCTACTTAGTGTAAGATACACGAGGCATTTGGGAGAAAATGGTGAGAAAATAAGAAATTGATGACTCATTCACAAAAGCTAAATTCTAGTAGGGGACTCACTTACACAACAAAAAATGTAAAATTAGAATGTAACTGAAGTAATTTCTGACAGAAAAGTACATGTTGCTATGAGAACAAACAATAGAGGTATTTGATATATCCTGGCACAATTTCATGAAAAGGTGAAAATTTAACTGCATTCTGAAAAATTAACTAAATAGCAAATAGAGCAAGAGCATCCGCTGCATTGGGAATAGTATGTATAAAGCATGGTGCCAGGAAGGTGCTGGGAGAGTTCAAGATTATGATAGAAGGCCAGTGAGACTAGAACACAGAAAAAAAGAAATGTAGGTAAGGCCAAAATGTATGGGGTGGCATAGGATACGTTAAGAGTTAATGAGACATAGAATCATAGGATAAAACTATTTTCCCTTAAAACTGAGAAGTCATTGATGAGAGGTTTGATGCTAAGTGCTCCTTCATTTGTTGGAAACTTGTTGAAATTTGATTTTTAAAAATTGTGTTTTAGTTTGTTTTACTTCCTTGAACTTTTAGGATTATCTAAATTGGTACTTTAAAATTTTTTCAGCATGTCTACAATGACCAACTGTTTTTTTCACTTTGCTAGGAAATCAGTGGGACCTTAAAGTGACTATCCTTCATACTAAATTATATCCTCTATTATTTTTATTTTCCCTCACTTTTCTGTTCTTTCTTTCAAACTCTTTGTAAATATTTTAATTAACTGCATTAAATTGTACGAATTACATAATTACATAAATTACATAAATCTACACATAATAAAATTCACTAATTTTAAATGCATAATTTAATGAGACTTGACAAATCTAAATACTTATGTAGCCACCCCCGCAGTCAAGATACAGAATGTGTACATTACTTCAAAAGTTGCCCGTTGCCCATTTTGCAATCAAACCCTTACCCCTATATCTAGCTGCTAGCAAACTCTGATTGGCTTCTGTCACTACAGTCTTTACTTTTCTAGAATTTCACATAAATACAATCTTACATGATATAATTATCAAGCAGCTCCAAAGCAATATCAACACAGTGGGTGAAGCTGCTAGATTGACTTGCCACGGGCTCATACATTTAACCAATAAGAAGAGAGTGTCCCAGTTGGATTTGAAAGTTTATTACACACAACACAGCCGGCATTATGAGGTGTATGTTCTCATCCATTCACTTTGTCCCATCAAACATGCTGGTGGTGTGAAGGCAGACCCAGCAGGGTGCTGCACACCAGTGGGTCTATGTAAACCCAGAGTTTAGCATACCTCCAATCTTTTAACTGGACTACTGGTAAAACTGCACAACCTTTGACCCAAGTGGGAGAAAATATCTTTCTTATACAGGTCAGTAAACAGATCTGTTTTCTGGCAGGAAGGGAGCCACTATCTCTTCCTTCTGAGGACTTTGAATAATAAAAAACCTTAGGAAGAGAATCTTCAGTAAAAGCTGTCACAATGTGTGGAAATGCTGTTGTAAATTGTCTCCCAACATTAGATTTCTGAATATGGCTTACTTCACTTACTATAATGCTTTTATCATTTGTTCTTGTTAATGTATATATCAATAATTTGCTCCTTTTAATTCCTAGATAGGACAGGCATGCCTTGTTTTTTTGCTTTTTGTTTTATTATACTTCACAAATACCACACTATTTTAACTAATTCAAGGTTTATGGCAACCTTGCACCAACAAAAGAATATCAATATTATTTTTCCAACAGCATGTGCTCACTTCATATCTCTGTAACATTTTGGTAATTCTTGCAATATTTCAAACTTTTAAATTGTTATTACATCTGTTATGGTGATCTGTGATCAGTGCTCTTTAATGCTACTACTATAATTGTTTTGGGGTACCACCACCTGTGTCCATATGAGACAATGTTAAATGTTGTGCGTATTCAGGCTGTTCCACTGACCAGCCATTTCCCAATCTGTCCCCCTCCTTTTGGGCCTTGCTAGTCCCTAAGACACAACAGTTTTGAAATTAGACCAACTAATAACCCTACAATGGCCTCTAAGTGTTCCAGTGAAAGGAAGAGTAGCACATCTCTTACATTACATCAAAAACTAGAAATAAGCTTCATGAGGAAGACATGTCAAAACCCAAGATAGGTAGAAAACTACTCCTCTTGTGCCAAACATCCGAGTTGTGAATGCAAAGGAAAAGCTCTTGAAGGAAATTCAATATGCTACTCGAGTGAACAGATAAATAATAAAGAAGCAAAACAGCCTTATTGCTGATATAGAGAAACTTTTATTGGTAGGGATAGAAGAGCAAAGAAGCCACACATTCCTTAAGCCAAAGCCTCATCCAGAGCAAGACCCTAACTCTGTTTAATTCACTGAAGGCTGAGAAAGGTGATGAAGCTGCAGAAGAAAAGACTTAAGCTCACAGAGGTTGGTTCATGAGGGTTAAGGAAAGAAGCCGTCTTCATAACATGCAAGTGCAAGGTGAAGCAGCAAGTGCTGATGTAGAAGCTTCAGCAAGTTATGCAGAAAATCTAGCTAAGATCACGGACAAAGGTGACTGCACTAAACAACAGATTTTCAAAGTAAACAAAATAGGCTTCTATTACAAAAAGTTGTCATTTAGGACGTTCACAGCTAGAGAGAAGTTAATTCCTGGCTTCTAAGTTCCAAAGGAGAGGCAAACTCTCCTTTTAGGGACTAAAGCACTGGTGACTTGAAGTCGAAACCAATGCTCATTTACCATTCATCGAATTCTAGGGCCCTTCAGAATTATGCCAGATCTACTCTGCTTGTGCTCTATAAATGGAAAAGCTAAGCCTAGATGGCAGCACATCTGCTTATAGAATAGTTTACTGAATCTTTTAAGCCCACTGTTGAGATCTACTGCTCAGAAAAAAAAAAAAAAAAATTCAAACCATTGAGATATACTGCTCAGGAAAAAAAAAAAAAAGTCAAAGTATTATTTCTCATTGATAATGCAACTGGCCACCCAAGTGCTCTGATGGAAATGTAGAAGGAGATTAAAGTTTTCATGCCTGCTAACACAACATCCATTCTGCAGCTCATAGATGAAGGAGTAATTTCTACTCTCAAGTCATATTATTTAAGGCTTTATTACTCATGAGGCTATAGCCACCATAGATAGTTAATTGTAGAATACAGCAAATTCCTCTTCAAAGGTTTTAGTCTGTTAATTTACTTTAAAATTCAAGAGGGGGAAAATTGTTAAGTACAATGAGTTCTGAGTTCCTCTTCAAAGAACCAATATGTCAGTATGTTCAGCTTCCCTGTTCCTTGTTCTCCATTTTAAAGTTTAACTTCCTCATTCTTTATGCCTCCTTGCCCCTAGTTTCAGTAAACAACTTCCCCAGCCTCTATCACCTGTTCTTAGTCATCCTTAGTCACCTGCTCTGTAACCATACTTCCTGCCAAAACTACTCACCCTGGCACTTTGGCTTGTACCCCTGCCTTCTTTGAAATAGCCAATCAGAATTAGCTTAGACTGTGTGGTCCAACCCTAGCCAAAAGGGGAAAGACACAGCTGTAGGAACTAGCTTCGTTAGGGATAAGAACCCCTTCCCCTCCCTTGTCTGGAGTGCTCTCACCATTGTTCCATCCATGAGACGCACCCTAGAAGTAAATTTGCCTTGCTGAGAAAGCTTTTTGCTGGAGTGCTGATTCTTCTTTGTGTCACCAAAAATTTGTTTCCAACATACTTTTCTGATAGCTCTGAGAAAAGTCTGTTGAAAGCCTTCTGGAAAGAATTCACTTTTCTAGACGCCATTAACAATATTCATGGTTCACTGGAGAAGGTCAAAATATCAATATTAATAAGAGTTTGGAATATGTTGATTTGAACCCTCATGAATGACTTTGAGAGATTCAAGACTTCAGTGGAGGAAATAACTACAGAAGTGGTAGAAATAAAAAGAAAACTAGATTTAGAAGTGGAGCCTGAAGTTGGGACTGAATTGTTGCAATATCATGATCACACTTAAACAGATGAGGAATTGCTTTTTATGGATGAGCAAAAAATGTGGTATATTAAGATACAATCTACTTCTTGTGAAGATGCTGTGTCATTGAAATGTCAACAAAAGATTTAGAATATTACAGCAACTTAGTTCATAAAGCTGTGGCAGGTTTTGAGAAGATTGACTCCAATTTTGAAAGAAGTTCTACTATGAGTAAAATGTTATCTATGTAACAGCATTGCATGCTGCAGAGAAATCTTCCATGAAAGGAAGGGTCAATGGGAAAACTTCATTGTTTCCTTATTTTAAGAAATTTTCATAGCCACCCCAACCTTCAGTAACCACCACTGTGATCAGTCAGCAGCCATCAACATCAAGACAAGACCCTTCACCCACAAAAAGATTATGACTTCATGGAGGCTCAGGTGATCATTAGCTTTTATTAGTAAAAAAAATTAATTGGCCAGGCACAGTGGCTCATGCCTGTAATCCCAGCACTTTGGGAGGCCAAGGCAGGTAGATCACCTGAAGTCAGGAGTTCAAGACCAGCCTGGCCAACGTGGCAAGACCTCGTCTCTACTAAAAATACAAAAAATTAGCCAAACGTGGTGGCATGCACCTGTAGTACCGGTTAGTGAGGAGGCTGAGGCAGGAGAATCACTTGAACCTGGGAGGTGGAGGTTGCCATGAGCTGAGATCATGCCACTGCACTGCAGCCTGGGTGACAGAGCGAGACTCCATCTCAAAAAATAATAATAATAATTAATTAAGGTATGCACATTTTTTAGACAAAATGCTATTGCACACTTAATAGACTACAGCATAGTGTAAACATAACTTTTTATATGCACTGGGAAACCCAACACTTGTGTAACTCATTTTATTGCAATATTTGCTTTATTGTGGTGGTCTGAAATTAAACCTGGAATATCTCTGAGATAAGCCTGAAACTCATTGTATGGATATCCTACAATGTGTTCTATCATTTAAACCATTTAGGGACATTTGGTCTGTGTCTAGTTTATTAAAAAAATTATTATGACGTGCACACTTTCTTGAGGAATAAATTTTTATTTTTAGTAACAAGGTTGGGGTGGGATTGTTGGGTCACATTGTATGTATGTTTAAATTTATAAGAAACTGTCACATTTTTTTCCAGAGTGGCTATACCATCTGACCTTCCCACCAACAATGTGTGAGAGTTTTGGTTGCTCCATAACCTTGCAATAATGTGGTATTGTCATTTTTTTGTGCAGTGGTAACACAATATGACCTACTTGGATATATTTTGCCATTCATAACTGTTTTTTTTTTTGAGATGGAGTCTGCTCTGTCACCCAGGCTGGAGTGCAGTGGTGCAATCTCAGCCCACTGCAATCTCCGCCTCCAGGATTCAAGTGATTCTCCTGCCTTACTCTCCCAAGTAGCTGGGATTACAGGCCAACATGCCCAGCCAATTTTTTAAATATTTTTAGTAGAGACTGGGTTTCACCATGTTGGCCAGGCTGGTCTAGAACTCCTGGCCTTGTGATCTGCCCACCTCAGCCTCCCAAAATATAGGATTACAGGCGTGAGCCACCACACCAAGCCTCATAACACTTCTTTAATGAAGTATCTGTTCACATTTTTTGCCCAATGTTTTTAACTTATATTTTTGAGGGGTCTTATTGAAAGTACGACTTGTTAATTTATTCTAAATACAGTAACTTTACTAGTTATGCTTTGTAAATAGTTTCTACCTATTTCTGTCTTGCCTTTTCTTTTTCTTAAAAACGTATTTTGAAGAGCAAAGTTTTAAATAAGTAAGTCTCACTTATTGATTTTTTTTTTTTTTAAGTTTTATAGTTTGTGCTTTCTGGTTTTTTTGTTTGTTTGTTTGTTTTTTCCTTTTCTTTTGACAGGGTCTCTCACTCTTTTGCCCAGGCTGGAGTGCAGTGGCACCATCTCGGCTCACTGCAACCTCTGCCTCCCAGGCTCAAGCGATTCTCTTGCTTCAGCCTCCTGAGTAGTTGGGATTAGAGGCACGCGCCACTACCACCTGGCTAATTTTTTTGTATTTTTTTTTTTTAGTAGAGATGGAGTTTCACCATGTTGGCCAGGCTGGTCTTGAACTCCTGACCTCAAATGATCCACCTGCCTCGGCCTCCCAAAGTGCAGGGATTACAGGGATGAGCTTTCTGTTTCTTATCAAAAAAATCATTGCCTAACCCACGGTTATAAATATTTCTAAATGTGTTTTCTTCTATATGTTTTATAGTTACTGCTCTTATATTTGAGTTTATGATCCATTAAGTTAATTTTTGTGTAAGGCATGAGATATATAGGTATAACATTTTTCATTTCTGTTCTGTTAATATAATAAACTATATTGAATGATTAATTCTTTTTAAATATTAAACAAATTTGGGAGTGATGTCAGCTACATGGTGGAATAGAAAGTCCCAGTCTTCATTTCCCTAAAGCAACATGATTTAACAATGATATACAGACCAAAACACCTTTATAACAAGTCCAGAATCTAGTTAAGAAGTTGCAGTACCCCAGAAGAGCACAAAATGGAGAACATCCATATACAAATATATAAGAAGGACAATTTTACTTTAACTGTGTCAGGCCCTCCCCCAAGGTGGTATAGCGCAGTGTGGAGAGAGATTTCTTTGGCCCCTAACTTTATCCTTGTGGTGAAGGGGAAGAGAGTGTGGAGTGCATATTCAACACACTCATCCTATCAGGATGCTGCCCAAAAGACTGGTTTCTGTCTCACCTCACATAGTGCACAGAAGTCACTGGCATAGTTTGGATATTTAGGTGGCAGCTAAGAACAAAGGAAAGGAGCAAAAGATTTGATGGAGCCAGCACATATCTGTTAGATGGGCAAGAAGGTGCAGAACCTGTGGCTTCTATCCTGGGAGGAAGGAAGAAGGGTATAGTATGCCTCCAACATCCCAGACTTTTATCACACTGCCCAAATGAGCAGTTTTTGTCATTAGGTCTGCTATTGAACCCCTCTAATGAATTTTCTTTTCAGTTACTGTATTCTTCACTTCTAGAATTTCCATTTCGTTCTTTTTTTAATATGTTTTATTCCTTTTCTGATATTCTCATTTTGTTCATGTATCATTTTCCTGGTTTTGTTTCTCTAGCTGTGTTTTCTTATAATCCACTGAGCTTCTTTAAAACAATTATTTTGAATTCCTTGTTATATATTTCATAGATCTCCATTTCTTTAGGGTCTATTACTCAAAATTTATGTTATTCCTTTGGGTCATATTTCCCTGACTCTTCTTGTTCCTTGTTCGTTGCATTGGTATCTATACATTTGAAGAAATGGCTATCTCCCCAACCTTTATGGACTCGATTAAACAGGAAAAAAATCCTTCACTAATCTTCCCAGATGGAGATTTTGGGATCCACTCAGAGTTTTCCTCTGGACATGTCTTCTGTAAATTTTATGCTTGGAGATTTCTAACTAGATAGATTTTTAATTAGATAGGTTTCTTTTACTTTTTTAAAAAATTTCTTTTATTTTTAGGAGCCTGTAATCAATTCCTTCTGGTGTCTGATTATTATGCCATGGATTGTGACCTATGAGGCAAACTCTACTCCTCTTCTTCCCTCCCTGTGGAGAAGCTTTGAGTAGTGTCTTCTCCCAATGTCAATGAGCCATACAGGTCATAGTAAGCTGTTTCACCCTTTACCTTTCAACACTATGACAATTCCATCAGCACCCACCCTAAATGAGAAAAACTAGGCTAATAAATGCTACTTATTGAAAGCCATGGGGTAAATATTTTAAGGAAGTAGAAATGTCAAAAGACTTTAATATCACTAGAGTCATGCAAGATGAGAATTTAAACACATTCATTACACATAGTGCCTTGGAGATAAAAAGGTGATCATATGTCCTGATCCATGATATTCCCAACTTCTGATTTTCCAGAATAATTATTAATAATGCATACTTTTACCTTTAGGAAAGTGTCCTAATTTGTACAATAAGTTATAGTTAACCTTGCTGAGAAAGGTTATATTGCACTTATCTAAATCTTTGTTGAGTAAAATATTGAGAATTCCAACCCGATTATCCAGGAATGGAGCATTAGCAGGAGATGAAGGAAAAAGCATAATGACATTTAGCAAGTCTGAAAAAAGTTTAATTATGAGTGAGAGGAAAAAGGCAAGTAAGTACCTATATGTGGAAGTAGAATTGAGATAGGCTATTGATTTTATTGTTCTTGTTGTTCATGATGTTCTCTTTTCTTAAATGGAATTGAATATGCAAGACTTATCTAACATTTTAGGAAGAAAGGAAGATACTTTACATGGAAATACAGTTAAGTTTCTATGTTTGGAGAAGGAAGAAATGAAATGATCTGCTGAGAATAAAGAAGAAAGGATGAAAGTGATTACCACAGATTTGAAGCAAACAAGGAAGGGCTCAAATTGTCTATGACTTTGGGTTTTCATGTTAAATAGGCAGAGCAGTACTTTCAGTCTCCTAAGGTATTCAGGCCAAACAATGTAAACTGAAGATTTTTTTTCCATGTCTAGCCAACATGCTCAAATAAAAAAAGGACTTGGGGCTGACGCCCCAGTTAGCAATACAGTGTTAATTTGCATAATTTTTTATCTGGACTTGTATCTATTTTTTCCAGAAATCTGGTGGGATTTTTTTTTAACTTTTTCTTCTCTTTTTTTTTTTTCTTTTGGGAATAAGAGAAACCAAGCCTATGTAGCTTAATCAAAGACAAAATTACAGACATAATTTAGGGTGGCTTAGAGACTCAACAAAGAATTAACTCATCAAATCCCAGGAAATATAAGAACCGCATGTGACAATATAATGTACTATGAGGCAGGTTTGAATAATTTTCCACAGAAAGTTTGAAATGTCTTTATTAATAAGATTTATTTTAGAAAAAATAGATACCCATGGTATATACATAATGGAGGGTGGGTCCATTGAAAGAGTGAAAGCAGTCACAAAGGTACTGAAACTTGAGAAAGCATGGCACATACAGAAAAACGTGGGCTCTTCAATTAGGCTGTAGTATAAAATGTGGGTTGGAAAACAGGTAAGCACTGAGAAGGAAAGGGAAGAGTGGGAGTCAGCCAGGAAAGGTCTTAGAAATCATCCTAAGGCATGTGAATTTTACACCAAAAATGATGGGAAACTACGAATGCTATGACTTCCGTATTATGATAAAAATCTGTTCAATTTATTTTATTTCCAAGTTAGTCACGTTAAACATTTTATAATATCACGTGATGTCTAAATTAAAAGATAAGCAGTCTGGAAGTTGTTCTTTTCACAAAAACCATAATGTAAAAATTCCAGTCTTTGCTGAGGCTGAGAAAAAGAAACAGAAACTTTGAAGCAGAAAACTAAGGGAATGTCCTGTCCTTTATCCTGTGTGACTTGGATAATCAGTTCCCTTTTTCTGGGATGCCATCATTCTCCTTTTCCTCCTGAAGTATTTCTATTTACTCTTCAGACACAACTCAAATATTTTCTCCTTTGAGAAACCTTTCTTGGCTTCTACAAGATTTTATTATTTTTATTATCTGTTCTGATATCACCTTATATAGACCTCCTTTTAAAAATGTAATGCTATATGTCTACATGCTTTCGCTGTCTTAGCTCTGGACTCAAGCTAATCACCCTGTTGATTATAAATTAGCATGGAACAGTTACACTAAAGCCATTTCATGTTATTTTATTATATATTATGGTTAAATTAGCTACATAGTTTCAGAGAAAAATCTCAATGTATTTTGATACATGCAGATGTAAGAGTTAGGTATGTTTACTCATTTATGCTTTCATAGAAAAATCATTTTCAAGACTGTGTCAGCCATGGTCTGTATGGACACACTCCCATACCCACCTCCTACCTCCTCTCTCATAATGTTAGAGCTGGGAACACGTATGCACGTTCCACAGACCCTTGTGCCAGCTGGATCCCAGTTGGATCTGCCAATGAGAGGCACTTACAAGGATTAAAAGGCAAAAACATGTGGAAGCTGTTTCATTTTGTTTTTCCTGCTTCTGGTATGGGAGTCTGAGGGAGCGGAGACTCCCAAGCTTCTGATCTACACTGTGGCGGTTCTTTAAGTCTTGCATGCAGTGGTTACACCAGCATCACCAACAGTTTCCAGGAGTGTCAGTAGAATGTTAGCTCCTGGGTTATCATAGATTTCTTCCTTTATGCTTCTCCAGCCCTAAGGTCAGTAGTGTTTTCCTGCAGTTACTGTCTCTGAAAAACAGCACTTTTACGTTTTCATTAGTCTGGACATTTAATAATTTCCTAATCAATTTCCTGTTTTAAAATCCCTTTTGCTTGAAATAGATATAATGACTAGTGTAATGCAGGGAAGAAAAGATGGTGGCATTGAGTAGGATGGCAGCAGTGCCGATGGAGAAATGTACAGAGTTGAGCTGTATTTTGTGGCAAGCCAATATGGCGATGGATTGGATGTAAGAAGAGAGGTAAAGAAAAGAATCACAGATGATTTTTATTTCTTGATTTAAGAATCTGGTGTATTTACTGAGATAGAGAAGAATTGAAGAGAAAAAAGTAGATAATAAATGTAACTGCATTGAAATTACATCTATGAGCATTTAGAATGTCAGAAAATGCCTTATGGAAGCAGCCTTCCTAAGATTAGCATAGTTGAAGAAAAAGACAAGAAAGCGACCATGCTTATAAAATTTTAAAAGGCAGATTAGATTAGTGGCTGTAAGTGTGGGCTCCAGAATCAGACCACTTTATAAGGATTTTATGTTACTTTGAGAGTTGTATTTTTAATTCACAAATATAATAAGAATTACATAAACACACATGTGCCTACCACCCAAATTGACAAGGGAGGGTGAAAAGAAATAAGAATAATAATTTAATCTACCAACTACTGTTTTATCGTATTTACTTCAATTCCTTTTTATGTATAAAAGAAATAAAGCATTACAGTTAAAGCTGTCCTCTGTATCCTGTCCTTAGCACTTGTTTCCTTCCTACTATCATGAATTAAACAAGGTGTTCATTTTTTTCAGTCTGGATTTTAATATTTTGAATATATATATACACATCCATGAGTAATACATAACTTTATATGTTGTTTTAATATTACCTCCTCTGTGTGTGTCTATATACACACTATATATATATATATATATATATATATATATATATATATATATATTCCTGCAGATTTTTAAAAGTTTTTTATAGCTATGTAGTTGTGTGTATATAGTAGTATAATAACTGTCACAAGTTGTTAATTGCCCTAACCATTAGTTTTATCATCAATCAAATGGGACAAAATGATATAACACCTATCTCATAGGCTTTTTTAAAGATTAAAAGATTTCATCCAAGTGATGCTTGGCAACCAGAGTCTGACACAGTGCTATGCCCGTACCAAATGCAGGCTATTGTATAGCAGAGATGTTAGAGAAAGAGCACTGTTCTTTAGAGAGTCTTAAGGAAGGTCCAGTGGGACTGGCATGTGGCCTGAACATATGGCACCTTTAAACCGTCTCTGCTCTGCCAATATGTTTGCAATAAACTGTACTATCTATGGATATTGCTACTAGTTAAACTGAAGTGTTGTATCCTATTTGACTGTAAAGCTCCAAAAGTAAAATTGTGCTAATCTGTGCTAATCATCTTTGTATCACTAGTGCCTAATACAGTGCCTGGACTAGAAGAGTCTTTTAGCAAATATTTCCTGAATGAATAAATGAATGAAATCTATTACACTCACCATGCAAACAGAAAATTCTTTTCTATGTGAAAAATAACTGAGAGCATTTTTTAGAGCAAATTTGAGAAAACAAAACTGTTTAACATTGCAGTTGATACAGGTACTGTTACTTGATGGAACTTGTCACAAACTGCAAATCTAACTAAATGTTCAAGAAAAGAATGGAAGGCAAGGACAAAAAAAGATGATAAAATATTATAGAATTTTCCCTAAACAAGTGAACACCTGTTTGGCTGTCATATATATTATGTAAAAATAATTCATTAATAAAATAGAGTAATAACTAATTCATGTGCACACATAAAATACTGTATATTTTGTCATAAAAACACAGTATAGCAATGTTTTTACCTGTATTTAATAATTTCAAAATGGGTGTTTTAAACATTAACATTTCACGTACAAACTCATGAAAATTATGATTCAGAACACGTTTGTTAAATGGTGCCTTCATTTCCTAGTACTATGTTTTCAATAATGTGCAAATATTTAAACAACTTAAATATAAAATATTCACTTATATTTTTAATGGATGTGGTATCTCAATCCATTTGTGTCACTCCAGATCACAACATAATTTCTTAAGTAAGATGCATATTGAGTCATGTAAGTAACACATAAAAAGTTATAAAATAAATTGTGATCACACTTGGGCTAAATATAGAATGCACTAAATATCTGATGGGCATCCACACATTATAGAAATTAGACATTCAACCCTATATAGTAATTTAAAAACTACCGACAAATGCCTCTAAATCAATATCATTAAAAATCAGTTAACAACAACGACAATGACAATGAAATCTCTGTACAATGAAAAGATTTCTGAATCCAGATGATAATCAAATCATTTTGAACAAGGCTAAACACCACAACAGTTCAACATAATTTAGTAATTGGGACACCTCTTGAGAGATATGTGTTTTTAATCAAAGCAAATTTATTTGGAAAAATTTTCCTCCAAATTTTACCCTGGGTTAATTTATAAATTTTCTCCTGCTCATCCCTATTCTTCATTTTAAGGCTGTGTTTTAAATGTTATACCACTGAGATTTTACTTCTAAAATCTTACATATCTAAATGCTGCTACATTGAATACATGATTAAAGTATTAAATGCATGTGTCCCATATTAACATTCCAAATACATATAAAACTACTATCAACAGCATGTGACTTTCTTTTCCTTTTTTTGAGATAGGTTCTGTTACACAGGCTGGACTACAGTGGCATGATTTTAGCTCACTGCAGCTTCAAACTTTTGGGCCCAAATGATTCTTCCGCCTCAGCCTCCCTAGTAGCTGGACTACAAAGGTGCACACCAACATGCCTAGCTACTTTTTCTTTTCTTTTTTTTTTTTTTTTTTTTTTTTTTTTAAGAGAGACAGGGTCTCACTTTGTTGCCCAGGCTATTTTCTGGATGTCTATTAAAAAAAAATTAGTCCTGCACAGTGTTCTAGAAAGGGTTTTTCTTTTCAGAATATCCATATTCTCCAAGTAGCAAGTTAGAATATAAGGAATATTTGCCATTAAACCTTTCTGTTAGAAATGTAAACATGAAATTGCCTAATATAGACCTATCTCAGATGCTAAATAGAATTGTTTATAACACCTTTGGAATATAATTATGTGAGCTACACTTAACCATCTGGCATTTTGCTTCCTGCGGACAATTTGCAATAGCATAGAAAAATATTTTGTTTGTGTATTTCTTATCAAACAGATATGCTAAAGTTCTGTTTAGAGAGTAATAGCATTTTATTCTAACTTTTAAAATAAGGTAGTCCATTTGCAGCAGCTTGATATATAAGTAAACAAAAATTTTTAATATTAATAAAACACTAGCACATACACTGAAAGCATCTAAGAAATTCAAAATATAAAACACTTACCAAGTAATGACCATATGAGTGGTAACATATTGAATAAAGGCCCTTTGAAGAAGTTGGAGAGTTATGATTACTGAGCAGGCTAGATAATTAAATAATTACACATTTTGATTGAAAAATATATGTAGTTCATTAAAATAGGGACTCTAACTCCACTTCTCTAGCTAAGCTTCTATTCAGATGCCACGTTTGTACTTTAATTAGAACAAAAGACCGACATTAACTTCAATGCAACATAATAATTCATAATAATGATTGTATATTAATCTCTTGAGCTTGCAGGAATATAGCACATGACATATGGCATGATACAGGCACCT
The DNA here is from genome assembly GCF_000001405.40 of Homo sapiens. Lineage (NCBI taxonomy): Eukaryota > Metazoa > Chordata > Mammalia > Primates > Hominidae > Homo > Homo sapiens. Next base: position 175,808,679 of record NC_000003.12, on the reverse strand, counting down.
GTGTGATCCTTTGGGGACTTAGGTGGTGCATATTAATTAGCCCCTGGAAAATAAAATCTGTTTCCTTCTGAGAAAAGCTACCTCAGTGCTTATTGGCTTAAGCCATCAAAGAAATTAGATGAAATACTGTTAGGCTGGGTCTGCACTCATTAAAGCTTTGTCTAGATGTAAGCACTGAATCAACTGCCTCTGAGTTAAGTCTTGACTGAATGGTGCATAAGAAATCAGAGTAATCATGCATTTCTTTGGCCTTGATGATTGGATTTTGGCATTTAAAAAATCCATCAAAATTACCATTTTGGTTACAGAAAATTATGTAATTGTATAATTCAAACAAAATAATGTAACCAGAAACACTAAAATTTGAAGCCACTTCATTTTCCTAAATGCTGCTTGAAACTGCCTCAATTTAACCCTTTTATTTGTAAATTCAGATTCAACCCGAATATGAGATTATAAATGGCTTAAGAAATATGTCATCTTGCAATAATCAGGGTAACAAGATTCTTGACGGTCCCAGGTCTGCTAAAGGCACTTCAGTGTGTATATCTTTGTCAGGCAATGGAACGATATTATGAAACTAAAACTCTGGCTGATTAACAGATCATTTAAATTGAGACTGATAGATCTTAAAATTACTTCTCAGGGGGAAAAAGTTACAATGCTAGAGTGTACCTAGAAAACAGAAACTTGAGTAGACATGGTAATGACCAGAAAAGGCTATCTTTATACATTTCTTTTGCTACGCTTCAAATTCATGTCACCTAAAAGTTGTGAAGTGCACAAAACAAATCTACTTAACTGAAAATTATTTTCAATGAATGGGATGTTTAGAACTCTGTGAGGGTTTTTAAGGTCTTTTCGAATAGCAAATTCTAATGAGGCTTTTTTAAGTTGGCAATTTAAACTCATACAAGAAATAAAAACTCACCAGTGTGGCTGGGCAGAATATATATATTTTCTCAAATATTGTTTGTTTGTTTTTTCCCTGCACTGTATCCATGGTCCCATGATGAAACTGTTATATTGCTGATATATTTATTGGAATATGTGGGCCAACTTCCTTTCCACTCAACATATGGATTGGTAGTTTAAAATAATTCCTTTCTATTAAGCAAATGTGTGGCTAAGGCACATTTAAATAGCCCATTAAACCAATGAGATGACAATGTGTTACCCTCAGAGAAAGCTTAATTTTTGGAGTAATCAATTACACATATCACAGAATGTCTCATGAGAACATTTTTGGCTAGGTCTACCAATTTATCATACAAATAATTATAGATTTTCATTTGAGGCAAAGATGCTGATTCATCATTAGTAACATGGTCACAAATAATCATTTATTTTATTTTTGTTAACATCTGTCTTTCCTGTGGGGAAACTTACTATATGCTCTACGTTTATTTAATTTAAAAAGTCAATTGGTTATTCTGAATTTTTAAAAATAACATAAAACTGTTGTTCTAAATCACAGCACCTGCTTTTCTTTTTTTAGTGAAATTATATAAGCATTTAGAGAATGAAAGTGTAAGACTTGTGGTTTCTGGTCTCTTTTTACTGTTTGTAAGCCTACTCGTCATGATATTCCACAATGGTGCACTTGCCTTTTAATGCTCTTATAGATATCTTCAAACTTGCCTACATATATACGCCTTTGTTGGAGTGGGCTACCATCATCAGGAATGATGTCATTTGTTTCTTCAAACTCCTTTATTATACCAAAAAAGTGACAGACTCCACAGTCTGATCAGTTTTGGAGAAATATGTTAACATTTTCAATTATCTCACTTTCTAGAATCAAAATAGTCTGATTTTTTTTTTCGGCACTCAGTGTAAAGAACAAAGAACTGAATACAGTGGGCCCAGAAGAGAAATATGCCTCATCATTTTTATTAGCTTTGGAACTGTGGACAAGTCACTCAACCTAGTTTTCTCATTTTGAAATGGGTTGTTGTGGGAATTAAAAAAAAAAAAAAAAAAAAAAAAGGATACATGGGAAAAATTCTAAAACACCAGTGCCTGGGATGTAGCAGGCACAAATATAAGCTGCAACTGAATTGTTTTCTTAGAGATAAAATGGGTCCACTTTTCTTTTCTCATAATGATTCCATTAATAACAAATCTTTACGTCTTTCTTGTTATTATGACTCTTCAATTTATTTAGAAATGTCAATTAGTGTTTTCTTGGAAACTACGATTAACGTAGATTGGAAATTCTTAAACTTCAGTGTGTGTAACAGACATCCAGAAATCTTGCTGAAGATGTAGATTCCTAGCCCTGTCTTTCTAAATTTCACATTTTGAGAAACGGTGATTTAGATTGTTGACTTAACACTGGCCTGACTTGCCCTCTTACAGATATATTTTGCTCAATGTCCTTCTTCCTGACTTCTGGTGTTCTGTAAGGATTCTCCCCACTTTCTCTCAAGTACCCAGTCTTTGTGTCCTTTGCCTGAATTCTCGGGGAGAGTTTTGTTTGTCAGGTACAGTCAGAGAATGAACTAGCCTTGAATTAAAAGCAGTGTTTCCAGCCCATGCAACATCTGACAGAATGGCTGGTTACATCGAATGCACTGGAAAAGATCATTTATAACCCTGTCTCCTCAGGGAGAAGCAAGATATACTGCATGAGAAAGCAGAGAAGCTTAAATTCCAGTGGTGCTTTTGTTACTAACTAAATACATGACTATGTCCAAGTTTCTTACTCACTTTGGGTTTAGTTACTATATCTGGTGGGGGTAATTGATAATGCCTTCTCTGGCTGAAGGCAAGATCTCAGGGCTTAGACCAGAATCTTTATTAGGCTTTCTTTTGATTCTGAGACTTATGCTTTTCCATAAAGGGCAGTATCTCATGTGTACCCTGCCTGAACATAAATTTCACCGTTACACCTTTACCACATTTTCTTCAGAGAATATTTATGATTCATTATTTCCTAGGCACAATTCTATGTATGAAAGATTGTGAGAAGTACCAGGCATATAGACGACTCAGCAACAGCTTAAACCTACTACCAATTCACATTAACACTTGCTATTAATTTGCTCAGGATTTTATTTATTTGAATCTATTGGGGGTGGGGAGGGGAGGGGAGTGAAATGATATACATTTGGAGGCACCCTCAGGTAATCACACTATAGAAATAATGCTGCTAGTTAAGAGGTTTGTTGCAAAGATGTAAAGCAGCATGTACAGAATTTGTTGGACGTCTGCTTTAGGTATAATTTAATATCTCCACGTATCTTTTAATAGACTAATAAAAAACCATAGTTAACTACAGTTTTCAAATAGCAAATAACATATAATTTAGAGGTGAGGAATACAGAAGAAGGTTTTTATCTATACAGTGTGACTTACCTAGGTACGCAATCTTTAAACAAAATGAAGAAGAAACATGTTTTCTGTTCTCAGTGCTATTGTAGGTTATGGGAATAAATTAATTTAGAAATTTGTTCTAAAATAATGAACTACCAAACTGATAATAGCTTGCCTTTATTTGTTTTAGTTTCATCTGTAAGTGAATAACTGGAATGAACACATCAACCTTTGGTTAAATATAAGGCTTTCTAGCTTTTGGGCTTACATGCACCTGCTTGTGTATTCCCACCTCTTTTCTGATGATCTCTGAAGAGGAAGAAAGAGCATGAATGCCTAGGTATGCACAAGCCTATTTATTTCTAGACCTTTCCTATACACACTCTTCAACATGGCAAATGTTTGCAAACAAATACATTGGTTAAAAAAATAATATTGTAAGGTAGTTTCATTTTTCATCTAAAAATATGTGCACACAGGCAATTTCGATGAAAATGGATTTCTGCTTGAATTATCTAGCTAATTGCCTCTATTCCCTGCTTTGCCTTGAGCATATAAAAATTATTTAGGGTAGACAGTGTTGAACCTTATAAATCAATTAATCAGTATTGATTAATTATTTCCCCTCAACTTTAGTTTGCCTTTAAACTAAGACTAGGTTTATGCTCATCCATAAAAAGTGAAAATTTAAACATACACAGACTGTCTGCAATGTCACTCTGGCGGTGTATCATGGGGAGATATGTTTGAATTAGATAGAGAAAATTTATATGAAATACTCTGAGGCTATGTTTCCTAAGGGGAATTGCTTTATCCAGTATAGGAAAACCATTTTTCACATAAATTTCTAAAGATAAATTAGAACTTTAACCTGACACCTAATAGGTAGAATTTTAGGGTTTGGGGGAATAATAATAGTTGCTAGAGCTATTCAATGGCAATGTCAATATAAAAAGCTTAGTTTTCCACATGAGAGAAGAACTGAAGTGTAGACGAGACACTCTCTTACAGTAACACTGCAGAAACTTAGAAGCATGAATATTTTCTAGATTTCCATCTTAGTCACAATTAAGGATAAAGAAGAAAAAATATGAAAAGTTTCTTCATAATATTAAGGGGCTTTTATTGATAAAACAACTATTTCTTTCATAGTAAGTTCTTTTTGTCAGAGGCAGAAATAGAAATTTGATTCTTTAGAAGACATTTTGGGTTTCAAAGAGAAACTCTGCTACTTTACTGTTGAAAATATATAGTACTCTGAGAAAGCTGCCTTACAGCAAGGAGTTTCAGAAAAGATACAAGAAAGAAAACCAATGTGAGATGCTTTCATTTTAGAGTCCCTGCTTCAGTGTTTCCAACAGAAACAAGAGAAAAAGTAATAAGAAATATTTTTTTCTCCCTCTTAAGACATACATCACTCCTGAAATTCTTAGAAAATCAACTGAGGCAAATTAGGGGTTTCAAAGCTAGTCACCTTGTAAGTTGTTAGGAAAAAAATTTGCATTTAAATTGCTCTATGTAGCTCCCTTGAGATTTTCTCCTGGAATGCTTATGGCTCTTTTTTCATTAATACTTAAAAAAATACAATTTCATAACCAGTGTATTACTACATCTAGTTGTGTTAAGAAGAGAAACTTCATTTCATAAAATAGAAACATTCAAAGTGGTTTAGGTCAACCAATCACTCAGTCAGAATACTTGAATTCTTCATATTGAACACTTAATAGTGAAGTTAATCTGAACCATATCAACTCTCCATTTCTTTTACAGAAACTAAGTCATTAATAGCTCTATCAGAGAGAATAAACTGTGTTCCTATATGCCCTCCCCATAGGAACAAAGATAGTCCAGAACTTCTTGGAAATTTTTCCTTAAAATAGTACATATTTTTATATATCAGATTTCTTTTTAATAGGTAATTCTTAAGTCCTATTTCAATAACTTGCTTTACATATTCAGAAATGTAGATATAAGAAAAATATTAAATGTGCAAAATGTTCTTTCTATATTTACATTTAAAAAATACAATGTAATAATAGCTTTATACTTGTCAAAAAGCCATTGGGGAAAATAAGCCTTCAATGTCAGAAAATCTGGTTAAATTAGAGCTTTTGCTTGTGGAATTGTAAACAAACTTTTAAAAATGCTCAGAGTTTTCTCAATTCTTCCCATCCAAGACACTCTTGAACACATCAAGTCCTGCTTTGAAGTAAACCTGAGCTGAATTAATGCTGTTCAACACCTCTGACAGGGCTTCTTGAAGGGTCTCATTTGATGCAAGGGGTTTGCAGTGTTCCCAAGCCTCTATAAGTATTGAAAACCGGCTTGTCTTTTCATCAAGGTGGTAGAGGATGTTTCTGAAAAGAAATACAAAATGTATAAATGTTTCATGCACAATGCTATTTTTCTATCAAACGTTGGAATGAATATTTCTAAGAGTCAGTGATGTTTTCAATAAATGAATAAATTATAAAAATATAATATCACGATTTTTCAACTCCTAATGAATTAACAAATTTAGACATTGATCACCAATAGTTTCCCATATTGATGAGAAAGAGAGAAATGATCAGAAATTATATGCCTCCTGATGGAAGTACACAACACTACGAAACAAAAAAAAGCAGTTTTGATAGAAAAAGAAAATTGTATCTGAATCTGATGTTTCTAGATTTAATTGCTTATAAATACAAGAAACAGAAAAAAATAAATTATACCACAATGTGTCATTAGCAAAATATAGATGTGGAAAACTTTATAAGACAAATGACCCAGTTTATTCAACAAATCAATTGCAATACAATATATAATGCAGGGGGAACCTATAGACCAGGGTTTCTCAATGTTGCCCTCTCACTATTCTGGCTAGATAATTCTCTATTGTGGTGGCTGCCTTGTGTATTGTAGGATGTTTTTCTGTATCCCTGGCCTCCACACACTAGATATCAGTAGCACTCCTCCTTTAGTGTAAAAACCAAAAATGTTTCTAAATATTGACAAAATATCCATAACAGAGCAAAATTGTCCCCCCCCAAAAAAAAATCAATCACAAAGCATAGACCTTACTAGACTTGTATTTAAACAGTTTAAAATATGAGAAGTAGTGCAAAACTGAACACTGACTATTGGGTGATATTAGGTAATTGCAAATATTTTAGATGTGATAATGGTATCATCAATGTTTTCTAAAAGTGCTCTTATCACTTTAGAAAATTAATACACACTGTAATATTTGCAAATGAAATGTTATTATGTCTGGAATTTGCTTCAGATATTTGGAGGGCAGATGAGAGAGTGGAGCTACAGACAGTATAGAGGCAACACAGTTGACCATTAGTTAATAATTGTTGAAACTGGGTAATATAATTCATTACACTGTTCTCTCTTCTTTTATATATGTTTGACATCTAGAATACCATCTTCTCACAAGTGTGGAATGCATAATAAGATAGTGCCCTGTAACTTAGTCAAATTGCTGAGAAGGAGAAATTTGATTTGGGAAAGTCTAAAACAGTCCCCTTTATACATTCATAGATACAAATAGATGCATTTTGTTAGAAAGCTATGAATTATTGCATCATTGTCTTATTTCGAACCCAAACTAGCTGAAATCTCGTGGTCTAATAAGGGAGGCAAACAGGTAAATAACTTAAATACATTTTTCTAATTGTTATAGTAGAGATGTAAGGTCTAGTTATAACAGATGATATATTGCTACTGGGAAAGGTCTAAAAAAGGTCTAAATGGAGAATATTTAAATTGCATCTTGAAAGATGAGGGGAGCTGCCAGTTACAAAAGTTTAGGAAAGTAAAAAAGCTAAAAGAGATGAAGACAGGACAGCATCCTATGCAGAAGGAATGGCATAAGCAAAGACACAAAATTATAGAACAGCATGATATCCTTAGTGAAATCCATGTTAGCATTTTTGTAAGATCAGAGTATAGGGCCAGACTGGGCAATGATAGGAGCAGACATGGGAGAACAAGCCATAGTCATATCATACAGGGCCTGGTAAACCAAGGTAAAAAGATTAAACTTGTTCCTATAAGCAATAGGAAACCAGCAAAAGGATGTAAGCAAGAAAGAAAGGTGATTATATTTCATTTTGGAATAATTATGTTGGTTGTAATGTAGAGCCTGGAGAACAGAAGACCACTTAGTCCAGATGAAAGGTGACAAAGACTTAAATTACACAGTGATGACTGAGTTTGAAAAGATGGAATCAGGGCCACAGCACAAAATTTATTAATTTATACTTTTCTCTAGCACCAGCATCAACTTGATTGAGTTCTTGATCACCATTTCCTCTCAGCAATGCTTCACTGTCTCAGCCTTGCCAGCACTTTTCACCACATACTCTGTAGGGATTAATGGGGAGTGAAATCTACCTAATGCCCTAAGCCAGAACCCTGTAAGTCATTCGCTTTCCTTACATGTCCAATCGGCTTCTGATATTCATTTATCCATCTCTGTCTTATCTGTTGTGATATCCTAATCCCTATTTTCAAGAATATGTTATGATCTCATTGCTTTACACTTCAGAGTGAAGAACATGTTACTTCTGTATCAAGTCTAATTCAGTGCTGTGAGGCTAGGAGGTCTTTAGTCATGGTGATTTAACTTAGTTAAATTTTTATCTGGCTTAGTTCAGTGCTGGGAACTCAGTAGACCCTCAATAATGTTGGTATAAGGTATATCAATTCAGCTTATTTTGGATTTTAAGCCATAATTCATTGAAGAACAGTCGATTTTGTATCTTTGGAGAGAAATTTCTGTTGAAAATGAGTACATGATGAGGGGTGGTGGGAAAAGAGGATTCTTGAATAGAGAGATTATTTCAATGATTTTGTTCAAGACAGAAAAATTTAAATGGGAACTATCTCTAATAGTCCAATATCCTTTATCATCATGCTTATGAGTAAACTTAGCATTGTATTAAGAAAATAGAGCAGTGCAAGAAAGATACTCTCAAAATTCTGAATATTCTTGAATTCAGGTTTATAGTTTGTATTAAGAAAAATATATTCCCTGAATATGGGAGGGAGAAAATTACCTCCCAGGTGGAGTAGCAAGAGGGTTGTGAGCAATGCTCTGGTATAAGGTCTTGTGGAGTGTAGAAGCTCTGTAGCCCAAGGAGCACGTAAAAGAGGGATAGAACTGCCTCTGGCACTGGGAACAACTCCACCTGCCTCATCACCAACACTGCTGGCTTGATCCACATTGTGGTCACCTGGCCTGGGAAATGCACAATCTATGCCCATACACACAACTGCTCCAGGCCTCTGTTACAGATGAGAAATATGCAATCTGGGAATAAACTATATATTCAATAAATAAATATAAAATTGATTCATCATCCAGTACCAGGAAATGTTAGATTCCCCTGTATACTCGGAAAATTTTGTCTCTACTTCCAGGCGCAGAACATTCTTTAAAGCAGACATTTTCCCTTTGCTATTCTCCAAGTATTCTTAACATTAAAGCGATTTTCAGAAGAAGCCATATCAACCATGCGAATGTAATCAAGTAAGAGATTATTTATGTATGTACATAAATACATATGTATACATGTATTTTTATACAGAGAACTTTTGAAAATGTTTTGATGATATCTCAAAATGACTTAAATAGTGAGAATTAGTGAAATACTTATTGAAAGTTTCCCTAAATATTAGTTTTATTTCATAAAAATGAGAAACCAAATAATTTTAGAGAAACTTTGACTGAACTGTAGAATTGTTCAAAATGGAGATGAAACTGCCTGGAATATTTTTGTACGTGACAGAACCTATACAAAAGTTAGTTTTTTCAGGCTAACATAAGCTTTCTTGTCATTTAGGAAAAAGACTTGGCTTCTGGTGCCAGGATACATATCAAACATATTTACATTCATAATCTACTATTCAAACAAACATAAATATAAATGGATATATATATGTATTCATATACAAATGATGAAAAAGTCATTTAGTAATCAAGATATTTTAAAGATAAAAATGGATTAAAAATATTTTAATTATTCAGCTATGTAAAAAATACTGCTTTGTAGACAACCTATACTGCTTTACTAAAAGAATAAACTACTATAATTAAAAAATTAATCATTTTTCATAATATTTACAGTTTTGAATTCTCTTCCTTCACTTTATGAGTTTCATGTTTAATTATGAATCATTAAATGGCAAACATATTTCCAGAATTTAAGAGAGAGTACAATCGATATTTTTAAAATTGTATCAAACATTTTATCTCCATACCTTGAGGACAAATTGTTTAGTATGCTGACAAACAAAAATATTATAATCCATTATTATCAAAAACTATTCCTTAAATGAGTTGTAACATTGCAACTAGTATATTATGGGGGGCATGTTTAAAGATTCTTAGACTGTTATAATGACTTTTCCCCATCTGCAAAACCCAATGGCATGAAGTACATTTCTACCTATACATTATGTGCTTATTGAATGTTAAATATCCATATTCAATTTAATGATAAGATGTTATTAATAAAATATGCTCATAAAAGTTACAGATTAATCCTGTGATGGCAATTCACATAAGCATGAACAGTATCTAATATATTTTTGTAAAATGTGTCAATAACTACCATAAAATATCTGGAAGAGGTATAATGTAGAAGAATAAAAATACATCCTAAAAAAATGTTCAGGTCTAAAACACAAGAAATTAGAATGATTACTGTTTTAGAACTGAAAATCAATACATACATTTCCTAAAGGCCAATGCAATGGAATGGGGAGTATGCCAACACTTGCTTCTCCTAACTAGTAAGCAACATAGTAACATGCTTTTATAATGACTGTAAACAAGCCCTATGAGCAGAAATGGATCTTTTTTTAGTTTGTGAAATTCTGCAAGTAGCTAAACACATTTTCCATATGCTACATGATTCAAGTAGTAGGCTTGTGGCAAGCTATTATGGAAGATAAACACTCATACCCATTTCTACTCAAATTGGATACAAATCAGCATAAAGCTAAGATACTGAGATTCTAGTAGAATATAAGTGACTGAGATTTTTTCATCATCATTTAAAAAAACCTTCATTTTGGGTAGCTTCTGATGTTACTTAAGTTAGATGATCTTTATTATAATAGTAGAAATACGTTTTTTCACCCAGATAAATTGTATTACCTTAAAAACAAATCGGGGCTAGCAAAAATATCTTCTTTAAATTTGCATGAGAAAGATCATTTCTCCTACTGATTTTCAGAATTAGCTCATCTTTTGCAGTTTTTTTTGTGTGCTGAAAACCACTTAGCTTCCTGCTTACATAAAATAAATTTCTGCATTTTGAATCATTTATGAAAATATAGCATTATATTACTTTTAATACTTAAATGGAAGGTTAAAACAAAATCATGTTTTTACATGTTATCACATATGTTCTCATGTATTTCTTGGCTCTGAGAACTTTTACATATTCAATCATTAATCCTAAGTACTCTCAGAATCATCTCTTGACAGCAAAACCAGTATTATACCATTTTAATATGCAAATGCTTCTTGTTTGTGGATATTTCAATTAGATCAATACTCTTATGGAAGCTTCTAATTCAAAAGCTCTTTGAATTCCCATGTAATGTCACTAAAATTGAATTGGTCAAACAGAGTTAAAAGATATTAACAACAAACACTATATCAGAGTGCCTAAGTGTGTCCCTCCTCCATTATAGACCCATTTTTCAGATTGGGAAAGACTAGGAACTGACCAATAGCCAGTCAAAAGGCACATGTCTGGCAGAAAAAATACAGTGGAAAGAAAGTGAGAATATATTTTGAGAGTTTCCATATTAAAAGTCTGTCCTTTACAACCACAAGGACTCATATTCCTTAGTGAATCATTCCTGCTCTTCAATACACCTGCTTTAGTCCAATTTAGAAAAGTTTCCCTGCAGGAAGAATAGATTGTGTTAGCATAGATCTAATTCAATAAATCACTATCTTATTTGCATACACAGAACATGTATCTTAGAATGGCATGTAGAGACATCAGACCTAATTAAAATATTATTTAATTGAAATCATTTTAGTAGTTATCATGTGTAAAATAACATTAATTCCACCCTCATGCCTATCTTCCCTCATCTGTAACAATTTGGATCTTATAAATGTAATTCATACAGTTATCCTGACCCACACACAACATAAAGAGACTACTAAAGGAAAGTGTAATATATTATTGATGACACTAATGAAATTACAACACACATCACTCATTATAGTGAGCCTGTTTCAATGACACATCATGGTGACCAGGAAAGAACAGCGCCAAACTCAGAAACCTAATTAACAACTCCAGGTGGTATCAGTGAAGGAGATGAAATATCTTTACTCAACTGACAAATCTTTTCCTCTTAACTAAAGCAAAAGAAAACTGAAAAAAAAAAAGCCATGAATTTTTAAACAAAGGCAACTAAAATCTTCATAAGTCATTTCCATGTGTTTGAATTAGAAAATTAATGATGGAAATAATGACTCTTTTTCAAATGTTCCTTCTTATATTCATAAATGGGCACAGGATGCCATCCATTGTAAGCCTGAATTAACATTCATTATACCCCATGTTGAGAAACTCCTAAATGAAATCACACTAAATAATAAGTCATGTCTTTCAAAACTGACTGGGTATACATGCTGAATGCAGAGAGAAAAGTTCAGCTAAATTTCATACAATTGTTGCTATTTCTTTTAGGGATTATACTAACTGTACTCCATAGTTAACAGTAGATTACTGTATTTATATCAACATTAGAGGAGATTATTTTACTTCGATACTACGTCCATGAGAATGCACAAAGTGCATGGCTACACTATTTATACTACACATATCCTTTGAGCTAAATTTGAATTTGTTCTATACTAGCAAAAGCAGAATGAGAATTAAGACTTTGTTGATATTGTTAAGCCATAAACTCACTCTGCAGACAACTGAGGCACAAAGACACGTGTGGTAGATTGTTGAGGGAAATGGCTGCAATTATTTTCCTCTGTGTGTGGAGACTCCTTTAAAATAAGACTTTGCAGCTCATTCCATCAAGAGGCACAGACTACTTCTCTACCTCTTGAATTTGGTTTGGGCCTTGACCAACAGAATATAGCATATGTAGAAAGCCCATGTCTCAAAATCTCCTGTATGCTGCTTTCTCTCTCCTTCCCCTCCCCACAGTTTTGGCAAGCTACCATGCTGCTTCTCTCTCTCTCTCCCAACCCCCCACCCACCCTGCCTCTCCCCCACTCTCCCCCACTCTCTCTCCTTCTCCCTCCCTCCCTGCCAAACCACCATGTTACCAATAAGAACAATAAGGGGTTAGTTAGCCTGCTGGAAGAGGAAATAACACAAGGATCTGGTCAGTAGAGGTTTTCCTTTACTAGCTAGCCCCAAGACAACTTCACAGCAGAGGCACTGGTTGCAGACATAAATACAGATAACAAGACCCAGCCCAGCCACAACCAGAAGAACCACCCAGCTAAGTAAAGCTTAAAGGGCATATTGAAGAATAACAGAAAAAATAGTTATTTTTTTAAGCCATTAGATTTTGAGGTGATTTTCAATGAGGCAATACATAATTTATAAAATTTGGTAGCATTTTTCTTCCCATGAGAATCTGTTCTTTTTTATTTATTTTATTTTATTTTATTTTTTTATTTTTTGAGACAGAGTCTCGCTATGTTGCCCAGGCTGGAGTGCAGTGGCACAATCTCTGCTCACTGCAAGCTCCGCCTCCCAGGTTCACACCATTCTCCTGCCTCTGCCCCTTGAGTAGCTGGGACTACAGGCACCCGCCACCACGCCCAGCTAATTTTTTTTTTTTTTTGTATTTTTTAGTAGAGACGGGGTTTCACTGTATTAGCCAGAATGGTCTCAATATCCTGACCTCGTGATCCACTTACCTCGGTCTCCCAAAATGCTGGGATTACAGGCATGAGCCATCGCGCCCATTGACAGAGTACAATATGGATTTGACAATTCTTAAATGACTAGCTAAATTCAGGAGATATCATTAGTAAATCATGCCAAACAGTCCCCATGAGGTATGCATTACAAAGTTAGGATATCTGTACTGATTTATTAAAAGTTTAAAAATCTGTTCACAGAGTGACAGATGGAATTTTCACATAAAACAGAAACCAAAGTCAACCATTGTTATAGACTGAATGTTTGTGTTCCTGCTCCAAATGCACACACTGAAGCCTTAGGCCCTGCAGGTGGGATGATATTAGGAAGTGGAGCCTTGGGGGTAATTAAGTTTGGATACGGTCATGAGGGTAGAGCCCCCAGGATGGGATTAGTGCCTTTATATGAAGAGGAAGAGGTACCAGAGCTTCCTCGCTCTACCATGTGAGGATGCAGCAGGAAGGCAGCCACTGACAAGCCAGCCAGAGTACCCGCTCCAGAACCGGGCCAGGCTGGCACCCTGATCTTGAACTTCCCAGTCCTGAGAACTGTGAGAAATAAATGTCTGTTGTTTAAGCCACCCAGTCTATAGTATGTTGTCTCAGGCAGCCTGAGTTGACTATGAAAACCATCACAGCATAATTTTTTTAAATATGAATTATCATCTTGAAGAGATATAACCCAAGAAATAGATAAAAGTGTCTGTTTGCATTTATAATTAAAATATAAAATAGAGCAGAGGACTGTAGAGGGAGTAAACAACTGTGTTCTTTTGCAGTTACTGTCAAGAGTTCTCAGTCCATCTAACTATAACTACACTGTTTTTCAAGAGAAATTTCCTGAGTAAGAAGTTATCTTTTAGGATATTCAAGTAAGACTCCCATTCCACTGCACAGTGCTCGATAGTTTAACAATAAAGAAAACTTATATTTTTGTATTAAAAAACCTCCTACTAATTCAAAAACAAGACTAAAATCAAATGAAGTTAACACAATCCTTAGTGCCTTTCAGAATTTGGAGAAGACAGTGATACAGTTGACTACTTTTTTTTTTTCCACACTCATTTAATTGGTTTCTTGTTTTTATTTATATTTCATCGCGACCATTTTCTTTCATCTTATCTCTATGTATGAACTCAAACTCAATATTTAGATAACTTTTCTTTCTTTACTTATTTGGAACTCATTATCTCTTAGTATTTCAGCTTCCACTCAGTAGGTAGAACCTGTCAACCTCCAAAGACAATTTTATTTGAATACCCTACAGGCTTTTGACAATTAATATAAAGATGCATTTCGTTTCATCTGCACTCCAGATATTTGCATTGTCCTTTTTCCATTGTTCTTTAGTTACCTCCATTACCTCTGGCAAACAGTAATGGTCAGGTCACAAAACGAAACAAAATAGGTAATTCAGCTTTATTTTTTTCATTTATTTTTCTGATTCTAATAATGAGAAGGATGTGGACTATGTGTTTTGAAGTTCACTCTAAAGCCAAAAGTTTGCCATTTAAGCTGCATCTATTTAAACAAAGTGAGTAATTCAGCCAGTATTGATGTTTTTCCGCTTATTCTACTGAACAGCCTTTATTAAACATCTAATATGAGTAAGTCACTGTGTTAGTTGCTTAGGGATAGAAACTAGAAGTTTACAGTCTAGGTTGGAAGCCAAACGTGATGAATAAATCAAAATATTATTTTGAACTTATTGTTTGTATAATACTTTAATAAATACTATATGGTATGAGGTTATTTAATTTTATGTTTTATAAAATTTTTCACTTTATTCTATATTTATATTAGATGGTTAGAAAATGCTGCTTTGGGCCAGGTGCAGTGGCTCACGCCTGTAATCCCAGCACTTCAGGAGGCCGAGGTCGGCAGATCACGAGGTCAGGAGATTGAGGCCATTCTGGCTAACACGGTGTAACCCCGTCTCTACTAAATATACAAAAAAAAAAAATTAGCCGGGCGCGGTGGCGGGTGCCTGTAGTCCCAGCTACTCGGGAGGGTGAGGCAGGAGAATGGCGTGAACACGGGTGGCCGAGCTTGCAGTGAGCCAAGATCGTGCCCACTACACTCCAGCCCAGGCGACAGAGAGAGACTCCGTCTCGAAAAAAAAAAAAAAAAAAGAAAGAAAATGCTGTTTTGTTATAAAGTTTTTTTTGAATCTTGCCTCTCTATGTCATATACTGTTCATTGTCACGTAGTACAAAGTCTAAAAATATTCTATGCAGTGCTCACTGTGTGCTTTATTGTTTAGGAGAAAAGTTCCAGAGGTAGTTCCCCATGGTATGAATTTAACTTGGGTTATCTGATCTCAATTGTCATAATGTTGATTCAAGTAACACAGTCCTAATTAAGCAAAAGGTAATTCTTTCACCAGATTATTTCAGAAATAGGTATGTGACCAAATGTTGGCACGTACATTTGAGAGGAAGTTTCCTGCAGGATTCTAAAAGCAGTAGTCCTTGGATTTCTGAAAGAACCAGCAAAAGCTAATCCACTTTTTTCTTTTGAAAAGTATGGGTTATGGATATGAAATCTATACATGCCACATCTTCTTTTACCCCACCAGGAGGAAATCAGTCTTAAGATGAGCTTATACTACGGAAGGCAGAGCTGAGAGACTGAAAGAAACTTATTCCTTGATGACGTGATTGCAATACTGCATCGATCCAACCTAACATCTGCACTTCCTCTTGATTTTCAATTACGTCAGTTAAGCCAATGTGAGTACGGCTTTGTGTTCTTTTCAATCAAATATATCCAGATATACTATACTTGATTACTTACTGTAGTTATGAAAAACACATAGACATTCTCTTTTACAATTATAGATATAGTTTTCTTTGACCTAAAGAATTTAGATAATTCATTTAGTTGACATCTGAAAATGATTGCCTTAGGGTCAAAAATGCATGGTTTCTCTTGAATAGTAAGTATTCAAGATGATTTGAACACTTCAAAATCAACAAAACATTGTAATGTTTGCTTAATTTTAGCTAGAATGAAAAGTAAGTACAAAGTGCAGCAATTGACCTACTGAATCTATGAATGTTGATCACAAAGCTTGAGGTATTAATGAAAGAATGATTTAATGTTAATTACAAAAACTAGAAACATCACATTTAATATTTTTAAGAATTGTTACAGAAGTTAACACAATAAATATTAACTTTGAAAATGTGACAAAAATTAATGCTTTAAAGGAGCACTTTGGTACTTTTTCTTAGCTGAGTAAATTTCCTCACAGTTTATTCGTGTGTCACTATTTGCAACAACTTTTGCTGCCACAAGGAAATGAAAATGTTGTGGTTTTAATTTGTAAACAAATGGACACAAAAACAAACAACATATTACACAATTTTTTAAAAAGTAAAATCATCTCATTTCAAAGTACCATTTATTTTTTTTTAAATGCAAGTACTAGACAGGCATTTTTAGTGATTATGTTAAAGTTAATTGTGAAAAGAATTTCCAAGTTGTGAGTAAATAGTAGAAATATCAGGGTTGTTTTTTTTTTTTGCTTTGGGAACTCTAAAAGCAAATTCCACACTGTCAGCTGTGAATATTAGAGGGTTGAAGAGGGTCCTCAGGTATGCAGCACAAAATAGGTGTGCTGCATGTACAATTTAAGAAAAAAATAAATTTATTGAAAAAATATACTGTATATATATTTTATATACAATATACTATATGTAACAGTTTACAGAAATGATAGAAGACATTGAGAATGAAGCAGTAACCAAGGGAAACTAGGTATAAGGATATTTCCAAGATCCCATTATAGAAATAGTCAGTTTAGGACATCAATGTTTGAGATACCCCCACTGCCACCATTGCATTGGGAACACTCCTCTGTCATGACAGTCTTGCTGCCTCTACTTCTGCTCTGCCACTGACAGAGTTTGTCCACAACAAGAGTGAATAATGTTGAACTGTCCCAATGTCTTGGTTTCTCTTCTTTCAGATGTAAAGTCCTGGGAGGGGTCATCCAATTAGCTAAGCTTAGGGCACATGCCTTTACCCTAGCTCAAATACAAATATCTGGACCCTGATTCACCTTCTGTGGGGAGACATATGCCCTGCTTCCAGCTAAGCTCACAGGGGACTCACCCCATATAGAAAACAGGGTTTGATATCAGGCACTCAAAAATAAAATAAAATAAATTTTAAAAGAGCAATATCCACTACACTGGTAATAGAAAAGTGTATTTCCACAGGATTCTTTTAGAATTATCCTCTAGTTTGCTGCCCCGCTATATAGCACATTTTTCCCCTCATATTAAATATTAGCAAGTATTCTACAATGTTCTAGGAATCATTACCAAATTTAATGTGCATGAGAATAACCTGCGAAACTTTTAAAGGTGCTTAAGAGATTCAGATGCAATGGAACTGAGATGCTTTATTTGAGTCTGTATTTTTTCCCAGCTCCCTAACAGAAACCTAATGCATGACACCCACATAAATTCAACAATTCCTCCAGTGAGTTTTACATATACAAAGATGTCTTGTTTTGTTCCCAAACTAGTTTCTTCTGGTTACATGTGTAATTATATACAAAATTACATGATTTAATTAGCATTATGTAAATAATGATAGTTTAAGTGTGAAAGAAAGAGTTATCTTTTTGAAAATGAACCTGAATGTTTTGGACAGACTTACACAGATTAATTGATGAAATTTGAAAGTGTTGTTCAAGTATATGTGGAGACATAACTGAAAAGATTATTAATAAGGGGAGGAAAGGAGTATAGTGACAAGGCAGAAAAAATCTGCATTGCAAGTGCCTATTTCTTGCTCCAAGGTGAGGAAACTGAAACTAGGAATCTTAGACGTTGCATCATATGTGTTGTTTAAACAAGAAAGTAAATCTAGAATTCCAATCCCCAGAACAATACTCAAAGAAAAGTTCTTTGTCTTATACCAAAAGATTGATAATGAGTGTTTCAGTTAAAATAAATAAAATGCTTTTTCAAGCATCTAAACATCTACTGGCTCTGCTTGTGTCACATAAAAGAATGTTTATTCTAAAGGCAGTATTTAGTCAAAGCTACTCCTAAAAACTGAGAAGGCAAATAGGTATCATCTTGAGTTCCAACTCTCATGAACTGGTGGTAGTGACTTGAAGTACTAGATGAACAATGGATCTGGGGCCCCAAAAGAAAGAGATCTGTCATTACTCAGACTCCTGTTCACAGACCCTGCTTCACTGAAGATTATCTAGCCAATTTTATTGATTGATAGTAATGCATAGGTTTGTTGACATAATCAATGCATATATAAACCAAGTTATCAAAATGAAGAGAAAAAGGTCATAATTACTTGGTGTTGGTAATTAAGTTAGCCAATCCTAGTAAGTATTTTGAAATTTTGTATTCTAAGTCCCCTGCTTTTCCTGTTTATGAAATCTGAGATAACTAAATAATTGTTACATTTCCTTTCCTAGATGCTCTAGACTCTGTTGTCACTATGTGTTTAAACAATTGCCCAATCCATTATTAATTTATTAAATTATACTTAGGGAAAACAAAATGCATTTGTATTTTTTTATTAATAACTTTGAGTTTCATGGATGTTTAGCTCTTTTTGTAAGATGTGTGGTACTATCTGAAATACATACTAGTTTTTAAAGTAATTGACTTTATTCAGTGGGCTCAGTTCTATTAATATATATCCACCTTTTTTCTTGAAACTTAATATTTAACATATGCAGAAAATAATGCATGCAGTTCTTAACTGTACCCTTTGGAACTGTGGCCCTAAATAGAGAAGAATAAAAGTAATGGGTTCTTTGCACTGGACATCTTGATACAAGTCACCTTGACATTTTGTTCCATGCTTAATGAATGTTCTGGCAGGCATGCTAATCCAATAACCTGAAAACAACATTACTCAGTGAATTCTGAGCCATACAAAAGCCAAGACCTCAAGTAGTAGAATATGTTCTCAATTGAAATTATGTAAATGTCAGGTAGTCTGTGAGATGATTCTTCAATTGTATAAAATACATTAAGATGACTAAGTCATATGTGATGGTTAGATGATAGAATTTTGATACTTTTAACACAGAGAAGACATATACAAAAGAGTCTACATTTTAATACAAATAAAGTCGCAGAAACTCTCATCATATCTAAGAAAATTTAGAAAGAATTTTACAGTAGAAGTTGACAAAAATTAAGGAAAAATAATTACCTTGAGAGCTCATTCATCAAGTATTTATTAGGCACCTACTGCTATGTGGGATACAAAAGAATTACAAAAGCAATCTCAGTTCCAAAGGGATTGTTGAGTTTTCAGTTAATTTAAATGCGAGTGATTGAACAGTTTCAGAGTTATGGTCTTCTGCATATTTGGCTAATATACTTATAATAAAACAAAAGAAACTCTAAAGAAGTTAAGGAATTCCACCTATTTTTCTTGTTCATGAAGACCTTGAAATATAAATTAAATTTTGAATCATTTTGAATATTTTATCTTCCCTTCCTCAGAAAGAGATAATTTAGAGATGTTGGAGATCATTTGTAAAAATACCATGATATGCTAATAAAAATTTTAGTGGACATCGCAGCCTGTCATGTAAGTTTATATAGTTTTATTTTCCATAAATAATTATGTTTGATAATTCTTTGCCTTCATATAATTATTTGAGTAAGATTTCAACATTGTTTTCTAAGAAATATATTTATGTGACCATCTAGCCATGACTACTAGTACTAATGGCTAGCGCTTAAAATTAAACTACAGTCATATATTACTTAACTACAGGAATATGCTCTGATAAATGCATCATTATATGATTTCATTATTGTGCAAACATGTGATGGCATGTACTTACCCAAACATAGACGGTGTAGCCTACTACACACCTAGGCTTCATGGTATAGGTTATTGCTCCTCGGCTACAAACCTGTACAGTACAAACCTGCACTGTACTGAATACTGTAGGCAATTATAACACAATGGTAAATATTTGTATATATAAACACATCTAGACATAGAAAAGGCACACTAAAAGTACTCTATAAAAGATAAAAAATGGCTTGGCACAGTGGCTCACCCCTATAATCCTAGGACTTTGGGAGGCTGAGGTGGTGGATCGTTTGAGCTCAGGAGTTCCAGACCAGCCTGGGCAACATGACAAACCCCATCTTTACAAAATACACAAAAATTAGTTGAGCATAGTGGCACACACCTGTAGTCCCAGCTACTTGGGGGCTAAGTTGGGAGGATCACTTGAACCTGGGAGGTCAAGGATGCAGTGAGCCCAGATCATACCACTTGCACTCCTGCCTAGGTGACAAAGTGAGACCTTGTCTCAAAAAAAAAAAAAAAAAAAAAACAGGTAAAAAACTGTACACCTGTGTAAGGCACTTACCATGAATGAAGCTTGAAGGACTGGAAGTTTCTCTGTTTGAATCAGTGAGTGGTAAGAGAATGTGAAGCCCTAGGACATTACTATTATAGACTTCATTAACACTGTACACTTAGGCTATACTAAATTTATTTATAAAATAAAGTTTTATTTCTTCAATAATAAATTAGCCTTAGCTTATTGTAACTATTTTACTTTATGAACTTTGTAATTTTTAAAACTTTTGGACTCTTGTAATAACACAGCTTAAAACACATATTTTACTGCTGAAAAATATTTTCTTTTTTTTATATCTTTGTTCTAAAAGCGTTATGTTGTGGGGAGGAGCCAAGATGGCCGGATAGGAACAGCTCCGGTCTACAGCTCCCAGCGTGAGCGACGCAGAAGACGGGTGATTTCTGCATTTCCATCTGAGGTACCGGGTTCATCTCACTAGGGAGCGCCAGACAGTGGGCGCAGGTCAGTGGGTGCGCGCACCGTGCGCGAGCCGAAGCAGGGCGAGGCATTGCCTCACTTGGGAAGCGCAAGGGGTCAGGGAGTTCCCTTTCCGAGTCAAAGAAAGGGGTGACGGACGCACCTGGAAAATCGGGTCACTCCCATCCGAATATTGTGCTTTTCGGACCGGCTTAAAAAACGGCGCACCACAAGATTACATCCCGCACCTGGCTCGGAGGGTCCTACGCCCACGGAGTCTCACTGATTGCTAGCACAGCAGTCTGAGATCAAACTGCAAGGCAGCAGGAAGGCTGGGGGAGGGGCACCCGCCATTGCCCAGGCTTGATTAGGTAAACAAAGCAGCCGGGAAGCTCGAACTGGGTGGAGCCCACCACAGCTCAAGGAGGCCTGCCTGCCTCTGTAGGCTCCACCTCTGGGGGCAGGGCACAGACAAACAAAAAGACAGCAGTAACTTCTGCAGACTTAAATGTCCCTGTCTCACAGCTTTGAAGAGAGCAGTGGTTCTCCCAGCACACAGCTGGAGATCTGAGAACAGGCAGACTGCCTCCTCAAGTGGGTCCCTGACCCCTGACCAACAAGCAGCCTAACTGGGAGGCACCCCCCAGCAGGGGCACTCTGACACCTCACATGGCAGGGTATTCCAACAGACCTGCAGCTGAGGGTCCTGTCTGTTAGAAGGAAAACTAACAAACAGAAAGGACATCCACACCAAAAACCCATCTGTACATCACCATAATCAAAGACCAAAAGTAGATAAAACCACAAAGATGGGGAAAAAACAGAACAGAAAAACTGGAAACTCTAAAACGCAGAGCGCCTCTCCTCCTCCTCCTCCTCCTCCAAAGGAACGCAGTTCCTCACCAGCAACGGAACAAAGCTGGATGGAGAATGACTTTGACGAGATGAGAGAAGAAGGCTTCAGACGATCAAATTACTCTGAGCTACGAGAGGACATTCAAACCAAAGGCAAAGAAGTGGCAAACTTTGAAAAAAATTTAGAAGAATGTATAACTAGAATAACCAATACAGAGAAGTGCTTAAAGGAGCTGATGGAGCTGAAAACCAAGGCTCGAGAACTACGTGAAGAATGCAGAAGCCTCAGGAGCTGATGCGATCAACTGGAAGAAAGGGTATCAGCAATGGAAGATGAAATGAATGAAATGAAGGAGAAGGGAAGTTTAGAGAAAAAAGAGTAAAAAGCAATGAGCAAAGCCTCCAAGAAGTATGGGACTATGTGAAAAGACCAAATCTACATCTCATTGGTGTACCTGAAAGTGATGGGGAGAATGGAACCAAGTTGGAAAACACTTTGCAGGATATTATCCAGGAGAACTTCCCCAATCTAGCAAGGCAGGCCAAGGTTCAGATTCAGGAAATACAGAGAACGCCACAAAGATACTCCTCGAGAAGAGCAACTCCAAGACACATAATTGTCAGATTCACCAAAGTTGAAATGAAGGAAAAAATGTTAAGGGCAGCCAGAGAGAAAGGTTGGGTTACCCTCAAAGGGAAGCCCATCAGACTAACAGCGGATCTCTCGGCAGAAACCCTACAAGCCAGAAGAGAGTGGGGGCTGATATTCAACATTCTTAAAAGAATTTTCAACCCAGAATTTCATATCCAGCCAAACTAAGCTTCATAAGTGAAGGAGAAATAAAATACTTTACAGACAAGCAAATGCTGAGAGATTTTGTCACCACCAGGCCTGCCCTAAAAGAGCTCCTGAAGGAAGTGCTAAACACAGAAAGGAACAACCGGTACCAGCCACTGCAAAATCATGCCAAAATGTAAAGACCATCAAGACTAGGAAGAAACTGCATCAACTAACGAGCAAAATCACCAGCTAACATCATAATGACAGGATCAAATTCACACATAACAATATTAACTTTAAATGTAAATGGACTAAATGCTCCAATTAAAAGACACAGACTGGCAAATTGGATAAAGAGTCAAGACCCATCAGTGTGCTGTATTCAGGAAACCCATCTCACGTGCAGAGACACACACAGGCTCAAAATAAAAGGATGGAGGAAGATCTACCAAGCAAATGGAAAACAAAAAAAGGCAGGGGTTGCAATCCTAGTCTCTGATAAAACAGACTTTAAACCAACAAAGATCAAAAGAGACAAAGAAGGCCATTACATAATGGTAAAGGGATCAATTCAACAAGAAGAGCTAACTATCCTAAATATATATGCACCCAATACAGGAGCACCCAGATTCATAAAGCAAGTCCTGAGTGACCTACAAAGAGACTTAGACTCCCACACATTAATAATGGGAGACTTTAACACCCCACTGTCAACTTTAGACAGATCAACAAGACAGAAAGTCAACAAGGATACCCAGGAATTGAACTCAGCTCTGCACCAAGCAGACCTAATAGACATCTACAGAACTCTCCACCCCAAATCAACAGAATATACATTTTTTACAGCACCACACCACACCTATTCCAAAATTGACCACATAGTTGGAAGTAAAGCTCTCCTCAGCAAATGTAAAAGAACAGACATTATAACAAACTATCTCTCAGACCACAGTGCAATCAAACTAGAACTCAGGATTAAGAATCTCACTCAAAACTGCTCAACTACATGGAAACTGGACAACCTGCTCCTGAATGACTACTGGGTACATAACGCAATGAAGGCAGAAATAAAGATGTTCTTTGAAACCAATGAGAACAAAGACACAACATACCAGAATCTCTGGGACACATTCAAAGCAGTGTGTAGAGGGAAATTTATAGCACTAAATGCCCACAAGAGAAAGCAGGAAAGATCCAAAATTGACACCCTAACATCACAATTAAAAGAACTAGAAAAGCAAGAGCAAACACATTCAAAAGCTAGCAGAAGGCAAGAAATAACTAAAATCAGAGCAGAACTGAAGGAAATAGAGACACAAAAAACCCTTCAAAAAATTAATGAATCCAGGAGCTGGTTTTTTGAAAGGATCAACAAAATAGATAGACCACTAGCAAGACTAATAAAGAAAAAAAGAGAGAAGAATCAAATAGACACAATAAAAAATGATAAAGGGGATATCACCACCGATCCCACAGAAATACAAACTACCATCAGAGAATACTACAAACACCTCTATGCAAATAAACTAGAAAATCTAGAAGAAATGGATAAATTCCTCGACACATACACTCTCCCAAGACTAAACCAGGAAGAAGTTGAATCTCTGAATAGACCAATAACAGGAGCTGAAATTGTGGCAATAATCAATAGTTTACCAACCAAAAATAGTCCAGGACCAGATGGATTCACAGCCGAATTCTATCAGAGGTACAAGGAGGAACTGCTACCATTCCTTCTGAAACTATTCCAATCAATAGAAAAAGAGGGAATCCTCCCTAACTCATTTTATGAGGCCAGCATCATTCTGATACCAAAGCCGGGCAGAGACACAACCAAAAAAGAGAATTTTAGACCAATATCCTTGATGAACCTTGATGCAAAAATCCTCAATAAAATACTGGCAAAACGAATCCAGCAGCACATCAAAAAGCTTATCCACCATGATCAAGTGGGCTTCATCCCTGGGATGCAAGGCTGGTTCAATATACACAAATCAATAAATGTAATCCAGCATATAAACAGAGCCAAAGACAAAAACCACATGATTATCTCAATAGATGCAGAAAAAGCCTTTGACAAAATTCAACAACCCTTCATGCTAAAAACTCTCAATAAATTAGGTATCGATGGGATGTATTTCAAAATAATAAGAGCTATCTATGACAAACCCACAGCCAACATCATACTGAATGGGCAAAAACTGGAAGCATTCCCTTTGAAAACTGGCACAAGACAGGGATGCCCTGTCTCACCACTCCTATTCAACATAGTGTTGGAAGTTCTGGCCAGGGCAATTAGGCAGGAGAAGGAAATAAAGGGTATTCAATTAGGAAAAGAGGAAGTCAAATTGTCCCTGTTTGCAGACAACATGATTGTATATTTAGAAAACCCCAATGTCTCAGCCCAAAATCTCCTTAAGCTGATAAGCAACTTCAGCAAAGTCTCAGGATAAAAAATCAATGTACAAAAATCACAAGCATTCTTATACACCAATAACAGACAGAGAGCCAAATCATGAGTGAACTCCCATTCACAATTGCTTCCAAGAGAATAAAATACCTAGGAATCCAACTTACAAGGGATGGGAAGGACCTCTTCAAGGAGAACTACAAACCACTGCTCAAGGAAATAAAAGAGGATACAAACAAATGGAAGAACATTCCATGCTCATGGGTAGGAAGAATCAGTATCGTGAAAATGGCCATACTGCCCAAGGTAATTTACAGATTCAATGCCATCCCCATAAAGCTACCAATGACTTTCTTCACAGAATTGGAAAAAACTACTTTAAAGTTCTTATGGAACCAAAAAAGAGCCTGCATCACCAAGTCAGTCCTAAGTCAAAAGAACAAAGCTGGAGGCATCACACTACCTGACTTCAAACTATACTACAAGGCTACAGTAACCAAAACAGCATGGTACTGGTACCAAAACAGAGATATAGATCAATGGAACAGAACAGAGCCCTCAGAAATAATGCTGCATATCTACAACTATCTGATCTTTGACAAACCTGAGAAAAACAAGCAATGGGGAAAGGATTCCCTATTTAATAAATGGTGCTGGGAAAACTGGCTAGCCATATGTAGAAAGCTGAAACTGGATCCCTTCCTTACACCTTATACAAAAATCAATTCAAGATGGATTAAAGACTTAAACATTAGACCTAAAACCATAAAAAACCTAGAAGAAAACCTAGGCATTACCATTCAGGACATAGGCATGGGCAAGGACTTCATGTCCAAAACACCAAAAGCAATGGCAACAAAAGACAAAATTGACAAATGGGATCTAATTAAACTAAAGAGCTTCTGCACAGCAAAAGAAACTACCATCAGAGTGAACAGGCAACCTACAAAATGGGAGAAAATTTTCGCAACCTACTCATCTGACAAAGGGCTAATATCCAGAATCTACAATGACTCAAACAAATTTACAAGAAAAAAACAAACAACCCCATCAAAAAGTGGGCGAAGGACATGAACAGACACTTCTCAAAAGAAGACATTTATGCAGCCAAAAAACACATGAAAAAATGCTCATCATCACTGGCCATCAGAGAAATGCAAATCAAAACCACAATGAGATACCATCTCACACCAGTTAGAATGGCAATCATTAAAAAGTCAGGAAACAACAGGTGCTGGAGAGGATGTGGAGAAATAGGAACACTTTTACACTGTTGGTGGGACTGTAAACTAGTTCAACCATTGTGGAAGTCAGTGTGGCGATTCCTCAGGGATCTAGAACTAGAAATACCATTTGACCCAGCCATCCCATTACTGGGTATATACCCAAAGGACTATAAATCATGCTGCTATAAAGACACATGCACACGTATGTTTATTGAGGCATTATTCACAATAGCAAAGACTTGGAACCAACCCAAATGTCCAACAATGAGAGACTGGATTAAGAAAATGTGGCACATATACACCATGGAATACTATGCAGCCATAAAAAATGATGAGTTCATGTCCTTTGTAGGGACATGGATGAAATTGGAAATCATCATTCTCAGTAAACTATAGCAAGAACAAAAAACCAAACACTGCATATTCTCACTCATAGGTGGGAATTGAACAATGAGATCACATGGACACAGGAAGGAGAATATCACACTCTGGGGACTGTGGTGGGGTGGGGGGGAGGGATAGCATTGGGAGATACACCTAATGCTAGATGACGAGTTAGTGGGTGCAGCACACCAGCATGGCACATGTATACATATGTAACTAACCTGCACAATGTGCACATGTACCCTAAAACTTAAAGTATAATAAAAAAATAAAAAAAATAAAAGCGTTATGTTAATTTTTTTTTACCTTTTAAACTTTTTTTTTTTTTTTGCTAAAAATGAAAATACAAACAAACACATTAGCCCAGGCCTACACAGGATCAGTATCATCAATTTTTTTATAAGTAGGAGCACACTCTAATATAACAATTCAATGTATCATATAGTAAGTACATAAACTAGGATTGAAGTCATTTATTATCAATCATCAAGTATCAGGTACTGTACTTAGTTATAATTGCTATATGCTTATATGACTGGCAGCAGTAAGTTTGTTTATACCATCATCACTACAAACACATGAGTCATGCATTGTTCTTTATGTTACCAGGCAATAGGAGATTTTCAGCCCCATTATAATCTTATGAGACCACTATAGTATATGTGGCCCATATTTGACTGAAACATCATTATTCAGCACATGATTTTATAACATAGATTTGCTTTTGTGTACTATCTTAGACACACTCATCAAAATCCCATTAAAAATAATGAAAATAATTTTTAAAAGCATTTGTCAATTTGAGAAATAACTTGAAAGTAGGAGGATATAAATTTCAAACAAGTGCATATTCAACTTTATTTACGGTTTCATTTTTAGCTGAGTTCCCAGATATTTAATCTCTTAAAAATAAGTGTTGACTACAAATTGAAATTACACATTTCAAAGTAAAAATATTACTCATCAGAAAAATGTAAGCTGAATACCTGTAGTAGGTTATTAGCTTCACCATTAATCTCTCATGTGCCTTTTGAAAATAAATAAGATTATTAAAGAGTTGAGCCCAAAGGCAAGGAACACATAGCAAGGAAGGCACAAAAATAATATTTTAATCCTTCAAGTACAGCAAATAATTGTGATATTGCTATATTTATCGCAGAACATTTTTAATGATGCCTATTCTTAAAATCTTGACATGTTACAGTTTTAAAAAAATGACTTCATTGAAATGTTTCTATTCAACTCCATGTAGCAAGGTAAATTTTGCTTTATCTTTTTTAATGGAATTTGAAAATTGTTTTTCACTTTCCAAATGGAGATGAGATACAGTGATATCAATTGTTATTGCTACTATTGAACAGCTGTGAATAAATAAAGGCTTTGAGGATAAACCATACCAGCTTTGCCCTCCTGTGGTTTTATTAACACATAAAGCATCTGCTCAGAGAAAAATCTTGTCTGACAGTATTTTGGAACCGTTTCTTTTCCATTCTTGTTTAGTATTTGCTATTTTTATGTACATTTTTGAGATATGTGTGTATATATGTATATATTTTATGTAAAAATACATGTATATGCAAATTTGCATATGTGATACGTATACACATACTGTTTGTGTGTGTTTGTGTGCATGTGTGTGTAGTGTGTTGTGTTTAATCAGTCCCATACTAGACTATGAGGAAAAATTCTTTTTATTGGTTTTTTTTTTTTGAGACAGAGTCTCGCTCTGTCACCCAGGCTGGAGTGCAGTGGCGCGATCTCGGCTCACTGCAAGCTCCGCCTCCTGGATTTATGCCATTCTCCTGCCTCAGCCTCCCGAGTACCTGGGACTACAGGTGCCCACCACCACGCCCGGCTAATTTTTTTTTTTTTTGTATTTTTAGTAGAGACAGGGTTTCACCGTGTTAACCAGGATGGTCTCGATCTACTGACCTCGTGATCTGCCCACCTCGGCCTCCCAGAGTGCTGGGATTACAGGCGTGAGCCACCGCGCCCGGCCCTGACTATTTGGAAAAATTCTAAATTTTTTTGTCCCCTCAAATCATGTAACAGAACAGTAAGCTGCTAATTATACTACAAAATATTACATGTGATAGGAATAAAAATCAGTAAGAATAAAAGACATTCCACACTAAACAAATGTATTTCTGTCCTAAGAAACAAAGGGCTGATAATATAGTTTATAGGCAGGAAAGTGAAGATAGAAAACCTTGTATTACTTAAAGGTTGTTGAAAATTTCCACAGCAGCCTGTCTTGATATTCTCAAGTTACCATACTCTTCATTTCAAGAAACCTTAATTTTCATTGTATTCCCATGATATTCCCAAATCTTAATTTGCATATTTGCTTCATCAAAATAAAACTTTATTTACAGAAATACTACTCATACCACTAATTATCCTACTTGAAAGCATAGTGTGAGGTTCACCTGAATACTGAAGTTTATATGCTTAATGCTATGAAGAATACATTATAATTTTTGCCCTATTGAGGTAGGAAGAACACTTTAAAGAAGTAAACATTTTGAAAAAAAAATGAATTACATCTAAAAAGTAATATCAATAACAGAGAGGGAAAAATAAGAAGAAAATACTGGGTGGTCAGTATCAAAATTATGTTCATCTAAGTGTACAGTTCATGCTGTTTCCCATGTAAGAGATCAAAATACACTGCCCCCAGATAGGCTGCTTTGGCCTATTTGTTATTTAGAGTAAAAAACATTTGAAAAACAGCAGATGCAAGAAGTGCACTCTGAACTTCCTTTTTCTTCCTGAAAGCAGGAGATTAAATTCCTATGTGAAAGACATGCTTATCACTAGGGAAGTGGAGGCTGACAAAAATCTACACAAATAAATCTTGTTGAACTAACAAGCCAATCTTATCTTCCTAGTCACTTTTCCACAACTAACTGCCCTAGCCCACACCCCTCTGTCTTGCCGCTTTTCCACAATTTACTATTCTTTGTTCAGCCTAATATATAAGCATTCAACTTCATTTCTTTGAGTCTTCATTTTTTTGTGTGTGTGTGATGGCTCTCAGGTACATGTAAAAATTACTAAATAAAACTCATATGCTTTTCTCCTGTTAATCTGCCTTAGGTAAATTTAATTCCTAGGCTCAGCAAGAAGCCCTTGGAGGGTAGAGAATAAATTTTGCCTCCCTTACCCGTACAAGACAAGCTTCCTGGCCCATCACCACCATTCTCTCTCTCCATGATCTAGAGCACATTAAAGTTATTTAACTCTGAAACTCTTCTTCCCCACTTGTAAAATGGAAAATATTAGTCCTTACAACCTAGAGTTTTTATAATAATTACATGAGCTGAAACATGTAAAGTGCTTAGCACAGTGTCTGACATATACAATAAAAAGCTTTATATGTGTTACTTATGCTATTATTTGAGATGTTTGCATTTTGCTTCCTTGGGGACATAATCCCACAGCCCCATAATTCTCAACTGACTTTGTCCTTAGTAACACAGAGCTGTGAGACCATCAGATGACATCTCCTGCCCAGGAAAGAGTTTTTCCAAAAGGAACTTTCCCGGAACAAGGGAGAGACCACTTCTATAGGACACTGCTAGGCCAAGTACATATCATGCCTTGTAAGAGTCTATACAAATAAACTAGCTGTCCTTTTATATTTGACCACGCCATTAACTAATTGAAAATGCCACCCATTCCCTTTTCTGTAACTACTCTACTTTCCTAGTGCTACTTTTTTTCTGTATATATTCTTATGGTCAAACCAGGAAAAATCTATCTGGCACTCTGGACTGTGCTTCACAGGGAACAACTCCCTTCCTCCACATCCCTAGTAATTCAACCCCACCAAATAACTTTAGATTTTATATTGCTTTAGATAGGAAGGTGTTGGTTTTCTAGCCAGACATATGTTAGTCACAAAGAAGAAAGATTATTTTAAAAGGTGTATGCAGGTCAGAATAATCAGACAGCCAATAGTAGTGGTATACACACAGACACACAGACTGCGTATGAAAACATTATGCTAAACGTATTTTAACTATTAGAGAAAATGTGTCTTGAAGTTCATCAGTAGGTTGAGAGAAGCAAATTCTTTGTAATTTTTAAAGGATCACGGTAAATTATTGAGAAAAAGTTCCACATTGAGAAAAAGTTCTACATTTTCTGACTTGGAGTATGGGAGGAGATCCAGCTACTGACTCTCAGAGATACTGATGAAAGACTTTTGTGGTCTGGATAAACTACAGTACTAATTTAACACAGTTCAGAGTCCAACAACTCATGTTTTGCCAACAACCCTAGGCAGAGTTTGTTGATTTATTCTGACTGCAACCACAGAGGCTGATGGTTTTATCATAGCACTAGTCACATACCCTTGTAACTCTGACAGATACTTATCTCTTCTTGGCAAAGCTCTTGAAGAACACGAGTTTCTCGTTCATTGTGTATTTCTCCAGGTTTCCAAACAGTAGATACTAAATAAATTTGATTGCATAAATTAACAGTGATAAAAGTAATAACTGCTAATACTTGAACATTTAGTATAGGCTTCCCCATATTCCAAGCATTTTGCATATTTTAATGCATATAATCCTCAAAATAACTTAATGTCATAGGTACTATTATTATTTCCATTTTATAGAGAAGGAAACGGGGCACAGAGAGGTTAGCTTAACATCACATAGCCCTTGAGTAGTAGAGTCAGGATTTAGAAAAGTACATTATCGAAAGGGTTTTAATTTCAATATCTTAACTGCTTTTGGATTTATTTTAAAACAATATTCCAACAGGAGCTAAATTTGAAACTCACAGATGACAGAAAAAAAGCTTCTGAAAGAAACAACAAAATAGACCTTTTCCAACTTGCCAGAGTGTAGCAATCCCCAAACTGACAAAAATTCACAGCTTCATCAATCAGAAGACGGCAAATAAATTTTCCTCCTTACTCCATGACACTGGTTCCCTTTCAAAGTCAAGTTAGATAGTATGAGATAGTTGCCTGAGAATGTTTTCTAACAATGTAGTCAGTTTATTATAGATATTAAGCACTCATCCACCCACCCTAAACATTTAAATCTGTATCTCTTTTAATGTAACAATTTAGGGTTGAACCAGCAGGTATTTTCTGAGCATAATAAAGACATTGTTCCAAAAGCAAAAATATAAAAATAAAGAATATAACCTTCAGATATGTGC
Source organism: Homo sapiens (assembly GCF_000001405.40). Classification (NCBI taxonomy): domain Eukaryota; kingdom Metazoa; phylum Chordata; class Mammalia; order Primates; family Hominidae; genus Homo; species Homo sapiens. The sequence continues at coordinate 175,776,804 of NC_000003.12, read as the reverse complement.
CTCATAAACTCCGACTCTATTCCCTTCTTATCCACTGTATCTCTGTTAAATGTCTGCCCCTTTTGATAGAGGGAAAAAAATCATGAATTGAGATTTAATCATTGACAGACTTTCTACAAAATTTCTTGAAGAATTTTTATTAAGCAAAATTGGGATCAGAGTCCAGTCTTCGAGATGCAGACTTTGGGATAACTGTTTCTTAATGTAAAGGGACTGCAACAGGTAAATGAAAGGGGAAATCTGCTAAAATAAAATTAAGCAGTTGAAGACAGATTTTAAGTTGTATTCACTTTACTAAGAATGGGACTCGATAGTTTCCATAAAAGAATTGGTCAGAGAGGTCCAAACAAATAAGCACTGGGGGGAAAAAAAGACTCTGTTTTCTGAATGGCAGTTGTTGGAACAATAAGAGAATTAGAATGTAAGAACAATAAGAGAATTAGAATGTTGGATGGGGGAAGGAGAGCCAATGTTACAGGTTGAAAGAATGAATGAGCGACACAGGATGAAAGACAGCAAGGGAACAGGCTACTGGGGAGGTATGTCAAATGGAGGAGAGGACAGTAATATGAAAGAGTTGAGGGGAGAATGTCTGATTTGTTTTAACATAGGCCTTGGAAGTATGTTTTCAAATCAGAGGGCAGAAATCACTGCAGCAACCAAAACGATTGATAATGTGTAGAAATGAAGGTGAGAAGAGTTCTGAAAATTGACAGAGCAAGGCCATAAGGTAGGAGAAGAAGGAGGCAAGAATAGAGGTGACCAACTTAGCTTTGGAAAAAATCGCTTTTACTCTTAGACGGAAGTGAGGGAGAAAAGGATACAGACGGTAAGACATAAAGGGATGAAAAAAGACAGAAAGCTCCTGTAGCTGGCTCAGTTAAAATACTTTATGACTCAATTCTATTAATAGAATTTATTTGCTATTTTCCACTAATACTACAAGTGTGGCAGTGTCCTGCCTAACCACTGCTACAACTCTTCTAGCCCAGGAGGACTCCTGTGATGTTAACACATTATTGCTTCTCCGTTGACTCTTGTGGTATCTGTATATGATAACACATTGGGGTTAGGGTTCAGTGATTCTTTCTGATGGGGTGCCCAAAGCAATTTCATCCATGATCACAGACTTAGATGAATTCAGGCGAACAGACTTCGCAAATTGGCAAAAGAATGCTAAGGAAACATCTAATGAGACTTGAAAGAGGAAGTACTTTACCTTTTGATCATCTAGTTTCAAGCATAATGCCTAGAATAGAATAGGCACATAAATGTTTGCTGAATTAATGAATTTATGAATGAAGCAAATAGCAGTTTGTTTGTTCATTTGTTTGTTTTAATGAGGCTTTAGAGAAATCAGATTATAGTTGCAGAAGTTTAGTAGCTATAAGGTGAATTTTGAGTAATAACTACTATTATTACAAGTAATTTCATCTGAAAATAATATTATTCAAGGATAAAGAAAATATTCCCTTTCTATATTAAGTATGACAGATGAACGAATTTACATTCAACAAATATTTTATGTTTGAATTTTGTTTTGTTTTGTTTTACTTAATGTCTCAGACACTCACTCCTATGGACTCCCATATTTACTTTTCCTTTTTACATCTTCCCGCTTCTATATTTGCCATCCACTATCACAGATACCTGTAACAACATCACCAACCACAGTTGGGGTAATGGAGAATTTCTAAAAAAAAAAAAAAAAAGGCCTTACTACTTTCTGATCATATCTTAGATATGTCATAAGCCAAACATCCTACTTTGAGTCAACTCAAGTCAATGGGGTATATCATCTATAAGAAAAATGTGGGATATTTGGGAACATCTACAGAAACACTATAAAGTAGAACTATAAGGTAAGTTGCATGTATAATTTTACATTTTCTAGTAGTACATTAAACTACATAAAAAAGAAATCAATGAAGTCATTTTATTATTTGCTGAATATTATAATTTCAACATGAATCAATATAAAAATTATTAATGTTATATTTTCACTTTATTTTTACTTTTCGGTAGTATGTCTTAAAATCAAATGCACACTTTATACTTAACATCTTAATTTTCACTAACTACATTTCATATTATCAGTAGCCACACATTGCTAGTGGCTACCACATTGAGCAGCATAGATCTATATAGGTCCAGATCACACAACCACAGGGTATTTTTTAACTAACAGCTAATTGAGTTCCTTAAAAAAATTATTTAGAATTATTTTTTTTTTCTGCAAACAAACCAATGAGTCAGGCTTATAACTACTTATATCTACTTTACTATGTTGTTAGGCTCTGTATACTCTTTATAGACATCTCATAAGGGAGTAGTAGGAATAAGCCAGGTATTTTTAAAAAATAAGGATTTAAAAAATTTTTGTTTAACTTTTTCTTTTAAAATGAATATAGGTAATGAAATGGAAGTCTGAAATAACAATGTATTTCTTAACATTCATATAAGTCAAACATTTTTGGCTGTATGCTGCCTGCGTAGAGGTCTTGTTTATGTCTAGCTTACCATAAATCTTAATGTTTAGAATTTTAGTATCAAGGAAAGCATATAAATATCTTATAGTCTTGTTAAAAGAACTTGAAGATGTCCTCCCACTGCTGAGGCCTTTCATCATGTAAATCAGAGTAAAGATAAGTGGTCATGTTATCAAACCCTAAAATAATAGTGTGTATTAGAAACACTGACAGAGCTTTAATTGTAGCAGCACAAAGTATACTACTAACTGTACCATACATCATCAATAAATAGGAATTTAGGATGTAGTTTGCTGCCTTGACCTTCAAGCTCCAATTGTGTTTCAGTCATCAAGAGTTCATAAATAATATAATTTACAATCTCTGAAAAGAGACTGTGTGGACACAATAAACCACATATGTTATATGGGGGAAGAGTGGCTATATAGTTGGCTTCATGGTCTCAAATTCAGTGAATCTTAATGGCAGAATTCACTTATGTCAACTCATTGCTTTTCAATCAGTAGCAAATAGCTAGTGTTTACTGCCATATTTTTTATGATCTTATAACAAGTGTTCATTTTAGAGAAACTTAGATATTGGCCTGTTAAGCCAAAAACATTGAAGTCTCAAAGATCTCTCAGCAAACGTTTTTCTGATTATCACTTTAAGATGAATACCCCTGAACTACATGAAAAGTTAAAATTATACTCTCCTGTACCAGAAAGAGAGCTACGATCAAGAGGACTTTATTTATGGACAGTAACATTACTACTTATTCTGAGGTCATGCTTCCTGAACACTGCAATCAAATTAAAATAACCTTAAATAGCACTTGGAAGGGCAAATAACTCACAAAGCCCAACAGACTGTCCCTTAAGAGAGGTAGAAGAAAACTGAATAACTGAAGCAATCACCAGCAGGTTCCAGCAGCTAGACACAATGATATCAATTAGAAGTAACCAATAAAAATACAGAAATGAAAAAAAGAAATAACAGAAAACTAAACTATTCATTCATTTTTCTAGTTTTCAGCAGCAAACCATCTGTAGTTATTTTGTCATAGAGGCAAATGACACTCTTTGAGGACTCAATTGTATTATAAAAGAATATATAACTTGACCTTCAATCAACAAGAGAAGGTTAAATGTTATTTAAGTAGATTTTGAGAAACATAACAACTGTGATACCTTTCAGTAAGGTTTTCTTGAGAAATACCCTTCCACTTTCTCATTACCATCTCCTGAAGACTGGAGTTTACTAATTATAAGATCCTGCTTAAGTACCATCTACCTGTTAACCAGGATACATGCCTAAATCCTACCCCAGCTGAAAAGAACAATAACACAAACCTTTTACTCCTCGATTTCTCTGTATCTATTTCTTCACCTTTTTGGCAGTTATTGTTGAAGATATTTTATATGTATTTTAGATTCTAAGGCACGGAGAAACACTAAAATGTTGCAGAAGAAACACTAAAATGTCACAGAAGTAACACTAAAATGTCACAGAAGTTAGGTTACAACAGCGGGAAGGATCTACTATTCCTAGGGTTGGAGAATGGAAATATTTGGAATTATTAAAGCTGAGAAGCTCAAAGGAAGTGTCCTGTGAAGTTGAAACTCAGGCCTCTGAATAGCGGCCACTGCTTAGCTATAACTGATGTCTCTGAGATCAAAGACGGAACCCTGTGTAACTGGACCCCAGACCTATGAGGAAGGACTTTAGTCCGCTCGCGCTGGTGTCTCTGATGAGTATTGTGAGTCTGATTTAACTAATTTTGGAAAAAGTGAAAATCAGTGCTAACTTCTACTACTAGAATGAACTGTCACTACTTAGGTGAAGAAGCTTGTTAGGGTGACAATGACAGGAAAAGAAAGCAAAAACAGGAACAAATTGTAGATAGAAGCATCTTTTCTTCCTCCTCCTGACTTCCAGCTTTCTTTTACTGCTTCTTATTGTAGTTTATCAGGGAGTCAACTGGCAAAGTGAAAATGCAGTTTGTAGAGTCCTAGTCCCAGGTTAACACAAGATGGTATACAAGGTTGGGATTGCAACAAAAAAAAAAATAAATAAAGCTGAATAAACTAGCACATCTATTCAGAAGAAAGCCATTGTCTAATCTACACTCATATTCCCTGTATTATCTGGTGCATTGAGCTGAATGTTGACTGCAAAGATACATCCAGATTTTAATCTCTAGGACCTGTAAATGCTACCTTATTTGCAAAAAGCGTCTTTGCAGATGTTGATACGGTTTGGCTGTGTCCCCACCCAAATCTTGAATTGTAGTTCCCATAATCCCCACATGTCTTGGGAGGGACCCAGTAGAGGGTAACTGAATCATGGGGTGGTTAACTCTTGCTGTTCTCATGATAGTGAGTGAGTTCTCAGGAGATCTGATGGTTCTATAAGGGCCTTTTCCCTCTTTTGCTGGGTGCTTCTTGCTGCTGCTATGTATAAGTTTCCTGAGGCCTCCACAGCCATGCTGACCTGTGAGTAATTAAACCTCTTTCCTTTATAAATAACCCAGTCTTGGGTATATCTTTATTAGCAGTATGAGAACAGACTAATACAGATGTGATTACGGATTTTGATATAAGGAGATTATCCTGTATTATGTGAATGAGCCCTAAATCCAATCACAAGTCTCCTTGTAAAAGAGAGATGGGGAGAGATTAAACAGATACACAAAGACGAGAAGGCCATGTGAAGACTGAGGCAAAGATTGGAGTGATGTGGTCACAAACAAGGGAATGCCACAGCCACAGGGAACGGATTCTCCCTTAGAGCCAGAGAAAACATGGCCCTGCTGACCTCTTGATCTCAGACTTCTGGCCTCCAGAAATGGAAAGGAATAAATTTCTGTTGTTTTAAGCCTCCTAATTTATGGCAATTTGTTATGAAAGCCACAGGAAACTAATACATTTAGGTTATGCCTTTTACATAATAGATACTAAAATTTTATGAAATAAGTAAAATGGGAATCACAAAACCTTTGATTTACGTAGAGAAAGTTTAATCTACATAGAAAATCTACTAATATAACATAACACTAATGAGTTAAGATAAATGGAACCTGTCTACACCTAATCGAAATTGTATGCAACATTAACAATTTGGCTTTGGAAAATATGATTTTATGGATTATCAAGCCTTTCAATTGTGACTTATAATAATAAATACATAAAATAAAAGGGCAAACATTTTCTGAAATAAAATGAAGCATAGGTACTCATCAACCTCTAGTAGTTAATCTAGAAAAATATTTTACTACATATTTAATTCTTAACTCTCTATGTCTGAAATGACTTTCTATTCACCCATGTGATATTCTATTTCAGGAAAAAAGATGGCATTATGAATCAGCTTTGAAAACATTTCTATTCTTTAGTTGTTCAAAGCTATCTATTTAATTTCATGGTTAAGAAAAGAAAAGAGAAATTGGAAACACAGGAAATGTACAAACCACCTGCAGAGAGGATACTTAACATTTGGTGCCTATATTACATTCTTCCCTCTAAAACTTTTGTGTCTAACAAGGCTACATTTTATTGGCTTTTGAATTATATTGTGTAAAATTAGATTGAGTTAGCATATCATCCAAACTCCCTGGTGTAGCATATGTAAGCTTTGATTAGAAGATGAGACCTACTATGATTAGCAATAAAAAAATTGGAGGCACTGTACCTGGCACATTTGAAGGCTATCCCTTCCAGAAATATTTGGCCATGTTTCCTCCCATTTCACATTATTGCATAAAGAGTAGATTACTATTTGCATGCAATTATTTTGGATGAGAAAGAGAAGGCAAGGCAAATTTTTAGTCTACATTAGGATTAGCCAAATATAACTAGACATACACAAACAGACCTTCTTCTCAAGATTATTTAGTCATTTAAAATGCATAACAAAAGTAATCTCGCCTTGTCAATCATATTATTTGAGCTGAAGTCAGCAGAATCCCATTTAGAAAAGATTCATTCTTTCTACATCATAGCTGTTAAAATCCACTGCTCATGGGAAAGACCTGTTATTCTTGATTTCTTCCCTCACCTTCATCCTCATACCTAATCCATCACCAAGTTTTTGTAGATTATATGTCTGAAATGTTACAAATTAATCTTCTCGATATTTGCATTCCCACCAACATGATCTCTGTGATGATTAATTTTACGTGTCAATGTAGTGAGGCAATACTGCCCAGTTGTTTGTTCAAACACTAGTCCATATGTTGCTGTGAAGGTGTCTTACAGATGTTAATTAACATTTATAATCAGTTGACTTTAAAGGAAATTGTCCTTGATAATGTGGGTAGGCTTCATCTAATCAGTTGGAGGCCTCAAAACAAAACATGAGGCACCCTGAACAAGAAAAAAAAAATCTGCCTTAGACTATTAATATAACATAGAAATTCTAACTAAATTTATAGCCTGCTACAGCCCACCTACAGATATTGGAGTCAAGACTATAACATCAACTCTTCCCTGAGCTGTCAGCCTTCATTGTCCACAGATTTCAGACTTGCCAACCTCCTCATTCATATGAACCAGTTCCTTAAAATTACACACAGACACACACAGAGACATACACACAGACACACACACACATGCACACACATATACATGCCATCTCCTATTGTCCTATTGTTCTGTTTCTCTGGAAAATCCTGACTGACATGCCTAGATTATTAAAAGACCACATCATTTCTAATTTTTCCGTTTTTTCCATTACCTCTAAAATCTGTTTTCTACATAGCAATTAGAGATATACAGAATACATGATGATAGATTATACATAAATAGATAAAAAGTATGTTACAATCTACCTATAATGAGATATTAAAGGCCCTGAAAATAATGCTTAACCCCTCTCTATGGCCTCTAGGCCCTTGTTTGATTTTTCAGTCTCAGCCCAAGTTAATCCCCAAATCTATTTAGCTACCTTAAAGGAAAAGGTTATGTTTCTTTCCTTCAAGACAATTGTAAAGTTTGTGATTACATATTTATTTGGTCTTTTGTCTGCTTATTCTGTGTTCCTTCCCAATAGAAAGTAAAGTCCCAAAGGGTAAGGTTGATATTTATATTTTTGAGCATTGTATTCTCAGTGTCTGGTACAGTTCTGCCTATGGTAGACACTGCGTACTTGCTGAATTAATAAGTATAATGGAATCAGTAGTAATTTTAGATAAGTATTTTGAAAAAGTGACATCAAATTCTAACTTACAGGTAAGAAAGGTAGTAAGATTAAAAAGAGAATCAGGAAATGCAAGAAACAAAATATTACCCAAGCCATAGGCATTAATCTTACAGTCTAGATAGGAGTAATAGCAAATATTAAATATCCATTTTTGTATGTGTAAGATAAAATATATTCTGCTTCTCTTTTGGTTCACAATATGATCATTTTATTCAAACTCAGTTTTAAATCTTCTTTTTATACCACTCCTTTCTGTGAAGTTACTACAATTTTTTTTTTTTTTTTTGAGACAAAGTCTCATTCTATCACCCAGGCTGGAGTGCTGTGGACCAATCTCAGCTCACTGCAACCTCTGCCTCCCAGGTTCAACTGATTCTCCTGTCTCAGCCTCCTGAGAAGCTAGGACTACAGGGGTGCACCACCATGCCCAGCTAATTTTTTTGTATTTTTAATAGAGACGGGCTTTCGCCATGTTAGCCATGCTGGTCTCAAATTCCCGACCTCAAGTGATCTGCCCACCTTGGCCTCCCAAAGTGCCAGGATTACAGGCGCGAGCCACTTTTGTTTGTCAAAAAACAAATGCCTGGCCGAATTTGTTTTTTAAAATAAAATTCAGAATGGCTGCAAACAGGTTCTATCCCTTAACCAGTTTATGTAATTTACCATCTCTGGTAACTTTGAAGAAAAAAAACTAATGTTTCTGAACTTCAGAGCCCTTACCAACACAATGGGGAAAACATCTACCTGGATGAGTAATCTGATAGATCAAAAAAGTGTATACAGAGGCCCTGGGAGTACACGGAGAGAGAGAGATGGCTTTGAAACAAGAAAGGCCTGGTAAAATTACCAGCCCCAACAATTATTACATAAGGTATTGTGAAGACCAGAGATATGCATCGAGTATATGAAGTGCCTGGTACACGAGTTTTATTTAGTTCTTAAAATTCTCATAGGCAGTATCCTGATAGCCTAACCATTGTTTGATATGGACACGTATTATACATGGAACAATCCCAGTAAAACCCGGTGTGGGCCGACAAAACCCCAATAAAACCCCACCATGACCAATTATGGCACAAGTCAGGTCCCGGTTCTTTTAAGATCCAGGGACAATGGCATAAAGGACCAAGAAAGTTTCTCTGGATAAATTAGTCAACAAACATTTTTCGAAGTGCAGTAAAAGATACAAAATTTGCAACAGTCATCATGCAGGATTTGGAAGGCAGAAGTAGAACCGAATCTGCTTTCTTCAGCAACGGTTTCAGGCAGATAAACAGGCAAATGTCAGAAGGAGATTCATAGAATTTCTCCGAGAGCTGCTGGAAGTTGCCTGCCTGAGAACTGCAGGCGGCTGGAACTGTCACTGAAGGTTCTATTTCAGTTCTAGTAGTTCTTGATTCTATGAAACTTAGCTTAAAGAAAGCTAAGGAAACTTCAAGCTTCCTTGACTTTAAAATATATACATTTTTTATTTATAATAATATGGAACACTTCATGAATTGTCATGTCATCCTTGCGCAAGGGCCATGCTAATCTCTGTATCATTCCAATTTTATTATATGTGATACCAAAGTGAGCATTTCCTTCACTTTTATATCTTCAACACTTCTAATGCACATACAAACTTAGAATTCTATTCAAATTATTCCTAATTTGAATATCTAGATTGCCTTCTAACTTTCTCATTGAAACTTGTCAGATAAAGGTAGACTGGGAGGAAATACTAGAACCTCACTATATGTAATTTGAGGGTTTGTTGCAGTTTTTTAAGGATTATATCAATTGCACATTAAATCATGTATTAAATTTAGCTCTAATTATAGACTATGGGGTGAGTACTTCCCATTTCATCCATTATTGCCCTTATAAACTTCCAACTTGATCTAAACTAAGTATGATTATATATTTATAGACCTATTTTTTTTAATCAGTTAAAAATGCTGTAGTCTTGTGTTTTTAGCAAGCAGACTGGTTAAGCAGCACACTCAAGTGTAGTGGCTGGCAAATCATGTACTCCTCCGAGGTGACTGTGGAAAAAGAGGCAACATTCATATTCCTTTCCTTGTCAACTAGTGTAGCTCATGTAAGCTTTCATTTGAACAAAAGATTCCACTGGGGATGGTGTACAGGACTAAATGTGTGCTTTATAGAATCGTGCCTATTGGCTCCCTGTCCTTTCCTTGTGTTTCATCTCAATATGCTATACTTGCTCCGTATTTTTTTTGTGGCTTACAGATCTACTTTCTTATTATAAGAAGAAAATTTTGCTACTCAAAATCTAGAAAATGTCAAGTGCAAAATGATTCCTGAGCATTTCATCTCCTAAACACACGATTTACACAGCAATTGGAAACTTTAGTTTCATTATGTAGCAAAATGAGGTTTTAGGTGCTTCAGTACAAAGAAAATACTCAGCATGATCCTTTCTCTTAATTCTCTTTGGATCATATTAAATCAGAAAGATATTTATACACATAAAAATACAATAAAATAGCAGATAAAATAAAGGAGAGAGAAACAAATGCTAAAATGTCTAACATGATTTCATAGGGAACCTAGATTTCATTATTTTTCTTCCCCCATTGAATTATTTCCCTGAAATGCATTTAAAAATATGGAAGTAAATTTGTATTAGTTATGAATACTTCATCAGCTAATATTTTCATTACCTTAGAGATTCACTAGTTTATCTTTTCTTACTTAATTGATTAGAGAATAAATGTCATGGAAGTTAAGTGACTTATTCTGGAGTCTTTTGGTGTCTTCAGCCCACAACTCTAAGATCCCCGTCTACTGAGCCCCCCTCTATACTATATTGTTATTTATGTAAAAACATTTTAAGTATAGTATATGAGACTTAGCAGACAAATATGCCTACTTTTTAAATTACATCTAAGATTTACGGAAACATGAAGGGATAGACACTATTTTGAGACAAGATAATTTTATTGATTCAGGACAATAAGGCATATCTCTTATCCAGAAGTAGGGATATATTTGGTGTCTCACAGATGCAATTTTGTCACTATCAAGTTAGGGGATGTAACTCTGAAATGTGAAAAACGTAATCTATACATATCTGGCTATATTAACACTATAATCTCATTAAATTTATTGGTGATTTCTGAGCAAACTAGGGATAATTTGGATCAAATGTATGCAGTATTGTCTAGTAGAAAGAGTGGTGGTTTTTAGAGAAAACAAACTAGGTTTGAATCCCATTTCTGCCGCATGTTAACTTTTCCTAAGCCTCGGTTTTCTTATATGTATAAAGGGAATAATAAGACCAATCTGGCAGGATTGTTAGAAGTGTTACAAATAATACATGAAAAATGTGCAGCACAGTGCCTGGCATACATAAATCATCCTCTATGGAAAGTATTGTTGTTATTGTTAGTCTTAATTATTCAATGCATCATCAAGTCAAAACTCACCCTCAGACTGGCAATGGGTCTTGACTTGCAAATATGACAACAGTAATTTTTTCTCACTTTAAATGAGAATACACCTTAAAACTGAAAGAAACATTTTTATAAAATCCAAACAGTTATACACACAAGTATTTCTATTTTGATACCAGCAGACTGGATCTCAGACTAATTATCCTTATTTCATTGTCAACTGAAATTTTTAAAACAAGTTTTTAAATGTCTAATCAAATTGTATTTGAATGTTGTCTGTTAAAATGAGGTATGTTCTTTGTTCTAATATTGACAAAATGAGTGAAAAAAATGAGGCTTGAATTTTGGCATATTAATCTGGTTTTTCTTAAAATTTGGGGGCTTTTCTGCTCCTTTTAGAAATGGAAACTTTAAAAATATTAAAGGGACACATAATTATAAAACTAGTGTATGTATTTATTCATAAAAGGGTAAAAGGGAATGTATATAATGATCAGCGTTACAAAGATTTTTTATATGAGCCAGGTCTTCAACCTTCTTTTGGAAATTTTACATTGTCATTGTATAGATTATAAAATTTTGTATGCATACATAGATTCTTTTGTGCAAGTGGTCGCTATTAAAATATGTTAAAAGCATTATGGTAATTCTTAATCACTGTTTTTTTTCATAGTCTAAAGAAATCAGAGGCATTGCTCATAGAATTAATGACAAGAAAAACAATGGTGGGATTTTAGTTCCATTCAGACCACCCACACCTCACTAAAAGAAAGTACAACCTGAACAAAGTAGTCATTATCCCAATCAAACACGGAACATGAGGTCCTTTTGGGACTTACATAACCAACTCTAATTAAAACACCATGAAAACTGTATAATGAGATCATTGTTATTCTGTAGTGATTTGGGGGGTTTGGGTTTCAACCTCTTAAAATTATGTATGTACTGAATATGTAGCTGGAAACTGATCATATAATACCTGAGAAATGTGGCTTTTTAATAGTTCCGTCTCATTTCATTGCTTGCCTAAATATAAACTGGTTCTAACATCTTTCAAAAGCAAAGTTTTGGGAGCTTATGTGTTTGAAAAGTACTTTTAGTGGATTGCTTTCTTTATTCTTGGTTAAAGGCAGAAGCATCTTGACATTTACATTGCTATTTTTCTGCTTTCAAGGATGCTAACAAAAAAAAAAATGGTCTTGGCTTGGATTAGCTTGAAATGGTCCCCTGAGCTTCCACAAGGTCATTCTGGCAATCTCTGAAATAATTTCCTTTGTTATGAACCTGCTGTGACATCTTCCATAAGGACACAATGTCAGAGACACACAAAGGCATGCACATGTATATACACATACATATACTGTCCCTCAAATTACAAATGGGCTGTGCTCTCCAAACTCCTGATTATGCCATTGTTTGGAACTCAGAAGTGTTTTCCCAAAGAAACAATCATATAAGTGTAGTTACTGAGATAGTCCCTATAGTCTGCTTAGCCAAGATGTAGCTGAAATACCATACATAAGAATGAAAAATGGGATACTGGACCATAATCAATAGTTTTGTTTTAATTATATTTAAATTTAATTATATTTAAATATAATTAAAATAATTTAATAATAATAAAATAAAGGTTAATTTAAATAATTAGCCTTTAATTCATCTCTAATGGTGGTGTTAGAGGATGTTCACTTTTCCTAAGAGTCCTATTTCTATCTAGCAGCCAGAATTAGACACTGGCTCATGTTTGCTCCCTTGATTTCTCATGCCTTTCAAATCAATCCAAATGAAAGAGTGAATCTCTGATTCTCTTTTCCAAAGCCACACCAAATTTCCTATCCTTTTGTAAAATTTCCCTATAAACCTATCTCACCACAGTAATGCAGCAGTGTCTTTGTGTGTGTGTGTTAGAATGGGGAGGAAGGGAAACCCTTATTGCTGTTTAACTGCTATCTCATTTAAATGTGGAGAGAGAATAAAGATGAGATTTTATGGAGATGTGCCCTCTTAATGTATAAATGTGGGGTCATGTTCATATACCTTACACACATGTTATTAGTGGTGTATTAATAGAAATCCTTTGTCATTATATTTTTGTGTGGAGCAGTTTTGAAATCCCATTGCTTTCTATTTGTATACTAAAAGATTAAAATCAAAGATCTTTCTGTTTCTGTTCAGTTTAGTCCAATCACTTTAAATAAAAGAGAGGACAATAATTATTGCTCTCTCATTTTAAGACTATGTAAGCTAGTGTATGGGTGAGTGAAGAAAGGAGATAGAGACACAACAGTAGCCTCAAGGACTCATAACCTTAAACATTGGAGTAATTTTTGACAAGGCTGGAAATCTTGCTGAAATTTGCTAAAAGAATCTAGGAAGAAGCATTTTTTTAAAAGATATTAAATTTCAACCACAAAATGGTTGATGCCAAAATCTAAAATGTAGTTTAAATGTCAAAAGTTAAAACATAGGAGAATATGCCCCAGAAGACCATGATGCTTACAACAGTACTCCCCAAACACCTAAAGAAAGTGATTAGAGAGAAGTCTTTTCTACTGGAAAAAGTTTGTCATTTAGAGTCCCAAGATTTATTTTGAAAGCTAGTGCTACTTAGATATTTTATTTACTATTTATTTATTTATTTATTTATTTATTTGAGTCAGAGTCTTGCTGTGTCCCCCAGGCTGGAGTGCAGTGGCGCCATCTCGGCTCACTGCAAGCTCCGCCTCCTGGGTTCATGCCATTCTCCTGTCTCAGCTTCCCGAGTACCTGGGACTACAGGCGCCCGCCACCACGCTTGGCTAATTTTTTGTATTTTTAGTAGAGACGGGGTTTCACCGTGTTAGCCAGGATGGTCTCGGTCTCCCGACCTCGTGATCCGCCTGCCTCGGCCTTCCCAAAGTGCTGGGATTACACGCGTGCCACTGCGCCTGGCCCTTATTTACTCTTTTCTTAACTGCATATTTAATGTCTCTCCTCAAACTCTTTATTTTCTATGAAGATGTTGCAACCCCTCGATTGGCAAGCAATTAGCAAAGTTTAATAAAGGGAAGGACAATATATTGAAAATTAAACATGAAGGAAATACTTCACTGCTGTGATTCTGGGGAAAGAGAACTTGGGTCACTTAATTTTTAAATATGTCTCCCTTGGTTAATAGCGATATGGGGGAGCTTTGGAAATGAGAACATTATCAGAGTCTGAAATATTAATAATCTTTTGAGATCTATTTTAGAGATGAAAAACTGATGCTCAGAGATGCTAATTATCTTGCTGCAGATCATTTAAGAAGAAAAAGACAAATTTTCATCTCAAATCTCTTCCCACTTTTAAAAATCCCAAGTCCAGTGCTCTCCTATAATATCATTGTTATTTGGTATTCTTAATTTTGAAAGCTATTCTAATGTGGAGAAGTGAGATGCTAATCACAAAAAGCAATATTAAAACTATATCGTATGACAAATAAAAGACAATTCAACAGAGAAAAGAGAGTCTTAACAAACAATGCTGGAACAACTGGACATCTACATGCAAAAAAAAAAAAAAATCGAAACACAGACCTTATCCTTTTCATGAAAATTAACTCAGAATGGATCATAGACCTAAATGTAAAATGCTATACTATAAAACTTCTAGAAGATAATATAACAGAAAATCTGAGTGACTTTGGGTTTGACAATAACTTTTGAGGTATGACACAAAAAGCATGATTTGAATTATGATTTAATTTTCAAATTTCATTAAAATTAACAACTTCTGCTCTGCAAGAGGTACTGTTAAGAGAATGAAAAGCCATAGTCTGAGAGAAAATATTTTGTAAAACATCTACCTAATAGAGGATTGGTGTCCAAAATATAAAAATACGTCTAACAACTCAACAATAAGAAAAAAACCCTCAATTTTAAAAATGGGCGAAAGAGCTGAACAGATATCACATCAAATAAAATATATAGACGGCAAATAAGCATATGAAAAGATGCAAAACATCATATATCATTGGGGAACTGCGGATTCAAACAACAATGAAATACCAACATACCTCTATTAGAATAGCTAAAATCCAAAACACTGACAACAAATGCGGATGAAGATGTGGAGCAACTGAAAGTTTCATTGACTACTGGTGGACAAGAAAAATGATATAGCCCCTTGGAAAGACAGTTTGGCAGTTTCCTACAAAGCTAAACATAGGCTTACTACATTATCCAGCAATTGCACACTTTGGTATCTGCTGAAATAAATTGAAATGTATGTCCACAAAAAAGCCTGCACCAAAATATGTAGAGCAGCTTTATTCACAACTGCCAAAACTTGAAAGCAACAAAAATGCCCTTCAAAAATGAATACTAGTCAATGATAAAAAGAAATGAACACGGAGAAAATGCACTGCATATTGCTACATGAAAGAAGTCAATCCAACAAGGTTGCATACTGTACTATTCCAAATAGGTGACATTCTGGAAAAGGCAAAACTATGGAGACAGTAAAAAGATCAGTGGTTGCCAGAGGTTTAGTAGGGAGGAATGAATAGGTGGGGCACAAGAGATTTTTAGGGCAGTAAAACTATTCTATATGACCCTGCAACAGTGGGTACATATTATTATACATTTGTCAAAGCCCATAGAATGTACAACCTAAAGAGCAAACCCTGATATTAAACTATTCATTTTAGTTTGTATCAATATTGGCTCACCAATTTTGTATCAAGATTGGCTCATGGTAACAAATGTACCAACACACTACTGCAAGATATTAACAATTGGGATAACTGTGTCTAGGAAGAGGGGATGCTGAGGAATCATATGAGAATTCCGTACTTTCTGCTCAATTATTTTCTAAGCCTAAACCTGCTTTAAAAAATAAAGACTATCAATTTGTTTAAGAAAATCAAATTATAGTGGGAATGCACAGGTTTACCAGGGCAGACTCGTTGCTCTGCCTTTGTAGAGTAATAACTACAGGGAGCAAAAAAGGATCTAATGGCAAAACACAGATGCCCAGAGATCTCCTCTCCAGACACACCCAGTATCCAGGAGTGGTAGAGCACTGCCTACTGGAATGACAGTAAAGGAAGGAGTGAGATACAAGATTTAGAATTCTTAACAAAATGCATAATCCCCTGTCTACTCAAGAGCAACAAGTCAAATTTCACACTGCTGGATTTGATAGTACTGATATTTTGTGATGCTTTGTAATTTTCAACATACTTTCACTTACGTGGTCCCGGAACATAGATATTGTTTTGCTGGCTCCCCATTGCTGACCAAGTTCAGTACTTCCAAGGTACTTTGCAGCTTTTTCATTTATGGCATTGCAGTCTATCCTTGTGCCCTTTCCCTCTCCCCTTACTCAGAATTAGATGTCCCCTTGAAAACAGAGGCTGTGAGGCTTAATAGTCTGTAGAGCTGGAAATGACTTTAGAAATTATCTTTATCCATAGATCTTCATATAATTACATGTAGACAAATAGTGCTTTACCTAAATGGCCAGGTAAATGGGGCAGAGGGGAGGCCCTTTCCAGTACTCAATCCTGTTTTCCCACCTAAACCTAGAGGAATTCTAAAAACAACCTGCAACGAGACTCTTAGAGCCACACAATCACTAAATTAGCCAATTCTTCCTAAATATCACGTCCTAAATTGGTCCTTTGCTCTTCATTCCTGACACCAACATATCAAATCATGTTCTTTTCACCCCGTGCCTTTCCTACTCCCATAATCTTCCTAAAGGTTTCTGCTCTCTCCTGACTCCAGTGCACCCTCTCAGGAGCACTAGATAAATCCTCCTAACAACACATATTTCTACATGGCTTTTTTGTGTCCATGAAAAATGAAGCCCAAACCTCTCAACAGAGCATTTAAGGGACTCCACAACTTGATCTTACCTACCTTTCCATAACCACTAACCCAATAACCATTCAGACTACTCTACCTTTTGTACTTCACTCTCGAGCACACCACACACAACTTCTCCTTTGTGTCTTTCTTCAAACTATCCTCCTGGAAATGCACCTTAATTTAATGGGCATACTATCATTCCCTCATGCCCACATACATCTTTCACTTTCCCTATAAAGTCTTTTGTGGCTGGGCATGGTGGCTCACGCCTGTAATCCCAGCACTTTGGGAGGCTGAGGCAGGCAAATCACGAGGTCAGGAGTTTGAGACCAGCCTGACCAACATGGTGAAACCCCGTCTCTACTAAAAATACAAAAATGAGCCAGGCATGGTGGCATGCGCCTGTAATCCCAGCTACTCAGGAGGCAGAGGCAGGAGAATCGCTTGAACCCCGGAGGTGGAGGTAGTGGTGAGCCGAGATTGTGCCACTGCACTCCACCCTGGGCGACAGAGCGAGACTCCATCTCAAAAGAAAAAAAAAAAAAAAAAAGTCTTTCTTGATTACCACAAGACAATACTTTCTCTCTTCACTGAATCACAAAAGTACTTTTTGGCTGTAGTATTCATTGTGCACTTTGAATAAGTATTCTGTACCTGTATTTGATATATAATTTATGTATTTTAGCTCTTGAATTAGATGAAGCTCCTTGAAGGTAGGGATCTTATATTGCCAGTTTCCAGCAGTATTGCACAGAGCAACAGAGCAGCGTTCAATGAGGAGCCAGGTTTACATGCAACATCATAGGATTCAAAATTTTGAATCCTCTGTTTCCAGATCATTGGGAATATTATTCTACGTATTCCAAAAATAATATATTCCAGTGTTTAGTGTCACTTTTATTGAGACGATATTTTTTTGGGACATGATCTAAATACAAAATGAAGTATTTGGCTTTACACAGTAAAGTTCTGTCAAGAACTTTCTTAAAATGCAAATCATCTTTTACTTCTTTCTTGTGTATTAGATGAGAATTCTGTATGCCCAGTGGGTTAGAGAGTGAGATTCTTATGTGAATAACATCTCTAAAGACTGTTTAACATTAAAAAAAAATTGAACCCTGTTCACCAAATGTTCTTTTGTACAATGTAATTAACAATTTTATTTTTCTCTATATAATTATCATTATAAATAATCAATCTACTTTTCATTAGCTTAAACTCAAATTTTTACTTTGAATATTTCCTTCCCCATTAAGAATGTGCTTATAAGCATTGAGAGTGGAAATCCTATTGTAATTTTGAAATGTTTGCATCAATCATTTTTAGAAATGTGAATTATCTATCAAGAAAAAACATGAAGTAGGATGATTTCTTAGGTATTTTATAAATGAAGTACAAATTCGTGACAATTTTGAGATAAAGGTGAGTCCGATACGTCTAAACGAAGCTAATCTATTTACACTGCTATAGTATATATAGGTATACACACATAAATTAATATATATAAATTAATATAGTAACATAAATTAATAGAGCTAAGGAAAAGAACGGCAGACATGTATTCCTTCAATAACTATAGTAATAGCTTAGCACAATTTCAAAAGAGTGAACCAGAAACTTTCAGTCCTAAAGTTTGTTATATGAGTTAGAACATTATCACCATCGACACTTTGAGGCTTGCATAATGAGAACACAAGGTATACTGTAATTACATTACTAGCATGAATAAAATGATGTGTTTAATCATTTTTAACTCAGGGGCAGACAAATATCTACTTTTCTACTCAAAATGCATGATAAAGTAAATTGAGTTCATAAATATTTTTGAACGGATAATAAAAAGTTTACCAGATGCATAATTTAGACCATAGAGGGGTCTTCCGTATCCAGTGCAAGTGCCAAGAAAGACAAATGGGGAAAGCTTACTATATTATACAAAACTATGTTCTTTACATATAATTTGTATTAATTTCTGAATTTTTCTTTAAAGTAAATAGAATAATTTACAAAATATATTTTAAACCCCTAAGTTATCTACTTTATGACTTTTTAATAATGCTAGATTTAATAATGTGGTTTGATTTTTCTCCTCAGCAATTATTACATCTAACATCGTTACATTTATTTAATTACTTTGTTCATTCTGTTTCCCCATTCCCACCACTAGAATATACCTCATCAAGGAAGGTAACTTAAGGTGACAGCTATGTCCCTGATGCTTAAAAAAATACAAGCAGCAAACAAAGTGTCTTAACCATATCTCTTATTATAATAATGTATATTTTCCAAAGACTTATAATGCAGAATCATAATATTGGAAAATTACGTAAAGTATGGATTTTAAATGTGAATTTGAGTTTAAAACCATAAAGGAAAATTACCAAATATCGGGCTTTAAAAACATATTTTACTATAAAGGAGTCTCATTCCATCATCTCCTTCTATAAATGTAGAAATTAAGATGTTGAAAGATTAAGTGATGTGTGAGATCACAGAACTTTAGTACTAATGGGCACCTTAAACCTCACGTGGTCCAAATATTCAGGTGCTTAGGGCCACCCAGCCTATATTTTAATGTCTGCAGTGATAAGGCTTTTGCTACTTTATAAAAGTATCATATTTATTATTTTACCTTTTTCTTATATGTAATTAAGATTTCTATACCATACATCGATTCCTTAGTCCTAGTTATAACCTTTGTTTATACATAGTATGTCTAGTCCAGGGTGTATCATGAGAAGAAGCAGGAGGCAAAGAGATATTGGGGGAAGAATGGAGTAGGAGGACTGTTTGTTTAGCCCAGAACTTTCATTCTTAAAGGGCCACAAATTTGGACTTTCACACTACATAAAATTATACATACATACATACACATACACACAAACACACACATACACATATAAAAAATATATATACACAAATATATACATATGTATATTATATATACACATATACATACATTAAATATGTCATATAAATACACATATTATATATGTATATATTAAACAGAAAAGTATGTATTTGTATGTTGTGTCTCATAGAATTATCAGTTAAATAAAAACTGTTTAAATATGCCATAATCTTTTTCTAAAATTTGTAGAGATTCAGGAGGTATATGTGCAGGTTTGTTACATGGACATATTATGTAATGGTGAAGTTTGGGCTTCTAGTGTACCCATCACCCAAATAGTGAACAGTGTACCCAATATATAACAACTTTTCAACTCTCCCTCTTTTGCAGTCTCTAGTGTCTATCTCTCTCTGTATGTCCATGTGTATCTATTATTATCTCCAACTTATATGTGAGCACATGCGGTATTTGATTTTCTGTTTCAGAGTTATTTCACTTAGGATAATGGCCTCCAGCTCTATCCATGCTGCTGTGACAGACATGATTTCATTCCTTCTGATGACTGCTTAGTATTCTATAGAGTACATATACCACATTTTTTAATCCAATCACACGTTGATAGACACTCAGGTTGATTCTATGACTTCACCATTGTGACTAGTCCTGTGATAAACATATGAATGCAAGTATCTTTTTGATATAAAAAAATTGTTTTCCTTTGGGTAGATACCAAGAGATTAGCCTTTTGGGTTGAAAGGTAATTCTATTTTTAGTTGTTTGAGGAATCTCATACTGTTTTCCAAGTATATATAAAGGCTATGCTAATTTACATTCCTACCAACAGTGTATAAGCATTACTTTTTCTCTGCTTTCTCTCCATCTGTTATTTTTTCACTTTTTAATAATAATCATTCTGACTGGTGTAAGATGGTTTCTCATTGTGGTTTTAATGACGTGGTTTTATGATGATTGATGGGTACCATAATCTTTTAAACTTCATGTTTTCTTCATTTATCTTCTACTATATAAGGAACTTCAAAAACAAAACCATACTGTACTCATAGTATCCTCTGAGTCTGTATCTAATCCACCTTCCATATAATTGTTAAAATGTTTTCAGAAAGCACTCCATGTGACTCTCCAACCAAACAAGCCTAATTCCTCAGTTGTTTCAACATCGATCTAAATCCCACTTTCCCCTAAATATTAAACTTGTTGAACTCCAACATAAAATGTAGTTTCCAGGATTAAACTTATTAATCTAGATGGGATCTTTGCAGGAAAAAATAGCATGGGTCTATCCCCTGATCTGGTCAAGAAAGTGTATTTCTTTCAGTGCAACCTATAATTCCATTTGCTTTTTCATTGGCCATATCATATTTGACTCATATTGAAATTAATGTAAGAAACTTCTTACTCATTTTTTCTGTGCTGCTGCTAAGCCAAGTTTCCATTATTTTATATTTCTGCAGTTTAATTTTTCTTTGGGGGAGGGGGAAGTTCCTCAAATGAGTAACTGCTTTATAATTTCTTTTACACTACTGTTATGTTCATAGAAGGTATGTATTCTGAAAGTTAAACATAAACATTTAATGTAGGGCAAAAAGTATAATTTTTGAGACATGCATCCTACCTATAAAAACCTGGTGGTGCCTGCTTTACCAGAAAGCTTTTCTCCATGTCTTGGAGAATGTCATTCAGCATCCGGATGCGGATGGGTGCTCTCTCCTTGGGATCATTAGCAGGTCGCATCTCATCAGACTGAAAAAGTTCAGCACTCTCCCGCAGGCGTAACGCCATGGCTAACAGTTGATGAGTGTTGGGTTGATCACCTGGTGAAGATAAATGAGCCCATCTCAGAAGAGACATTCTCAAGGGAGCAAAATAAGCATTTTCCAA
This sequence comes from Homo sapiens, assembly GCF_000001405.40. Lineage (NCBI taxonomy): Eukaryota > Metazoa > Chordata > Mammalia > Primates > Hominidae > Homo > Homo sapiens. The sequence continues at coordinate 175,755,152 of NC_000003.12, read as the reverse complement.
TCAGGAATCTAAGTTATAAGCCAGACAGACCACTGAAGAAGGAAGAGGAAATTGTCATTGACAGTTCTCTCTCTCTTTTTTTTTGTCACTTGACAAAAGCAAGGGTATATGTGTTTGAATCTTACCTGTCCAAGGAAAAAGATTCAGCATCAAGTAAACTTTGAACTTTGAGAATATATTTATTTTGCCCAAAGCATTCTGTCTCAACTTGTTTTTATATTTTACTAAATTAAGTTTATCACTGCTCATAATAATAACAACAGTAAATAGGTACTGTACCGATTGCTGAAGGATTGCTATATTCCAGGCACTATGTCTTTAATATTGACCAAAACTTGCTTGTCACATACATTTCATAGAAGCTGAGAACTAAGTAAGGTCAGAAAATTGTCATAGGTTATCAAGCAAGTAAATAACAGGACAGAATTAGAAGTTTGATCTTTCTGACTCAAAAATTTATGTTCACCAGAGAGTAAACTGTATTTCAGGGAAGAAAATAAAAACCGAGTTGTGATCTTTTCTCTTGAGAACCTGAGATATGTTACTATATGTTGTCATGTGACTACTGGGTTCTTTTTTTCTTTACTAGAAATGTCCTGTAATGTGAAGTTGATATATATCTTTGACCTAAAAATACACTAAAAACTATTTTATGTAGTGTTTGCATTGTTTTGTTTTAGTTTGGAGGTTTGTGTTTGTCTTTGTTTCTTTTCCAATTGTTAGTGTAACTTACTAAAAGTCATTCTGAGAGGAATGGTGGTAGCAAAGGCTCCACAGGACATACCTTTGACTAAGAGAAAGGCAACACTAGTATAGTTGTCCGCTGAACTCTAGAGCCAGTCCACTTGAGTTTAAATCCCTGCGCTACCACTTAGTATCTATGTGATATTGGTAAAGTTATTGAGCCTCAGTGCCCTCATCTGTAAAATGAATGTAATAATAGTACCTGCTTCATAGATTTATTATGAGGATTAAATGATTAATACTTGTTCAGTATGTCCCCACAGGTAAGCAGTTCTCAGCTGATGTGATTCAAGACCTTCTTTAAAAATCACTCTCTTATCATGTCATGAGAGGGGCATTCCCTCACATCTTCTTCCAGATATCTCACCATTAGAATCAGGCTTTAAGTGAGACAACAATTACTGGTATCATTCTCAGCAGACTAGGTACAACTGGCTTCAACAAGGCTGGCATATCACTACAGAGGATCACTTCAAGTCAAGGTAATGAAGGAAAGTAGAGCTGGATAACCTAAATTGGCAGTTTTGAGAGGATGATATTGAGACAGACAGATGGTGTGAAGAATGGAGGCCTCCTGAGGCCTTCACTATGAGAAGTCCTGGGCAAAAGGGAAACATCACAAAAGGACTCTGTCTAAGTAAAGTCCAAGGGTTACCAGTTCCCGTAATACTTGGTCCTTATGAAAATGCAGATTCCCAGAACTACTGATTCTTTCTAGGGGCACAGCCAAGAATCTTCATTTCAATATGCTACTCAGATTATTCTATACATATTTAAGAAAAATTACAGAGAGGTGATATGCTAAGAAAAGGAAAACTAGGTTAGATGTATAGCTGATACGTTAAATATGTTTGTCATAGAATTGCCAACCTCTAAAATGATAATTTTTTATTCTCACCTTCATTTGATGGAGACTGTTTTACATGTCAATGTCTTTAGTGCCCAGCACCGTGTTGAAATTCAATAATTGTTTACTAAATAAGCAAAGTAGGTTCAATAAAGTATGTTTAGAAAAAAAAATCTGATAACAAATAAAATTATGTAAAGAGATAAGTAGTTTTATAAGGGCTACAAAGAGATTCATAGGTAGGATTACATGAAATGTTCTTAGAGAACATAGTCATTTTTGCTAATTTTCAATATCCCACAATCTAGTTAAAAATCGTGGTAGAAGGAGAAATAATGCTTGAGGCTAATATGTAGCTCCCTGCTCACTGAAATTAACAGTAAGAATAAAATCAATTATAGGAGTTCACAAGGTTTTGGCATTTGATGTTTTCAAAGTGCATTTCAGATTCATTAATTATCTTGTTTGATTTCACAACAAAATGAGGTTGCAAGAATGGGTATTTTAAGTCATTTAGAAAATCTAGCTCCTGAATAATTTACTCAATGCCATTTTATGAAAATAGTTTGTCCTAAATTTTGATGGTTCAGCAAAGTTAATGTATAGATAACTTCAAGGGAATATCTCTGCACAAGGAAACAATAAGATGGATACAGCACATTTAGATTATGCTGGAAAGACTGAACAACAGAAAAAACAAGTTCGACATCCTTGAGAGTCTTCCATTTAAGAAAGAAAAATCTGTTCTGATCTAAAGTACATTACAGAATTGAACACATTACTACCGAATCAAGTGAGACAAATTGTATCATTCTACCTTATTTAGCTTTAAATGAATTTATCTTTCATGGTAGTACAGATGCAGAGAACTGACAGCTTCAGGAACTGGCTAGCTCCAGAAAGGACCCTGATAGTGGAAACTAGCCACTCACAACACACTGTATGCATTACTTCAAGTGTATGAGGTTACAAATTGAAAAGTAGCTCTATTTTCAATGTTTACTCAATCATTTTGATATATAAATGATGCTCCAAAGATTTCTAGTAGCCATTTCTCTGCCAATTAGAGCTTGCTTGTTCTTTTAAATAAGACCAGAAAGAAACCTTACCTTTCCTACTTCAGCTTTTGTGACCCCAAATGATTCATCTTTTATGCTTCTTAGGATCCCTACTAGAATATCAGTTCTGTGAAGGGAGAGGTTTGTGTCTTTTATTCACTGCCATTTCCCTAGCACCTAAAAGTGCCAGTTGTACCATTTAATCAATGAATAATTAACTTATATACTTTTATCATAGCAGCTGCAATATTTTGATCCTTATCTGCCCTGTCTCTCTACTCTTTCTGATTGGAAAGAACCCTATGTAATCAGAAAATACATTTTATTTCTCTTTGTATTCCCAGATCGTAGCATAATATCTGTTTTATGGTAGTCATTTATTAATAAATTTGTTGAGTGAATGTTGAATTATGAGATGTCTTTTTTGAAATGTATTATTATATTAAACAATGTCTACAAAATCATTCAGGGAGATGTTTGGTGCATAATGAGCATCAACAAATGCTATTTCCTTCACTTTCTTACTAAAAATCCATTATAGTTGCAAAATAAAGGAAAAATATTTAAAAGAAAAGAGGCTATTGTAGGGTAATGATAAGTTAAATTAAACTAAATTGAAATAAAATATGCCCTACAAAAACCCCATAAAAACTTAAGATTATATAAAACTTTACTTAAGGCACGGTGAATTTCAGAGAAAAGAGGACAAACTGAGGCTGTTCATAGTACGGGTTTAAAAAATAATAAGTACGTTTAAACAAAGAAAATTAACTGGAAATTAGATATTTCTCTCAGAGCGAGTTAATACAACTATTTTTTAAATTATACACATGGAGTTTACACACCAAAGACTGGATATCAAAAGATAGATTACAGTATGGTTTACTTAATTACTATCAGTGTGGTCATGAATAAGTTACTTAATACTACAGGCCTTCAGCTTCCTTGGAGAAAATAATCATGTAAGTTTCTAAGTGCATAAATCACTATTTACGCAAGTTTGTATTATTAGAGCACACAAACAACACAAGTTACTACAAACCCATTTTTTAAAGGCATGGAAAAAATATTGTAACAGCTTTACTGACTTTTTTTTTCTCAGAGATGTTACTCTCTATCACTTCTTCAACCTGTGCCCCTCCAACCCAATGTATCATATTCCATATTCCTTCTCATATATACTTTAATAAGGATTTCTAATTTTATTTTGCTGTGCTTGCAAATTGGGTGCCATTTTTCCCCATGGGCTGCTATCTCAAACTTCTGAAGAACAAGGAAAGAAATAATATAAAGGATAAAGGAATTAAACGGTGAACTTTAAAAAGGATTCTTTTAGATCACTGCTCCTGGTGAAACGCTAACCATTAATAAATTTTTATAGTATGGTAGAACATGCTGATTTATTATAAATATTAAAAATCAAGCTTAATATAATACAATATAGTTGACTGTCTACTGAAACTATCTTGATATTATTTGAGACAAATGAAATTAACTTACAAATTTCAAACAAAAACAGTTTGCATTTATTCTTTTTCCCTTCATCTCAAAGTAAAATACATGTGTTCAGTAGGTATTTATTGAGTCCTTTTTTATATGTTATTCTAAAAGTACTGAGAAAGAAGCAAAGACATAGAAGATTAAATTTTTAATCTTAATAAATTCCTGATCTAGTTAGAAATGTACATATACATCTAAACACACAATAATTGTCACATGAAATAAATGCTCATGAGGATGACTGAAGAGTTCATTGTGTATAAGAATGATCTGACAAGTGTCCAGGGAAGAAGTAAACCTTGAGAGATAGATCATGAAACTGCCTAAAAATCCAGGACATCTTAAATGAGCTCTTGAAAGTTCTGGGATGTTATCTACATTAAAGCAATTGAGGGAGAGTGTTCCATTTTTAAACATTATTAATGTCTTTCCAGCCTCATCCCTTAGTCCTCACTATCGTAGAGGATAAATCTCCCTCCAATCCAAATCCTCCCATTTTTCTGGCTTGTTATGGAAAGAATGGAGCTGGATATTGTAAGAAGTATTAATATTAATTAAAGAGGAAGAAAGAAGGAAGGAGGGAGGGGTGGAGGCAGGGAGAGAAGAAGAGAGAGAGAAATGTTAGTCAATAGATATCAAAATAGATATTGAGACCTAGACAAGCCAATTTAGGAAAGACTCTAAGATGTTCTGGGGAAAACAAAAGCCTTTTGCTCAGGGAATCTTCTGCCTTCTAGCCAACGATCATCCTGTAGCATCCTGCCCTCAAGACAGTTCATGAGGCAATGTGGTGTAGCAGAGAGGTTGAGGGGATTTGGAATCTGATAGACCTAGATTCAAGCCCCAGTTCTCCCACTAATTATACATCTGGTTAAGACACAAACTCCTCTGAGGCTCAGTGTCTTAATCTCTAAATTGGACTTAATCCACAGCTCAGCTCGTTGAGCTAGAAGTAAGTTAAAATATTATAACAAATGTAAGGAACTTAACACAATATATGGAGCTTTGTGGAGTAGCCTCTAAAGTGACAAACTTCTTCCCAGAAATCTTATTCCTTCTGAACACCCTTGATACAGGATCCTAAAACACCTTCCAACAGCAGGTCACAAGCTCAAAGTCATTTTATAATGGCTTATCCATTTAAAGCTTCTAAGACTTCTGCGTAAGGCCGTTAACTACAGTAACGACTGTATCCACTGAATTTATACATGCTGTAACCTGCCGGGACCTGGGATCAGCACAAACTACATTTTACCTGAGGTATTAAATAACTTGATGTATGCTATGGATAAGTTTGTCCTCTCCAAAACTCATGTTGAAAATTAATTGTCAGTGTAATGGCATTGGAAGGTGGAGCCTTTCAGAGGCCATTAGGCCTTGGGGGCTCTGCTTTTATGGGTGGGTTTCATGCCTTTAGAAAGTGGCTTTCAGGAGTGGGTTCTCTCTCTTTGTTTTCCCCTCTTCTGCCATGTTGGAAACAGTGTTCCCCTCCTCCAAAGGATATAGCCTTCTTACAAGCAGAAACTGGGCCCTTACCAGGCACTAAACCTGCCAGCTCCTTGATCTTAGACTTCCAAACCTCCAGAACAGTGAGAAATAAATTTCTGTTCTTTATAAATTACCCAGTTTTGGGTATTCTGTTATAGCAGCACAAAATGAACTAAGACAATTAGTTTCAACTTAGCATAAACTCTTGGGTATTAACTTTGTTCCCCAATCTCCTGGAAAAATTTAAAACCTTCCCTTCTCTCCCCATCATCCTCCCCCTCCTCCCCCTACCCCCTCTCCCTCCCCTTCCCCTCCCCTCCCTTCCCCTCCTCTCCCTTCTCCTCCCCTCCCTTCCCCTCCCCTCCCTTCCCCTCCGCTCCCTTCTCCTCCCCTCCCTTCCCCTTTCTTTCCTGATGGGTCTGGCTCTGTTGCCCAGTCTGGAGTACAGTAGTACAATCAAAGCTCACTGCAGGGATGACCTCCTGAGCTCAAGAGATCCTTCTACCTCAGCCTTCCAAGTATCTACAGCCAAAGGCTTGCACAACCATGTCCAGCTAATTTTTAAAGTTTTCTTTCAGAGATGGAATCTTGCTCTTTTGTCCAGGTTCATCTTGAACTCCTAGCCTCAAGTGATCCTCCTGCCTCAGCATCCTATAGTGGTGGGGTTACAGATATGAGCCACCATGCCCAGTCTATAATTTTCCTATTCTAAGGAGTGATTTTACTGCTTATCATTATGATCTCTTTGGACTTTCCTACTCCAACAAGTTTTAAATTTTAGTTTACTTCAATTTTTCTGTGTTTTTTGTGGCTGTATTTTTAAAGGCGTATTCAATTTTATTTTAAATTAAAAGTGAAATGTACTGGTCATCCTCTAAAACAACATTTTTATATCAAACAAATGTAAGCTTTTTCTTTAATAGTATTTCCCAGAACCTATTATCCTATGGATGAGCTTACCACAGTTTTAAAGGTGCTAACAATTGCACAATCATAGCTTAGACTTCACTGATTTATAGTGACAAGAAAAAGTATGATTTATGTTCTGCATAATACAGTGGTTAAAAGAGTAGAAGATTATTTTGGGGGAAAATGTATATTACCTAATGTCATCTTAAAAACACCTTGTGGTATCACTAAAGAAAATAAAAGAAATTGCCAATATGATTTCAGCCAGGGGCAACAGTAGTCCTTTTTATCATACATTTTCTATTCTTCATGCTGCTTTTTTTAGTATGAATCACAATGAATCATCTCAGCTGGTGATTTAAAGATGTTAAACAAACAACTCAGGTAGTGAAAAAATGTGAGAGCGATTGCGCTATTGATACTCAAATAATCTAACATTGATTTGATAATGCATAGATAAAAAGATATTATTTAAGGGTGAAAAATGCCAGAAAACAATGGATAATTATAGCTAAACTGAATGAAATAGAAATCTCATTGCAAAAGATACTGAAGTGATAGGTTTAGATGGATTATACTGGTTACTTTAAAAAAAAAAGCAACAGATTTCTAAATTCTAAAGATTATCCAATAATCCAGGTAGCCACTGCAGATGCAAATCTAATAAGACTTCCAACTCACTGCATGTAGTGGGTTCCCTAAATTGTCTGTCCATTTATTTTAGAAATATAACCATGGGCTCTTTTGTGACCTATAGATGTTGTCACTGGGTTACGTTTGTGACTGCATGATCTGGCTACAGACTGCTTGGGAAATATGAGCAAAAACATTCCTGAATGAATTAAATTCAGGTGGAGTTTATTCTTATCATTCTCCTGAGGCAGAAAGTTGAAATTGTATATTTAATATCACATGTGAGTCTAATTATGTATTGGCTAAACCAGGAAACTGAAAAAGAAAAAAAAAAGGCTTAAATGAAATTGATTAATATGAAGGCAAGGGTACTTTATGTTCTGTTACAAGCCAAGATTAAAAGTATTTTTACACAAAGAAACCAACAAACATTTTTATAAGTGTGCCAGTGAGGAAACACTCATAGAATAATGGGTTATGGTACTATTCTGTCATGGGCACAGGGTTTTATCCAAAAAATACACCTTAGGGAAAAAAATGTTACAATAGAATAGGCCATTACTATGATGGAAGAGTAGGAAAAATAAGTCACTCACAGATTTCAATCAATGTAGTGTCACATATAAAATGTAGGTAACTCAGAAGAAAACTTCAAAGGAATTTGCATGAAGTACTCAGAATGGAGAAGGAAATGATGATCACAATGGGAAGCCGTGTGAATAGCACCAAATTGTGAGACAGAAGATAAACAAAAGGAAAAAAGGAACAATGTGCTTAGGATAATAATTAAGGGACATTAGGTGATAATAAATATGAGTTCAAAGAGAAATGGTGGGAAAGAAAAACTAGTTTTGAAGACATACTCTGACAATGGGGAGACAATCAGCCTTAAAGAGCCAGCTGCCTCAAATAGCTTTTTGAACTAAGTGTGGATTACCAATTCAGTATAACAACTATTTACATAGCATTTACATTGCATTTGATATTAATCTAGAGATGATCTAAAGTGTGTTAGAGGATGTGCCCAGGTTATATGCAAATACTACACCATTTTATATGAGGAACTTGAACATTCATGGATTTTGGCATTTGAGAGAGTTCCTGGAACCAATTTAATATGGTTATGTAGTCAGTCTATATAAAAATGTAATGGGGATTGAGACTAAATGTATTTTTAGGAATTTGCCCCCAATGGATGGCCAACCTCTTATTAAACTTCTCTATTAATTTGAGCAAACAAGGTAAGATACTTCTCATTGAATGCTTTAGAGTTTACGTCCTTGTCAAATGAAAAAGGTAAGTTTTAGAAATGCCAGCTCAGATCAAACTGCTAGAAATCTAACATGATACAGAATTCCCACAGGAACAAAATCTTTTATTGGAACTGTCTGGATTTTAGTCAGGCTGCCTTGGACTTCTGAGGGAGGGCCCAGGATTGAGGACCCAGTGTACTTCATTATCTACTGGCCAGGCCAGAGCTGGAATTGGTGGTAATTAAATCAAAATTGAAGACAGATGGGCTGAGAAATAGACTCAGGCAAACTGTACGGTGCTTAACTTAATTTTGCTAGTTGGGAAACTCACTTTTTAATTTTTAGAAAAAAAAAACATATTACATAGATCTCAATCATTTGCAATTGATTAAAAAAAAAAAAAAACAAACCAAGTGACACCTAAAAATTGAAACTACAAATCTAACAGGACACGGAATGCTTGCTTTAGTGTGATCATCACCTTGAAATACTATCCTTTCTTCCAAAATGAAGTGATTGACGCTAATGAATTATCAGAGCTAATGAAAAAAAAAAGAAAAAAGTCAGACCAAATTCTCATTGTCAGTTATTCAAAGAACAGGAGGAAACGCTGCCAGCAACTATTTTACATTTAGTGAGATAATCAGGAGGTGGCAATAAGACACACAGTTCAAAATTATGTTTCCTGCTGAGTCTGGCTTGCACTAAATAAATGTGTACCTAGCTAGATCAAATGAAAATTACTTTTACTTTATTTGGTCATATGAAGTCTTTACGATAATGCTATTTAAGAAATCTGATGAAGAAAAATAGCATATATTAAGCAAGAAACATCAGAATTACGCAGACATTAATTGTTTTAAAGTGCTGTTTTAGACATTAAGAAGTGGGTAAGGTGAGGAGCATCAAATTTAGTAAGATTATTATGCGCTTACTCTTTAGTCTGCTCTAAGGTTCAAGGGTAGGGTTGTATTTTATTTGTTTTTGATACCTTCCTCTGCCCCTGCAAACTAGTACCATTGCATTCTAAATGCATTTTTTGGACATACAGTTAGCAACTGTAGATTGAAAATATTTGTGGAAAAAAATGGTTTCTGTACTACTACATGCAGACTGTTTTTTCTTGTCATTATTCCCCAAGCAATTCAGTATAACAACAATTTCCATAGCATTTACATTGCATTAGGTATTATAAGTAATCTAGAGATGATCTATAGTGTGCACAAGTTATATGCAAATACTACATAATTTTATATGAAGAACTTGAACATTCATGGATTTTGGTATTTGAGAGAGTTCCTGGAACCAATTCTCCATGGATACTGAGGGACAACTGTATTCATTTTTTGTCACAAGTATTAATACATCTGAAGTATATCAGCTATCTTATCCATCACTATTTACACTATATCTCCATATACCACAAATAAATATTCATTCTCCATTATGTGCTTGGCATTGACCAAATATTAAGAGCCAAGGTTACTCAGTCAAAGTGAGCTTTCAAGAACCATCCAATAAATCAACCCAAACAAATTATTCACTGGTAAATTATCCTTCTTTCTGGTGGTTGTGAGAACGGTTGAGAATGGTCTGCTGCTACTGTAAACTAGCGTAATAAATAAACAAGATGGCTGGTTGTCAAGTGGTAAAAATTACACCGTTGAAAATGCAATTGGGTTTCAGAGACCTTCATATTTATACTGTTTGCAGTAAGGAGAAACAGTATTTTCTGGTTCAGCCTTGAAGGTCAGTTTTTTTTTTTCACTGCAATTGAGAAATTAATAGTAATCACTGTGAATTGTCATAAAAATAAGAAAAATATCAACAATTTAAGCTTGTATTAAGCAGTAAAATTATATGTTTCATTTAACACAGTACAAGAATTCTGTTTAGCTAATGAACTTATCTAGCATTGTAGCTAAAGTTAAAACTGCAATATGTATTTAGGTATTGATAAGTGGTTTCCATTATTCACACATTAGCCCTTTACTGTATTCCATTTTTAGAAGTAAGGCATAACTAAAATAGAACTGATGCCTACAATTTAGCAACTATTTGAATAATCTTTGACCATGATTATTTTAAGTCACAAAAAGTAAAATATAAAAATGTATAGTTTAAAGGTGTCAGGTTTTATTAATTTTATCAAACAGTCACACACAGGACATGGTAAAATAATATTTTTGCTTATGTTGTTTGGTTACACTTTGTTTTGCTTTGCTTGTTTTTTCTAATATGGGTACATCTCAAGTCTGGCCTCACCTTTCCCAGTGAAAGTGACAGGGAGACCCAAGGAATTTCACATCCAAAGAAAACTAAGCACATGCAACAACCAATAACCAGAGAAAGTTCTTCATCTTGGGTAGAAGTCTGATATAACTGTAAGAAGCCAAAGTACTCCTGGCTCATCCATTTGAGAACCTTGGATTTTAGGGGCAGATTCATCTAGATATAGAGGTGTCTGGCTTGGAGTGAAAATCTCCATTGAATCATTGCAGTTCTGTTTTGTTTTGTTCCTCCTGTGATGACACACGCTTAGGTATAACTATTAAAGAAAGGGTTATTAATTTCCCTGGCCTATTCTGAGAATATTTTCTTTCCCTTCTTGCTTTAGTTGAAACCTGGTTCTCCCCTAATGATATCACTTGCATTTTAGCTGTCGTAGGCAGCAGTGCTTTTTCACCCTGTGCTTTTGTACCACCAACCCTAGAAGAATAATGTGAGGTGCTTCTAGATCACCACTCATTCTTTGAAGATTTTTACCTCCTGACTCATCATTACTCACTCTTACAAAAAGCTTAATTCTTTACAATGTCAATATCCACATAGAGATACTCTCTTTTCCTTAGCCTCTTTTCTTCTAGCAACCATGTGCCACACTCTCATGGTCATACACTGGCCTGGACGCTGTCCTTACCAATGTCTGCACTCTTTCTATGATCTCGTTTTCACGAATCCAACTTGCTGACTACCACCTCCTGCCTTGTCAGCTCATGTGTTGTCAATTCTTCGATCTCACTATGACATGAAGTCTATTGGTCCTACCTCCTTTTCACTACCCTTCACTCCTTTCGTAACCTCACTTTATTCCAACCCCAGTTAAGATACTTTGGTCCATCACAATGCATTCATTACATACATCCTTCACGTACATCTGGTCCATCATAATGCATTCATTACATACATCCTTTATGTACATCCAGTTTTCTTTATCCTATGCAGTTCATTGTCCTTCTCTCAGAAAAGGTCTAGCCCTGGTTAAACCCAACTCTGCCTGTTCTATGCCTGTGATGGGGTTCAGGACACCCTATCCCAAAATATGGCACCTTGGCATTTGAGGAAGCAATAGAAGCAAGACCTTGTCTCTGACCTTCTCCTGGCCCTCTCCCCTGAAGCCTGCCATAAAAGAATTCTCTGGGCCGGGCATGGTGGCTCATGCCTGTAATCCCAGCACTTTGGGAGGCCAAGGCGGGCAGATCACCTAAGGTCAGGAGTTCAAGAAGGGCCTGGCCAACATGGTGAAACCCCATCTCTACTAAAAATACAAAAATTAGCTGGGCATGGTGGTGCATGCCTGTAATCCCATCTACTTGGGAGGCTGAGGCAGGAGAATCACTTGAACCCGGGAGGAGGAGGTTGCAGTGAGCGGAGATCGCGCAGCACCACTGCACTCCAGCCTGGGCAACAACAATGAAACTCCGTCTGAAAAAAAAAAAAAGATTTGGAATTGTCTGACCTTCCTCTGAAGTAAGACATAAAACTTTTATTCCAGAGATACCCTCCCTACACCGGGAGAAAAGAAACATCCTTGTCCTCAAAGAGATACAGACACTGAGAATAATCTGAACAGAGATCTTACTGAATTCCCCCCAACTTATTACAATTAGATCATATCTTTTTGTCTTCTAATCATACTTCTGAACTCTTCATCAAACTTAGCATAAAAATACATACATTTCCCTCTTTCTTTGGGTTTTCATTTCTGAAGGCTCCTGTGTCATGCAAAACTTACATTACATAGGGCCGGGCGCGGTGGCTCACGCCTGTAATCCCAGTACTTTGGGAGGCCAAGGCGGGCGGATCATGGGGTCAGGAGATGGAGACCATCCTGGCTAACACGGTGAAACCCCGTCTCTACTAAAAATACAAAAAATTAGCCGGGTGTGGTGGTGGGCGCCTGTAGTCCCAGCTACTCGGGAGGCTGAGGCAGGAGAATGGCGTGAACCCGGGAGGCGGAGCTTGCAGTGAGCCAAGATCGCGCCACTGCACTCCAGCCTGGGTGACAGAGCGAGACTCCGTCTCAGAAAACAAACAAACAAACAAAACAAACAAACAAAAAAACTTACATTATATAAATTCGTATGCCTTTCTCTTGTGTGAAAGGAAAATAAATCTCGGGACCTTCAAATCACTAAGCCAAAGGGGAAAGTCAAGCTGAGAACTGTGTCAGGCAAACCTGCCTCCCATTCTATTTCTATATAGTATAGCTACAAAGATTGAAAACAAGCTACATACCTCCCTGACGAGGAAATTCCTTGTGGACAAGGACAGACAGAACTTAGTCATCCCTCTGCTCACATGAGACAAATGCATATCTGATGGCTTCCCTTGCCATACTTTTTCACTAAACCAGATAAGGCATAAGCGACTATTCCTGTAAATTGTGAATTGAGTGAAAGGCTAAACAGAAACTAAAAAGACTGCAACTTTTTGTCTCTTATCTACTTATGACATGGAAGTCCCCTCCCTCCTTTGAGTGGTCCCGCCTTTCTGTAACAAACCAATGTACATATATTACATATATTAATTGATGTCTGAGTCCATGTCATGGGTGCGTCATTAACGTTGGCAAAATAAACTTTCTAAGTTGACTGAGACCTATCTTAGATATCTTGAGTTCACACTTGTTAATGTGTCTTTTGTTATAGGTGTCTCAACCATCAACCTAGTGATAAGTGAGGAAACAGCTCTTTTCTCCCCTACATTTGCATCTCCCTCTGGAGGCTGGAAAAAATCAAAAATTATGCTGAATTATCTCTTTTATAATATGTATCTCTTCTGGGTTCTTAATTCTGCCCCAAAAAAGTTATATTTTCATGGTTTTTCACTTTCTTACCCTCCTAAAAAAAAAACAGCTATTTTATGTTTTTCTAATCTAAAGAAACTTGCCAAGGAATCTCAACAGCAAATTTACCCATCTACTGTGTGTTCTGCCTCCCTTCACATTTTCATGGATGGACTACTGTGTTCCTGCTTTGGTATGAATGCTATGTCCCCCAAAATTCATGTTTAAATCTAACCCCTAAAGTGATGGTATTAGGAGGTAGGATCTTTTAGAATTGATTAGTTCGTGAGGCCAGAGCCCTAAAAAATTAAATTAGTGCCCTTTTAAAAGAAACACAAGACAGCTCCCTCAACCCTTCTACCATGTGAAGTTAATAGCAAAAAGATGGCCATCTTTGAACCGGGAAGTGAACCCTCACCAAACAGCGAAACTGCTGATGCTTTGATCTTGGATATCTCAGCCTCCAGAATTGTAAGAAATAAATTACTGTTGTTGATAAGCCATCCAGTCTATGGTATTTTGTTTTAACTGCCTGAATGGACTATGACAGTTCCTAACTAATGTGAAGTCCTCAATCCTTGTGCTTCCCCTAATTAAGAAAATCAGTCCAGCAATTCTCCCTTTACTCTCTTGTGTGAGCAAATTTTACCTCTCCACTAGATCACTGTCATCAAAATAAAAACATGCTACACTTCCTTGACTCCATACTTTTTTATCACCTATACCACTGTTACAGGAAGGGGGTCCCGATCCAGACCCCCAAGAGAGGGTTCTTGGATCTTACACAAGAAAAAATTAAGGGCGAGTCCGCAGTGCAAATCAAAAGCAAGTTTATTAAGAAAGTAAAGTGCTGAAAGAACAGCCACTCCATAGAGAGAGCAGAACATTTCCTAAAGTAAGAGGAGGAACATGTCCGCCCTAGGTACAATGCTTGTTTATATTCAGGATAAAAAAGATCATGGGGAGATGCGCTCTGCTATAAGGGTTTGTGATAAAGGATTAATTTTCTTAATTACTATATTTTGCAAGAACCAATACTGTTGTCTTTAAAGCAAAATTAGAAATGCCTTTGTTCTCAAGATATTGTGATATTAGAACACTCCCAAGTCTGGGTCTGTTGAGTAAACGTTATCAATCTGTTCCTTTAACCATAAACATCGAGAGACTAGGAATGCCTAACTTTCTGGGAATATGGCCTAGCAAGTCCCAGCCTCATTTTCCTAGCCCTCATTCAAGGTGGAGTCACTCTGGTTCAAATGACTCTGACACTGCCACACATCCCCAATTTATCACCTCCCATTTTCTTTCGGATGCCTTCTAATCCGGCTTTTGCTTATACTAATCTACTAAAATGATTTTGTTTGTTAAGATCACCAATGATTTCCACATTGCTAAATCCACTAGTCAATTCTCTGTTCTCCTTTTGTTTACCCATTACCAGCATTTGACACAGTTGATTACTTCCTCTTCTTTGAAATATATTATCCACTTGGCCTCTGGTTATAAGATTCGCTTGTTTTTCTATTATTTTTTGGCCACTCCTCCTTGGTCTCCTCCTATAATTGTACCTTTATCCCAGTTTCTAAAGGAAGGAGCGCCTGAGAAGTCTTAGACCTTTTCTGTCCTCTACATGTAATCCCCTAGTAATTTCATCTAGGATGAATCCGAAATTTACATTCTCAGGTCAGATCTCTCCTCCATACTCTGGATACAACTGCTATGTTCTGCTATGACATTTATTTTGGGAATGCAAATTTGTATCAAAGTAATTAATATTATGGCATTTAGTGATTGATATTAGTTTGAGCATAGTGCTATTTTCAGATTTGCTTTTATTTATGCTAATTTTGTTCCACTATGGGAATGTATGTAGGTATGTTTCTTAGGAGAAGGGATTTTAATTTTGGTTTATTTATCTAACTGCTGTTTGTTTTTGTTTTGTTTGTTTGTTTTGATAATGGAACTGTGCCAAGTATACCAGAGAGGCTCAATAAATATTTGTTAAATGAATGAAAAAGTGGATTCAGGAGATGTGAAGTCCATGGGGATTACATGCAAAAATTTTTGTATACATTTAACTTTCTGTGGAGAAAGATAATGATTTTCTTCAGATGTTGAAAGGGTTCTTAATCATCCACACCAACCAGATTAATAATCTAATTCTAGCAATAACCCAATAGGTCATTTTTTTGAGCATCAGTATTAGCCTATGTTAATTAAAATGTTTATATAGTGGTTATAATGTGGAAATATTGTGCCAATTTGTAGATTTCTTATGTCAGACAATTGAAATGTGCCAATGTGCTAACAAGGTTTGAAGGAGGTAAATCTCACACATTGGCCTGACAACCGAATCGTCACAAATATGAACCACAAAAGGATCATATATATGAATTTTGAAGAATAAACCCCATTGTTTAAAAAATTGATTTTAGCATGTAAAATGACAGTATTGCTAATACTTCTGGTCTCAGGAAAGCAACCTATCATTTATAATTCTATTATATAATGTTAGCATTTTGCAGTATACTCTTTGGGGCTTCTTTTCATGCATGATAGTTATTGCTTTTAGATGAACAAGTATTGTGAGGTTGTTAAACTCCTTTTGTTCTCTGAAAGTTTAAAGTTTTATATGGAATACCAATAGAATTTTCTGAAGTATAAAATATAAAAACTAAAGAAACAGCAAAACAGTTTACAGAATAAATAAAATTACTGTTTAAAAAAATATTTGCAAAAATGATATTTATTATTCACAAAACTATTTAGACCTTTATTTATACCTTCTTTGTTCTTATTTTGCAAAGTGCCATATGTTTGGTTGCCCAGAGTGACTGCTACAGTAGACACACTGACAACAGTAAGATGAAAGCCTAATGTAGGTAGGAAAGAAGGAAACTATATAGAGACTAACTTAAATATATAAAAAGGAGAGCAATATGAGGCTATTTGTATGGTAACAAATAGCTGTAAGTGGCTCAAACTGTTCACAAGGTCATGGTTTTACAGTCACTATAATAAAATCATAAGAAGTATTGAGGGGGAAAAATGGAGTAATCTCTAATCCAGGGAGTAAGAAACAATCCAGGTAAAGAAAAAAAAAGGGGGCCAGGTGCGGTGGCTCATGCCTGTAATTCCAGCACTTCGGGAGGCCGAGGCAGGCAGATTGCCTGAGCTCAGTAATTTGCGACCAGCCTGGACAACACGGTGAAACCCCATCTCTACTGAAATACAAATATTAGCCGGGTGTGGTGGCATGTGCCTGTAGTTCCAGCTAGTTGGGAGGCTGAGGCAGGAGAATTACTTGAACCTGGGAGGTGGAGGTTGCAGTGAGCTGAGATCGCACCACTGCACTCCAGCCTGGGCAATAGACAGTGAGATTCCATCTCAAAAAAAAAGAAAAAAAAAATTAAATTTTCAGCTATTGGAGATATCTGGCTTTTTAGAATGATCCATTTTCAAAGGATTACTGTTTCAGCTCTACAGTTAAAATATTGACTTTTTTATTGAGAAGTAGTTGTCCACAAATGACTCATTAAAGATCTGTTAGGAAGATGTGTGACTCAAAGAGGAGGAGGGTGAAATCTTTAATCACAATACTGCCCTTTGTATTTGGTTAATGAAGACAAATTAGGAGCCTAATTGAAAGATTTGTATGTAGATGAAGGGGAAATGAAGGTAATTATTAGGGTGGGGTCAGAATTCTGCTGAGAGAGATATATTCAAACATGAAGGAATTGAAATAGAGACTCAGAAATAATTGCCTGGTTTCTTCTTTATCATCTTTGATCTAAAGTCTGAGCCAATAACTCAGTCAAATGGAATGGGGCCCATACCACACAGAAACCAACCCCAAAAGAGAAACTTCTGGGCCAATCTTGTTTGAACTGATTGGCTGTTAGAATGTTAAAAAAAAAAAAAAAAAAAAAAAAAAAAAACTGGATCATTGAACTGTATTATTCTACATGAAACCTGTAAATAATAACAGAAACTTAGAATTATAAATCTCTTTGATAAAATAGATGGGCCATCCTTCAAAATCTGATATTCTCCATTATGCTTACACATCCGTGCATCTCATTTTTGTTGAATGAAAACTAAAATTCTTCCAGGTCCTTCCCAGGATCAGCCTCTCCAGGAAGCACAGCATTGCCATGGCTAGTAAGATCATTGATGACTTCATCCATTCCTTGTTGAAAATTAGTTGAACAATTTTTCATTGGTAAAATTACTATAATTCAAAGGAAAATTACCTTTAAGGTTGTTTTGAACTTCTAAAGCTATATCAAGTGCATTAAAGGGCAGAACAGGTTCGTTGGCAATTTGCAAAATCACTTCTCCTGAGAGCTGAAAGAAAAAAGGAAAAAGAAAATACTAGCATTCAGTAATTAGGAGTTTTCATTTGTTTGTTTTTCATTATTTCAGATATTTTTATACATCTAGAGCAGCAAAAACACACAGGAATAATATAGTTTTATAAAATCTCTTTTTCTTTTAAATCTTTATTTAATTTTATCTTTCTATAAAGAAAAAGACCTCAGTATCTTTTTCACGTCTCAGAATAGTATAAGGAAATATATTATTCCTTTTGTGAGCTGAAATATTAAGAAATGCCTTCCCTAATTGAAAGAGTTGTACTATTTAGACTTTAAATAATTCCTTACAGTTCGTAGTATCACATGACCAAACAAACAGTAAAGAGGAACACCTGAAAATCAATGCCTGGTTATTGGACTAAGGAAAACTTCAGACAAAATTAATGATCAATTTATTTTATTTGATAACCTACAGGCCACATTTGGCAGTTTACTTTGAAAGTAAACAGTCTTCCAAGTTAACTTGTCTTGTGATTTATGGTAACATCCTGTCACTGAGTAAAGAATTTTTTCTGAGTTCCCCAAATTACATACTGACGAATACATAACCTAATGACATTGAAAAGGATGCTGATTTGTCTTTGAATCGTGAAGTTTGGCTGATTTGTTTCAGAATCAGGAAGTTTTGCCAATTGTCTTGCATGTAGACATTTTAACCTGTATGTTGATATCTGTAGCCAGTGATTATAACCTCTGTGTTATACCCTCCAGTAAAAAGAACAACTCTGATATGAGGAGTCTTCCTCCCTTCTTCTAAGCTTCCTTAGGAAAGCCTCCCAACCTGTAACAGACTCTTTGTTTGGTGTGTCTTCACGGGTAGATCTTCACATTTGGCTTCCAATAAACCTCCTTCAAAATCTTAGATACGATTTTTCTTCATGCTTTTATTCTATTCCTAATTGCTTTTTAATTTTTATAATTTTCTAGAATCAAAACTAATAGTATTAATACATCTGTGAGATCAATGCTTAAAATAAATAAATACAAATTTTAAAAGGCATCCCCAAAGCTCATATCTGCAATCTTCGTACATACATAATTCCCCCATGACCCCACCCCAAAACTGTCAGAATATTAACACATGCACTACAGCTGAACTAGCATCTGCTTAATAGGCTGAACAAGTCATATGCATTCATACACATCTCAAAGGACCTTAGGGCTGGCAGCAAATGCCATTGTTATCTCTCTCTCTCTCATAAGTGATATTTAAATATTTACCTGGGCTTAACGAATGTCCCTACATATCTTATAACCCTGAAGGCAGCACACAGGGAAATGCGACTGTGTTATTATTAATGCAGTGTGAAATGTGGTTAGTGAATGAAAAACATTGTCTTGTGAAACTACACAGGGGAAATTAGCACACTAACTTGAGACAGAATGCATAAAAGATATAATTTACTAGGAAATTATGATGTTATATATCCAAATATATATATTCAACAAGGTGCAAATTCCATTTAATATTTGATACGGTTTGGCTCTGTGTCCCCACCCAAATTTCATCTTGTAGCTCCCATAATTCCCATGTGTTATGGGAGGGACCTGGTAATAGATGACTGAATCATGGGGGCATGTCTTTCCCATGCTGTTCTCATGATAGTGAATGTGTCTCACAAGATCTGATGGTGTTAAAAATGGGAGTTTCCCTGCTCTCTTTTTTCCTGCCACCATCCATGAAAGATGTGACTTGCTCCTCCTTGTATTCTGCAATGATGGTGAGGCTTCCCCAGCCATGTGAAACTGTGAGTTTTCCATTAAACCTCTTTCCTTTGTAAATTGCCCAGTCTTGGATATGTCTTTATCAGCAGCAGACTGATACAATAAATTGGTACCAGGAGTGGGGCACTGCTGAAAAGATACCTGAAAATGTGGAAGCAACTTTGGAACTGGGAAATAGGGAGACATTGGAACAGTTTGGAGGGCTCAGAAAAAGACAGGGAAATGTGGGAAAGTTTGCAACTCCATAGAGATTTGTTGAATGACTTTGACCAAAATGCTGACAATTATAGAGAAAATGAAATACAGGGTGAGGTGGTCTCAGATAAAGATAAGGAACTTGTTGGGAACTGGAGCAAAGGTGACTCTTGTTATGTTTCAGCAAAGAGATTGGTGGCATTTTGCCCATCCTAGAGATTTGTCGAACTTTGAACTTGAGAGAGATGATTTAAGGTATCTGGTAGAAGAAATTTCTAAGTAGCAGAGCATTCAAGAGATGACTTGGGTGCTGATAAAGGCATTCAGTTTTAAAAGGGAAACAGAGCATAAAAATTTGGAAAATTTGCAGCCTGACAATGTGATAGAAAAGAAAATCTCATTCTCTATGGAGAAATTCAAGCCAGCTGGAGAAATTTGCCTAAGTAAAAAAGGAGCCAAATGCTAAATCATCAAGACAATGGGGAAAATGTCTCTAGGGCATGTCAGAGACCTTTGCGGCAGCCCCTCCCATCACAAGCCTGGAGGTTTGGGAGGAAAAAATAGTTTCATGGGCCAGGCCCAGGGTCCCTCTGCTGTGTGCAGTCTTGGGACTTGGTGCCCTGAGTCCCAGCTGCTCCAGCCTTGACTAAAATGGGCCAAGGAACAACACAGGCTGCTGCTTCAGAGGGTGGAAGCCCCAAGTCTTGGTAGCTTCCACATGGTATTGATCCTGTGGGTACACAGAAGCCAAGAATTGTGGTTTGGAACCTCTGCCTAGATTTCTTTTTTTTTCTTTTTTTGAAACGGAGTCTCGCTCTGTTGCCCAGGGTGGAGCACAGTGGCACAATCTTGGCTCACTGCAAGCTCCGCCTCCCGAGTTCACACCATTCTCCTGCCTCACCCTCCCAAGTAGCTGGGACTACAGGCGCCCACCACCACGCCCAGCTAATTTTGTTTTGTATTTTTAGTAGAGATGGGGTTTCACCATGTTAGTCAGGATGGTCTTGATCTCCTGACCTCATGATCCTTCCGCTTTGGCCTCCCAAAGTGCTGGGATTACAGGTGTGAGCCACCGCGCCCAGCCCACCTCTGCCTAGATTTCATAAGGTGTATGGAAACGCCTGAATGCCCAAGCAAATATTTGTTGCAGGGGCGAGGCCATCATGGAGAACCTCTGCAAAAAAGAAATGTGGGGTCAGAGCCCCCACAGAGAGTCCCTACTGGGGCACCACGTAGTGGAGCTGTGAGAAGAGGGCCACGCCACCGTCCTCAGACCCCAGAATGGTAGATCCACCAACAGCTTGCACTGCATACCTGAAAAAGCCACAGATGCTCAACACCAGCCGGTAAAAGCAGCCAGGAGGGGGGCTATACCCTGCAAAGCCACATGGGCAGAGCTGCCCAAGGCCATGGGAACCCACCTCTTGCATCAGCATAACCTGGATGTGAGACATGGAGTCAAAGGAGATCATTTTAGAGCTTTAAGATTTGACTGCCCTGCTGGATTTTGGACTTGCATGGAGCCTGTAGCCCCTGTATTTTGGTCAATTTCTCCCATTTGTAATGGCTGTATTTACCCAATACCTGAGACCTCATTGTATCTAAGAAGTAACTAACTTTCTTTTGATTTTACAGGCTCATAGGTGGAAAGGACTTGCCTTGTCTCAGATGAGACTTTGGACTGTGGACTTTTGAGTTAATGCTGAAATGAGTTGAGATTTTGGGGAACTGTTGGGAAGGCATGTTTGGTTTTGAAATGTAAAGATATGAGATTTGGGAGGGGCCAGGGGTGCAATGATATGGTTTGGCTCTGTGTCCCCACCCAAATCTCATCTTGTAGCTCCCATAATTCCACATGTTGTGGGAAGGACCCAGTAGGAGATGATTGAATCATGGGAGCGGGTCTTTCCCATGCTATTCTTGTGATAGTGAATGGGTCTCATGAGATCTGATGGTTTTAAAAACAGGAGTTCCCCTATACAAGCTCTTTTCCTGCCACCAACCACGTAAGATGTAACTTGCTCCACCTTGCCTTCCAACATGATTATGAGGCTTCCCCAGCCACATGGAACTGTGAGTTCTCCATTAAACCTCTTTCCTTCGTAAATTGCCTTGTCTTCGGTATGTCTTTATCAGCAGTGTGAAAACGAACTAATACAACATTAAAAGTTATATTTCCCAATTGTTTGCACAATTCAAGTCGTAAAAAATATAATTCAATTTGATCTTCTTCTATCTGCTTGGGAAAATGTGTTTATTAGAAATAAAGAGAAGAAAGAACCCCTTTTTTATTTTTAAGTTCTGGGGTACATGTGCAGGATATGCAGGTTTGTTACATAGGTAAATGTAGATGATGGTGGTTTGTTGCACTTACCAACCCATCACCTAGGTATTAAGCCCTGCGTGCATTAGCTATTTTTTCCTAATGCTCTCCCCTCCCACCACCCTACCCCCCGACAGACCCCAGCGTGTGTTGTTCCCCTCCCATGTACATGTGTTCTCATTGAAAAACCATTTTTGATAACTTTTTATTCCTTTGAGGTAGTTTTCTCCCAAATTTACCAACCAATTCCTAACGTATCTTTGCAGAGTCTTATCCCCAATGTTGGGGTGCTGAAAAAGTATCCTGCAAAATAAGACTTTGACATACTGAGCTAAAGAAAGAGCCTCAAGGTCTCCCTGCCCTTGCTTACCCCGCACCCTCCCAACACTTCTGTGTTTCTCAAAGCACACGATGAGGATGTTCTCGGAAGTTCTCTTATCCATCTAAAAACTGTGAACCTCCAAAGAGGAACATAATTACCTT
This sequence comes from Homo sapiens, assembly GCF_000001405.40. Lineage (NCBI taxonomy): Eukaryota > Metazoa > Chordata > Mammalia > Primates > Hominidae > Homo > Homo sapiens. The sequence continues at coordinate 175,732,550 of NC_000003.12, read as the reverse complement.
TAATCCTCTCTTGGAAATCTCATTGTTTGTCAGTGAGGGATACAACTACACCTAGATGGACTTTTCCAAACAGATAGTGTCGCCTCTAAGGATGATTCAAATACTAAAGAGAATCATTTACAAATTAATTTTGTCTCCCAGGTCCATTTATTATGCCTAATAATAATTTACTATTCATGAGAAGAATGGTCTAAATTCCCCATCTCTCTCTGCTTTACAGAAAAGGGTACATAAATATGTTTCTATAGTCCATTGAGTTATTGCGTAATCCTATGCATCCCCCCCATCATGCACATGAAATAAATAACTATGCATTTTTCTCCTATTAGCCTGCCTGTTGTCAGTTCATTTTCAGCAAACCTTCAGAGAGTGGAGGGGAAGCTTTCCCTTTGCCCCTACACCAGCAGAGTGATCACAAAAATCCTGGGAAACTGCCTACTCTGATTACGCTGTACTTCAGGAAATGAATTGTGTGCAATAGATTGACATAAATTATCCTTCAATTCCACCTCACTTCATCCAAATCATACAAGAAACACCAAAATATAAAAATAAATTATTTATAAAAAGGATTTTTAAAAGAAATTAAGAAGGATTCTGATTGATTTTTTTTCCAGTTTGCACTGTATAATAGAGACTACAGAAAAGACATGTTTTGTTTACAGTTAGAATCTGGATACCACACATTACAAAAGATTAAAAAAGAAAAAGGAGGAGGGAGAAAGGCGACTTCTCTGAGTGCTGCTGGAGAAAGCTGTTTTGTTTGTTTTTTAAGAGTGGCTTGGCACCTTGAACACTGGAATATAAGCCAACTACCTTCTGGCAACAAAGATTGAGACTTCAGAAACACCTGGCCCACAACGGAATGGTTAGACTAAATCAGCTTTCTTTGCAGCTTCGTAAGCAAGAGGAAGATTTGTATACTCCTTGTCATGCAGCACAGAGATGAGCCACACTGCATATTCTTACCCACTCTGAAACTCAGTCTTCCTCAGGCACACCAGAACAACTTTCCTTTACATTCATATGAGGCCTCATTCTTTTCAAAGTACTTTATACCTGTATATCTCATTTCATTATCCTGACAACCCTAAGAGACAGGTAGATGGGGAATTAATATTCTATGTCAAAAACACTGAGAATCAGCTTCACTGAGAACAGTTAACAGTAATGGCAAAGCTAAAATATCAATAACCAAATTTCCTGGAGCACCTACTAGGTATCAGAGCTGTATGGAAGTTTTCAAACATCATTCTCTCTAATTCTCACAACAGCTCAGCAAGGCAGGTACCATGTTCATATAAAAAAAAGAAACTGAGGCTCTCAGAGATTAGTTAACTTGCTCAAGTCACCTACCCAAGTGTCATTGATTTGAAGGCCTGTGCTACTTTTTTTGCTATAACACGAGGTTTAAGTCAGAATCTAGAAAAAAATCTCTCAGTTGGTTATCTGTGGAAAACTAAAGCTAGACTCTAAATTCTTTACTTCTTGCCAACTGTTCTTTCCACTCTACTACTGTGTTTCCTGGTGAAGAAAAAAATACAAAAACCTATGTTTCTTGTAATACTACCAGCCAATACCTGTAATATCTTATTTCCAATCCTGAACATCTATGATATTTGCATACCTGTGGCACATAGCATAAGTAAATAACTATTCACCATCTGTAAAATTACAATGCAATGACTTTACAAGCACACATGTACCTCAAGACCCTGGTGTCTTTCCTTTTCCATTATTCTCTGACCATACTAGCCCTGAGCAGAAGATAAAGGAAGAATAAATTAGAAATAAGAAAAACTGTAAAGAACTAAAAATATTTTAAAAATATAAAAGGATCATTGTGTTGAAAACTGAGTTAATAATCACCACATTGCAAAGGCTTTCCTCTCTTACTAAATAATATTGATGTTCCTAGAGTTAGTGGTCTCACTAGTGTTAGGCAAGATCAGATTGTCAAAAGATAAAAACTATACATAGAAACTTATTCTAGAATGTTAAGAATATAAATATCACCCTATGAGGCAACAAGGCAACAGATTATTTACAGAGTTAAGGAAAAAGTGTACGCACACACACACGTGTGTGTGTGCGTGTGTATGTGTGTATATATATATATATATATATATATATATATATATATATATATATATATCTGTATTAAGTTTTCTGAAAATACTCTTTTGCACCTTTAAATACAACTAAAATTACTACAGGCCAAAGAAAGATAAACTTTTATATGGGATAACTGTAATTCTTTGACTTCATCACAAATCTTCCTCTTACTTACCAGACCAATGTAGAAAGAAAAAGATTATTTACTAAACTGTCAATATCTAAAGAGTAGGGTACATTTTCTCCCCTTAATTATTGTAGCTCATTACCCAGTATGGTGACTGTATTTGCAATAAATGCTTTTAACGAATTTGTCATATATTGAGTGGACAATGCAGTAAAACATATATAGGTTCACTAAAATAATACCATTGCCCTGGGTCTATAATGTAATTTCTCTTTAGCCACAAGCATGGTTGAGCATTGTGTGGTTTTCTATATTTTTATATACCCAGATTAAAGTAACCATAGTTTATACCTTTCATTTAAGCTGTAAGTTAAACTATTATCATGGGATTTTTTTAAATGTCCTCAGTTAAATTTAAAACGCAATAGAGCCCTACTATGAAAGTTGATGCTGTAAGATAAGCATAACACCTGTTTTACATGTTACCATGGGAAAAAAAAACTGGGATGTCACTGTGGCATGTGAAAAAAAAAAAAAAAACCTTCAGCTGAATTAAATTTAAAGGAGTTTAATTGTGCAATGAGTGATTTGCGAATCTGGCAGCCCTCAAAATCACAACAGATTCGGAGACTGTAGGGATGACTCATGGTCAGAACAAATTTATAGACAAAGCAAAGGGAAGTGATGTATAGAAATTGGAAGTGAGGTACAGAAACAGCTGGATTGGTTACCGATTGGTGTTTGCTTTATTTGAACACAGTTTGAACACTCAGCAATGTATGAGTGGTTGAAGTATGGCTTCTGGGATTGACAAAGACTCAGCTATTGTTACAGGCACATACTCTTAGGTTGTGAATCTGGTCTACCTATTAGTTAGGTTACAGTTCATCCACAAGGACTCAAATATAGAAGTACAGAGTCCTTCTCAGGCCATTGTTAATTCACTTTAACACATGCTATAAGACACCATGACAAATAGTAGATGAATCATGAACCGTCCTAACTAGTAGCTATTGATCCTTTATTGTGTGATCATTACCATGCTATGGGGGAGAGAAAAGAGCTAAAATGTCATAAAAGATAGGTGCTCTCCTTAGAACTTACTTTCCTGTTAGAGATAAGTCCATTCCACTTTTACACAATTGGAAAAAGAAGTTAAAAATTAAGTTAAAAAAGAAGTTAAAATTAGTAAATATGAATCTTTTATTTCTTAGAAAGCACCATTTTCTATTCCACTCTAAACAAACCACATAACGACACCATACACATATATTTGGGGAGCAGGAACCTAGATGACTGTAAAATGAGAAAGGTATTCTAGACCAAGGGAATAAAATGAGCAGCAATCTGGGGTAGAAAAAAGCCAACATTTCTTTTTACTTTTAGAGTAAAACAAGATTTTTTAGAGAAACAAGAAACCGGTGTGACTGAAACAGAATTCTCAGTTACTGGGAAGTAAGCTTGTGTGTGGAGTGTGGGGCATAGGGTCAGAAAACCCTAAAACTCATCCAAGCCATATGGCCATGATTCAGTGATCTGCAGGGAGTCTGCTCCACTCCTTTTAACTTTCAGAGCAGAGGCATAACCTGATAAATCATAGCCTGGCAAGAGTCTTTACAACAGGATTTTGTGGTACATAGTGTCCTTCAGGCTGTTATGTTCATCCTGAAGTGACATGTCTCTGATTTATGTCACTTTATACTAGAAATTCCCCAATTTAACAACAAATATCCTGTGGATAACAAACTTTAGGGCAGCCAGCCATGGGCAAGAAGAGTGGAGGGAGTTTCCTGAAGATGAACAGAATGAGAAGCAGCTGCCAGTCCTCACGACCCCTTTCCAAAGCTGCAGTATCCATAGAGGAGAGGGATCAAAGATGTATTCCTGACATACCCAAGTTATTTCCCCCCAAAATTAGAAATTAAATGGTGTAATGCACAATTAGTGCACAAAATACATGTATCCATAATGTGACTAAAATATAGCCTTAAGACTGTCACTGTCTTTCATTTGGAATACTCCACAAACTCCCTAATTGTTTTAAATATCTGCCTCCAACACATTCTCCACATTATCATCCGAGCTGTGCAGTTACTTGTTTGGGATATGTTTCTTGTATATTCGAAAAAACAGACCTGTTTGTCTCACTTCCTTTCCATTGCTCCCCTTGACCTATAGCAAGATTTATGATATCTAATATTCAACTATAATTTGACAAGTTTATATATATAAAAAAATTACTTGAAAGTAAAAGTGTCTTAGTAAAGCGAGAACTTATACAACCTCCACAACTATCAAAAAGGAAGCTTCAGATACAACTCACATCACAGAAACTAGCAAGGAAAATTTTAAATGCCACACCTGTTCCCTCAGCCCCAACAAGAGCCACCATGACAGCCCCAAGAGAGTTTCATGTATAAGCAGAAACATCCCAACACCTGAATAATGCTCCTCTTCTTGCCAATGGATGACTTGAGGGTTTCTTCTGCAGAAAAATTTTGGTGGAATGCTTAGGAGGCCTTGCCAAAGGCCTTGCTTCCACTGCTTACATTTGTGAAGGCCAATAGTTGGAGGAGAAAGAGATAGGAAAATTGTCATGGAATCTCTAACCTTTTAGGAATGAAATGGTTCAAGATCTCACTTTTCCTTCTTAAGTTTTCAAAGACATTAGAATGATTTTGAAGGACTGAGGTAGTCTCAAATGAAGACTACCTTAGGTGGTAGGTTATCTTTTAGCAAAGGATTTCCAAAGTCATTGAAGAATTCCAATAGCCTCTGATAGGGCAATTTGCTTCAAGGAGAAGGGTTGTAATCCCAGGAAACATTTGGAATATATAGTTCCCCAAACACATGGCCATTTTTTAGGAGCTCCTGTGACTTATCCTGTTTGGTCCAGGGGCCTACCAAAAAGAAACTACGTGTGAACATAAAGACCTGTGTTAGCAAACAGTGTTAAACTTGAAAACAGCATTTTGGATAGTGGAATGGCCATAGCTCTGAATACCTCCGGAGGAAAGAGTTCTTTTCTCTCAGCGTGCTGAGAAACTGCTGTTTCAGTCACCACCATGCCTCCAACAGTTGCCAAGAGCTGAATGAGGTTACTGAGACACTGGGTTTGCAGCCTGGAGCATGCCTTCCCTGCACCGAGTTGCAGAATTTCTGGAGCCGACAGATCATGCAAAGGCTCTCGGGACCACTTGGACATGATGAAAAATCGATGGGATGTGAAGCAAAGAAAGAAGACATAAACAAGGCATGTCTCCACTGAAATTTAATTTGATTATGAAAGAGTTGGGCTCTTAACTTAGCCCTGAACTGCTAACAGTATAGTTTTTTGCAAGTATGTACTAACACCTCCCAACACCAGGGCATTGAAGAAGAGGGCATTGAAGAAGAAGGCAACTCATGATGTCAAGAAACCAATGGCTGGGAATATAAACTCCCTGATTCAAATCCTCCTTTCCAGCTTCTGCTTCTGCTGAAAGCCCCATTTCCTCTCTAGTTTCTCGGCCTAAACTCTGATCACACCATCTCCAGTTTACCAGGAATCCTAGTTTGGGTACTCCCTCAAAACAACAAACTTGAGATGAAATCTGATCACACATAGTTCATTGAGAGGTGAGGGTAGTAGGATGGGAAGGAGAGACAAGGAAGACAAGACCGCCAATAGAAAGCACATTATCAAGTCAGCTACCACTGTAGCTGACACACAGTAGTGTACCACAGCTACCACTGTGGATGACTGAAGCTTAACCTTGCTGGAGAAAACCTTAGAGCTAGTATAAAATAGGTACCTCAGGATCTTCCCATTCGAGGGGCAAGGGAGCAGTGTATTGATTCACTAGCTACCAATTGGGCATTGCTCCATGGAGGTGTTACATTTTAATCTCTGAACTATCCTGTTCACTGGCAGCTTTCCAGGGCTGAAGAAAGCCTCAGGCAAAGATAAAGTTTAGGATTTGCAAATCTATTACTAAAATAAAATGCTTACTTTCTATTCCCATGCCACAGAAAAGTAACTCATGTAATTTTTTTTTTTTTTTTTTGGTCAAATGTAAGATAGCTCTCCTCTTTTGGTGACTGTCATCACCTATCTGTTATTAAATTTTAGTTGAGAAAATATATTTACAGATTAATTCGGAAATAATAAATTAGCTTTTTGGCATTTTTAATGACTATTTTTCAGTGATATAGTCATGTTTTGACTTTGTAATATATTTGTGTTTTCTGCTAGTCATATTGTTTCTAGAGAGGGACCACAGTATGTTAATATTTCTTAGTGTTCTAGAAAATGAAACTTCAAGATACTAACTTTACATTTTTACTATGTTTAGTAGTAATCTGCATGTGCTGATTGACAAATTAAGAATCTTCATTATATTTCACTAATAACTATCTTTAACATGATATCAATAATAATAACAGCAGCTAACATTTGTTGCACTCTTGCCATATGCCAGGCATTATTCTAAATTCTTTATATAAATTAATTCATTGAATCCTTACAATAGCCTTATTCTATTTTGCATGAGAAAATAGAAGCATTGCTCAGTTAATTAAATTTCCCAAGGTCCACGTAGCTAGTACATGGCAATTTTGAGATTTGAGCCCAAGCATTCTGGCTGCAGATCTGGACTCTTAATTGTTACCCTAATTAGCACCTTTGAAATTTTTTTCCAAGCCCTTTTCTAATTTTAGCAAATAGGGAATACCAGTGGCCAATATTTACCAAATGTGAACATAACGATTCTAAGGAATAATCAAGGGCTGATTACACCTATTTAAAATAAAGCCCTGAGCAAGTGATCCTACCAGGATTATAACTTTTGATACATTCCAATGCTAATTCTCATGTCTGTAGATCCTGCTTTCCTGAGCCTAAAAAGGGAAGTAGAGATTTATGAAGTAAAACAATTCTCTAAGATACCCTAGAGTAGTTGCAAAAACTATCATGGCTGTGGTGTGACAAAGGAGGTAGTGGCTGTGTATTTTTAAAAGATTAATTTTATGTTTATTAAATGATGTACTTTGTAAATTATCCAAATCAATTAGTCATAGAAAGATTAAAGAACTGATTTAGCAGAATTTGTAATAATGCTAAAGAAACATATAACAAGCATACATAATGCACCAAGACAGAAGAAGCCTTTCATAAAGAGCTAGAAAGAGAAAATTCTCTTAGAAATTGTATTTTCAGGTCATAATGCTGAGTATCTGTACATGTGAAATATTGTGGTTTTAGTTTTCTCTTTAGGAATTTAATAAAACAGTGCTTTAGTAAGGACAAAGATGTTATTTCCTTCTAATATCCAACCATTAAACAAAGAACATCTTGGTAATAAATGAAAGCAATCACATTAATAGATCAATATTATTTTGATATAAATTAATATAATTATTTCCTTTTATATGTGCCAGTTGAAAAAACAACCAAAAATAAACCTCTGTTTTATTATAGATTTGGATATCTGGTATAATTCTGTTTTTTAAAAAATATTATCTTGGAATATTGTTTCATTTTTTCAAAAAATATGAACATTAAAAAATAATGACATCATGTTTCTATCTTATAGAGACAATGAAGGCACTAGAGAGAGGTAGAGATATGGGAATGGAAAAAATAAATAGATTGTTCTTTTGAACTTGCTGCTTCTACCTAGTGAGATTTTAAATGATGGTCAAAATATAAGTGACCCTTACTGTATGCAATTACATTGTTAATGCAGTTTCTTTCTTGGCTCTAAATGCAATACATGTTATTGCAGATTGCATCCTACAAAGTGAGACTTGACATTTTAAAAATAGAAAAAATACCACAAGTGCTTTAGATCCTTTGATGTGTGATTCTATTCATGACAAGGTTCTTACAGTAACTTTCTTTGAACTAGATGCTATTGTTCAGTTGAATCTAAAAATACATGTATGTAAATAAGAAGCTGCACCAACAGAGCACACTGTCAAGCTCTAGAAATTCCAAGATTTATTTTTGTCTTTACATGTTGCTTAGTGATAAACAGGACTCTTATATTAATAGTTCCTTGCTTCTCCAATATCCCAGGATGTCCTATATGACATAGCCCAACAATTCAAGAATTTTAGTATCTTTATAGTTGACCAGTTAAACCACGTGATATGACCTTATACTTTTATTAGTACACTTTATCTGAGCGATATTTATCTTGATGAGATGCTTATAAAGCCCCTACATATAATTCAACAGTCCTCAGTTAAATGGTAAAACTGTGACATAGTTACTGTACTAAAGGGGCTTTGGATGGTTTGGATGCTATTAGCAAAGAAAAACAGAAAGAACATATGAAACGTCACATCTCAAAGGTTAATAGGAGAACACTGGTTACTATGAACAGCAATGGACCAAGAACAGTTCTTGGGGGACAGTTCAATTTTGCTGGATCTTAAAGGAAGGATACAATTTAGAGAGGTGGAGAGAATTAAGGGCAGCTCTCTTAGTAAGAGGAACAGGTAAGTGAAAATTCTGATCCTAACACTAAGTCAATCAGTCTTGATGGAAGGATTTTTTTAAAGGAGAAAATGAAAATAAAGTTGGAGAAGATGATTATGTTGCAAGGGATCCCTTTCTTCCTTCTCAACAAGCTCCATGTAAAGGAGAAAGATATTCTATTTATATTGGAATGTCTTGAATAATTAGATTTTTTTAGAGAAACACCGTGATTACTAATAAATTAACCTGGAGAAAGGCTTAAGCCATTCCACATAATATGCCAAAGTCAAGCCTGATCTGGACAAGTGAAGATAGAAAGGTTTTCATGTCTTAATTTCATCTAGCAATTGGTACTCATATTACCATGTTACCACCATCACCAAAAAGTATAATATCTAAATGTTTATTGTTGAAAACACATTAGCCTTAATTTAGAATGTGTCAGTTTACTACTTGAACTTCTATGGGCCTCTGTTTCCTCGTCTGTAAGGGTTTACTCTAAGACTCAGTCACAATATTCTCTTAAATTTTTAGCATATGGTTGGTTATTGAGGAGTACTGAGAGTACTGAAGGACTCAATCTAATAACAGAAGTCGAGGGCTATCTGAAGAGCTTATTATTGTGACTATTTTCCGGAACCTGAAGTGGATTTTAGCCAGCTGCCAGAGCTCTGACCAACCTCATGTTTCTTAGGCGACTTGCTCATATAAATGCTGTGAACTGAGCAGTCTCTTCTACATCTAGGACAGCTTGACTAGACGCTGGGGCTCAGCAGAACCTGCCCCTAGGAGCCGATTAAGAAGCAGAGGTAGGACACCTACCCACAAACTTCAGGAAACCTGCTTCCTTTGTTCTCCAAAGTTTGTGTGAGCTTTGTACGTTTAGATCCTCAGGAAAATTAGAAACACTACACTGTGCATCATTGTATCATATGGCTGTTCACTCTTTTCAAGGAAATTAGCACACTGGTCTGATAAAGAGGCTATATAGTGCATCTATGGTTTTTGCATATTCTAAAGGCAGGCAAAGGAAAGGAACAAGTATTAACTGAAAATCTACTATGTGCCAGACCTTTCACTGTAACTGTGAATAGATGATTTAATTTAATCCTATCAACAAATCTTCCAGATTATATTATGCATTACTGGTAATGATACAGATTGAGGCCAGGCTATGAAGAGTCTGGTAGGTTATAATAAAAAGCTTATTTCACTTAAAATGTAATTTATTTAGTGGAAAACAGCACCAAAAGAGGCTATGTTTAGTAATGTACATATTTTATTTTTACCTTCGTTATGATAAATTGCTAACAACGTCTTTGTAGGGGTAGCAAGAATTCAGTGCCCATTTATTCAACTTATTTAAACAACTGGGGACATATCCTGGTGTCATGCTTTAGTGAACCACCTCATTTACTTAGGCAGATTAAGAGGTGCCTGGGTTTTATTATCTCAGATGTGTACTATGTCATTCATGGAATAACTTTATTTGTCCTCATTTTAATGGAAAAATTAATTGCTACACAATACATACTTGTGAAATATATAACTTAAATATACATTTATAATTCCCAAAAGGTCAAACATTTTAGATAAATTTATGGGGCAGCAACTGATGAAATAAATCTTCTCTGTCTGATTTTATCACCTCAATTTGCAGATAAGAATATAGGGGTTGAAAGTTGAAATGATTTGATTTGCCAAACATCACATAGATTTTTGGCAAGACCAGAACTGGGATTAAGGTCTTAAGGCTCTCAATACGTTACTTTTACAGACAACAAAATGCGAGAAATAGAATCCAAATTGATGGTGTGTGGGTATGTGTGCATGTGTATGATGAAAATATGAAATACGAATGGAAAATTTGGTAAACATACCATATACAAAAAATATGCAAATGGTAGTGAGCTATAAAATCTGCCCATTGCATTTTATGACACTTTATTATAATGCATTAAAAAACAATCTCCTGATTTCATTATGCTCTAACTTCTCCAGGAGTAGCTCACGGTCCTTCTCTAAGGCACTCACCATGTCTAGGAAGATTATCTTATGTAGTTACCCCACCTCCCATCCCAGCTCTTATATTATACCAATTTATTCTCAATTTCTCTATACCTCTAGAGAGAAATGTATTAATGATTTTACATTGTGATAGTAGATGTATTGATTTCTTCCTATAGCTCGATCAGTTTTTATTTTGTATACATGTTAGTTGATGCCTGTATATCCAGAATTGCTGTATCTTCCTAATTATTCATTTTAAAAACCTTATGAGCTCATCCTCTAATTAGAAAAACCTCCAAGTTTGAGCTTTGCCTCAGTCTCCTTTCTCTGATGTTGACATTGTTACATCAGCTTTCTTTGATAGTGTGTGACATGAAATTAATATGTAACTGCATTTCTTAAAAGTCAAAAATCCAGTCTGAGAATTTTTAAACTATTTACAACGCTATTATAATTACAGGTACATTTGCATTTATTTTATTATTTTGTGTTTTCTAGACAATGAGCTTTCTTTACTTCCTTTTCTCCTTCTTGAAGTATATTAGCTTGACTGAGTTTTTCCCCTGTTCTTTTATTTCTGTAGAGATTGAATTGTATATTCTATTTTTACTTTTCGTTTATTAGGTTGGGCACATTAAATCTTAGACAAGCTCAGTTGACTAACAAAGTCTAGAGGTAATCAATATCTGCACCCACCTCACGACTATGAACTACGCAAGATGCTCACACCTCATTAAAGCCCTTCTTTTTCTCTCTTACATTGTCTGATATTTTCTAGTAATTCTTATTAGTGTGGTTTTCTTTATAGTCAAAAATTAGTTATACTTATTCACATCTTCACCATTTTTTGGCACACCATTAGTTCTTTTATCCTTGCATTATCATAACAGATTCAATTTCCTTCTTACTGAAATGTATTCTTCAGTAGTTCTTTCAGTGAAAGCCTGTAAGTGGCAAACTTGTCTCAGCCTTTTTCTAAAATATCTTTATTTCTTTCTCACTTTTGAATGATACTTTAGATTAGTACAGAATTCTAGGTTGCAAATTATTTTTCTTTAACATTTTGAAGTTATTTCTATTTTATTTTGTTGCTATGAAGGAGTCCTTAGTTGCAGTCTAGTTGTTATTCTTACTTAGGCAACCTTTCTTTTACCCCTACGAGCCACTTCATCACAATTTTTTTTTAGATGTGGGTTTATTTTTAATATATCCTATTTGTGATTTGATCTTCAAAATAAAAATTGACGTCATTAATGAATATTGGAAAATTATCAGCCATTATGTCTTCAAATACTGCATCTCCCCCAGTCTCTTATTCTGGAATTTAGAATGAGAAGGTCAAAAGATATGACTTTCTCATTTTTCACTTTATTTTCCTTCCTTTGTTGTTTTCTGGGTTACTTCTTTACATTTATTTTTCACTTCAACAAATAGCTCTCAACATTTATATACATTCCTTTTTCAATCATCCATTGTATTTTTAATTTCACTGATTATGTTACTTCTAGAGTAATTCTTTTAAAGATGATTTTCTATCTCATGATCAATTCTTTTGTTATGGTTTCTAATTTTTAAAATTATTTAATAATTTCAAAAAACTCTTATAGTTTATTTCAGCATCGATTGTTGTGTTCAGATGGATTGTTGTGTATACTTATCACAGTGGATCAATTTCTACCATTATTTATAATTTTTATTGTGAATAGTTCTGTGCACATATGTCTATGTCTGTTTCGAAGAAATAAAAATGGCTGAGAGGGTGCTATGGCCTGAGCGTGTTCTCCCAAACTTTATATGTTGAAATTCTAACCCCCAAGTTTATATTAGAAAGTAAGGTCTTTGAGAGGTGACTAGAACATGAAGGCAGAACTCTCATGATTGGGATTAGTGTCCTTAGAAAAGAGGCCACAGAAAGTTAGCTTCTTCTATCACATGAGGAGACTGTGCAAAGGCACCTTCTGTGAATCAGGAAACAGTCCTCACAAGACACAGAACCTGCCAGTGCCTTGATCTTGAACTTCCCAGCCTCCATACCTGTGAGACATAAATTTCTGTTGTTTATAAGCTACTGAGTTTATAGCATTTTGGTACAGCAGCCTGAATGAGCTAAGAGGCAGTATATTTCCAAGTGAGACTGGCTATCAGATTGTCATAGGTATTTAGGTTGCTAACTGGTATTGTAAGTGCAATGGGAAACCAGAGTTTAAGTGAGAAGTGGCATGACCTATTCTATGTTTTAAAAAAATCATCTTGGAAATATTCAAAAATATTACTGTAAAGCAGTTTGCATTTGTAACAGTCATGCATAACGGTTATTTCATTAGCTCAGAGCAAGTTTTACTTTATGTTTCTAACTTGGAGATTCTCACATAATGTGAATAATATAAACCTGTAAACCATTTCCACATGTGGTAGAGTTTAGGGTGTCAATTTTTCTGGAACTTTTTTTTTTTATTATACTTTAAGTTTTAGGGTACATGTGCACTTTCAATATGAACATACTGTTATATCTTAGGTAGAACAAGTTTTCTTTTAGCAACATATTGGACCAGTAGTAGATAGAGATTTCTAGTGACTCATTTAACAAGATACCAGTCTTTCCTTTTTTTTTTTTGTAACCCCCATCCCACATTTGTGACAACCAAAAGATGTCTCCAGACATTGCCGATGTTCCCTGGGGGCAAAATCACCCCTGCTTGACAACCTGATTTATTTTAACCAAGACCTTCTTCCTCAATCTTCCTTCCTGAAGATTCAGGTCAGAATTTCAGAGGAGATTCATCCTGGCCCCTGGCCCAATCGCAACTAAAAAAGCATTTTAGCACAAAGCGGATGAGATAATGGCAATCATACCGCACTTTAAAAAATTCAATGCTAGCCTTTTGGTACAAAATTAGGTTTACACCAAAATAATCACATTATCCTTGTTTTTTGTTGTTGTTGGTGGTGGTGGTGTTTTTTGTTTTTTGTTTGTTTGTTTGTTTTTTGTCTTTTTGAGACAAGGTCTCTGTTGCCCAGGCTGGAGTGCAGTGGTGTGTGCGTCACCATGCTTGGCTAATTTTTAAATACATTTGTAGAGACAGAGTCTTGCTATGTTGCCCAGGTTGGTCTTGATCTCCACGCCTCAAGTGATCTTCCATCTCTATAAAAATACAAGAAAACGCAAGATGGCAGCCACCACGGGCTCGGGAGTAAAAGTCCCTCGCAATTTCCGACTGTTGGAAAAACTCGAAGAAGGCCAGAAAGGAGTAGGAGATGGCACAGTTAGCTGGGATCTAGAAGATGACGAAGACATGACACTTACAAGATGGACAGGGATGATAATTGGGCCTCCAAGAACAATTTATGAAAACCGAATATACAGCCTTAAAATAGAATGTGGACCTAAATACCCAGAAGCACCCCCCTTTTTAAGATTTGTAACAAAAATTAATATGAATGGAGTAAATAGTTCTAATGGAGTGGTGGACCCAAGAGCATATCAGTGCTAGCAAAATGGCAGAATTCATATAGCATCAAAGTTGTCCTGCAAGAGCTTCGGCGCCTAACGATGTCTAAAGAAAATATGAAACTCCCTCAGTCGCCCGAAGGACAGTGTTACAGCAACTAATCAAAAAAAAAAAAAAAAAAAAAAAAAAAACCACAGGCCCTTCCCCTTCCCCTCCATTCGATTTAATCAGTCTTCATTTTCCACAGTAGTAAATTTTCTAGATACGTCTTGTAGACCTCAAAGTACTGGAAAGGAAGCTCCCATTCAAAGGAAATTTATCTTAAGATACTGTAAATGATACTAATTTTTTGTCCATTTAAAATATATAAGTTGTGCTATAACAACAACAACAAAAAAATACAAGCAAAGTTAGCTGGGTGTGGTGATGGGCGCCTGTAATCCCAGCTTCTCTGGAGGCTGAGGCAACAGAATCTCTTGAGCCCGGGAGGTGAAGGTTGCGGTGGGCCAAGATTGTGCCACTGCACTCCAACCTGGGTGAACAGAGTGAGACTCCATCTCAAAAAAAAAAAAAAAAAAAAAAATCTGCTCTCTTGAGGTCACTGTTAGACTAAACTCTAAACTTCAATCATCTCCTTCAAGGTTGCTGTCTGTATATTAATTTATTTCTTTTTTTCTCTTTTCTTTTTTTTTTTTGGAGACAGGGTCTCATTCTGTCATCCAGGCTGGAGTGTAGTGGTACGATCTTGGGTCACTGTGGCCTCTACCTCCTGGGCTCAAGTGATGCTCCCCCTAAACACCCCAAGTAGCTGGGACCACAGGCCTGCGCCACTACGTCTAGCTAATTCTTGTGATTTTTGTATAGACAGGGTTTTGCCATGTTGGCCAGGCTGGTCTCAAACTCCTGGGCTCAAGCAATCCTCCTTCCTCGGCCTCCCAAAGTGCTGGGATTACAGGTGTGAGCCATCATACTAGGCCTAGTATATTAATTTTTTGATTTAAAAAAACAAAAAATCTTGTGACTTGTTCTAAGGCTGAATCGTTCTTAGAGGAAATTGAGAGAATAATTTAGTGAAGGATTCAAAATCTTGTGCCCAGGTCATAGCAGATGTAGGAATCAGTGCTTGTAGCCCTGCCTCAAAAGGATAATGTGGCTGCGCCATGCCTCACACCTGTAATCGAAGTGCTTTGGGAGACTACGGCAGGAGGCAGGAGGATCACTTGAGGCCAAGATACTCGTCTTTCTAAGGCTGTTCTCTGTGCAAATTTCATCATGCAATTCAAAGGCTATGTCATTTTATCCCTAAGTGGGTATTCAAATTCTAGGGCCTGAACTTAGAGCCTAAAGCCAAATCTAATTTTCTGGACAACTGTAGCACCAGATTAGTAAATTACAGCTCAGGTTTGGTATTATTCATTCTTTCTGACATCAGGGAATACCTTTCTTTTTCCAGTCATGCTACTTATTTGTTTGTTTAGCTTTAAATGTATCCATTATTCTATAACTATGGACCAGAAAGTAAGTCTATATTAAGTCAGTCTCCAAAGTTACTAAAATTAGACTCCTCCAAAACATTCTTTATATACAGCCAGGATGACTTATCTGTTTTTGAAACTTAGATTAGATCATATAACTTTGCTCTTAAAACTTGGCTTCCCATTGCCCTCAAATACCAGCCAGCATCCTGAGGCCTATAACAATCTGGTCTTCACTCTCACTTTGAGCCACTTTCCCTCTAAATCACTTTTATGTTCCAGACATTCTAAGACTTTTTTGGCCTATATGAATTTGCATGTACTTTTCCCACTAATGGAAGTGCTCTGCCTCCAGTTCTTTGTAGAGCTGACTCATTCTCATCCTTTAACCCTCAGCTTAATTTTGAGCTTCTTAGTCAAGCTTCCGTGTCAAACACAGGGAAATAGAATTTCTCTCGACTTCCCCCAACATTTTTATCTCTTAGAGCAGTCGGCTTTTTAGTTTCATAGACTTTTTGTTAGTGTGTGTGTATATGTATACATATACACACACACATATACATATATATTATATACACATATATATCTGTATATTATATATGTAATATATCTTATATGTGTAATAACATAATATATATTATATATATTATATACATATATTATATATGTATTCCAATATTATATATTATATACATATATATGTATTCCAATATATTATATACATATATTATATATGTATTCCAATATATTATATATTATATATAACATGTATTCCTTATGTATTCCAATAAATTACATATATCATATATAATATTACATATGATATATGTAACATATTATATATGTTATTTGAGTGTGGCTGTCTTGCCTATTTGTTCATGACTCTATACACAGCACCTAATCACAGCTCATTCCTTACAGTAGGTTTAAATAAACAGTTACTGAATGAATGAATGAAGGATTTGTAAAGATAGTAATTTCCATATCATCAAACATTTAAGGGTCCATCTTTTTTTATTTTTTAATTATTTTTTATTTTGACAGAGTCTTGCTCTGTCACCCAGGCTGGAGTGCAGTGGCACAATCTTGGCTCACTGCAACCTCCGCCTCCCAGGTTCAAGTGATTCTTGTGCCTCAGTCTTCTGAGTAGCTGGGATTACAGCATGTGCCACTATGCCTGGCTAATTTTTGTATTTTTAGTAGAGACCAGGTTTCACCATGTTGACCAGGCTGGTCTCGAACACCTCACCTCGGGTAGTCTTCTCTCCTCAGCCTCCAAAAGTGCTGGGGTTACAGGTGTGAGCCACCATGCCCAGCCTTGAGTGTCCATCTTATAGTCATTTGTTTAATTTTTGACGTCCTAACATTCTTTGATCAATTATCATCAGGTAACAAGGATTATGGAGAAATAATAAAGACATCTAATAATAACATTTACAATGTCTATGCAAAAAATATTCAAGGTATAGTATGTTGGTAATTTTGGTATTTACTATGCATATATGTACCAATTAGAGATAGACCAAAGAAAGATATGAGATTTTAAAGACACTGCTATTGTTTTAAGCATTTTAAACACCTACTAAAGAGAGTCCATAAACAACTGAACAGAGTAGGATGAACTCTTGAACTCTTCTACTAGAATAGAGCAGAGTGAACAATGGTGTAGCAGCCAGTTTATCTGGATTTTAACCCTGGATCTGTCCACATCCTTGTGGCCTTGGACATAAAACTACTTCTTTAGGCTTCTGTTATTTTACTCCATAAGAGATGATGTAAGAGTAACACTAAAGAAAGGTTCCACGTATGATTAATACATTATTACTGTTAATGGTAATGTAAAGAATATTAGGGAAAATCTGATCTTTCTCAAACATTAGTACTTATTTTAAATGAGAATAGATAATTTAGAAAAGAGAAAATAGTCATGAAGTCTTTGCCCATGGCTATGTCCTGAATGGTATTGCCTAGGTTTTCTTCTAGGGTTTTTATGGTTTTAGGTCTTACGTTTAAGTCTTTAATTCATCTTGAGTTAATTTCTGTATAAGGTGTAAGGAAGGGGTCCAGTTTCAGTTTTTTGAACATGGCTAGCCAGTTTTCCCAACACCATTGATTAAATAGGGACTAAAACACCAAAAGCAATGGCAACAAAAGCCAAAATTGACAAATGGGATCTAATTAAACTAAAGAGCTTCTGCACAGCAAAATAAACTATCATCAGAGTGAACAGGCAACCTACAGAATTGGAGAACGTTTTTGCAATCTACTCATCTGACAAAGGGCTAATATCCAGAATCTACAAAGAACTTAAACAAATGTACAAGAAAAAAGAAACAATCCCATCAAAAAGTGGGCAAAGGATATGAACAGACACTTCTCAAAAGAAGACATTATGTGGCCAAAAAACAAATGAAAAAAAGCTCATCAACACTGGTCATTAGAGAAATGCAAATCACAACCACAATGAGACACCATCTCCTGCCAGTTGGAATGGTGATCATTAAAAAGTCAGGAAACAACAGATGCTGGAGAGGATGTGGAGAAATAGGGATGCTTTTACACTGTTGGTGGGAGCATAAATTAGTTCAACCATTGTGGAAGACAGTGTGGCGATTCCTCAAGGATCTAGAACCAGAAATACCATTTGACCCAGCAATCCCATAACTGGGTATATACCCAAAGGATTATAAATCATTCTACTATAAAGACACATGCACACGTATGTTTATTGCAGCACTATTCACAATAGCAAAGACTTGGAACCAACTCAAATGCCCATCAATAATACACTGGATAAAGAAAATGTGGCACATATACACCATGGAATACTATGCAGCCATAAAAAGGGATGAGTTCATGTCCTTTGTAGAAACATGGGTGAAGCTGGAAACCATCATTCTCAGCAAACTAATACAGGAATAGAAAACCAAACACTGCATGTTCTCACTCATAAGTGGGAGTTGAACAATGAGAACACATGAACATAGGATGGGGAACATCACACACCAGGGCCTATTGGGGAGTGGGGGGCTAGAGAAGGGGTAGCATTAGGAGAAATACCTAATGTAGATGATGGGTTGATGGGTGTAGCAAACCACCATGGCACGTGTATACCTATGTAACAAATCTGCACATTCTGCACATGTATCCCAGAACTTAAAGTATTAAAAAAAATGAGGCTTTGCATTTGGGGTGGTAAGAAAAAACAAACAAACAAAAAAGAATAAAGAAACTACTTATTTTTTAAAAGTCTGATCTGAATAGAATGATAGAATGTCAAAGTTGTGTAGGAACTGCCTTTATCAATTATTAAATAACATCATTTGTACTTGATATTCTAAAATTTTAAACTCTTTCTCAAAACACTGTATATCAGAAGGCATGGAATTCTTTTAAATACATTTCAGCAGCCAATTCCCCAGACACACTATCATACTATTTGTGTTTCAGGGCAGTAAAAGACATTCTGAAGAATTAATGAAGTTAGATATTTCTAAGTAACAAAAATGTATGAATCACCACAGACTGTCATGAATATTTTATTCTTTTTCCTAAAGAAAAACAATAGTACACTTAAAATGAATTGAGTTCAGAACTGTTGATGAAAAAATAACTGTTGGGTGGGCAAGTAAAAACTGGCAAAGTCAGCTTATTTTAAATTGTTGTAGTCTTGAACTGCTAAGCATTTTGTCAATTCACCATAACACTGTGATTATTTAGCTTTGAACATTAACCCTGTTATTACCACTTTGCAGGAAAATCTACTAATTCAGAGTTTTTATATGAAAATAAAATCACAGTTTGACTTCCAATTTCAGGCTGAAAGAGAAATGAAATTATTATTAAATTGTGTCTAGATTGTTTTCCTATTAAATCACAGCTACTATTACAGCATTTAGATTAAGGGCACAGATTTTAAGACTTTACTACAGTTAGGTCATCAGCTAGAGTTACAGACTTCATTATGCTGCAAAAGCAATCTAACCCCCCAAATCTCAGTAGCTCCATACAATATTGGTCTGTTGGATTTCTAACCCTCATAGTAATTTGGAGCTCCAGAATATTTTAGAGTCCATGTCTTAGCCTGTTCAGGTTGCTTATAACAAACATACCATAAACTTGGTGGCTTATGAACAACAAACACCTATTTCTAACAGTTTTGGAGACTGAGAAGTCCAAAATCAAGGTCTTGATGGATTCATTGTCTGATGTGTTCCTGTTCCCCACAGACAGAACCTTCTGATGCATCTATACATGATGGAAGTATAGTAAGCACTGGCACACATATATAAAACTGTGTTAGAGAAATAATCACCGTCTTTGGTTGACCCCTTCCTGCTGGGCCAGAGAGGATAGTACTTTTTCCTTTATTACAGTTACTAGGATTTCAGGCAGTTCAAACCTTTCTGACTATGTATCAGTTGTATGTACAAAATGGGTCCTCTCCTCACCTGTTCTTTTTAAACTTTACCTTCTTGTCTCATTCCAAGATTTCCTGCTTTAAAACCTTCACTTCATCTCAGCAAGGAAGAGACAAGGACTACCGTCTAATGTTTTGTGTACCCCTTTTACATGGATTACATGAAAGATTGAAAGTGTATTTTAATATTGCCATGCAGACGGATGATATAAATGTAACTTATTAATCTCATTGAAATGTCAATAGGGAAGAAAGGACATAATTTAAATCAAAGCTTTTAACTAGTTTTTACATATTTATGATATAATGATTTGATAGCATCAAATATTGTTTTTATTTCTTAACTATACCTTCTTATCTAGGCATAACACATTTTAATATTTATCAGCATTTCTCTATAAATTTAAATAATATCTCAATACAATATCTTATATAACTTATCATTATGACAAATAGATCATATCATATGCTTCTCCTTAAAGAATATATGGATAGTGCAACTTTTGAAGAAGTAAACCTTTTGCAAATGTATATTTCTCTATAATGAAAGACACTTGGATAAAGTTGAATACTATATTTTATCTGCCTAGAGATAAATGCATATTAAAATTACATCTAAAATAGATTTAAAAATAAACACTAATCTCATTTTTTTAAAAACTGAAAGCTTTGTATTTTGATAACAAATAAGTATATAACATGTCATCCTGCAATACTTTATATCTCCTCATAACTAGTTACTCTGGTTTAGCTTGGAACACAAAACAGCAACAAGAATAATCTCATTCAAATACTACACAGTTTAATGGCTTAAAATAAAAATACATTTTATAAGAAATGAAAAATTCAAGGTAAATAGGTTATGTATTATTTGAGTAAACTCTTCTTCACATATGAGATGCACACTAATTTCTGAGGGTTATTTCTCACTAATTATAAGCTTGACTGGCTCAGATGGTTGTCTTTTGTGAATAAATGAAAATTCTATCCACTAGTCATATTAAATCAGACTGATTAAGACATATAATTTAATTGCCCTCAAACTTCTTCCATTAATTTTAAGTCCTGTTGTCATTATCTAGTAAACCACATTGCAGAATTTTAAAAAAATTGATTCTTTGAATGATGACTCAAAGTACGATTCTGATAAAATTTTCTCTAATCATTCAACATTATTGAAATGAAGTTGATTTAATTGAACCTGTAAAAGAGATTGCATTTTCTAATCATACCTCATCTGTAGATGCTTATTATTCAAAGAAAGCCATATAGAATTTCAAGCACCCTTAATTAAAATAATATATATAATCTTAGATGCCTTTCTCCCCTAGTGATTATTCTAAAGCGGCTCTGGTCTTTCTATCATTTCTCATGCATAGGAAATATTTTCTTTTTAGCACCGAGCAAAGGTAAATTTGAAATAATTCATTAACAGCTACACCAGTAATAACTTGAACAATATCTTTGTATTTTGGAGGTAAATGCTAAAATTCAACATCTGGATGGAATTATATGAAGGTTCATAGAATTCATAGCAACATCAAGAATAATTCTGGGCTATATTTATTCTTGAACAACAAAATAACAAAATGATGGGATAATTTTCCCTGATCAACTACATGTAGATTAAATCTGTTTTTAGAGAGAGTACTATACAGAGTGTGCAATAAATAACATACTTCAAAAGAATGGTGAGGGTACAAAAGAATGCATATGAATATATTTCACAGTTTTTCATATATATGTATATGTGTAAATTTATATGTACATATGTCTTTCTATGTAGATATATATACATATATAAGCACATCTCAAAATATAGACATATATATTCTTCCATACCCTCATTGTGCATTTAAAGTGTCTATATGTGTATATGTGCCTATATATGTGTATATATATATATCTGAATACGTATTTACACATATATAAATATTTATATATAATAGAAACTACTTACTCATCCTGTAGAAATAGTTACAGAGAAGAAAACAGTTCCTAGACACTTGTAGAAACTTCATTATTTTAGAAATAAGTAGATTAAATACCGCTATTAATTGATAATCATTAATGTCTATCTGGCCTTTTTTGCGTTCAATATTCCATTCTTCAAAATGATTATGTAAATCAACCCTCTTATTCTTTTCCCCTAACTTCTAGCTACTTCACAATAAAAATCTTCAGAGGGAGATGTCTCAACTGTCTGACATCTAGCCTACAGGTACATACCATACCTTCATACTTTCCTACTTTCCTGCTCTTTCCATGTAAGCAAACAGAGATGGTATCATTTCAAAAACAGACCTTCTGTTTCTTTCCTAGATTCCTTCCCTTCCTGATTTACCGGTGATTTCTCTCAGTTATCTATCTCTCCCCAAGCCTTTAATATCTCTTCCTGCTAATTCTTTTCTATCACTACTGGAACATGTTCAGGTTATCTTCCATCTTAAAAAAAATACAAGAAAACCAGCCAAAAATTATTTTGTCTTTTCCCTATTTTCTGTGGGCCCATTTTCTTGAAAGAGCTTTTGTATTCACAGTCTTGATTTCCTCGCATCACACTTAGACCTGTACTCACTGCATCAAACTTCCAACCTCACTACAGACATCATTTTTGTCAAGATCACCATTGACTGCTTTCCTGAACCCAGTGGCCCTTTACAGAGCCAGGCTTTGGCACAATATACGTTCTTGAAACAGGCTGTTTGGGGGTTTTGTGAATGCCAGATCTTTACTTATGTTCTACTTTTTAGCTGCTCTTCTTCAGTTTGATTTGCTGAGGTTTGTGAAATGCTGATACTTCTCCAGACAATTTCACTAGGTACTTCCATCAACTGCCATAGTTTCAAATATCATATACAAAGAGAATGATTGCCAAGTCTATTATTTCCAGCGTAATACGCTTTCTTTAGGTTCATATAAGCCTACGCAACTGGTGGACATGTCCCCTGGGGGCTGAGGTCTTCACAGGCGCTACCAATGGAATGGGTCAAGAATTAAACTTACTATTTTATACTTTGTAAACAAAGTATACTTTTTAAACAAAGATCTCCATTTGCTATGTGTCTCTGTTCACCTAACTAGGATACTTTGTAATGACCTCACCTTTGGCTTTGGAGTATTCTGGAAATATCATTTATAAATATGTTTTGCTGTATGTAAAGAGTATAAAACAGGAGGTGTCAGTCCAATGACATACACACATAGCATGATATGTTTATCTATGGAAACTATTCAAACTGAAGGCAGAATAATCACGAGCTAAAAATATTCCAAATTTGAATTATTTTGATGAGTGCAATATAATTCTGAGGAAAATATTTGTGGTATTAACCATTTTAAAGGGTTCCAGGATACAGAAACATGAGGTACGATGGCCCCTGTAGAACTGGTGGAGATCTTGATACCTTGATAGAGTCCCCTTGAATGATAAGAGTCACCCCAAGAACCCAACTCTCAATAGCATACTCAATTAGTGTATACAAACTCCATGTAAGCTGTTGTAAAGTACAGCATCTTCTACCTTGAAGAAAATGTCTATTATCAGGTTTAGGGGAGACAATGTACATGAGTAGTTTTCCATTGATATCTGTTCATATCAGTGATATCTGCACTTCTTCTGCAACAGCAGTCATATATTTCTTCTCTTCCATTTTTTTTTTTTTTATTCTCTGGGTATAAAAGGTAGGAGAAAGCTGAAAGAATAGTAAAGCTGTTTTAGAGAGCCATAAACTCACTCTCTTTTTATTTTTGTTTCTGGCCCTAAATGGCTTTGGGGGGAGGGAAATGTATCCCTCTAAAGAACCATAAGAAATAATGATGAGAAATTTTAGTCAGGGTTTTTAATCAAAACACACCAAATTATTTTTCTTCTTGTTTTTTTTTTTCTCATCCTAGTTCATGTTACCAGTCAGAAATAATCTCCGTCTCTACTTTGTCCATCATACTGACAACTCGGCAGTTTGGTCTGTTTATTATTATATTCCCAGAAAAATGGATGCAATAAATATTTTTAAATGAATCAAATAACTTAATATTTCTTGAATCTGACTGCTTCTCTTAGTTTCTTCTGCCACTACTCTAATCTGAGCCACTACCATTATTCATCTGGATCATAGTAGCATCTACTTTTGAACTGGCCTCCCTGGACTCATTCTTGCCACTCTCTAATCCATTCTTCAAATTGCAGCAGAATGACCTTTTCAAAATGCAAGTCTAATAATATGCCCTCATTGCTCACAACTTTTCAGGAACTTTCCTTTGTTCTTAAGATCACTTCTAGACTTATGAACATGTCTTTATATGGCTTCTTACTTCTCTAGCGTTATTTCTTGAATCCAGCTTTATATTTATGTCTTGAAGTTTGTGTTCCAGTCATGTGAACTTCTTTCAGTTTCTTAATGGGCCAACTCCTTGTCACTTCTGGAATTTACCCATAGCATTGCCTTTGCCTGAAATGTTGTTTGTTCGTTTGTTTGTTTTTTTTTCCCCCATGTCTTCAGTTCGGTGAATCATTTCACAGCCCTGTTTGACACCACTGTTTTCCAGGAGGTTTTTCCTGAACTTGGAATATGCACTTGTGCTATATTCTCCCTTTGGCCCACAGTTTTTCTTTCCATCAGCGCTTCTATCATATTAATTATAACTTCATACTTACCTTATGTCTTACAAACTTAATTCTAAACCTCATCTGGGCAGGGTCAAGATCTACCTTTTACACTGTATATTTTCTGAACTTTAGTATTTCAGGGAAGACTCTGCAACTAGAAAGAACTTAATAATAATTGAATAAATGAATATTTCACTAAATCCCATAATATCTCTATAAACGTATTTCTCCCCAGTGTACATATAAAGAAATTGAGATTCAGGGAAGTCAAGAAAATTGCCAAAGTTTTGCAATCGCTTGCTATGTGATGTTTAAGTCAGTTTGATGTTCCTATGTTTAGTTTCCTTATCTATGCAATATGGATGAGAAGTCTTGAAATAGATGACAAAGTTGATGATGAGAAAGGTGACTGTCTAGAGCAAGCATTGTAAAACTAAAGCCCTCATGTAAATCTAGCCCACTCCTTCTTTTTGTATGGCTCATGCGTTAAGAATAGTTTTTACATTTCTAAACAGTTGAAAAAATTAAAAAGAACAATATTTCATGACTTGAAGCTTATATGAAATCTAAATTTCACTGTTCATGAATAAAGTCTTATTGGAATACAGCTATGTCTATTCAGTGTCATATTGTTTGATTGCTTTTGTGCCAGGAAAGCTAAGTAGTTGCAACAGATAGCACATGGCCCACAAAGCCAAAATATTTACTATCTTGCCCTGGTCCAGAACAACATCTGCACATGTTTAATAAACTATGCTTATAATTTACACTATTATTATTAATAATAAAAATTATCACAATGACTTCTTAATCTAAGTGACATGTAGCTCAACTACCAGCAAAATTTCTGGCCAATAAAAAACTATAATGCCAAACTTTTTTGTTTTTATTCTAAGTAATCCATTATATACATATAGTCAAGTAGTTAAATGTTTCTGTCTTCAGCAAGACACACCACTTAGAATACAAATATAGAGGATTGCATATGATCATTATTATGAGTGCCCTGGATAAAAGTAGCTAAATACTGAAGAGTTAACTTGAGTGTCCAAGATCTGTGAAGGTGACTAGACAAGGCTCAGACCAGTATTGAAGCCCTCTCTTGATGGTGAGCAGTCTCTCAAACCTTGACGTTTTCTAGGCCAGGAGCTTGAGTTAATTACCCTCTTCTGCTAATGTATCAATGTGTTCTAGAATTTAGGTTGGTCAACAAACATAATTTGTAAACGTTTAGCTATTTGGGATTCTGGGAGACAATGTGACTATATGAGACAATGATCCTTTGGTAAGTACAGTAGTTCCTCTTAACCTGCAGTTTTATCTTCTACAATAGCTGTTACTCATGGTTAACTGTGGTCCAAAAATAGGTGAGAACAGTACAATATGATATTTTGAGAGAAAGACAGAGATTATGTTCACATACCTTTTTATTACAGTTTTTATTACTTTATTATTGTTAGAATTGCTCTATTTAATTATTAGTTGTCGTTGCTAATCTATTATTGTGCCTAATTTACAAATTGACCTTTACCATAACTAAGTATGCATAGAAAAAACATTATATTTAGAGTTTGGTACTATCTATGGTTTCTGGCATTCATTAGGGGTCGTGGAAGATATTCCCCATCAATAAGGAGGGGCTAATGTATGAAGTCACAGATTTTGGGCATACTTATAAGACAGATATGATTCGAATGGGCAAATAAAGCCCTTGAGAACAAGAAACTCTATATCCCCCATTTTGTGTAGTGTATCTCTTCCCATTCACTCCTTGTTTCTTCTTCATGCTGCTTCATGGTCTATTTTGTCATTCATATAGTTCCCTGATCTCATCATTCTTTCTGTTTGGAGTCCAAATTTGAAGTCCAAGTGTTATTTCAAATACAAGGTTATTATTTGATTAAGCCGAAAATGCCATGTTACTTCCTTTGCCAAGGTATGTCCTTTCTTAGAGACATTGCTCTAAAACATTTCCTTCATCAATGTTTTAGTTAACTGATTGGCCTTGTTTTGAGTTTAATGTTGAGCCCATTCACAAGGAGCACAGTTAGATAAAGGAATGAGATGATCTGGGTCTGGGTCAAGCTAACTCCTGTTCTAACTTGAGGTTTACCATTAACTAGCTGCATGACTGGACAAGGCAGTTGGGCAAGTTTTTTTATATCTGAATTTCAGAGTCCTCATCTTTAAAAGTGGCAATAATATTTAACTCACAAAATGGTTGTGAGGATTCAAATAATATAGTATACAAAATACCTATAAAATATAACATATAAAATAATCTGTAGCTCACAGAAGACACCCAATCAGTGTTAGTTTTTTTTTTTTCTTCTTCTTTCTTCTCTTTCTCCTCACCTCCAACTTCTTTAGGATGAGAAAAGCAACAATATACATTCAGGAAAATACTTGTTTGTGAGGTAATTGGGACACCTCTCAAAGGAGCTCTGTCTAAAAGATCCCTTTAGCACATACCATACTGAAATCTAATTTCTTGAATCTAAATTAGGGATTTAATACTTTGATTAAAAAAAATCCAACTAGTCATATATTGCAGCAGAAAGCAAGCACGATGGGTTTTAGGAGAAGATCTGGTCTTGACTTTGAGCTCTTGCTGTTTATTTCCTATGTCGTTTTTTACTCTATGGACCTCATTTTCCTCTTCTGTGAAATGAGGATAAAATGAACCCTACAGCTGGAAGGTTGATGTGAGGTCCTCTCCTTATTCCATCGCCTTTCTTCTTTCCAGCCATCTCTCCTACTCTTCCTCTCTCCAGCAATGCCACAGTTCTCCACTACTGTGGTTCCTGAGCAAATGTCTCTGAAAATGTTGTGCTCTCCATCTGGGATGTCTTTCCATACAAGGCTCCGATTCATTTTTCAAATGTAGGGGCAAATATTCCTCATGTGAATGATGGTTTTAGCACCAACTTTCTGAGGTAGAATTGCTCATCCTTTCTTTGTTACCACAGTAATGTGTGCACGATGCTTTCACATGTTTCATCATACTTACATGAAACTTTTAGTTCCTCACAGACCCTGGACTTCAAAGACAGATTCTAGGGCTGACTCAGCTTTGATACCTTGATACCAAGTGAAGCATTAGCGCAGAAACAGCTGTGCAAATAAGACATGGGGAAATATGAATATGCTTGAGAATCTTTAAAGTCACCAAAATATCCAATTTTAAAGATTTGGAGAAACAAAGGTATAGATCAATGAAGAGCATATGTTTGTATGTGGAAAGACTCTGTATCGAGAGTCGGTGGGTAGAGAGGACATACCTGGGGTTTAGATGAACCAAAGAGGCATGACCAAGTAAAGGAATTCAGAGGGCAAAGAGAAAATGAAACAAAACAAAACTTTACTTAGCTTCCTGGTTCATATTTTTATTGTGCTGGCAAAAGACTATCTGTCAAAAAATGTATTTCACATCTATTTTTCTGTCGTAAAAATAAGTAAAGTGGCTCTAAGAAAAGGGGTTTGTGCAGAAGTATTATATGTATGGCTTTGAAGTAGCTGTTACTGAAACTCATAAAATAGGAATAAACATTACAGATTATATATTCCAGGGCTTTCCACGTTTGTACTGAATGACAGAGGAAAAAGGAAGCCTCTTTTCCACAGCGAACAGCCCCACTTTCTACTAATAATAGCTAATATTTATGCAGTATTTATTTAGTGTATTGCAAGCACAGTACTAAGGTTCTTTCATATATTAGCTATTTTCATACTCAGATTGTATTTTATAACAGACCAGAAGAATTTCAGAGAGTCTTAGGGAGAAGACATTTGGAAAAAGAGGAAAGAAAGTTTTTCCTCGCAGAGCCACTAGTCATCAAAATTATCTTTTCTTAAGCCAAGAATCCATACCCATTTACTTTGATTTTTCAGTTACAACAGGATCATAATCTCATTAAGGGCTGGACCTGAACTTCCAAAGGAAACTCAGGAGTCAATTAAGTGTTTAGCTTAACCCCTGTCATAATAGTCAATATGAACGAATGCATTTTAAGAAAACTGATATAAAAATAAATTCATCATGTCAAAGAGATGAAAAAGGAAAATGAATGCAATTTGATTTGGTTAGCTCACAGTTAACAACTTAGGTTAAGTTTTGTTTATTTATTTATTTATTTTTTTGAGATGGAGTCTCGCTCTGTCACTTAGGCTGGAATGCAGTGGCACGATCTCAGCTCACTGCAACCTCTGCCTCCCAGGTTCAAGCGATTCTCCTGCCTCAGCCTCCCGAGTAGCTGGGATTACAGGTGCCTGCCACCGCTCCTGACTAATTTTTGTGTTTTTAGTAGAGATGGGGTTTCACCATGTTGGTCAGGCTGGTCTCGAACTCCTGACCTCAGGTGATCCGCCCGCCTCGGCCTCCCAAAGTGCTGGGATTACAGGCATGAGCCACCATGCCCGGCCAACTTAGATTAAGTTTTAAGGAAACGAAGGTACTTAACGAAAACATTAATTATAGTACATGTATTGGGGACTGTCCAGTCTCTCCTCAGACTAGTAAAAAATGCCAAATTTGTCAGACTTATAGCACCTTGGGGAATCCCTAGACAGTTTGATAGACTTCCTGAAGTATTTTATAATTACTCTGCTTGTTCCCAAGGTTTAATGATTCACTTGCAACAGAAATTTCTCTCTACTTAAAAAAGAAAAATCTGTTCACAAGCTGGAAAAATCAAGAATGCCTGATATTTAGAGTTATTTATGAGAGAAATTCTATGAGTGCCAGTGAGTTTTAATTGTTATTCTAACCCCAGATGAGATCTCCAGTGGAATGTTTTCTAAGCTTTCAGATGATGTGTCAATGATGAGACTACATTTAATTAAAGCAAGTTATACAGCAGGTAAAACACAGTAAGGAAATTACATAGGATATTTTGTAGCACATTGGTGGAATTCTCATCCTTATCTAGTTATGAGAAACATCTCACTCTACTCTCCTTTTTTTTTTCTTTTCCTCAAGTGCATTTCTTTTCTGATTTAAATATATGATCTAAGGATCTATTCTTTTGACCCATACCACTATTTTCTTCCAAATATTTTTTTGCTGACAATTTAATACACTAATATATCTTTCCCAAGTAGAGGGGATTCTTAGAGTATATGAAATAGACAGAAATGAAGATGTTCCTTTTCCTTATTTAGATCCATTGGAAGAAAAGTTTTATTCTTAGCAGCAGTTGAATTCTAAAGTTAGGGACATTTTGATAACTTACATCAGGATCTGGCATGGGATGAAAAACAAATTATGCTTTGTGTCTTACAATGGACTATAACTGAGAAGCAAAGGTTGACTTTATTGGACATTTTCAATATAGTGCTATTTTTCTTTTTATTTAAGCATACTTTGTTATTTGGTAACTTTGTAGGCAGTGATTCTTTTTTAGTTTTTTTTTCTGTCTTCCCTAAAGCCTAGTAAGTCTCCCACAGTAAATTCTCTTTTAAGATGTTTTGATTAAATGACTTGGTAAGGAAAATAAAATTATCATTTTTAGGAGAACTTACTTTTGAAGAAGAACCTGTTAATAACATTAACTTTATATTACAGATTCACCAGTGAAAATTCCTTTTATAAATATGCAGACAGATTTTCAGTTTTGAATAAAAGCTTTCTTAGTGCATTGTGACGTGCAGAGAGAGAACAACAAATCTTTGGCTCCAGACCTCTATAAACTACTAGAACAGAATTACAGATTAACTTTGTGTTTCTTTTTGAGTGCCATTTTATAACGCCATGTGTTATCTTGTTAAATGTTAGAACTAGCATATTTGACATATTCATAAATTTTCTGAAGAAAAAAAACAGAGGAAAGTAAATAAATATTGGAGTTGAATAGTCTGATAAATTTTGCTGAAAATATTAGCTCTTATGGGAGCTAAAGTTCATTATTCAGGAAATTAAAATTTGGATAAATTAGTGTCAGTGTGGTTTTCATCCAGTTTCTAAAAACAGAGGCACATAATACAATTGATAAATATGCAATTCGCAACAAAAAGACAGAAAAATGGAATGCAGTGTTAATATTACCTAAATAGAGAAGTTAATTCAATTACAATAATGCCATCCTGTTGAATACATTCTTTGAAATATGAAACACAAATGGAGATATTACTTACTATAAAAATTGGCCTTTGGAAGTCATTTTTGTTTCTTTTTTACAAACAAGCACAGTCATGATATGAATATTGTGGTTTATTATAGAGCTGCACTGGTGTCAGCTTCTGCTGCTGTTTCATTCTGCTTGATACGTTTAACATGGTAAAATCATAGCCAACTAGCCTACTGGCGTGCAGTTTTCACTCCTGTGCCCACAAGTGCGATAATTAACGGAAGGCATGCCATTTTTTGGTAAATACGTGTTTGAAATCCAAATATTAATACACGCACACATAGGCATACCAGAGACCTGGGTCTATCGTGAGACACTGAATATACAAATTGACGATGGCCAGATCCCATATAAAAGTAGAAATCTAATTTACAATCTGCAATGATCAGTTAAAAAAGCCAAACCAAAACTTTAAGCAATCAACTGAAAACAGCCAGACTTGATCAATAACTGATAGCTTCTTTAATTTTCACCCCCACTTTCTACACAAGACCAACCAGGAAAAGCCAAATATGCTCCCCTAACCTACATAGGGTGCCTCACTTCTTGTTAGCCCACCTCCAGCTTCCCCAACCCTACAGCCTCCAATGAGCGCAGACCTGAAATCTTCTCCTTCTGCACTGTAAACCTAATGCACGTTTCTGCCTGCCTTTGATTTTCTGCCAAATGCAAGTGATGGGGAGTGTCTCCCTTGCTCTAGCAAGCTCTGAATAAGTAGACCTAGGTTGTTGTCATTTGGGTGGTCTTCATTTATCTCCACAGTACCATTTCATTTATCTCCATAGTACCATTTCATTACCAATATTCCCCAGCCTAGAGCATCCTAAAATTTTCTTGATGGTTCCTCTCTAATGCTCCCTTTTGCCTTTCCCTTGCCAAGTGAAATATTACTACTTTAGACTGATGGGATTTTTTTCCATGATAAGTATACATTACATGTGAAAAATAAAAGAATATTGATCAGTTATAATTTAACTTAATATAAAAATACAAACCAGGGTAAGTTTAGAAAGGATGATGAAAAACAGACTTTACATCATTTGCAATTAATTTCCTCAATTAAGAAGTCAGGAGATTTGAGAGACTTTTTAAGTTGCTCTAAAAACCAATGATCCCATACTTTCTTTTCACATTTTCATACAGCCTCCTGTAAGCAACTTCAGGTAGTAAAAGCTCTTGCTTTAAAAAAATGTCATATATATTGCAAATCACATATTCATTGCAAAGAGCAACAAGATCTTCAATACGTATCATCAGATTCTTCCATTTCAGAAAAGGCAGTTACCTTTGTCAGAACAGCTTTGGTAACTCTCTTCCTAACAGAACACCTCTGTCTTTTAATTAAATTTGCTGCAGTAGCCTTTTTTCTCTGAATATATAAGGTTTTATCATCTTATATCTTATTCATGGACAAAAAAGTTTCCTAAGCTTTTGAAAAACTCATATCCTATCAGCCTCATGACAATATTGATCCTCAATTTATTCCAATCAACGGCCTCAACTGAAGCTGGGGGAAAACATAGCACTTAGCATTGTTCAAAAGCCAGTCTTACTTTTACACACAGCTAAGATAAGTTTGCATAAACACAATCCAATGTATAATATTTACAATCAAACAAGGCCTTTACAGATACTTTAACGTCTGCTCTCAAAAGAGCACTGTAGTACACAGTTGATTGCAAATATAAGGGAAGTAAATACTTCTGGATGCAGAAAATTAATATGACAAGTTTTACCTTTAAAAGCAAAACCCTAAAAATACAGCTTGGAAGTCATAAAAGTTTACCATCTCTGGTATTCTAACTGGACTACAGAAAATGCCCTTGGACTTTCTGCCACATCTTTGAATCTCCTGTCCTCTGACATTACAAGTATAATATTGTTTAAAATGTCTTGAAACTTAGTATTAAAGGATTTGGCATTTATCAATTATTTAAGAGGACCTATTACAATAATGACTATGCTGAGAAAGAATCCTATGATAAGCACTATAGCATATAAAAATATCTTTCTAATTGTCACTCAGTGGCACTCAATAAATATACTGATTTGTATGTGTGTTCTAATTCTGTACTTAATTTTTCTAGTTTCATAAAAGGTAAACAGTGGGTGTTTAATTAATACTTGTTCAATATATCTTATCTGTGATAGACCTAAGTTGAGAAAATAATCGGAGAAGTGAATTTCTCACCTCTCAAGTAACTGAGGGGTAGAGGGCTAGTGTGGTAGAAGCACCTCCTGGAATATCAATGGGAGGCTCCAGACATTTTCTTGAATGCAGAGTTAATGTCCTATATTCCTCCTTGAGAAACATCAAGTTAAGATCTAGTGCATGTTTCATGTATGTTAGCAAACTTAAGACAGAGGACTACTCAAGAAAACAGCATAGTTCTTTATTCTTAATCTCTTGTTGCCTGTCATCTATATGGATAATAGGAAAACAAACAAAAGACTCAATTAATTATAATAATTATATATATGTAGTGCTTTGTATTAAGATTTATGGTTCTCAACATTATTTTTGTGGATCTTCTATTTTTCCTGAGCTTATAAACTAATGGATTCAAATAAGGTATTGCCAGCAAAAATTTGCTCAGCTGAAGCTTGGACACTGCCACAGAATTCCTTCCTTTATATAACCTACTTTTAATCACATAGTTAGAAATATATTATTTTTAAAAATTAAATATGTAAAGGAAAAGTACTTTGGGCCAAACTTTGGAGTGCATCTGTAGGACAGTATTGGTTTACAGAACCAGACACTTTAGAGTCTAACTATTCAAAGTTTGAGCTTACTGTGTTGTTGTATATTACTGAATTAGTGCTAGATAGTTTTATGTGTGCTTAGCACTCTTCTTAGCATTTGGATTTCTATCATGCTGTAGGATAGTATGTATTTGAAATAATGTTCAAATAAATGGGATCTGAGTGCTTTATGGTCTTTGAGATCAAATATTATTTCACTGAATTCTCTATGCTTACAAAGATTATAAAGCTGGAGGTAATTGTATTAATGTGGCTAAATGGTTATAATGTCTTTAACTTAAATAACTGTAACTTGTGGCACATGACACGAATTCTTCTAAATTCTACTTATTTATTAAATTTGTCTATTCTTAATGTATAATATCAAAAAGGTGGGCTGTATTGAACTCTTTAATGATATAACAGTCTTACTCTTTCCAGGCACCAGTCATCAAAATCAAAATCAATCTTCCTGCACTCTATGTACATAGGAATTTGCTTGGAGATTTTATATATATATATATATATAAATATATATACACACATATATACACATATATGTATACATACATAAATATATACACATACATATGTATACATACATAAATACACATACATATGTATACATACATAAATACACATACATATATACACATACATAAATACACATACATATATACACATACATAAATACACATACATATATACACATATATATGTATACATACATATATACACATATATATGTATACATACATATATACACATATATATGTATACATACATATATACACATATATATGTATACATACATATATACACATATATATGTATACATACATATATACACATATATATGTATACATACATATATACACATATATATGTATACATACATATATACACATATATATGTATACATACATATATACACATATATATGTATACATACATATATACACATATATATGTATACATACATATATACACATATATATGTATACATACATATATACACATATATATGTATACATACATATATACACATATATATGTATACATACATATATACACATATATATGTATACATACATATATACACATATATATGTATACATACATATATACACATATATATGTATACATACATATATACACATATATATGTATACATAAATACACATATATATGTATACATACATAAATATATATACATATATACACACACATATATATGTATATATGTATACATACATTTACATGTGTGTGTATGTAAATATATAAATTTGCTTTTTTAATAAATAATAATAAATTTAATAATAAGTCAGTTGAACACTTAACTTTGGGACAATCATAATGTATGAGATTATGAGATTAAATAGTGGACAGGTTAACTTTGGCATCACATCTTACTTTCATTTTCAGAGTTATCCCATAACTCTAACTCAACTTCTACATCTAAAATCAAAAGTAACAATACACCCTCATAAGTAGGGTTTTGTCAGAGTTATCCCATAACTCTAACTCAACTACTACACCTAAAATCAAAAGTAACAATACACCCTCATAAGTAGGGTTTTGTGTGTGTGTGTGTGTGTGTGTGTGTGTGTGTCTGTGTGCAGCTTTAGCACTAGCACATTATAAGTAGTTGTTCAACAGAAAAGGGGTAGTAAGGCCTACACATAAAAGACACATTGTGTGAAAACAGGATTCTCTGTATTCTCCCCTAAGGCATGAGAAGAATCACATCTATTAGTATTCTACTGCTCCTATATTCCAGCTGCAGGAGCTCAAGATGGCAGGCAAAGTTATACGCTACCTCTAGAGACCAGTTTAAATTTCACCATAAAATCTAAATTCTGAGGCTTTCTTGCTTGATGTTGGCTTCAGATTGATTGACATATCCAAAATGCTCCTAGACAGGTTAAAATTCCATAGTGGGTGCTAAGATTTGAATGCCTCCTCCAAACTCATGCTGAAATTTAATTGCCATTGTAACAGTATTCTTAGGTAGGGCTTTTGAGTAGTCATTAGGTCATGAGTGTGCCACCCTCATGAATGAATTAATGCCATTATTGCAGAAGTGGGTTAGTAAGGAGTTGGCTCCTAATAAGAGAATGAATGTTGCCCCTACTTTCTCTCTGCCTTTTGTGATTGCTCACCATGTGATGCCTTCTGCCATGGATGAGCCTTTCCAGACATTGGTGCCATGTTCTTGGACTTCCCAGCTGCCAGAACTGTGAGCCAAATAAACTTCTTTTCTTTATAAATTACCTGGTCTGTGGTATTCTATCATAGCAGCAGAAAATTAAGACAGTAAGTCGTCATCTTAAATGAGTGTCTTGAACCAAGAATCTTTTCACTTATCTCCAATTTTTCTCCTTGATGTCCCTTAGAGTGGAGGGAAATAATCTTTCACATCTCACAAACACATCCTATGTGTTTGCATCTGTATATCCTACAATAAAGGGCCATGAAAAAAAAGTGTTTGCATCTCTGGACTTTTGATCACTTAATATTTCCTCTATGTGGAGTGTCAATCATCTCAGTTGTTCCCTACATCTTTTCTCTCAAGCCCTGGCTAAAAGGACTTCCAAATGATCCCCCAAGCTGGAAGGAAAAGAAATCTTTCTCTCCTGAAGTTTCATTTGTTTACATTTCTTTCATAACACTACTTTATTTCTCACTATATTATAGTTTGCCATGTATGCTTCATCTTTCTTCATGGTTACTAACTAGCTCAAGGGAAGGCCTATGTCTGGCTCATTTTTATCTTTCATAGCATCAAGCAGAATACTCTGTATGTGCTAGATGAGCACTAATGTATATTACATAAACGTTTTTGAATAAGAAATTTTTTTTGTGAACACAAGTCAAATTAATTTTCTGAAGGTGTTGAAATTAATCTGAATATTTGTCACTCTTGCTATAAAAATTAATGGCCAATCTAGAAAATATTTCACCACAGTTTTCTTTCAGAGACAGGTTTACAAAGATCAAGATCAAGGAATAACAAAAGCAGCACAATGCCATTTGTTTTCTATTTTGCATACCCAGTGAGATGGCGAGCTATCAGCTTCATCCTTTTCTAAAATTTTTTAAGTAGACATTGTATTGCCATTTTAATCTAATAAGCACGCCCAGGCTAATTATTACTGATAAACCGTATCACCATCTAGAGTTTTGAGTACTATATATTATTAAGTTTAATGGTTACAAATTTGAAACATATAGTTGTTTATTCCTCAGAGGATATTCTCCAAAATATCTCCTGTACTTTGAAATCTATGTTTGGAAGCATTATGCCATTTTAAGGAAATATTTTTTTAATTTATTTCTACTATTTTTTAGTACTGTTATCTGAAAAGGATGGTTGCTGCTCATTATAGTAGCCTTGATACTAAAAGAACAAATAGTACTAAATGGACCTATACAGATAAAGAGAGTGATAAGTGTGCCTACAAAAGCTCAGCATATTTCACTAGGCAAAGAATGCAGTACATTTTTCCAGCAAGTGTTCTTTTAAACCTCACTATGAACATTACTACAACAGACGTTGGAAAAATAAACTTTAGCAACAGAATTGTGATGTGGCATCTACAGTTTGAGAATATTCTGATGGAAGGAGTAGAATATTTCACTAGGCAAAGAATGCAGTACATTTTTCCAACAAGTGTCCTTTTAAACTTCACTATGAACATTACTACAACAGACATTGGAAAAATAAACTTTAGCAACTTAATTGTGATGTGGCATCTACAGTTTGAGAATATTCTGATGGAAGGAGTAGAAAAACAGAAAAGTCCCTATTCTATGCCTGAAAGAATCTTGTTGGAAACCATGGTTTATGTATAATTAAAAAAGATTACTCTACATAAAATTGCAAGGATGCATTTTATTTAAAAAATGCCCAATTATCTCAGGGATTGTTTTTTTTTTTTCAAGCACCTATATGGATCTCTCCTCAAGCACCTCAAATTAGGCAACACAAACATGCAAGGCACAGAAAGTCTAACAGCAGTGAAGTCGAGACTGCTCATTAACAATTGAATACTGAATCTAATTTTGTGTTTATGAATTACATTGTTGAAAGACCCCAAAACCTTCACTGGTACACTGCTGGGAAAGGTCTATCATTGGATTAAATAACTCATTTACCTGAATTTCTGTTTCCATATTCTTAAAAATCTGATAGTTGAACAGGGAGACTGAAGAGGATTACTTTTATTAAATACTGATAAAGGACAAAGGAGTCAGAGATAATAGCAAATGAGCATCCCTAAAGTCAGAATTTTACTTTTTGTTTTTCTACGGACATCTCATAGAGGTGCCTTATATGTTATTTTCCCTTAGCAATGCTGGTTCCTTCCTTATCTCCAGGAACCCATTATAGAATTCAAAGTAGACACACTTAGTCAAAGTATATAGCATTGGAATTCCTGGATATTCATTGCATATGAATGCCCCCAAAATTAATTTTTCCAAGAAAATAACAAGAATGAGCAACCAAAGTCTGTAACTGTATTCTTTTACCACTCTTGTGTCAGTATCTTCACATCAAGGATTCACTACTACTCTCTAGAACATGTTGTTTATATACTCAGTGTGATTTATTTTTTGATTTCTTAGACATGCTTTCATTGTTAGAAATAAAATAATTTCCCTATTTAAAAAGGAAATGCTATTTTTAAAATAAATATTAGGTAAACTCTGCAAGAGGATTAACTTAAACCTTTGTATTCAGTTATGTTTGTTATGTCTGCTGTGTAAGTTTTTGGTAATTTCACCTATTTTAGTAAGCTTTAATAATATCAACTATATAATGTCTATATTGTACCAACCAATATTCTAACCATATTCTGACGTTGTAGAGACAATAGCTGATGCCATAAAAACAAATTAATGCAGTACCAAAACATTACTATACTATGAAGAAATACATAGGCATTTGTAGACATTTTAAAAATCTGTGAGAAACATACATCTATAAATTATTTTGGTAATTTAAAAAAATCAGACTGGCCAGGCACGGTGGCTCATGACTGTAATCCTAGCACTTTGGGAGGCCAAGGCAGATGAATCACTAGGTCAAGAGATCAAGACCATCCTGGCCAACACGGTGAAACGACGTACTAAAAATACAAAAATTAGCTGGGCATGGTGGTGCGTGTCTGTAGTCCAAGCTACTTGGGAGGCTGAGGCAGGAGAATCGCTTGAACCCGGGTCGGGGAGGTTGCAGTGAGCTGAGATTGCACCACTGAACCCCAGCCTGGCGAAAGAGCAAGACTCTGTCAAAACGAACAAACCAACCAACCCAACAAACAAAACTAAATCTGTCACTTTTCTGAGAATTTTTTTTTAATTTCAGAACTCAATGTTTTTATTCTAAATGGAGCTACCTATGATAAGAGTCAAGTCTGACAAAAACATCTTGTCAGTCTCTTCCCTAGCTTCTTAGTTTAAAGAACTAGAACCACAGCACTGCCCAGCATGTAGTAAAAAGAATTTAACTTTACCTAAAGAGATGTCTGCCCTTTGTCCTTGGGTCCTGGTCAGTAATATCTAAGCCCTTGTAATGTCACATCTGAAAGGACTGTCTTTGTTTGCCTGAGTGCATTGGGTTACTCCAGCTTGTGTATCAATGTGATTTGGGGTGGAATTTAGCCATATCAAATAAATTAATAACACAATTTAGTGTAGGGGAATTTAGGCCACTGTAATAGATGAACCTCTGGAGGGACTGGAGATGGAGTTCAACCACAATGGCAGTAAACTGTGTCTGTGTGATGGGGCCCCCATAAAATCTCTGGACACTAAAGCTTGGATGAATTTCCCTGTCAACACTCCAAGTGCGGTCTCACACATCACTGTTGGGGAAAAATAGCACTGTACATTATTGCAATGGGTGAGAAAATCTAGAAGACCATGCTTCCAAATTTCCTGGACTCTGTTTCATCATCTATTCCCTTGGCTGATTTTAATCTGTATCCTTTCACTGTAATAAACTGAAACTCTGAGCTTTACAGCTTTTAATGAGTTCTGTGAGTTGTAGCAAATTATGGAATATGAGGTTGGTCTTGGGACTCCTAGACTTATAATTGATATCAGAGTAATTATGGGTCTTGTGGACAGCTCCTTGAATTTATACCCCTCTCCAAAAATAAACTGACTTCAACATGAGTTGTTAGCTAAGACTGATGGAAAAAAAATCAGAAATGAAGG
The DNA here is from genome assembly GCF_000001405.40 of Homo sapiens. NCBI lineage: Eukaryota > Metazoa > Chordata > Mammalia > Primates > Hominidae > Homo > Homo sapiens. Next base: position 175,692,790 of record NC_000003.12, on the reverse strand, counting down.
GAACATCATAGTTTTGTTTCCACAGTTCAATGAGAGCACGGAGAACTTATTTTCACTTTTACACTTTATCTTCAAGTTCTCAGCTGCACCCTAAGCTTGACTTCTCTTTGTGGCCATGAAGTGGATGAAAACTTCACAGTACAATTCCACAAAGTCTTATTTTCCACCACTGATTTCCAAACAGAAATAAAAATATGACTGTTTCCACCTAGGATATCTACTTTTCTTCCGGAGAAAAAGAAAATCACTATGGCTAGGATAATGCCATGTCCTGACTAGTTTCAGCCAACTAGATCTGTGGCTAAAAATAAGTGTAAGATCAATCTGTGGAAACTCCAGAATTGCCACACAATGGGTGAGGGCTAGAATGAATACTGGAGACATGACCACAATGTCCACTACAGAATCCCATTGTTTATCAAAATCTCCTTCGTGCACACAGGTAGTCAGTATTTATTCTAGTAAATTACCACTTCCAGATCCAAGCTCTATATCATTCTCAAGATGCAATTATGAACTAACTATGAATAATTATGAATTAATTAAGCATGATTTATAGTTTTAAGAAAATTGGCAAAAAAAAAGTGAAAACAAGAGAAATCCCCTATGAACATAGGTAAGTCCCAGAAATCATAGAAATGTAACCAGAAGGAAAAACAAACAACCTACAAACATCATTTTCAGAAGAATTCTGGAAATTAATAAAATTTCAGATTCATATAAGAGGTATACAACTTGAGATCAGGCAAAAGTTACACAAAAGAAAATGAGAAGAGAGCCAGGAAGAGTGATGAAAGACTTTAGCAGCATCATATTCGAGAAAGGAGCAGCAAAATGTAATTCCTGAAGGTGAAAGGTTTACCGTAAAATGCAGAAGCTTTACCCTTTAAAAAGCAGAAAATTCAAATATTGATAAACTGTTTCAGAGCACAAATAAGAAAAACTTTTAAATTATTTTATGACACAAGTTTAATATTGCTCTTAAACCTTAAAAGGTTAAGTTATAAAAATGCAAACCACTGTACTTCATGAATGTTATTAGAAAAATCTTAATATATTAACAAGCAGTTCCATTTTTAATGTGGATATACTAAAGCCATTCACACCAAAATCTGAAATAGGTCAAACGGTGAGTATCAGCATTTTTTAATATATATTTCCTACAGCCATTAGTTTACACAATTAGGAAAGAGATTTAAATTAGTGATGTAAAAATTGACAAGGAAGAGAAAAATAGATGATAAAATTTTAAACCTGGAAAACCCAAAGTCAATTGATAAAATATTACAAACAGTAAGAATTTCAGTAATATCTTTAGGTACCAAATTAATAGTTTCATAAGGCACAAAACTCTCTAAAGACAGAAATTTTTTGTGTGTATACATACACACACACACAAATAAAACAGTGAATCCGAAATTATAATAAAAGCTATGACTACAAAAGCAAAGAAAACATACCTACAGATAAAATTAATAAGAAATGTCCTTTTATAGTAATTGTTTTATCCATCTGTGTGTATATATATATATATTATCTGTGTGTATATATACACACAGAGATAAATATATATACACATACATTTATATATACATATACACATATATATAAAGTTTCTGTCTCTATATAGACTTTTGTTACTTATGAAACTACTAATTTAGTATCTAAAATTATTACGGAAATTCTTACTGTTTATAATATTTTTTCAGTTGATATTGGGTTTTCCAGGTTTAAAACTTTATTATTACAAAGTGATTCAACTACAAGTAATAAAGGTATATTTCATAGGCAACTTGTGGATCAATAATAGACCTTTTCAAAATATGAGGGTTAGGATCTTGAAAAATTACCAACATAGAAGAACTGACAGTAGAGGTATTTAAGATTTTATGGAGAAAATAGAGTTTGAGGACTGTGTAATGAACAAATCCATAAAAAGTATTATCACTATTTTTACACTAAAACAATAAAGACAGCTTGTTTAATACAATGCTATGACACTTTCATACACCTTAAATTATTAATGTAATTAATTATCATGTATCATCCTTCAATTGCCAGAAAATTTGGTTAATCTCCTCCCTCTAAATTCTAAAGGTTCCTAAACACTCATTTTCTGAAGATTCAGAGAATGTGGGTATTAAGACACTGCCCTCAATGCTCCTACCCTATGGCTGGAATTTAACTCTCTATCTAATTGTTCATGACCCTTCTGATTTTATGACTCAGGAATATTGAATCCTGTCTCTTAGACCCTATCATAATCCAGGAAACAAAGTAATCTGAATGACTGAGATGAAACAAAACACAAAAGCAGAAACAATAAAATTTGGAGTGATCTTAAATTAACATCTTTATCAGAGCCAACAGATTTTTCTCATGTTTGCCTTATGATAGTATCATCATGTGGCTGTACTACATATCTTCTGACCCTCTTACGATGTGTTTCATTTCTCTCCTCTCTTAACAGATGTGAGAATACAGTACAAAGGCCCTGAATATTATTTCTCCAGTGCCTTTTTATCTCTCTAAAGGCACACTAGTCCTGCTCTGTATGTGTTTCACCTCTTATAGTCACACCTACATTTTTAATTTGGCCCAATATGAACGGCCCACAAGTCATAGAAGGAAATCTGGAATAAAAACTCTCCCAGGTGGCATGAAAGATTGCAGAATCAAACTTTCTCTATATATTTATATAGTCAATATATCTATACTCTCTATATGTTTTGTGTACATACTAATTGTCTTCCTAAGCATAATTTTCAGTGCAGGAAGTATTATGAAAGCTCCGTGGTTTTCTGAAGGGCATTTCAGTATATTTGCTTAATAATGTAATTAAATGCAGTTGGTAATAATTCCAAAGTTGGAATTTAGTGTTGAAAAGAGAAAAGGGCATTAAAGAAGAGTGATACTTATTCTTATCCAAGAATACTCTTGGAACGTAGCTAATAATGCCCCCTGGGTAAAAGAGCATCTCAAATTTGCAAGTTCTTTTAGCCTAAAGCTGGTGGACATTTTGAAGAAGTCCAGAGTAAAAAATAAGAATGTTAGAATGACAATTCTCTAAACATCGGAGACCAGTGCAACTCTCCTTACCAAGAAGAAAGGAAACATTTAAGTCAACTTATCCTGTAAATTACATTACGTAAGATGCAGTAGGATTTACTGGGAATGTTTATCGTGGCTGAGGAGGAATACTACTACATTTACCAGATAACCATGTGATAGGTATGGTTTTGACCAACTTTATATTTGAAGTCGTAAGTGAGAATTCAAGCTCCTGGTTAAAACTCAATCTATTATCTTTCATCAATTATAGGAATTATTTGCCAATTTTTGTCTTCCCTTTTTTCTATTATTCTAAAATTCCAATTATATATAGTTGAAGCTTCCTAGCTTATCTAGCATATATCTTAACTCTACTTTCATATTTTAAAAATCTCTCTCTTCCTATGACACATTTTATATGTTTCTCAGTTCTATCTTTCAAATGATCTCATCATTTTAAAATGATTCCTGAGAAGATATTTTCTATCTTGGGGATTTTAAGTTTTCTACAATGATCTCCTTTACATCTAACACTTGCATTAATTTTTTATATTCACTTGTGCTAATTTATTCTTTTGTCTTCTAATAAAAGCCATTTTTCACTTTTCTTTAATTACCTGACATATACTTATATTAAAACCTTTGTCAGATATTTCCATAAAATTAACTTCATCTAAAAAAACAAACACAAAACACAAAAAAACTACGTGTGATGTTTTAGGCCTGATCATAAACAATCACAAAAGCTTTACTGAGCAGGCCTCAGGGAGAAAACTGCACACCTTGCATCAGATTTGGTGCACAGACAGAGCATTGCAGATTCTGAAGGAAACTGCAATCCAGGACTCAGGCCCACCTGGCTGGTCTTGCTCTTTACACATTAGCCTTGTCAGCCCAGGTGCCTCCCTTTCTAGGCCTCTTTGAGGCCTTGGGCAGAGCTTCTCTTCAGGTACCTTATAGGAGTGAAGAACAAAGGAGAAACCTTGAAGACACTTTTCCCCAGTCTGGCTCAGTGCCCTGTACTTTTCCACTCCTAGCCCTTCCCCTCCATCCACCCTCCTCTCCATCTCACCGTCCATAAACTGCCTGAGCCTTTTGTTTGGGGGCTCCCTCAACAGAGAGATGATCCCTGTGTCTCTGCTTATCTACCTGTCCCTGGACTGTGCACCCTTCCATGAGGGAAAAAAAGAACAGCAAGGAATTGACATTTTCTTCCCTTTTGTACTCTTTTGCACTTCATCAAAGTAAATGATTACAGGCTAAATCTTTCCTTTTGGCTTGTGGCTTTAATTGGCTACTCTGACACCTGCCAGCCCAATTCTGTCTCTCCCAGCTCACCTGAGCTCCTGATAATATGTGGTCATAAGATTCCACAATATTATTCAATAATCTTGTTCTTTTTCAAGACAAAAGACAGTTAGCTGTGTAAAATTTTGTCTAATTTCTCATAGAAAACATAATAAATACCAAGAAAATAAATCTGAATTAAAATATTATTTGGGTCACGAGCACCAGCAAGAGGTCGTTCATTAATTTCTCATCCTACCTAACCTGCGGAGTCATTGTAATAATGTCATTTCATTCTGCTTCTCAGAGCTTACATACAGGACCTTAACTTTAGTATCTTAACTTTAGCATTCAGTAACAAACAGAATATTAATTCAAACTTTGAGACTATTGGTTACTCTTCAGAGTTATTGTGTTAGGTTGTTTTTATGTTTCTATAAAACCTGAAAACTGGGTAATTTACAAAGAAAAGAGGTTTAATTGGCTCACAATTCTGCAGGGTGTACAAGAAGTGTGATCCCAGCATCTGCTTCTGGTGAGGCCTCAGGAAGCTCACAATCATGGCGGAAGGCGAAGGGGGAACAGGTGCATCACATGGCAAGCAGAAACAAGAGAAAGGTGGGGGAGGTGCTACACTTTTTAAACAACTAGATTTCCTGAGAACTCAGAGAAAGAATGAACTCACTATCACAAGGACGGCACCAAGCCGTGAGTGATCCACTCCCACAATCTAAACACCTCCCACCACCTCTATCTCCAACATTAGGAATAACATTTCAACATGAGATTTGGAGGGGACAAACACTGAAACTTTATCAGTTCTATAACAAATACCAAGGCAGCATAGTGCATGGAAAGAGTACAGACTCTGGGCCCAGTGTTCTGAGTCTTCTGTTTGCTAGTCACATAACTCAGGACCAGTCATCACCACTAACTCCTCCATATCAAAAGATTGTTAGGAAGATTAAATGCGGCTGTTATGTAAACTGCTAGAGGTACTCATCCAAATTTCTTCTACTCATAAAGCTATGCATAAACAATAACATGTTTAGTGGATATTAGCAATAGTACATTGATTACTCTGGGCCACAACGGCATAATACTTACATTGAAAATACTGGTATTGTTCAAAATACTTTTGGAACAAACTACTTTGAAAATGTCTTCATAATCTATATATGAGAGTTATTTTCATTAATTATAATCACATCTCATTTCTAAATACTTAATTTGCAAAACCCACTTTATTACCTGATTTATTTATAAAAATTTATATCAGATAATTTGTTATTGAGTTTAAAGTCAAATTTGCCATTTAAGACACCATTTAGGAATTTATAATAGCTTTATTAAAGGGAGTTTTTCTCTGGCTTAGAGCAAATCATTTATCTAGAAGGAGATAGAAATTCTGGCTCTGCCCCCTCATAACTTTGTACCTCAAACAAGCTACTTGACATCTGATATTTGTTTTCTCATCTGAAAATGGGAATGATAGTGTAAATGCCACAGAGTGATATTAAATAAGATGGTAGGTATAGAAAACATAGAAGATAACTTGTTCATAGCAAACACTATGCAATTGAATTGTAGCAATTTTCACCACTGTTTTTTCATGACCTCTCCCTGACCTTGGGCTTCCTTCAAATTAGGATATGTTTAAGCAATATATTTTGCAAATAGTCACGGAAAAAATGATATTTAATACTTTCATGGAGCAAACATTACCAAGGAAGCTGTTTGAAACCATTTGTTATATAAATCTTCACGAAGAAAATAATCTAAAGCTAATAATGTAATTGCATTATTTGTTATATAAATCTTCATGAAGAAAATAATCTAAAGCTAATAATGTAATTGCATTATTTAATTGAATTAAAAGTTGAACTTTTAATTCTTTACCTAAAAGAGTATTAATATGTATGTAAATATGTAAATATCCACTAATATTCACAGAAGGAAAATTTCATTAAAACATACATTAATTAAAAATCTCTGTACTTGCTTATTGTTAGATTTAATTGCTTGCTTTTAAATGTTTGAAAATTTAATGTCCAATTGAAAAAGACACTTCTGAAGTCTGCAAATAAATTTGATTACAGCTTCTCTTATATTTTAAAAGACGGTCTGTATCTATAAATGTGGAATTAATGCATAAAAGTTATTCTTCAAACTAACTTGCTAATATACTTCACAATTAAAGAATGTACATAACCTTAATTATTGATTTTGTTCATTGTTACTTTTGTAGTAGTTAGACATCATCTAATCTCCACAACTACTTATTTTATTACAGAATAACAACAGCTGAAATATTTTTAAATCAGTTTTTAATAGGATTCATGGATGAGGAACCATTAGACATTTAAGAACAATAGGGCAGAATCTTATGGAGGTAAAGCAGCTAAATCCAACAAATACAGAAATTGAGGTTAGGACAATTATTTGTTTATACATTGTGATGGTTAGTTTGCTGTGTCAAATTGACTGGGTCACAGAGTTCCCAGGTATTTGGTCAAACATCATTCTGGGTGCTTTGACGTTAATTTTAAAACGTGTTCTAAATAAAGCAGATTGCCTTTCCTAATGTAGGTGGGCCTCATACAATCAGTTGAAAGCCTGAATAGAACAAGAAGACTGACTCTTCCTCAAGTAAGAATTCTTTCGTAACCAATGTCATTGTCCTGGGACAGTGACTTTTTTCCTGCCTTTGGACTTGAACAGAAACATCAGCTTTTCCAGGGTCTCCAGTCTGCTGCCCTTCAGATGGAAACTACACCATCACCTCTCCTTTGGACTCAGATTGAAAATAAACTATTGGCTCTCCTGGGTCTTCAGCTTGCTGACTCACCCTGCAGATCTTGGGACTTGCTTGGCTCCACAGTCATGTGAGCCAATTCCTTGTAATAAATCTCTCTCTCTTTTTCTCTCCATCACTTCCTCTGTCTCTATGTATTTAACTGATTACACACACACACACACACACACACACACACACACACACACCTCCTGTTGGTTCTATTTCTCTGAGAACACTAAGACACCATGTGTCTCCTTTATAAAATGTAAGCAAACCAAAGTTAAGAACCATTTCTCATTTATTTTACTATTTATGTGTCTAAAATACACAGACTAGCACAAAATTGGAGATTCTGGCAGATTACAATTGGACTTGATGCTAGGAGTCAGAGGAAAGCTGATGGGCATGGCTAAGACCTGCATAGATGGAGGTGGGCAAAGCCTAAAGGGTTGATGAACTTAAGGAGGGTACTATTTGCCTATCAGGATCCTGAGCCTTCAGAGCTATGGGAGGGATCCAAAGAGCTAATACATAATTGCTGAACAAATGTATCTCCTTGAACTCTTGATATGGGAGTGAGGTATCAAGAGTTAACCATGCCAGGAGAATTCTGCACTAAATTTTAAAATTATGCAAACCTCTCCTATAAAACTTTCCAACAAATAATCTCTGACTGACCACATTACTTATTCCACTGTGCATTTGATTAAAAAATTAGATTTTAACTACAAGCTCTTTCAAAAATCTATAGTGTAGTACAGGAAATAAATAAAATCATATTTTCTAACTCATATTTTACTCAAAGATTTGTACATATCAATTTAATATGGATCTTTAAACATAATTTTTTTTTGAGACAATTCCTATGTCTGCCACCCAGGCTGGAGTGCAGTGGTGCGGTCATAGCTCACTGCAGCCTTAAACTCCCGGGCTCAAGTGATTCTCTTCCCTCAGCCTCCCGAGTAGCTGGGACTACAGGCACATATCACCAGACCCAACTATTTATTTGTTTGTTTGTTTGTTTAGTAGAGATGGGGTCTCACTATGTTGTCCAGGCTGGTCTCAAACTCCTGGCATCAAGTGATCCTCCAGTTCAGCCTCCCAAAATGCTGGAATTACAGGTGTTAGCCACTGTGTTGGGCCTAAACATAATTTTTAAATATTTTTATTCAGAGTATTCTTATATAGCTGTTTGGGATTTAGAAAATAACTTTATATAATCTACTTTTGGAGATAAGATTTAATATGATCACTTTACAAATATAAATGATAGAAATGTGATTATGAGTATTAGACTTGTATTGTGAAGGGTATTATTTAAGTTAAAAATAGCTTAACTATAGGCTTTGATAATTAATCTGATGTAACTTGATACTGACATTGCTCCATTTGGATATTTTTTAAAAATCTATACAAAATGAAATAATGCTTTTCCTTCTCAGACAGCATGGCATATTTTTGTTGTTGCTGCTGTTGTTATTGTAAATTCTTTTTTTTTTTTAAAGTGATTGCCATGTTCTAAAAGTCTGCTGGCTCTTTAACACTGTCAATATAATGCATCTCCTTTACAAAAGTACTTTAAAGAACAGTTTAAAAGCTCATCATAAAATTGCTTCTACTATAAGATGATGCATCTTAATTTCCAAGTGTGTAATGTTACAACAAACAGTAATAAACTTACATCTTAGTCCTATGATATTACCCAGACTGCATACTACTTTCTTATCTTACACTCTTTTTTCTTCCTTATTTTTCAACACTTTGTCTCACTTGTAGGCTATACTTTACATTATTTCCGTTAAATGTAATGTAATTATACTTTACATTATATTCCATTAAATTTTGGAAAATCTGTGAAGGAAAAGACTACCACCTTATATATTTTTAACTTCAATACAATGTTTCAGCATAATGAAATAACAAAGAATCAGAAACTAAAAGAAAGCCCCACTTACAAATAACAAAATTTAACTCATTTATTCAAATAATATATATTGTGTGTTTTCTATGGACAAGGCAAGGAGCTGAATGCTTTCTATTCTTCACATATTTACTAATAAGATTTTAAATAGAAACTTGTATATATCAGTAACCAAAGACCCACCCATTTGCTAATTATACCTTAATACCTATTACCATTTACCTTAAATACATATATAATGTATTAAAATCTTAAGAATAAAACCTTATATCAAAACCTTAAGAATCTGAATAGAAATTAGTTTTGATAAAGCAAGTTTTAATTTGAAAGAACCAAGAACATGACTATGTCCTACACCTCACAACCTTAATTTTTAAACTGAATCTTTAAGTTAAAGAACATCTTTACCTATGTGCTAAATTTGACCAAAATTAGTAAATTTTCTGGAAAAATACAATTGAACCACAATCTAACACAAAATGGGAAGAATTAATTTTAAAATAAATTTTTACTTTGGTAAACAAGTATTCCATATGAATTTCTGATAAATTATTAAATTATTATTTTTGTTTTGAAAATATTTGGCTATGTAGACATTGTCATTGGTTATACTTCAGGCTTTCCATTTTGTTTTCTAAAGACCTCTCACAATTTTCTGTTTCTTGTATCACCTCTCACAATTTTCTGTTTCATATATCAACATTGCATTCAGCTGCATTCCAGCAAACACAAGAGTGTTATGTTCAGCTTGTTGACTTTTATACTGATTTACTTTGAGATCTCTCCTTTTAATTTTGTTATATGTTTCCCCAAGGGTATGACATTTTCATTTTATACAGTTATGTCAGATAGGCTAAACAAACTGTAACTTTTTTATAAAAGAATAAGAATGTTTCCTGAAGTTTTAATGATAAGTATTATAGCAAGCAATTGAAAATTAGAGAAATATGAATAAATGCATTTCTAATTCATATGCCTATAGTTCAAGGACAAGTGTAAACATGTCTATAAAATTGAAAAAAAGAATTAAACCAAAAATAACAAATACTGACTATAAAATAAGTTGTTTAAGGGGCTATGCATTGATTTCAAAAATGTCACCTTTAAATTCTTTTTGTGTCACATTTTCAAACACTACATTTCTGCCATTGTCTCAATTCTCTCTTTTTCTGATATTTGTTTTGTGTAAATATTAGAGTTCCTCAATCTGTTTTACAATCTTCAGTAGCTGCTCTTTCATATTTATTATTTCTTCATCTCTCAGCACTGTATTGTGGATTATTCCTCAGTGCTAACCTCCAATTCATTAATTCTTTCTGCAGCTGTATCTTTTCAAATGCAATATTATTCCATTTTTCAAATTTCAATAACTAGATTTTTATTCCCAAGTTTTAAAGTATTTTTTCTATCTACTTTTAATCTATTCTTATTTCTTAAATTTAGAATAAACACATATGTTATAAAATTTTATAACAATTTTTTCTACATAGAATTTATATTCTAAATGTATTTTGGCTATCTTTCTTATAATTAGATGACTTCTTATTTGGAATTTGGGTTTGCAGGTTGAAATTCATTTGTGTGCAAAGATTTTGTTTTATTTTTCTCTCTCTTTGTAGTGTCTCCTCTTTAGAATCATCCAGTAGTATTATGATTGGTGACACACAACTCTGAACTGAAGTTATAATGGGATTTTGGCACTCTTGTACCATGAAGTTATTAGAAACAGTAATCTTGAAAACATTTAACCTATAACCAACAAATAATTTGGTTTAGTTACTAACTTCTTTAGGTTTACAGTTTATTATTTAGACTATAGTTACAGGTAGAAATTGATACTGATTTTTTAAAAGAAAAATTGGGCTTGACTTTTTAACCTAATTTCACATTCAGCAAAGCTCTACATCAGCCCCTGTCTTCAAGCATTGAGTCAGATTTTGATCTCCATTAAGACAGCTGCATTTTTCAGACATTTATTTACACTGTACAAGAAATAAACTCTTCATTGCCATTGCCTGTATTGGTATTACTCTTCAGTTGTCTGTTTTCATAGTTTAACCCTTGTTTTGTGTTTGGAATAAAGAGTGTTCTTCAAAGAATCAAAACAGCCATTTTGAACAAAAATATCAAATGTTTTTGCAACACTTCTTTTAGATTCATCTAAGAAAGGATATTAATACATGCGTATGATTTTTAAGGCTTTATAGTAAAAATGCATACAAGTTTTGGACAAGAATTACTATAGATCACTTGTTAGCTTATGTGGTTTTAAAACAGTCACGCTTAAATTTAGAAAGTACAACAGTGGTTTGAACTAAACTAGTTATTTAGTTTAAATTAGAGATACCATGAAGAATGTAATAAAAGAGATTTCTGAGCCATTGAGCATATAAACATTCAGAATGCAAGAACTTGACTTTAAATATCGAGTATGCATTATACTGTACTTATTTTGTAAATATTTGGTATTTATTTTTAAAATCTTGTCAATAACCACTTCTTGATTCTATTGTGTGATAGAATATTACTAAAATGTAAAAAAGTAGATGATACAAATAGAGAATGAAAAATAAATTTAGATAAGAATTATAAAGGCTGTTTTTTGTTTGTTTTGTTTTGTTTTGAGACAGAGCCTCGCTCTGTCGCCAGGCTGAAGTGCAGTGGCACGATCTCGGCTCACGGCAACCTCCACCTCCCGGGTTTAAGTGATTCCCCTGCTTCACCCTTCTGAGTAGATGGGACTACAGGTGTGCACCACCACACCCAGCTAATTTTTTGTATGTTAGTAGAGACGGGGTTTCACCATGTTGGCCAGGATTGTGCCGATCTCCGCACCTCTTGATCCGCCCGCCTCAGCCTCCCAAAGTGCTTGGATTACAGGCGTGAGCTACTGTGCCCGGCCTTAAAGGATGTTTTTAACTGAACATTCACTGATACTTGTATGTCACATAATATGATTCTTGCATATGGAAGAAATTTAAGCTAGTTACTAAGAATGCAACAGGTCTGTAGGTAAATTCAGGTTTGGACAGTCACTGGATGCATGCTTGGCCTTGGCTCAGAAATGCAGCCCTTTTTAACTTCAGTTTGCTTATCTGTACTATGAGTATATCAGTGATATCTGTCTCATAAGAGTCTTATAAGGACTAAATGGGATCAAGGATGTACAGCATATAACACTGCCTGAAGCTAGGTTAAGGCTGAAAAATATTATTTTAAAAAATGAAGCCAGCTAATAAACAATTTGTTCTCCTTTAACATGGTCTAAATCTCTATTATCATTTACTTGTTTGACTTTCAATGTGTATATACCCATCTATCACTGATATTAGACCTTGATTCTTCAAGGAAATAACATTTTTGATACTTCAGTGCCTAGCATAGTGCTAGAACAAGTAAATAAATCAATGGAAAGCACATACACATTATTTTTGAGAGCTCCCAAATAGGAAACAAAATCTATTCACTGAAACATTAGACATTTCCTATGCAGTCAAAATCACCATGGAATATTTTTATGTGTAACAATGAAAGGTATCTTAAAGATACTAAACAATCAAAAGAGCAAGGCTTTCCAGAAATGGGATATTACGGTTAAAATACCTCTGAACCTGTAACATTTTAAGGAATCGCTGTCAACCTCAGGGCACTCTGAGTTATTCAAAGCTCTCAAAGGTTTGGTACCATTAGTGAAAATTTCATCCTAAGGTAAGGAGAATCTTTTTTCCTCAACTTTTTTTTCCCCTTTTTCAGGCAGATGAAAATATGTGACGGCATCCTTTTTTTCTCACCTTCTTTTTCCTATCAAGTTGATTCTATACTGTACCATCTTGAGTTGTCTGAGCTCAAGTTCTAAATTCTATTTCTGCTTATTTGTTATACTCTTCACTGAGAAATTTTTGCTCAGATTGAGTCTCTGAAATGCATGACATAAGCAATTTTCATGGTAAGAAAATCACTAGCAAATATAGCCTTCTTTCACTTCTCAGGCACAGCAGCTGCTGATATTAATACCAGCTAGTCATTTGTTTATCACGGGTAAAACAGATTTCGTATTGACTGGTTTGACTCAGGACTATGGTATTCTAATTAAGATTGCTAAAAAGAACTATAGAATTAAACCCTAAGTTAAAATAAGCAGATATGCAATGGCACACACACAACTATATTCTGCTCCAATTCACAAGTAATTCCATACTACAATGATTCAAGTTCATTCTCAAGAAGACTATACAGAAGAGCAAAAATAGAGTTTAGATGATAAAAATCACATTTTATTGCTGTAATTTTCTTTCTTACTTTAGAATCATTCATTTATCAGCCATTAGCCTATATATCAAATATCACTACTTTTTCTAAAGGCAGTTGAGTTTCATCAAATGCATTTCTCCAAAAACAATAACTAAAACCCATAGTAACAGACATTTAGCATAACATTCTTTTTTTTTTTTTTTTTTAACTATACTTTAAGTTCTAGGGTACATGTTGTCAGGCCTCTGAGCCCAAGCTAAGCCATCATATCCCGTGACCTGCAGGTATACATCCAGATGGCCTGAAGTAACTGAAGAATCACAAAAGAAGTGAAAATGGCCTATTCCTGCCTTAACTGATGACATTATCTTGTGAAATTCCTTCTCCTGGCTCATCCTGGCTCAAAAGCTCCCCCACTGAGCACCTTGTGACCCCCACCCCTACCAGCTAGAGAACAACCCCCTTTGACTGAATTTTCCTTTACCTACCCAAATCCTATAAAAGGGCCCCATCCCTGTCTCCCTTTGCTGACTCTCTTTTTGGACTCAGCCCGCCTGCACCCAGGTGAAATGAACAGCCTTGTTGCTCACACAAAGCCTGTTTGGTGGTCTCTTCACATGGATGCAAGTGAAACATGTGCACAACATGCAGGTTTGTTACATATGTATACATGTGCCATGTTGGTGTGCTGCACCCATTAACTCATCATTTACATTAGATATATCTCCTAATGCTATCCCTCACCTCTCCCCCCACCCCACGACAGGCCCTGGTGTGTGATGTTCCCCACCCTGTGTCCAAGTGTTCTCATTGTTCAATTCCCACCTATGATTGAGAACATGCGGTGTTTAGTTTTCTGTCCTTGCGATAGTTTGCTCAGAATGATGGTTTCCAGCTTCATCCATGTCCCTAAAAAGGACATGAACTCATCATTTTTTATGGCTGCATAGTATTCCATGGTGTATCTGTGCCACATTTTCTTAATCCAGTCTATCACTGATGGACATCTGGGTTGGTTCCAAGTCTTTGCTATTGTGAATAGTGCCACAATAAACATACGTGTGCATGTAGCACAACATTCTTATTGCTGACTCTGAAGGATTCCTCTTACAGTCCCTGTTGTGTTTCTCATTGTCAAATGATATCCAAGGTCATAAGTACACAGTACCATGTTACTGGGTTCAGGGGACAGGAGAGGGCAATGAACCACTATTTTTTACTTGAACTCATTTTTATGTTGTCAGATATCAAAATATCTGAATATTGAATAGGCAGAATATTGTGTTCCCTGCTAAAAGATATTCCTGTTTGTATTTTCAATGATAAAATATACATTTTTAAGAGACAGAACAAAAAAGAAAACTTAACCTCTGACATGAGAACATACACCTTAATTGAAACTACAAAAATGCTGTCACTTTGTTCTTTAGTGGCCCAGCTACAAGGCTCTGCCTAACCCTTTGAATCTTCCAAATTTCCCATAAAATTCCTGAGAGGGCTAAGTCTTTCAGTCAAGTCTAATTTAACTATGATTATATAGAGACAGCTGAAGACTGCCTACTCAGGTAAAGTGGAGACCTGAGGCAATTGTCAGAGTAATTCAAGCAGAAAATTTTTCTACTGTGTAAGAGATAATGTTTGCTTGAACTATTCAGATTGGCCATCTATAATCATTAAATTCATAAACTCGCTCCTTCACTTCACTTTGCCTATGAAGAACAGCCTTGTTGCTATTAAAAATATATACACAAGGCAACTCAAATATTTGTGAGTTTACAAAATACTCTATTGATTTTTTTGTAAAACAAGTTCACAGGTTTAATGAGCTACAGTTCCTAGAGAATTAGATGAAGGAGTCCCTGGAGGGGGTTGAAAAGATGGGGTAATGAAGGATAAATTACCAATGAGCTATTTTTGGTTCTCTAAGATCTATATTTCTATCTATGTGACCCCACTATAAACGAGACACACACACACACACACACACACACACACACACACACACCCCATTATACTATTTATCAGCCACCAAAAAAATACAGGTTAAAATTTTAATTTAATAATAATAATGATAAAAAAATAGGCAAGCAGTTCTTTATGTTATTTTTATTTATTTTTTTTTTTGACAGAGTCTCACTCTGTTGCCAGGCTGGAGTGCAAGGGCACGATCTTGGCTCACTGCAACCTCCACCTCCTGGGTTCAAGCAATTCTTCTGCTTCAGCTTCTGGAGTAGCTGGGACTACAGGCGCACACCACCACGCTCAGCTAATTTTTGTATTTTTAGTAGAAACGGAGTTTCACCACGTTGGCCAGGATGGTCTTGATCTCCTGACCTCGTGATCTGCCCACCTCAGCCTCCCAAAGTGCTAGGATTATAGGCGTGAACCACCATGCCCAGCCAGTCCTTTATCTTTTAAGGCAACAGACAGGCCCCTTCAAGTATGCAAGGGTTTAAAGACAAAGGTAAATATAAACTCTTTTTTAAAGAATAAAAATAAACCTTATTTATATCTCCTGGTTTCTAAACAGGTAGTTGTGGCTCTTGTCCTTGCTGTTCTTCAGCCATCACCACCCTCTCAAGGCTTCACTGTTACTGAAGCACTTCCAAGGACTCATCACATTTGATTCTCTTCAGCTTTTCCATAACACCCACACCATTAGTGTCATGTTTGCTTACCTGAATAACGGATTTTGGCCAGGATATAGGTTTTGATGTACCTTGATTAAAAGGAAGTCAGGAAGGGTTTCTCTCTGGAAACAAGTTTGGAAACTCTGGGGAGAAACTAATCAAAAAGAAGTGGAATCTTGATGAAATATCAAATTTGAGAAGTTTTTTTTTTTTTTAATCAAGAGCACACTGATTTGGATAGACACAGTACGAGAGGTAGAAGTACACAGAAGCAAGAAAGTTACAGTGAGAGGACATAACTGTCTGAAGCCAGCTCTGATTCTGCATGAAGAAAACAACTCTGTACGTATCATGGATGTAATTTGCAAAACAGAACTTTCCTGAACCCATTGCCATTCAAGCTCAAGAGTAGCTAGTTGCTCCAAGTGGATGGGATATGACTGGAGTAAGTCAGACTGAATCTGGGAGAACATCCTACTTACTATCTGCCATCATCCACGTCAATTATCAGCCTTCCTAAGAGGGAGGATGGTTCTATCTGCTTGGTGCTGGTGCCAACTCAGGAACTTGTCAATAGGTAAAGCAAGCAGCTGCTGAATACTATAAAGCATATTGCTTGTCATCTACTTGCATCTATAGTAGTGCTTGCAAGAGACCACAAATGTTATTTGGAGGGAGAGATGGAAATATGTATTGCAACACCTTGGAGACTTGATTTAGTGTGTGAGAAGATCAATCTAAGAAGAACACATTACTTTGCCCCTGATGAAGCATATGGAATACTTGATATGGGTTTTTACCTGCCTAAGATTATGTATCATGTAAGACATTGATGGGCACACTCTAAAGTGTAACTTAGCTAAAATATCTAAGCTTGCTGAAGATTTCCTGAAAAACTATGTTCAATATACCATATAAACAATAGTGCACTACAACTAATGAAAAAACAACATTCTTGAGATTGTGTATGCATATAATGACAAGAAAGGCTGAAAAACTTAATTGTCTAATGAAAAAAGGAAAATAAAACCATTTTTTATTGAAACCAAAAGAAGATATCATGAGCTTATCAGCAAAATAAGAAGAGACAGGTGACCTGTCATGAGTATTCATGCTGACAAGAGTCAACAGGAATATGCCTGAGTTCAAAATTAATTCAAACATGGGAAAGTTCCTATTCCGATTGCTACAGATACAGCTTTCAGAGGGCTAGAGATGAAAATGCAAAATTTGTCATGAATTATTACTAACTCACTCCTCAATGGGTTATATTCATCTAATTGGAAGAATTACTCACAGTTCTAAAATATAGCCACAGCATACACTTTCTTTACTTCTAATAACATGAAGCAAGGGAATGATCTTATCTCTGTTTTATGAAGCCAATCTAGCAATGAATCTCAAGTTGTTCCAGTTGGTCAAGGACAGAGGTTCAGTCATTCCAGAAGTAGAGGAGGCATGAAGAATGACCATTTGTACCACTATTCACACTCAAAGAGGTTACTGTAAGTCTCCTTAAGAGAGATTTGGGGGCAAAAACTCAGAATGGTCATATGATGTAGCAAATTACATAATGGGTACTTTAAAAGCCATTTCATATCTATTGATATAGAGACCAGTTTTAGGACTTACCGGAATGGTAATGATAACATTCAATAATAAGGAATTAAGGTTTCAAATATGCACATGGTGTGAACCAACAGCCATATACTATCCTGCTAACTGTGGCCACAGGTGCAATTGGTATCTTCTGCCGATAAAATATTCTCAATAAACCTTAGTATTACAGTATATGTAGGTATCTGTTTTTTATAATTGCCCTTTACATTTGGGTTTATCACACAAAGTAGTTACTTAGAAAGTTTGATAAAAGCAAAAATAATGGCATGTAGCAGTATTATACTTTGCTTCTTTGCTATTAAGTTTGATATTTCTCAAAATTACAAAAGTAATTTTTAATCTTTGGGTTTTTTCGTACTCGAAAATACAGTAGCGTTTTCACAAAAGTACCTATACAGTGTTTTTAAGTATAACTAACTCAATGGAATGCCTAGACTTCCAATGAAAAATCATCAAAAGACCAAATTAAGTCTTTTTTTTACTTTATTTTACAAATATGACATCATGTAAAACTTAAATGATCCTCATTTTTAAACATAAAAACAAAAGTGATTCAAAAAATGATCCAACCCAATAAGAAGTTAATTAAAATGAAACACTCAAAAATGAAAATGTGGTAGTAAAACTGGTGGTAAGTAGAGAATCCATCTCAATTTTAAAAACAAACTGTCGCCGGGCACGGTGGCTCAGGCCTGTAATCCCAGCAATTTGGGAGGCCGAGGCAGGCTGATCACAAGGTCAGGAGATCAAGACCGTCCTGGCTAACATGGTGAAACCCCTTCTCTACTAAAAATGCAAAAAAAAACATTAGCCAGGGGTGGTGGTGTGCATCCGTAGTCCCAGCTACTCGGAAGGCTGAGGCAGGAGAATGGCGCGAACCCGGGAGGCGGAGCTTGCAGTGAGCCGAGATCGCGCCACTGCACTCCAGCCTGGGCGACAGAGATAGACTCCAACTCAAAAAAAACAAAACAAACAAAAAAAAAAAACACTATCAGTTGGAAATCACTTTTACAAAACAAAATGCAAGAATTTTAATCTTTGATAATACAAATAACAAAAAATAAATACTAGAAATTAGGGTTTGGGATTCAGAGGAGGATGTAGTGAGTATGCTATTTTTAACACCTTACGAAGCAGGGAGTTAATGAATGCTATCAAATTGGAACACAGCAAAAAGAGCATAATGAATCTAGGATCTCCATTTTTTCAGGATTTCTAAATTTTCATAACATTATAGGGATCTTTGAAAACCAATGTATCTTACAATGAAGCAAAAATAAATATAACTCTTCTTAATATAATATGTAAATACTATTTTATTAAAATGTCTATATATTTATCTATCTCTATTTTCCACCTGCCTATATGCATGGAGAGATTATTAAAATCTTATTCACAAATATTAATAATAGTTGGGAAGTTGGGATTTGTTTAACTTTTAAAATTTTTAGTCTTTATATTCCTTTGGGTTGATTGAAATTTTTATAGTGAGAATCTATCAGAAGGTATTGGGAACATTGGTTTCCATAAGGAGAGGAATTGTGTTATCAGGGAACATAAACATGAGGAAATTGTTCACAGTTTTCTTGTCAGTAACTTTAGAATTCTGAATCTTCTGAATACCTTATAATTGAAAAAAAGCACATTAAGTTAAAATCATTTTAGTGATTTTTGTCAAATTTACACACAAAAAATACAAAAAAAAAGTTTTTAATATTTAAAGCCAGTTGAAATTTAAGGTCCAGTTCTACTCCAAAGACTCTATGGTTGTGCTGATACATAGATCTATCAACATAAAGCCTTGACAAAACTAACTTAAAAATAAATTCTTATAACTGATAAAAGGGCAGAAAGATTGTTTTTACATGAATAATATTATATAGCTATTGATCTCCATTTAGTTTGAAGATGATGCTCTGACTCTCCCTTAATTTGGCAGGCAAAGCAATGTCCAATTGAAAATCAGATGTTTTTGCAATGTGAAGATGCTGTAAAACTGTTTAGACTTGTACAAAAGTTTTATTCTCACAAGAGAGGATATAAATTACTCTGCCTGTTAAAAAGATATTCTGTATAGGTAAGATAAAGATGACAGAAGTGAGTCAGCTGGAGATAGAGCAGACAATAAAAAGGGAAATAAATATTAAGAGGGAAATAACCTTGCAAGAGCAGATCTAGGCTCAATATGAAAGATTACATCTATTCTAATAAAACTCATTAATATTCCTCATAAAATAACTATGGCTTGGGTAATATAACATATAACTGAGGACATCTAAGATGATAAATCTTGAGTTTGAACCTGATAATTTGAAGAAAGCAATCTATAAACAAAAAAGCTTACATTCCTCAGAATAGCCTTATAAATTACACAAAATTGTTATACATTTTCAAACATTTTGCTATATTTACAAGATTATCAGATTTACAAAATCCGAGAGTCACTAATAATGCCAATACAGTCTAAACAGAAAATATTTTTGATTTAAAATCTTTCTTGCACCTTAAGGATAAAAAGTGACAGATTTACAAATCAGTGTTATGTCCCTTGCCGTTTTGATTGAATTTATAAGTCCTACTCTTTTAGTTTCAGTTCAAACTTCCGATTTATGACCCCTAACTGGCTGCTTCTTCTATTGCTAGCTCAGTTTTTTGAAGTTTAGATTTTGTAATGAGTTATGCAATTTACTTTCCCTGTCTTTTTCTAAAGCTAAAATAACAAAAACAAACCAAACAAAACAAACATCCTATTCCCTTTGCCCAGCTGCCAAGTATAAGCAGTCTTGATCAGTGGTATTTTCACGTAACGGCACTAACAGCTGAGTTTTCTCCATAGCATCCACAGGATAAGAGGATCAACTTCCCTTTATTAGAAAGATATCTCAGCATAAAAATAGCAAAGTAAAGGCAGAATCGGTATTTATGCTCACTGCTCATTATCTGGCACTTATGATTTAGTCATAAACCAATGTTCCCGGATGGGGTTAAGATGGAAATGTGCTTCTGGCAGTTTCAACCAAGCACCATTAAAAAGCCAACACAATTTCTAAAAATGATTAACTCTTGACTCCAGTTCAAGTTCTAATTCAGCAACATTTCCCTCCCTCAGCAACTCCTGCTCCACCAGGCTTAAGTAATTAAAGTTATGTTTAAGTCCTGAAATAACAGTGTTCCAAAGGTGGGAAAAATGATCTTTTTTGGTAACACTTTAATAAAAAGAAGTCATGGATTAGAAGCGTAGCACTGTTCGATATTGCCTTAGAAATTAATACAACATAATTGTATTAGAACAAATTTTTGCATTATAACACTTTTGGAACATAGTAATGAATTAGAATAATTTAAACTCATTATACAATCATTGATAGTTTCAATGATTCATTCTGGAAAATGTAAGAAAAATTTTTTTTAAAAATAGTAACATTATTTCCATTATGGATGAGAATTTAAAGTAGTTAAAATTTTGGTGACAGTTTTCTCTTTAAATATTTTTAAAATAGTAATTTAGTGTACTTAATATGACTTAACAAGAGGTTCTCTTTTTTTCCTAAGTAATTCCAAGGAATTTAGCCACTTACTCTAGCAAGCTGTCAATCTTTTAGAGTCTTCTCTGGAACAATTTGGAAAATTGAGACACAAATCATCAGAGAATAGGCTCACCTATGATTTTTAGTGATTAACTCTTTGGGGCAAACAAGAAACAAATATGTAAGTAAAATTCTCTTCATTTTCTCAACATATAACAATAGATGTCACCTGGTAGCAATACTTTAATGACAAATCCCAAGATATCTGAAACTATCATTAAGAGGGAAGATAACAGTTGCTAGCAATTTAAAGAGAAAGGCACTGGGTTGTTTATAAAATACATGCCATTGCTGCAGCAACCATGAACTTTTTTCTTTTCATAATGTAAAAAGTTACTCATGCATCCAAATTTCAGATATATCCAACAAAATAGTTTAGAGGTTATTTTAATTTCAAAAAAATGGAGTTAACATTTTGCAGAAACTTATAGAATACATAAAGTAAGTAAAAAAGTTCAAGTTATTTTTTTCACTTCCTTTGGAAAAATGTTCAAATTCACAAGTCTTAAGTCATGACTTAAGTCATGATTTGTTTATTTAAAGCAAAAGTAAAATAATGTATCCTTTGAGAGACACATTTAAAACGTGTCCCTGTTGTTTAGGGTCTAAAATTTTTATTCTCGCTTTTTTGCTTATTATTATTATTTTTTTTTACAACTTGAGGTCACTTGTTGCTCAGAAGATCAAAATAAGGTAATTTACGTATGTACTAGGAATATCCTAAATTGTTCTCTAATTGAATTAAACTTCTCCAGTAGACCTAAATATTTTTCGTTTGAGTTGAATTTTTTGAAAATGAGACAAATAACATTTTACTTATAACATTCTTCATGAATGATGTACTTTAAAATAATAAAGCTCATTAAAAAACAGAACTTGCCAAAACGTTGGATAATTTTGTGTGGTAATATTGAAATGCCATGAGTCAAGAATAACCAGATGTTCCTTATTATTTCATTTAAACAAAACTTAAATATCTTGGAGGATTGAAAATTCCTGTTGGTGCAGGAAAATGTATAAATTTAATTTTACATTTAATATATATTTAATAAAATTAATTTTACATTTAATATAAATATATTAAATTTTAATATAATGTAAAATAATATAATTAAATTTACATTTAATATAAATTTAATATAAATATATTAAATTTACATTTAATATAAATTTAATATAAATATATTAAATTTACATTTAATATAAATTTAATATAAATATATTAAATTTACATTTAATGTAAATTTAATATAATTAAATGTTATAATTTTGATTAAAATACAAAAAGTAAAGTGAAAGTCAACTTAAGTTTAATTATTCTTAAACTTTATTTTACAAATCTTTATATGGTTAGTCAATGTAGCTCTTGTTAATACTTTGAAGTGATTATTGCTGATTGTCCCAGGGTTAGCTATGCACATAGACACTGGAGCCAGATTGCCTGGATTCAAATCCTAGTTTTGCTACTTTCTGGTCTATTGCCTTGGGCAAGTTACCTTTCAGGTTTATGCATTCTTTCATCATCTTTAAAATGAGATAATAATAATAGATCTCACTTCATAAAGTTATCGTGAATAGTAAATAAATTGATGTAAAGTGAATAGTTCCTGATATTCAGTAAGCTCTACATTTGTGTTTGCTATTATTCCTACATTTTTATATTACTGATTTTGAAAAGATGATCAAGCACTGAAAGGGGTGTTTTAAATAACAGACTATGTCTAATCATTCAAATGAAGTGTCTATCATTGGATAGTAATAGTGAAATAGCATAAAGTCACTTATGAAATACTATTTCACTATTACTATTTCTGATAATGAAATTATCAATAGTGAAATAGTAATAGTGAAATACACTATTTAAATGAATACTGCTTTCATTGTCTTTCATTTGGGAAACTATTCACTTACCTTATATTGCCTTAATTTAAGAAATTTCAGATTTTTCTCACTTGAAACTGTCTTTAGAGTCATTCCAAAGCCAAATAAGGAAATCAATCTCATTACTCCCAGTGCTGCAAATAGTGTTTTTCAATTTAGTCATTCAATGTATGACTTGGCTTTAATCAATGAATATTACAACTATAATAATAAAACTCAAATTTACTGAATATTTTATATACCAGGTATAAGAATTTTGGGGATATAATCTCATTTGATTAACAATTTGAAAACAAATTTTTTCTTCAATGAATAAAGATGCACATCATCAGGACATTATAAAATGTGATGAAAGCTCTGGAGGTGATTCCAACATATGACCTAGAATGGTTCTGCATCGTCCTACAACTTATTGTCATAATGACCACTGAAGCTAAGAAAGGAACACATCTCTGGATCTTGTATATTACAGTATTTTGTTTAAAATAGATTGTCACATGACTTCAAACTCAAAAGTCATCAGTACCTTTAACTCACATGAAAATCATATGTATTAATGAATCAAAAACTGAAATAACTCTTATTTTGTTTGGGCTGCACTTTTCCCTTTTGTTTAATTGCTTTAGGAAATTAGAATAGTATTATGGGAATATATGACAATAGATATGCTTTGGTACTAATGCCTATCAATGACCCACAATAGAGTAATCTGTTCTTTAAAACTTTGCTAAACTATCCTAAAGTATAACTTTTAAGCCTCTCTTCTCCATTGGTTAAATGGAGATAACACCCACCAAAAACAATGAATAGAAAACACATGATACAGTGCCTTGCACATAGTGAGAGCTTAATAAATAATAACTGCTATTAATTAATGTCCATTTTAAGTCACAAAATTTGCATCTGAAAAACAAATACACAAACATGTAAGACTGTCTCTTAACTATATTCAGGCCCTTCTTGGTCTTTTGTTATTCATTATATCGCACGGAAAACTGAGACAATCTGGTAGTTTTGTCAAAGGGAAAAAATATGTTTATGTACAAATACTGATATTGCTATGATGGCAAAGCTGTTGAGGAGAAATTAATTTTGCAAAGGGGACAGAAATCATGAGAAAGAAATATAAATCATTAAGATTTGGACATAGAAACAAACTTAATATAAACTACCAAGAGTGGCTTTAAGTGTAGTTTTCTTTCCTCTCATTAATGTTTTCTTGTGCTGTATAATTGCTGTTACTCATTCTGTGGTCACCTACACAAGACCAAACTCATTCGTGTGTAGTGTAGCTTCAGTTTTTAGACAGTCTCATTTTCATGCTTGAAAAAATGAAAATATCTGAAAATGCAGTAAAAGTCATCCACAGTACTAAAGTTAAATTACAATGCTATTCTTAAGGTTATCATAATAAACAATAGCTCATAAAAAAGATCTGTGGCCATGACATAAAACTTATCAAATGCCACAATTGTTCTCCTTCTGATAGCTACAGCCCCTAAAATTAAGGGATATTATGGTGTTTTAGTAACTCTAGCAGCTACAAAAGTTCATTGTAAAGAACAAAGGTGCTAAAAATTCCAAGGTAATCAGTTTTCTCCATTTCTCTGAGTAATTATTAGAATAATAAACTCCAACGAGAGGTCACATATTGCCTAATGAAATAATTCCTCTGAAGAAGGGGCTACAGTAACTCTTGCCAGTTGAAGGAGAAAGTCATATTAAACCAATGTAATTACTGCAGCCTATCAGTGCTGTGTGATGATGGGCGCACTTTCCACATTGCAGGCTGGATGGTCCCTTATGCAGTGAGTGCCCAGTGAATTTGTCAAATGATAAAGGAACTGTTTTAGTACGAAACATCTTTGAATAGGGTAGATTTTAAGAGTATTAAAACCACTAAACAGAACAATTCAAACAGACATTCTCAGTGTCCTCTCATGATAGACTCACAGGTAGAAGGAAAAAGACATCCTTGGGTCTAACTTCATCTTCCTGTTACAGAAAAAAAAAAAAAAAAAACAGCAAAAAACACACAGATATCTGAGGTTATGAGCATCTAAGGATAGCAGAGAATTTCAAGGACAAGTGAAAAGCAAGGTGTACATTTTCTAACTTCCAGTTTATTGTTCTTCTGGTTGTTAAATCTGATACAATTTAAACAAAAGTTATGATATTGAATCTTTGTGGTCTCTTCTCTCTTGGCCAGCATCAATAAAAATAGTACTCAAAGAAACAAGAGAATAATACCACAGCAACAGAGTACAACTCCATCATGGGGTTTCAGCCACCTTCTCCACCTCCTAATCTTAAAACCAGAAAGACAATCAAAGTTTTCAATAAATAAGGAGATCTATTAAGATTTTAAACGTGACAATTTGGATCTTTGCTCATATTTCATCCTCTGCAATATCTGAGCTGAGGTCAATTTTGAGGTTTGAAACATCTGACCAATAGAAATTAGTCAATTTAACCCCTTCAGATCCCCATCCCTTCCTTCCTTTCTTTCTTTCTTTCTTTCTTTTTCTTTCTTTCTTTCTTTCTTTCTTTCTTTCTTTCTTTCTTTCTTTCTTTCTTTCTTTCTCTTTCTTTCTTTCTTTCTTTTTCTTTCTCTCTCTCTCTCTTTCTTTCTTTCTTTTTCTCTCTCTCTCTTTCCTTCCTTCCTTCCTTTCTTTCTTGCCAGCACAGATTTAAGTTTCACTATTTTTAATATAAAATGGAGTATTTGAAAAACAGGAACTTAGGATATTTACCACACCATGCCATATTTATTTGTCAAAAGCATACCCTGTACTAAGTATATATGTCTGAAAACTACAGAGGTCTATCCCAGGAAGAAGTAGATTAATTAATTTGAGTTCTATTATTTGAATTAAGTGCTAATATAATTTGTTCTTATTATTAGTTGGACTTTAATTTTCTAAGCCTACTTAAAAACAGGATTTTTGTTTTTTTATCTACCCACTCATTTGTATTAAAATGTAATCTACACTACTAAGGTGCTAAGACTTCCAAATATAAACTGAAACCAATATTTAAGATATTCATATTATCCTAATGTAACGTTCCAAAGATGGTATAGTTACGCTCCAGGGACTGATTCTGCTAGCTACAAAGCTAAGATAACAAATAAAACAAATTTGAACTCTTTTGGTGGGCTCATCGTGCATAATAATGATATTTTTTGTTTAAATTTCCAGCCAGAAGCTTTTCATGTTATATTGGTGCCTGGATATGCACACGATTTGAGAAAAAGTACTTTTAAATAAAACATGTATAATATCCTGCATAGTGGAACAGTTCTTTTGGAAAACATTGTCTCTATACTACAAGTGATAAAACAGAGACAACAAATTCACATGCTCTAACATGTGCAAATATTAGAATGAGTATTTGAGGAAAAGCTTGTTATTCTATAAAGGGTATTTGATTGATGACTCTAGGAACCTGAGTTCTCATCTCAGTTCTACCTCCTTTCTCTGAACTTCATTTTCTTCTCTATAAAATCAGGGAAGTTATACTAGATAGTCTCCAAGATTTACTTCAGTTCTGAAATTCTGATGCCCTACTTAATGCCATACACCAACACATTCTGCAACACAGAAGTACCACAGAAGGCAGTCTTGCATTTTGGAAGAAAAGTCTTGGATTCAGGAGATCTAGATTCTATTCTTGGAATTTTCATGAGCCAGTTTTGTGACTGAATAAGTTTCTTAATCTCTCAAAATTTCAGTGTTCTAAAACAGGGATGTCATTATCTGTCTACTTCCAGTGCTTATTCTGGAAAACAAAATTTTGAAAATAGGATAATATAATAAAACCTTTTTTTTGGGGGGGGGACAGAGTCCCACTCTGTTGCCAGGCTGGAGTGCAGTGGCGCGATCTTGGCTCACTGCAACGTCCGCCTCCTGGGTTTAAGCGATTCTCCTGCCTCAGCCTCCCTAGTAGCTGGGACTACAGGCATGCACCACCACGTCCAGCTAATTTTTGTATTTTTAGCAGAGAAGGGGTTTCACCATGTTGGCCAGGATGGTCTCAATCTCTTGACCTCGTGATCTGCCCACCTCGGCCCCTCAAAGTGCTGGGATTACAGGCGTGAGCCATCGCGCCCAGCCTAAAACATTTTTTTTAATGTTAAGATGCTATCATAATGAACTGGAGAGCTATTAATGTTTATTGTGCTAAGCTTGAATACTGACAGACTTTATTCTAGCATTTAAAATTTTTGAGGCTATGAAAATGGATGGTAATGCAGAAACAATACAGAGATTTATATTTGCAACTCACCTTTCTATGTATTTAGGACTTTAAAACACTTAGTCTGTGGTTCTCTCAAGTAAAAACATTTAAAGTATTGCTCTCTAATTTAATTCACGTTTTTTGGTTTGGAAATTTTTATATTTGAAATCCCGAAAAGTTGGTTGGTCTGAAGCCATAACCTGAAAAAATATATTTTAAAAGATACTCATTTTCAGGCTAACCTGAATGTTTAGATGTTGACAAATAATTGTTTTAAAATACAGCCTTGTAACTGTTTGCTCTGTGTCACCTTGCATACAATGTTGATTACACCAATCTCATTTTCTTATTGTAAGTTTCAAATTCCACTGAGCTTACATCATGAACTTTGATGGATGAGCTAGACTGTTGTGTCTGTCTGGGCAGGTGTGAGATAAATTGCTGGGCAAGCTATGATCTTTGGGCAAATTACTCTCCTTGACTACAATATATATCGATGAGATGTGTCAGTGTTCATATACACACTTGTCAGTTGCATTATCCAGGTGATGAAAATACAAGTTAAGGGACCATCAAAATGAAGAGGGAGAAATTCACTGTGTCATAAGAAATTAGTAAAAGGACCTTCACTGTAAGCTGGAAATATGATAAGGTAAAA
Organism: Homo sapiens; assembly: GCF_000001405.40. Classification (NCBI taxonomy): domain Eukaryota; kingdom Metazoa; phylum Chordata; class Mammalia; order Primates; family Hominidae; genus Homo; species Homo sapiens. The sequence continues at coordinate 175,664,868 of NC_000003.12, read as the reverse complement.
CCTTTGATAGGATTTGATAGGAAAAAAAATCAAACCACTTAATCAAATATAAGTAATTATATTTTTTCCTCTTCATCTAAAATTCATTTTACTTAATACAAGTCAAAGTGAACATGACAATAATTTAGAGTTTTTACCTGAGAAGGAACAGGTGAAAAGGCTTATAATAATTTAAATTCAATATATTTTCAACATTCATTCAAATTAACTTTTTATTATTTTGCTTTAATACAAAAAAAATCAAAAATACAAATATTGTTCTATGGCTAAGTTCTTTATATAAAAATTTTATTCAGAGTCTTTTCAGCAGATGTTCAATCTGTGTGGTCAGGAGTCAGACACTGTTCTAGGCACTATAGATACTGAAGATTAATAAAGTTAAAAACTAGTCAAGAATGGCTTCTCTACTACAACTGGCTTTTATAAAATAGTCCTTGCATGTTTCTGCTCTTTAATAAAACCATGAGCTAATTTTGACTTGAATAGATAGAGAGAGTAGTAGACATGCAACACACAAAGAAATCTATATTCAAGGAAATAACTCATTTCAGGAGAAAGCTAGAAGGTTCCCAATAAGTTTGTTTTTTCCAAACTAACTCCTAACAATATTCTTGTTCTCCCTACAGCCTAAAAGGGTAGTTCTATACCTCTACTAGGCTAGACTATTTAAATCTAGCACACTGATGTAGATGCACAAAGATAACTATGAGCATGAGCGTTTAGGAGAAGGAATTAAAAGCTGTCATAAAATATTATAACAGTCTTAAGATTGGAAAAATATTCTAAATTTTCCAATAATTGATCTTTCTATCCCCATTGTTATTGCCCAGTGAAATATATACCTCCATATCCTTCATTTTGTTTTTCCCAAATAGACTTTATTCCTAAACACTGGTGAAGAATCTTGTCTCAAAAGGATTAATCACTGTCTCACAAAAATACATCATGCAAATATGACTTTATCTATTTCATTCTTTAAACCCAATATCTAGGTCAAAAATTAAAATATTTTATTATGTTTTCTAGGAATTACGTATTCTTTAATATTACAAATACCACCAATCCAAATTTTCAAATTTATCTTAGTAAATACAAATTAAAAGTTCTAAATCTTGTGCCAATTTTAATTTAAAAAGAAGAGTTAGACCTCATCTTAATTATGCCAAGTTTCTAATGCATTAGATTCTTCATAAAACTCTCTAATTTATTTTTATAAAGACATATTTTACTTTAATCTTGCATTATTCTTTTTCATGATACAAAACAAAACCAAAATTAGTAGAAATAAATAAACAATAAAGATCAAAGTAGAAATAAATGAAATTCAGACTGAAAACAAATTAGAAAAGATTACCAAAACATAAGGTTGTTTTATTGAAAAAAATGAAATAAAATCAACAAATTCTTAGCAAGGACAACTAAAAAATAGAGAGAGAATATTCAAATAAAATCAGAGGCAAAAGGAAACATTGCAACTGCTGTCAAAGAAATAAAAAGGCTTGTCAGAGACTATTACAAACAAATTGGACTATTATATGACAACAAATTGGAAAGCCTAGAAAAATGAGTAAATTCCTGGACACATAAAATCTACTAAGATTCAACCATAAAGAAATAGAAAACTTGAACAGATCCAAAATGTGTAATAAGACTGAAGCAGTAGTAAAATGTCTCCCCACTAGGCAGAAAAATTAAAATAAAATAAAATAAAATAAAATAAAAAAGCAAGCCCAGGAGCTAATGTATACACTGCTGAATTCTACCAAACATTTAAAGAAGAACCAATACCAATTCTACCCAAAGTATCTCAAAAATTAAAGAGCAGTAAATATTTCCAAATTCAGTCTGCAAGGTCAGCATTAACCCTGATACCAAAATCAGAAAAAGATACAACCAAAACAAACAAACAAACAAACAAACAAACTACAGGCCAATATCCCTGAAGAAAGTAAATGCTGAATTCCTCAAAAAATACTAGCAAATTGAATTCAACAACACATTAAAAATTTATTCACATGATCAAGTGGGAACCATCCCAGGGACACCAGATGATTCAACATATACAAATCAATGAATGTGATACAATACATCAAGAAAATCAAAGACCAAAAACAAATGATTATTTCAATAGATGCTGATAAAGCATTTGATAAAATTCAACATCATTTCACAATAAAAACCCTCAATAAATTGGGTTTTATTGTGGAAGAAACAACTCAAATGGTAAAGGCTGTATGTGACAAGCCCACAGCTAATATAATATTGAATGTGGAAAAAAATGAAAGCCTTTTCATTAAGATCAGGAACATGAGAAGGATGTTCACTTTCACCGCTTTTACTCAACTTAGTACTGGAAGTCCTAGCCAGGGCAATTAGGTAAGAAAAAGAAATAAAAAGCATCCAAATTGGAAAGGAAAAAGTCAAATTATCCTTGTTTGAAGGTGCCATGATCTTATATTTAGAAAAACTTAAAAGAATCCATTAAGAATTCTGAGAACTGATAAATTTAGCAAAGTTACAGGTTAAAATATCAACATACAAAAATCAGTAGCTTTTCTATGTTCTAATGGTGATCAATCTGAAAAAGATATCAAGAAAGTAATTCCATTTACAATCGCTATAAATAAATAAAATAAATCTAGGAATAAATCTAACCAAGGAAATAAAAGATCGCTGCAAGGAAAACTGTAAAAGACTGATGAAAGAAATTGAAGAGGGAACACACAAAAAAATGGAAAGAGATCTGATGTTCGTGGGAAATTGGAAAATTAAAATCATTACAATGTCTATCCTACCCAAGGTAATCTACAGCTTCAATGAAAAAATACCAAAAATGATTTTCACAGTAATAGAAAAAGCAATTATAAAATGTGTATGGAACCACAAAAGACACCAAATAGCCAAAGCAACCCTGGGAAGAAAGGACAAAGTTTAAGGCATCACGCTTCCTGACTTCAAAGATTACTACTAAATAAGAAAGTAACTAAAACAAGTTGGTACTGGCATAAAAACGGACCCACAGACCAATGGAACAGCATAGAGAACCCAGATATAAACTCTTACTTTACACCTAACTCATCTTTGACAAAGGCACCAAGAACATACAATGGGGAAAAGACAATATTTTCAATAAGTAGTGTTGGGAAAACTAGATAAACACATGCAGAAGAATGAAACCAGACTCCTCTGTCACCATATACACAAATATCAACTCAAAATGAATTAAAGACTTAAACGTAAGATATGAAACTATTAAAAGAAAATGAGAAAATGCTACAGGAACTTGGTCTGGAAAAAGTTTTTAGAAAGAACTCAAAAGCACAGGCAACAAAAGCAAAAATAAACAAATGGGATTACATTAAGCTAAAAAGCTTCAGCACAGCAAAGAAACCAATTAACAAAGTGAAGTGACAATTTACAGAATGGGAGAAAATATTTGCAAACTATCCATCCTTCCAGGAATTAATAACCAGAATATATAAGGAACTCAAATGACTCAATAGGAAAAAAAAAAAGTCTGATTTAAAAATGGGAAAAAGACGTGAAAAGACATTTCTAAAAAACAAACAAACAAACAAATACAAATCATCAACAGGAATCTGAAAATAAAAGCTCAACAACATCAATCAACAGGAAAATGCAAATCAAAATCACAATGAGATATCATTTCACCCCAGTTAGAATAGCTATTATCAAAAAGACAAAAAATAACGAGTGTTGGTGAGGATGTGGAGAAAGGGGAACATCTTTACACCATTGATAGGGATGTAAAACAGTAGTCATTATGGAATAGAGTATGGGGGTTCTTCAAAAAACTAAAAATAGAACTACCTTACGGTCCATCAGTCACTCTGCTGGGTATATAGACCAAAGAAAGAAAATCAGTATATCAAAGGATATCTGCACCGTCATGTTTATTGCAGCCCTATTCACAATAGGCAAGATATAGAATCAAGTGTCCATCAACAGATGAATAAAGAAAATGTGGCATATATACACAGTGAAATATTATTTAGCCATAAAAAGAATGAAATCCTGTCATTTGCAGCAACACGGATGGATCTGGAGGTCATTATGTTAAATGAAATAAGCTAGGAACAGAAAGACAAATATCACATGTTCTCACTCATATGTGGGAGCTATAAAGGTGAGTCTTACAGAGGTAGAGCATAGGATGGTGGTTACCAGAGGCTGGGAAGGGAAAAGGGTAGAAATTAAGAGAAATTGGTTAACAGGTACAAAAATACAGTTAGTTAAAAGGAATATGTTCTAGTATCTGATAGTACAGTAGAGAAATTATAGTTAACAATAATTTATTACATATTTCAAAATAGCTAGAAGGGAAGAAATGTAATGTTCCAAACATAAAGAAAGGATAAATATTTGAGGTGATGGATATCCCAATTACCCTGATTTGATTATTACACATTGTGTACATGTATCAAAACATCACGTGTATTCCCAGAATATGTACTATTGTGACATATCAACGAAAAAAGGGTCTGACATAGCATCATTGTGAGTTTTTTCAGTCATTACAACATTAATATTGTGCATTGTCTTGATGCAGGAAGACTGAATAGTTCAAGTTTATCTTAAGTGGTGCTATAGTGTGAATGTTTCTGTCCCTCCAAAATGTACATGTTGAAACCTAATCTCTGATTTAATAGTATCAAGAGGTGGGGACTTTAGGAAGTGATTGAGTCATGAGGGTGGAGCCCATGAACAGGATTAGTTCCCTTATAAAAGAGGCCTAGAGGCTTGTTGGCTCTTTTCACCACATGAGGACATACCAGGAAAGCACCATTTTTGAAGCCCACGGTGATCAAATATTTATCCCACATTTGAAATCAAATCTGCTGATGCCTTAATCTTGGACTTCCCAGCTTCAGAACTGTGAGCAATTAATTCCTGTTTATAAATTACCAGGTCTAAGGTATTTTCTTATAGCAGCCTGAACAGACTGAGGCAGGCAGTACCCAACTGAAAACCGAATTCAGTTTCCTTGGAAGCATGCTGACTAACAAAGCATTACAAAACAAAGAACCCAAATGATATGTATAGAAGTCTAGCTCCTTTTGGACTAGGTAGCTGGGTGTGATACAGAAATCTCAAGATCAAATTAAATTTTACAAAATGATAAATTCATCTGATTGAAGATTAAGACTAAAGATTCTAAGGCCTTTATTACTAACTGAATGCTTTAAAGCCAATACTGAATTTAGTCAATTCAGCTATATAAAGTCAAATGTTTTCTTTTTTAAAATTGCAAAATATTGAACTTATCATCAAGACCTACTTTTGTTCATCCTATTTGCTCTATGGTGATACAATATTCCAATAACTAAAAATTCAAGCAATAATAAATCATAGAAATTTAAGAAAATATAAAATAGACTGCAGTGCTGCTGCTGGTTACCAAGAAATAATGAACACTTTATAGAGTATACTGCAATAATATCCTGGGATGAAATGACTAGAATTTTAAACTCTAACAAAATTTTGAATTTTCCTTAAAATGTTGTGATAAATCTGATTGCCCATTCAGAAAAATTATGCTATAGTAACAGGGGAGAATCAATGTTCCCATTTTGCCCTTTGTATTCACATGAAATTCAAATAAAGCCGTAACAATATTAAAGGCTTAGGTAATAAACATCAATAAATACATAACACTAACATGTATTGAGTTTTTGCTATATGTTAGGCATATGATTTTCACAAAAATCCTATTTGATAGGTATTATTATCACTAATTTACAGACAAAGCAACAAATATTTTGGGAGTTTAACTAAATTTCCCGTAGTTACATGGTTAATAAACAGATGGCCTAGAATTCAAGACTGTGTGGTCCAGAGCATTAAAATTCACTCTTTAGCCTTAGCATGTAAATGCAGAAAATGCAGAATATAGCAAATACAACTGTGTGTGTGTGCATGTGTGTGTGTGTACCTAGTATCTTTGGAGAAGTAGAATAATACAAATTATAAGACCTACTAAGAATAATTATTTGTGGGATACTCTGGGAAACATCGTTTTGATAATTTTGAAACTAAATGAAGGCAGATGTACAACTTTAGATAATAATAATATTTTGTTCAGTTCAAATTACAATGAACCTTCAAAATTAAGATTGTTTGGATATACTCATACATTTTCTAGTGGCCATACATACATATACATATATTTCTGCATTTGAGGAACAATACATATCCAAATCAATTGTGAAACCATATGAAGCATTTCTGGGTTAGGAGAACTGATTGTTTGTTGTTCCTTGTTTTGGAAAGAAGCAGAAAAGCTATCATATTCAATTTCTACCCTGTTGCATATTTTACCCATTAAACTATCAAAGATTTTTATAGTCCTCAATACTAGCTAACCTCAATCTCTGCTGAACAGAAAAAAAAAGCCCTTCAAGGTAGTATCGGAGTTTCAATCTAAAAATAATATATCAATCTTAATGACCAGTAAATAAATTTATCAGATAATATTCCACTAAGCTAGACATTATTTTCTGTAGAGTGATTAGTTACATTTGAGGAAGTCCTCTGAAAATCTGAAAAGACTATATTGTCGGCCCTGTCATTTGGGTACCATAACCCATAGCAACCATTGCATGTAGATTAAATAATCCATAGCAACTGCAGCAAGTGTGAAATGCATACGTGAAAAACATCCTTGAGGTTATAGTGACATGATAAAATGCTAATTTTGTTCAATCTAGCAATCCAACTAGAGAGAGTAATTTCAGAATCTAGAATAATGAAATGATTATGATCAGTCATTTTCTACCACAGAATCACAAATTTTATCTTTAAAAATAAGTTTAAAAATATGTGTATGCATACATATGTATATATTATATATATATACATATTCTTTTTTCCTTCTCACATACATATTAGATTAAGTTCATTGGCAGAGATTGTAACCTGGCAACACTGGTAAAAAAGAAAATTCTATAGTGCTAATTAAAACCAGTAAAATGAGGCCAGGCACGGTGGCTCACGCCTGTAATCCTAGCACTTTGGGAGGCTGAGACGGGCGGATCACGAGGTCAGGAATACCATCCTGGCTAACACAGTGAAACCCCATCTCTACTAAAAATACAAAAAAATTAGCCGGGCGTGTTGGCGGGCACCTGTAGTCCCAGCTACTTGGGAGGCTGAGGCAGGAGAACGGCGTGAACCTGGGAGGCGGAGCTTGCAGTGAGCCCAGATCGTGCCACTGCACTCCAGCCTGGGGGACAGAGCAAGACTCCGTCTCAAAAGAAAAAAAAAAAAAACAGTAAAATGAGTATTTTTTTCCAACATGCTTGTAAGTTTCTCATTTTATCCAAGCCTCAATTAAATTAGCAAACAAGTAGAAATTTTCTTCTGTTTAGATGAAATCCTGACATTTTATTTTAATGTCTTTATTCTAAAAAATACGTAAATATGATAATAAGCAATAAAAAATGATTTTTACGAAAATAAAAAGTTGTTTTACATTTAATGTCCCTGATACTTATCTTGTATTTGGAGGCCTATAGTGGATTTTAGAACACAAATTATAGTGATTAAACCTTTGAATTAGTTTTTTAAGACTTCATTTTTATTTATTCACTTAAATAGTTATATTAATAGTGTATTCATACAAGCAACGTTCTTAACAAGTACTTAGAATCCTGAAATTCTAGTGAACTTAGAATGATGAAATCAGAGACAGCCTGACTCTTGGAGGGAAAAATATCTGGCATTTTAATACTAATTGACTGAAGTCACCTTTAAATACTAGTTTGGGCAACCTGAACAAAATTACTTAACCATATAGATCCTTTAGTTTTCTTATATGTAAGTACGTTTTCTTACACTCATTTTTCAAGGCTATTTGGAAGGTTAAATAAAAGTGATACACGAAGTTTCTACGTCCAACATATGGCACATCATAGGTGCTCAATTATAATGGCCATGACGGTGGCAAGATGTATTCATTCAAGGCATTAATTCTAGTTATCTGACACAAAGCCAGGTTACAGGCCTGATCCAGCAAAAAATTTGCTTTCAGGAGAATAATTTTGATTAATTTAAGAGTGATAGTTAATGAATTTGGTTACTCCCCCTCGCCCCCTGCACACACACACACATACACACACACACACACATACACACACACCAGACTACTAAGCTTTTAGCTTTCTTCCTCTGCACACCTTTGAGGAAAGAGCTTGAATTTCCAGTTAGGCATGTTCCACTTAGTAGTTCTCTAGATAGATATTATCTTTTAAAAAAAATACTTTCTAAATGTAGTGTTATATGGTTGGTAAAAATTGGATATCAGACTATGTATTTTGGGTTGGTGAAGATTTGTCTAAATATTTCTTTTGAATTGAGAGATTAGAAAAATTCCTGACAGTGAATTCTCAAGAAGCATATGACTGTTTTCAGGACTATTCATCCTCAGAAGGTTCAAAGCATAAATAATTAGATCTTAGTTAAATTGAAAGTTCTACTTACCAAAGAAAAGTTCTCTCATTTCAACTGAAAGATAATTTTATATAGAATTAGATATTAAACAAATATGCAGATTCTTTTTAATCATAAATAATTCTGAGACAAACGTCTCTGAGTTTCAACTCATATGTATTTGAATAGTGGGACTATACCTGTCTCTCTCAAACCCTGAGATGGTTTATTACCACTAAAACAAATTTCGTTATCCAATATTTAGGCTGAGAGAGGCATAGCATAATGCATGGTTAATAGTATACTAGACTTAAGTTTGGCATTTTGGAAGTTGCAACTCGGCTATAGTATTAACCAGCTTTGAGACGTTAGCCAAAGGACATTAGATAAGCCACTTGAAAACTCTGTAACTCAGCCACCTTATATGGAAAATTCAGGAGTTAAATGGGCAATTTCTACAGTCTCTTCCAACTGACATAAAAATGCTAGCAGCAAGCCATGTAAGATGCACAAAGGGCGTATTACTTTTTTTCTTTTTATATTAATTTTCCTTCCACAGGGAACCAAGTGTAAATTCTAACATCTGTAGCATGCATCTGCCATACTGTGAGAATAGAAAATGGAAAAGTAACGGTAGTCTAAAGCAATATGACAACCTGATCTGATACTTTGAATTACTGTAAGTTTTTTTATTTTATTTTATTTTATTTTATTTTATTTTATTTATTTTTTTAAGTACAAGTGCAGTGCCCTTTGTTACATAATACTTAACTCCAAAGTACTGCTACATATCGTTGGGGTAACAGGAAATCTCTCTTGCTGATGATTGTTTCTGCGATTTTCAACAGTGACTTTGTAGGATTTTCAAAAGCACTTTATTTCAGCAATCATAGAGTACATACCACACATTCCAAGACTATGAAAGCATGTGTGTTCTTCACTATTTAGGAAGAAAAACACAAACACATTATAATAATAACGCATTGTTTGGCAAACTCCAGCTAAATATATTGGAAAACTTTCTTAGAGATTTCCAATAATTTGAAAAAACTTGCCTATGAACTACATAGCTTAGAAATAGCAAGAAAATTAAGAAAAAGTTATTTATGTCAATAATGCATGAAATATATGTAGATACTCACCTATTTTATGATATACTACCACCAAATATGCACAAATATACACCATCAAAGATACACAAATTTTATAAGAATAAGAAGTAAAATTTTATAAAAATTTACTCACAAATGCAAAGAGTACATGGCATCATTTACAGTTGAGATAAATGTTAACAAATGCAAAGACACATTATTAAATCATAACTACATCAAATTAACTGTAATTCATACTATCCTATTGTAATAATTTTGTAGTTACCACTTGTTATTGGAGTGAGCTCAGTGTGACACTCATCGTAGTCACACGAACAATTCATCTCTCCAGTAAACAATTCATCTCTCCAATTCATCATAGCAAAAAAAAAAAAAAGATATCTTGCACTTTTCTGTACTTTCATTCTACGTAATGCAATATCAGAAACCTTAAATAACACAAAGGGGCCTATACACAGGTTCCCTGGTAATGCTAGGATGAAAGTGCTCCCAAGAAACACAGAAAAGTCATGACATTTTGTTGTTGAATTTCTTGATATGTATCACACAATGAAGCCTGTGGCTTCATTTGCCTGCCATTCACAAATAAATGAAACCAGCATAAGGACTACTGTAAAAAAAAGAAAAGAAATCTGTGAAGCCATCGCTACAGCTATGCCTGCAGCTGCACTTACAGCGATGCCAATTGCGATTTTTGTGAAATACCTTTTTATCTTGTATTGAAAATGCAATTTTATATAGGTGCAGGATTGCTACAAGAAAGGCATACCTATAGACTAATATGATTTGAGATAAAGCAAAGTCAATGTATGACAACTTAAAGCAAAAAGAAGTTTAAAGATCTAAGGCTGGAGAATTTGATGCCAGCAAAGGACCGTTTAATAGTTTTAGAAAAAAGTTTGGCTTAAAATATGTCAGGATAACAAGAGAAGCTGCTTCTGCCAACCAAGAGGCAGCAGACGAATTCCTAGATGCCATCAAGAAAATCAAGAAAATCATTGAGAAGAAAAGCTACCTGCTTGAACAGTTTTTTAAAGCAGACAAATGTGTCCCATTCTAGAAAAAGAAAATGCCACAAAAACACTCATTAGTAAGGAAGAGAAGCAACACCAGAATATAAGGAAAGAAACGATACGCTAACTGTACTGTTTTATGCAAATGCAGTCAGGTTTATGATCAGAACTACACTTATCAATAAAGCCGCTAACCCCTAGACTTGAAAGGAAATGATAAAATCCAGGGGTCAGTCTTTTGATTGTACAACAATCAGCCCATGAACAATAAAAACCCTTTTTCTGAATTGGTTTCATCAATGCTTTGTCCCTGAAGTGAGGAAGTAACTTGTCAATCAGGGACTGCCTTTTAAAGTTCTTTTGATATTGTACAATGTGTCTGGTCACCCAGAACCCCATGAGTTCAACACCAAAGTTGTTGACCCCAAACACAACATCTCTAATTCAGCCTCTACATCAGGGAGTCTTACAAAATTTTAAGGCTCATTATACACAGTACTCTATGGAAAGGAAAACCCCAAAGAGAGAACCTCATGAAAGTCTTGTGAGATTACACCTTTGAGGATGCCACTGTTGTTATAGAAAAAAGCCATGAAAGCCATCAAGCCTGAAACAATAAATTTCTGTGGAACACTGATGTGCATAACTTCATGGAATTTATGACAGAGCCAATCAAGGAAATCATGAAAGAGATTGTAGATATGGCAAACGAAAAGGTGGTGGGGGCTGGGGGAGTGAAGGGCTTACAAATACATGTCTTGGAGAAACGCAAAAACTCATAGACATCACACCACAGGAATGAACAGAAGACTTGATGGAAATCAGCGCTTCCAAACCAGTGCCAGATGAAGAGGAAGAAGATATAGAAGAAGCAGTTCCAGAAAACAAATTAACGTTAGAAAATCTAGCAGTAGGGTTTTAGTTATTTGAGACTGCTTTTGATTCCTTTTATGACATAGACCCTTCTACGATATGAGCCCTGAAACTAAAGAAAATGGTGGAAGAAGGATTAGCAAAAAAGTCAGAAATTACTGTGTATTTCTGTAAAGTTACACTGATTTTTTTTTTGCCTTCCTTCCTCCCCTTCCATCTCCTCCATATAGGCCAACTCTGCCACCTCTGAGATACAAGACCAGCCCCTTCTCTTCCTCCTCCTCCTTAGCCTACTCAGTGTGGAGATGACACAGATGTGACTTCCATTTAATGAATAGTAAATATATTTTATCTTATTTATATGATTTTCTAAATAGCATTTTCTTTTCTCTAGCTTGCTTTATTGTAAGAATACAGTGTACAATACATATAACATACAAAATATGTGTCAATCCCCTGTTTATGTTATCAGTAAGGCTTCCAGTTAACAGCAGGCTATTAGTAGTTAAGTTTTTGGAGAGTCAAAAGTTATGTGTGCATTTTCAACCCCATGAGTAGTCAGTTCCCCTAACCCCCGTATAGTTCAAGGATCAACTGCCTATTGTATCTTTGTAATCAAATATAAAGTCATAGTTTACAGATGATTCTTATTTTCACTTTGAAAATAAACAGTCCTCAGCACTTTGGGAGGCCGAGGCGGGCGGATCACGAGGTCAGGAGATCGAGACCATCCTGGCTAACATGGTGAAACCCCGTTTCTACTAAAAATACAAAAAATTAGCCGGGCGCGGTGGTGGGCGCCTGTAGTCCCAGCTACTCGGGAGGCTGAGGCAGGAGAATGGCGTGAACCCGGGAGGCGGAGCTTGCAGTGAGCCGAGATGGCACCACTGCACTCCAGCCTGGGCGACAGAGCGAGACTCCATCTCAAAAAAAAAAAAAAAAAGAAAGAAAAGAAAATAAACAGTCCTAAGCATGATATATTATTACTATGGCACATTTTAACAGTTCTAGCCTCCCATATGGAATTTGTATTTGGTGGGGTGAGGGGAGAGTTGTTGCTAACACATCTTTAAAATTCTCCCTCCTTAATTTAAACTCGTGCAAAATAAATATGTCTTAAACATTTCATTCATCCTGGCATCTGCTTTTACCTTCACTGCCTCCCCATATAAATAAAGTCCATGTTGATGTCTGAAAAGGGGATACTAGAGATCTATGCTTTATTGCTTACGAGAGTGGGAACTCACTGAAAATAGTTAACTCATTCAAAATGCTCTTAGGTATAAGAGAAGTTAACAGAATTATCTTCATTTTGTGGCTGAATAGATTGTTTACAAAAGACAAACAAGCTAGCACCACATAGAAATTTGATGTACAGTATCTCCTTTCACTGTGTCTGCTCGTGTACCACGCACTTTAATAAAAAAAGAATACGGCTTTTATGTTATGAACAAACACTGCTCTGAACATGAGCAAATTCAGAAAGAAATTTTGCTTCTCAAGAGCAAGCTTTTCTTTCGTTTTCGTTTGCTTCTCTGCTTTGCTTTGTACAAGGCATTTTTAAATGGCCAGAAAATGACTGGCACACATTGGTTGTGCAGTAACATGACACTTCATATTTAATATTTGATACAAAATTAAGTGTGTGATAAACAAAACCCTGCACAAATTATAAAGCCTTGGCAAAATGCTAAGAAATGGATAGGAAACATTTCAAATATATATGTTATGTCAAGGTTAGTCTCCATTATTGAAGGGATAAAAATAATTTCATACCTTAAAATATCTAGTGGGTTGTGGTGAAGGACTTATATAAACTCTTAACAATATCTGGATCCTTACTTCTGTTATGTTGTTCCTATAAATTTCAAGTGACTGCTGCTGTCCTATCTTTAAATAATAGGAATAAGCTGAACTCTCTTTTTCTCTGGATTAGCTGTGATAAGAACCTCTCCAAAATGAATTAGAGTGAAACCAGCCAGTCACTTCTCACCAAAGCTCATGTTAGTAGATTGTATCATTTAATCATTAAATACTATAGGTTCATTCAAGCCCATAACATAGAGTAAAAAGACTGAGATCATACTACAAAAATTTGACATGATCTGCCTTCTTATAATACCCTTGAAAAGTTATTTTGATGTGCTCATTATATTCAAAATAACAGTTTTGTTGTTCATTATGTCACTATAATTTGTTACTGATTTAATAATTTTCTTCAATTATTCAGAGAAATCCCATTAAGCAAAAGGCAATGTAAATTTGAATTAGTAAAATACACGAATTATACACAATACTAAAAAAATTTTTTCAGGGATTAAAAAAGAAAACACTTTTAATACTCATAAGCTACACAAACAATGCTGTAGACATTGTAATAACAAGTTATACTAATATTTTTTTGTTTGTATTCCCAACAATCCTTGTGATGCCATCCACATTTCAAAGATGAGGAGATAAACTCAGAGAAGTTATGTAACTTCGATAATATCATTCAGCATGGAGAGCTAGGACTTGAATCCAAGATTTGCTGAGTGCAAAGAATGGTGAGGCGGTTTGGGTTATACCATGTTATAACACCCTAAATGTTTCCTTTCCTAGTATATTTGACAGATGATCTGGATGTCAAGTATCTTTAATAAGAGAAAAGCAAAATGTTTCATGTAAAGAAATACTAAGAAATATAAGTTTGGATGAATGAGAAAACATCCTCTAAAGTAACAGAAAGTAGACATCTTCCCTTAAAGCAGGAGTTATAGACAGCAATGAAATTTGTTCCAGAAACCAATCATCATTTCGGGGGAAGAATAGGACTGAATCTTAATGGAAACTGGCAAGAATTTCACTTTGATAGTACTGAAATGATGCAGGGAGACATATTTTATAGGAGTGAGTGTTAGTATTTTTAAAGCTTTATTGAGGTATAGTTATACACCACAAAATTCATCCATTGCATGTATACTATTTCATGATTTTAAGTAAATTTAAAGAGTTGTGCATCCTACTCCACAATCCAGCTATAGAGTATTTCCATCAAACCTCTCCCATCCTCTAAAAAAATTCCTTTGAGTTCTATTTGCAATCAATACTGTGAAAGACTCACTGTCCCCCAGACCTAGTCTTGGACAACCTCTGCTTTCTGTCTCTATAAATTTGTCATCTCTGGACACTTCATACAAATCCAATCATTCAATATGTCACCTTTTGCATCTGGTTTCTTTTACTTAGCATAATGTTTTTGAAGTTCACCCACGTTGAAGCATGTGTCAGTATTTTATTCTTTTTATTATTTGCATGGATATGTCACATTTTATTTATCTACTTGCAAAATTGATAGAAATCTGAGGGTTTTTTTTTTTTTTTTTGGTGTGGGGTTATTCTGAATAATGCTGCTATGAATATTTGAGTTGTGTTGATTCCTAGGAGTGGAATTGTTGGGTCATAGGATAAGCTTATGTTTAACTTTTTAAAAACTGCCATATTGTACCATAGTATATAAACAGAACTTTTTTTCTTTAGAGTTAAAGATATAAAACTCATGTGTTGATATGAATAGTAAATATGAAAATCTAAAATTTAGGTACCAAGCACACTGTTATGGATGGAATCTAAAATTCATATGTTGAAATCCTAACCACCAGTATGCCTATATTTACAGATGGTCTGGGACCTCTAAGGAAGTAATTAAAGTTAAGTAAGGTAATAAGTCTGGGGCCAAGATCTGATGAGATTACTGTACTCATAAGAAGAGATACCAGAGAGCTTGGACTCTCTCTCTGTCTCTATCCATGTGCACTGAGGAAAGGCCATGTGAGCACTTGATGAGGAGGCAGCCATCTGCAACCCAAGGGGAGACTCTTACCAGATACCAACCCTCCTGGCACCTTGAACTTCCCCGCCTCCAGAACTATGAGAAAACTAATTTATATTGCCTAAGCCACCTGGTCTGTGGTATTTTGTTATGGCAGCCCAAGCAGAATAAAACACATGCCAACAATTTTTTTTTTTTTTTTTTCAGAGACACTTATGGGACAGTTAAGAGCTTGGCAAGTATCAGAAGGCCAGGAAAGAGTCTTTCTTCATTGAAGGTCTCTGATAATGCCAGTGGAGTCTTGGAATATGGAACTTCCTCTGAAATGTGAGACTATTTTATGTTTTCTTTATCTTTTTTTCTCTCACAAAACTGTATGATAAAGAATAATGAGTAGTCTTGGATTGAAGAGATATAATAATGAGGTTGCAGAACAGAGTACACTGAGTTAAAATATTATGAAATAAATTGCTGATGCCATATCTGCAGTTGTGGTCCATCTGCAGGATTTTTAAAATAAATTATCTTGTTCTCACAGGCATCCAAGTCAGTAATTATAGGCAAACAATAAGAATTAAGCTTCTGCCAAAAGAATTATCTCTGTAGCCAATAGCAACTTCCTTTGGCAGGACAGATATATTCACCAGCATTAAAAACACTTAATTTTTTATTTCTGAACTAAATACTTGTAACTAGTCTACAAAAGGGACAACTGAAGGTATGAAGAGAGAAGACAAATGACCCCAGGCAAAGTATTTGTTTCTTCTTATAGAAAAAGCAAAGCTCAACCTTATTATCTTTGGAGTTGGGATTTATAAAGAGGAAAATAATACCTTTTTAAGCTACACTGTTTTCATAAGATGCAATAAGGTTCAGCAATAATATTTTAAAAATAGAACATCTCTGATCTAACGAAAGTTCTCTGGAGTACACATGGATTGGAATACATATCTGAGAATAAAATTAAAAGAGCCAGTTGAAGCTGAAAGCTCTGGAAGCATTTGCTAGCCAAGTATAAAAGTCTAAAATGTATGTGACATTGGCACATATTCAAAATTAAAGTATCCTTTATAATTCAACAGTCATTAAAATAGGGAAGAAAGCAAAAAAAAAAAAAAAGAAAATTGTCTGAATTTCAAAATGCTTCACTTGAATCATTGCCAACAGGGGTACTATAGTTCCAAATTCTCATTTAGTTTGTGTATGTTAAATATGAATTATATCCAGTTTTCAAAAATAGTCTTTACACCATAAATTTTATATACAATATATTATTTAACTTAATTATTTAATAAATTATCCTTAAAGACCCTGTTATGTCTGCACTTTATGCCCATTTCTTACAGATGAGAAAACCAAGGGAAAGCAGTGAAATAAGAGAAACTGCCATGTGTTCTCAATAACACAAGGAAAGTGAAGTGAATATAAAGTGGAACTTGTTATAAGTGTTTGTAGTTTATTTGCTCCCCCACCCCAAGGGTCCAATTGTACTATTTTCAGAAACATACCTAAAGCAAATATGCTAAATCTCCAGTCATGTGAACTGGGATATGACAAGCTGGCACGAGACAGAATGGAAAGACAAAACATGGCTTTACTGCTCACCACTTTGTGTTGAATGTTAGTACAAAGATCTACTGGGGGTACCCCAGATCTAGACCAAATCAACCTTGTAAAGTAATTGCTTTGCCTCTGATTGCTCTAAGGGAAACCCATAGACAATAAATACAGAGAACTAACAAGCGCAAGAAATGAGAGTGGCTGGCTAGAGACTTTCTTTTTGCCATAATGCCATAGTAACTGTCAAAGAAGTCCTCTGTGGACACTAATCTAAGTGCTGCAAAGGCTCGTCTTACTCAGATAGTTCTTAGGTTTATACAGGGCTCCAGGTGTAAAGCACTTCACAAACATTACCTGAAATCATTGTGCTTCTCAGTAAGTTGTGCTTCCTGCTGAAGCTTAAGTAGCAAATACATCAACCAAAAACTGCCCATTAGATCTCAGTCTTCACAAATGATTCTTGGTTGTAGTTTCCAGTCCTCTATCTAAGAGACTCTTGAAAATTAAAGTATAGTAAATTCTGTAATCAGATATTCTAATTGGACTTAATTGTCACCACGAGAAATATGAGAGAATAATCTGAATGCAGCAGTTATGGTCTGAAAGAAGATTATATGCTTCTATATTTTAATGAGGAAAACTCTCAACTAGCAACTTAAATCAATATACATTTCTGTCTTTTTTTAATAAAAAGACAAAATACCCAGGTAACAAACCTGCACATGTACCCACTGAATCTTAAATAAACAACAAACCCAAACTAGTAATTCTGGCAAAAATTGTCAATTACCACTAAAACTACTAGCTAGATAAATGGATAGCAGACGTGACTTCTGCCTCTTCTCTGTTAGGAATATACAGTAGGATGCATTTTTCTATCCTTTGAAGTTAGACATGGCCATATGACTCGCTTTGGTGAATGGCATATGAATAGGAGCAAGATGTGTCATTTATAGGCTGAAACATTTAAGAACCACTGCATCCTTGTCCATTTTGCTCTTGCTCTGCCTTGGATCTGGTAAAGAGTGTGTTCATATAGATATATAGTTCTGAGTCATCATGAAGTGGAAACTTACAGATTTTGAATGAGTAAGAATTTTTTCGTTACTGTAAGTTATTGAGACTTTTGAACTCCTTGTTACTGCAGCATTATCTACTCTTTCCTGACTATTATAATGGGGAATTTAACACTCGGCTGGATAAAGATATACCAGAGCTATGATTTTCTGAAAACAAGGGGAAACTATATAAGAAAGGTAGATCAGATATCACACCTCATTAAGTGGTCAGTCTTGAAACCCACTGATGATCTGGCAACCAGGTAAGTTGTGTCTCCGATGGAAGGCAATATGGCATATAGATCATCTATGTTGTATTCTAGCCAAAAATGCTTAATATTACTGTAACCATATCTTTAACTCTAACTTCCAGTTAATAGAACATCATAGGGATAGAGGAATAGGCTAACTGACACCATAAATCCCAAAGGTAAAACTAATGACAAGACAATTAGCCTGGTCTCTTCAACAGATTGCTGTCATAAAAAAGAAAAAAATGACTACATGCAGAGGCTTAACCAAATGCAACGTGTTGTCCCAAATTGTATCTGGATTTGGAAAAACCATCCACATAAGTGATATGGAAGACAATGGGTACATTTTAATATAAAATAGATATTAGATAATATTGAGGAATTGGTAGTAATTCTGTTAAGTGTAATGATATTATTTTGAATATGTAGGAACATGTTCTTATTGTTTAAATATTAATTATAATATTTAAAAGTAAAATGTCACTTTTAAATATATTGGCATACTGAAAATAAGCCTTTAAAATATCTGAGTTCCATAATTGGTGACAGAAATGTTAGTTTAAAAGCTATACATAAAAATTTGAAATGAACTAAAGCAAAGTTGAAAAAGACAAAAAAGATGGAGACTTAAATGGTTTATATTTCCGTTTATAATTACATATGAATTAATCTTAAGCTAGATTTCTAGTTTAAGGTTTTACAAATTGACAAAAACTACTTATTTTATACTGGATTATCTTCACATGTTTCTCCTACTGTTTTAATCTAATCACTGTCAGACCACTGAACCAATTATTACTTAGATGAGTAGCTCTACTGTCTGATGCTGTTTACTGCCAAGTGAAAATCAATAGAGTCAGTCATCATTATCTACTTTAAAGAATGTGAATATTGACTTTTGAAACCCCCAATTTATTGGTTTTTAGAACCCTTTCACACTGTCTTGGAAACTTGCTTTCTATCTCAAACTATCTGATGCATAATGAGGTCCTATGTTATCAACTAACTCCCACCTTCCTCTTGTCTGACTTATACCACCATTACCTTGTTCTCTAGTTTCCAGTGACATGGCCTTCTTTCATTTCTTAGAATAGGCTGTGCTGTCTCTTGCCTCAGAGACCTCAGTCACACAGATTTCTCTGCTTGACTCTTTTTCTTCTCCCTCTGTAACTAGATAATTCTTATATGCACTTTAGAGCAAAATTTAAAATGCCCCCCAGGAAAAATTTTCCAGACGTCCCAGACTAGGTAGGACTCCCCGGAGCCTTGGCCATATTCCACTGTTACTCTAAACTTTCCTTCAAAGCCTTAGCATAGTTTGTATTTATACATATATTTTTGTGATATCTACTTCCTGTGGAGTGTCAGCCCCATGAGGAAGATAGTCATTCCTCTTTTGTTTACTACCATATTATCTTCAACCAATGTTGTGTCCAGCACTTAGAATGTGTTTAGTAAAGATTCGCTCTGTGTAGTTTTTGAGTCGGGATGTGAGGCAGTATGATATAGTGAAACACTGAGAAAATATAGTTTCTTATCCTGTTCATTATTACATTCATGGACATATACAGGTGCTGAGTAAAAATTTTGTTGTGCAAATGAAAGGTATTGAAAAAAAAAAAATACAGCTTCGCCTGAGTCTTATTTCAGCTACATAGCTTCTGTAGTCTTGATCTTCACTACTGTAGGCGGCAGTTAATTATCTATAAAACGAATTGTTTAATGGATGACTTATAAGGATATTTTCAGCACTAAACAACTGTAAAACTAGGATTTTCAATTGTTTAAAGGATGACTTATAAGGATATTTTCAGCACTAAACAACTGTAAAACTAGGATTTTCAATTGTTTGCTATTGCAATCACTTCATTTGATGCTAGTAATGTGAAAAATCAACAGCACTGGATCAAGCAAGTATTTACTGGACAACTATGTATTTATTTTAATTCAAATAAATATCTCAGCAAGCCTTTTGTGGAATTTGACAAGCTAATTTTTACATTTATATGGAAATGTGAAGGACAAGAATACTCAAGATATTTTTAAAGAATTACATAAGGAACCACAAACTATCAGATAAAATGTCTTACTTTAAAATTCTGTGTCTAAAACGTATTGTGTTCATACACAGATGAGAAAATAGACTGAGGAATAGGATCAACAGCCCAGAAACAAGCCTATACATCTACATCATCTTGATATGTAGTGTAGCTTTATTGCATAACCATTGAGAAAGAATGGAAATCTCAATAAATTAGATTGAAAAATGCAAATTGTGCCCCTAACTAAATCATCACAATTATCCTCAGTATCATCAACATCATGGTAGATTAAATAAGTGTGAAAAAAATTATAAAGATGTATAATATAAGAATATTTACTCAGAATAGGTAGGAATTTAAGAACCTCAAAGGACTAAAAACATAAAGATATTGGCAAACTAGATTACATGGAAATGACGAACTATTCATAAAAATATAATTCAACAAGTGAAAATAAAAGTCAAAATCTGAGAGCAGATATTTTCAACACATGAAATTGACAAAAAATTTATAGCCAGAGTATATAAATATCTGCTGCAAATCAATAAAAAAATCCCACAAAATTTGGCAATGATTTTTAACAAGCACTTAGAAAACATACAAACATCCAGAAAACCAACACACATACATAATGGCACTCAACTTCATTAGCAATCAGAGTAAGACATATAACTTAAACCACACCAAGGCACCTCTTACACATATCAGACTGGAAAAAATCAAAGAACAAAACGAAATGAAATCAAGTTTGGCAGAGGATCATATCAAGGAAAATTGCCACACATATGATTACAAGAATTAAAAATATAAGCATCCACTTAGCTTATCTATCAGCATTAGAGGCCGCCTGTGTATGTAACTATTCCAGGAGATTCTTGGTTGTGAAGGTAAGGCTTTAAGTTGATAAATAACGTCACTGTTTGCTTCAAGAAATTTCTGTTAATCAATGTATCCAGAAAAATAGTTTGTTCTTCTCACCTGGACAAGGAGCTTCTTTATCAAACAATCCTCCCTTCACCATGTTCACCAATTCTAAGTGATTGTAATGATTTTTTCTCACTGACAATCATTTTTCTGACTTAAAACATCCATCTTAAAACTTCAGCTCAGTTACCCAAATCCTATATAAATCCAGGATAGCACCTACTGAGATACTACAATACTAAATTCAGTCAAGATAGTGTTCTTCCTTTGCGAAGTAGGTGCAGTAAGCTCTGCCTTATCAACAGGCTATTCTAGTCTTTTTAGGCATTGACAGTCAACTATTCTAGCAATTTGGCGTTACCCAGTAGACTTAAAGATATTCATTCCCTATGAAGCAGTAATTGCATTCCAGCATATATATCCTAGAGAAACTTTTGTACCAGGGACATGTACAAGAATACTCTTAATCGTTGTTGGAAACAATAAATGCCCATCAACAGTAGAACAATAGGTAAACAAATTTTGGTATATTTATGCATTATGCATAATGCATAATGAAAATAAACAAACTATTGCAACATCTATCAACATGGAGAATGAGTAGGGAGATCAGTCCCCTCTTCATTATCAGTCAAAATTTCTCCAACTACTCTAAAACACAAAACCAGGTTTACATATATTTAATGCTTATTCTTTTAAGTCAAATACACTGTTGTTCTCCTAAACGAATATTGTGACTCTTTTTCTTTTCAAATATATCTCTGGATTTCCTTTCAGAGATGTGCATTATCTTGTTTACTGTGCTTATCTTGGTTTCAAAATGTATATTTGATATCCCATATTGTCACTCCTGCTTCAAAACATATACCTGAATCACTTTTCAAATATAGACTAGAGGCCATTTTACATTTGTGTACTTTGGAATAGGGCTGCTTTCCTCTGAGCATCACTAAACAGTTCCTAAAAAGATTTGCGGCCGGGCGCGGTGGCTTACACCTGTAATCCCAGCACTTTGGGAAGCCGAGGCGGGAGGATCACGAGGTCAGGAGATCAAGACCATCCTGGCTAACACGGTGAAACCCCGTCTGTACTAAAAATACACAAAATTAGCTGGGCGTGGTGGCGGGTGCCTGTAGTTCCAGCTACTCGGGAGGCTGAGGCAGGAGAATGGCATGAACCCAGAAGGTGGAGCTTGCAGTGAGCCGAGATCGCACCACTGCACTCCAACCTGGGCGACAGAGCGAGACGCTGTCTCAAGAAAAAAAAAAAAAAAAGATTTGGGTGATGAATATCTTGGGCATGTTTCTGTATAAAGGAAGATATGTAAAACAAAAGTGTTAAGTTGTGAGACTTTTACAGTCTTCAGGTTCAGCCTGGTGGTCAATCTCCGTTATTTCTTCTTGCATGAACATCTTGAGTAATCAAGAAAAGCATTATTTTACATTCTTGAATCTGAAAGTTTTATGCACACAAGAGTAAATCTTATAGGGTAAAAAAGCAAATCACAAAAGCATGTATACCCTCTAATTCTGTTTTAGAAATTAAAAATGGGAAAACCTAAATAGTATATTGTTTAAGGATGCATTTAGAGGAGATGAAAACATTCAAAAATGCAAACAAAGAACTCTCAGGAAACTAAACACATAGTTATCCCTTTTATAAAGATTTGGGATGGTGATTGAGAAGAGACACCCAGGGAGGGTCTTTTCAGGGACTGGCATTGTTCTGTTTCTTTACCTGGATTGTGGTCATACGGCAATTCAGTTTATGATCATTCTCTAATACATAAATATGCTGTATACTTTCTTTTGTGCACATGATTCATTTTTCACTAAAAAATTATAGCATATAGTTTCATTTTTAATGGTATGTATTGGTAACTAATATACCTGGCATTTGAATCATGAAAAACAAGTGTACTTTTTATGCTTAAATTTGATTTGTTATAGGAACAATATTTATTTTCTTCCTTTCTTACTTAATTTGTAATTTTTAATAATCTACAAAATAGCTGTAAGTAGGAAAATTTTAGCCTGAGAAGAGAGTGCGTATGTTGGGTATGGAATCAGAATGTACGTGCATATACTCTGAGAAGACAAATGTGAAACTGGTGAGGAAATGACATGTTGCCTCATGTTTACTTTTATGCCAAATGGTCAATAAATCACGGTTGGAGTAGCTTAGAAGACTTGCATTGAGAGGAAGCAATCACATTGTTTTTGTTTATTCCCATGCTATGCTTTAAATTGCTCTTTAGTGATTTGTTCAGCAAATAATTACTGAGCACCAACTATGACCCAGCCTCTGAAGATAAAACTTGGAAACAAACAGACCTAGTTTCTACCCTCAAGGAATTTATAGTCTAGTGGAAGCAAGACATAAACATACTGAAGGACGGAAAAAGGGAAAGCAAAGAAAGAGGGAAGAGGGAGAAAGGAAAATATAAATAATAATTTTACAACTTACAAAAAGTAAGACCTTTGAAGAAAAAGTTGAATGAGAAGGTAGGGATGAGGGAGGGTGCTACTTTATAAAGCATCTCCAGGAAAGGCTTGGGAGACAAAGTGGCATTTAAATGGAGACCTGCCAGAAGCCTGGGAGTGAGCCACATGCATATTCAAAGGGAGAGTGTTCTAGAGAAAGCTAGTCATGAGGTAAGAGGAAACAAGAAATGGAAGATGAAGTCAGAAAAGGGTCATATTTGAACATTTGAGCAATGAAGTACAGAAGCCAACGGATAAATGCATCCCTTTTTTTTACCCCTGACTTTCATAGGACTTCTCAGTCATTTGCTAAAGAATGGAGAAAGCAGTTGCCTAGTGAAATAGACAATTTAGTGTTGCATCTATGTATTGGCTCTCTCTGTTCCTACTTAAGAGCCTTTGCAATGCTTATTGGGACATAAATTAAACCATATTGTAATTTTCCTGGTTGTCTGCATTTTCCATAAGATTTTAAATTTTTTTATATAAAAACTCGTATACAACACTTGTTAAACATTGCATTATCATTAATTAGAACATGGTATGCATATACACTCATGTGTATCAAACATTGATTGTGTGACAGAATAAATATATTCTTCAAATGAATGATGGGTAAGACAGTTAATGCTATTGTGAATAAAAAGAGTTTTTCTATATACTGTAAATAAATGTTTATGAAAAAGGCATCGTGGAGTAAAATAATGATGCTTCCTGGGAATCAGAATCAATCATTTGTAATCTATGCATATCTCACTTAGTTTCAAAGAAACTAAGTAACTCAGTTTTCCTCTCTGTACAAGGAGAATAAAAATATTTTCTTCATAGGATTATTATGAGGATAAAGTGAGAACACATATATCATCAATAAATATTAGTTCTTTCCTCCTCATTTGAATTTGTAACATGAGGGAAAAAAACACCAATGAATACTGACACTTCTTCACAATTAAGGTTGCTGATAAATTAACATAAGTGGCATTGTCTCTCATGCTTAAATCACTTTTCTACATCATTTGTGGCCTGTCACCTTTCTCTTATTAATAATATATTAATTATTCTTTGCTGTGCATCTATGGGTAATCCACAGGAAGAATGAATCCTACTATTTAACTGAAAGAGAAAATGTAATCTAGAGAGGTTTAATGAAGTTCACATTCTTACAAAAAAGCAATAACCTTTCTTTGTTATAAAATACTTTTATTATTTATTAAAGTCATCCAACATACAAATCACGTTTTTAAATTTTCTATTCTGAAGCATCTCTGCTTTCTAATATTCTCTTCAATCTCTAGTTCACGCACTAACTACTCAGTTCCATGTTCCCAGTCTTTTAGTGTATCCATTCTGGCATATCCAACTGTCTTCCTACCTTCCTTCCACAGAGTGAGGATTAGCCAAGATTGCTAAACTCTACAAGCAGATACAATGAACTATAATTTCTTGGTCTTTCTTAGATTTATTCTTCCAAACTGGGGTTGGTGGGGGAAGTTAAAGTACCCACTGTAACCGTAGAAAATGTTCCTATTCAGGATTTTAAACTGAGAGGACTTTAAACATATCCAGTAAGTGATTTTTTTAAAATAAAAAAGTAAGTTAAAGGTGTGGAGAAAATTTAGTGTATCAACCACAAAAGTGTTCCCTATTCTCTGTATACTTAAAAATAGATTACATTTAAGAATAACACTCACGTCTGTAATCCCAGCACTTTGGGAGGCCGAGGTGGGCGGATCACGAGGTCAGGAGATCAAGACCAACCTGGCTAACACTGTGAAACCCCGTATCTACTAAAAATACAAAAAATTAGCCGGGCTTGGTGGCAGGCACCTGTAGTCCCAGCTACTCGGGAGACTGAGGCAGGAGAATGGTGTGAACCCGGGAGGTGGAGCTTGCAGTGAGCCGAGATTGCACCACTGCACTCCAGCCTGGGCAACAGAGCGAGACTCCGTCTCAAAAAAAAAAAAAAAAAAAAGAATAACGCTTTTGAAAAAAAACTGCTGTGGGCAGAAGCTAGTTCAGTAGATAAGCCAGTATGAACAAGTGAAGTAATTAGTTAACAGGTGCACCTGTTTGCTAGAGAAGCTCCCTGAAGGGCTTAATTCCTGTTACTTAACTGTGACTCTCAACCCCAGCAACATTAGGGCAAACATGATGCTTTATGGCGTCACTGAAAAGGGGACAAAGCACCTGCCAATCAGGAGACCTTCAAAGGAAGAGATTCCACTTATATAGTAAAACATATCACAAGTCATTAATATGACTGATCAGTGAAAGTCACTGTTAGGCATGTTGGGACATATCAAGATGGACAAGAAGGGATAAATTTCACTACAGAAACTGTAATCTACTAAAGGAAGTAAAGTACACACAAGAACAACTACAATTCATTACAAAGCTGCCTAAGTGTTGGACGTTGGCAGGGTCAATATTTTATCATTATTTTCAGTTATGGGATTTGTTTTGATGGAGTCTTTAGGAAAATAAAAATGTATAAATATCCCTAAAGGCTTATACTTGTTCAGATTTTCCAAATGATGTATGTTTTCATCTGTTTTGGTTTCTGGAAAATAGTTATATAATTTATTTTTAAAGTAAAATATTTGGAATTTAATCATAATAGTAGCTACATAAAAAGCTCATGCATTTGGATCCTAATAACTAGTACCGGAAGAAGCTATACCTGTGCAATCCATGTTGCCAATTGAGAGAATACAGTCATCTTGGGCCAACTCTTAAAACTTAAGACACAAGGTCTAGGCACTGTGACCATATTTTCTGAATGAAACTTGGAGTCAAACAGGTTGATTTCATAATGAACTCACTGACATCAGGAAAATTCCCAAAAGTGGCAGCATGGTTGTCCCTAGGGCCCTCTGAAGGATGTGAATAAACTGAATGGTATACCATTTTAGTAAGAGCATCTGAGTCTTCTATCTTTGAAGAAGATAGAAGAAGAAGTCTGAATCTTCTCTGAAGAAATAAGTGGATAAGAAAAGGTGAAAAGGAATCACAGAATCCCTCTTTTATTTCCTTTGCTGTGGAAATCAGTCAGTTATGTGGATCGAATAAATATCTCTACGGCATATAAACTGATTGTCATTCAGGAGTTGTGGTTGATGTTTATGTATTGAATTTAGATAAAATTTCTTATGATTCGAGGTAATAACACACTAATTGTTCAAATGCTTTGTTCATTCATCTATTTTACAAAACTTTTTTCATGTTTGTCACATATTCTTAAATTATCTGGTACATATTGCTCTTTTTAAAATTATTCCAAATGTCACACATTTATTTTATGCCTTCCTCCATTCTTTAGACATTAAATTGGATGTTAATAACTGAGACATATGGCAACTAATGTAATATCTCTATAGGTGCCTAAATATGCATCTCTGATATTTCAATTCCAAGGTCCATAAAATCCATTATTACTACCATTTCAAGCACCTAACCAAAAGTGTGTATTTAATTGCTGTCTTAGTCTGTTTTGCTACAAAGAAGTACTGGAGTCTGGGTAATTTATAAAGAAAATAAGTTTATACTATTTATTTGGCTTGCCGTTTTGCAGACTGTACAAGAAGCATGGCACCAGCGTCTGCTTCTGGTTGAGAGCCTCAGGCTTCTTCCACTCATGGAAGAAGGCAAAGAGCAGATGGCATGTGCAGAGATCACATGGTGAGAGCAAGCAAGAGAGCAAGAGGGGACTGGGGAGGTGCCATGCTATTGTTAACAACCAACTCTAGTGGGAACTCACTTATTTCTTTGAGAATGGTACCAAGCCATTTATGAGGGATCCGCCTCCATGATCCAAACACCTCTCATGAAGCCACACCTCCAACACTGGGCATCAATTTCAACATGAGGTTTGTAGGAGTCAAACAAACCAAACAATAGCAACTGTTAAATCACATATCAACATCTTTGCTTTTGTCTATGTATGACAAAGAGAAATTTTTGGCTTCAGAGAAGCTCTTCTAAACTATGGCTGAAATAAAAATTTGAGACTTTTATTTGGTAGACCAATCACTGACAGCCATGCCATATATCAAACATTGACAAACATATCTCAGACTGGAATATGAGAAATCAAACTGGGGCATGAGTAAATGCAGACAGCAAAGCTGAAGAATATTTAAAGTGCATAGTGTCACAATATCTGTATGCTTATTTCATTACATTGGCAATTACGGGTTGTTGGTTAAAAGCTGGATCAAATGTTGAAATGGAGAAATAGTGTTAAGCGTAAATGAATTAATGACCACTTGTTCTCAACAAAATATTTTCAACATGAAGTTCTTGGGTGATGAATTAAATCAAATATTTAAATATCTTGCTATACACAGAGGCATGCATTCAAATGTTTCTGACATTGACAAGAATATTAACCCTTAAATGACAGGAAGAAACTGTGTCTTAAAATGTCATATATTTTTTACAGTGCCTCATATTTTGAATGTAAATTACTATCCAAAAAATCAGTTGCGTATCAGCTAATATACATGCTTACAGAGCTCCTCACATTAGTGGGGTTTCTTAAATCAGTGATTCCTAGAAGCTTTTTTCTTTTTTTTTCTTTTTTTTTTTTTTTTTTAGATGGAGTCTTGCTCTGTCACCAAGGCTGGACTGTAGTGGTGCAATCTTGGCTCACTGCAACCTCCGCCTCCCAGGTTCAAACGATTCTCCTGCCTCAGCTTCCCATGTACTGGGATTACAGGCACCCGCCACCACATCTGGCTGCTTTTTGTATTTTTAGTAGAGACAAGGTTTCACCATATTGGCCAGGTTGGTCTGGAACTCCTGACCTCAGGTGATCTGCCCTGCTCGGCCTCCCAAAATTCTGGGATTACAAGCGTGAGCCACCGTGCCCCGCCGATTCCTTGAAGTTTCTAAGGGTAACCCACCTCTTTAAAGGTAAAAGGTATAACTGATGAGTATTTTAGATCCAGATTTGGCAAATGGGTTTTTCTCATCTGTCAAATCCAATCAATTGGTAGTGTCAGTCTATGGTGATATACTGAGAATGAGTGACTCTCAGGGTCATGTGCAGAGGTCTACCAAGAGAGCACACACACGCACACACACACACACAATTTAGGATTTTCCGAGGATCAATACTAAGATTGATT
The DNA here is from genome assembly GCF_000001405.40 of Homo sapiens. NCBI lineage: Eukaryota > Metazoa > Chordata > Mammalia > Primates > Hominidae > Homo > Homo sapiens. Next base: position 175,636,161 of record NC_000003.12, on the reverse strand, counting down.
AGTGTGATTAGCGCTGAAAATCGGTGCCATTAATTAGCCCATATCATATATGTGTGTATGTGCGTGTGTGTGTGCATGTAGGGGAATCTTTTATTATAGTTGTCCATGGGGCAGTAAGTACTCTCTCCAGGACTCTTTAATATCTACATTAAACTGTCGTAACAGGGTCCAAAACTTTCCCAGATTCTTCTGGTATGTTGTGTTACATTTGATTTTTTTAAGTAGGGATTGTCTGGAGCTTTTAAATCTTTTTATTATACAGAAAGTTTGTTTAAACACATTTTTGGAGGGATATTTGATCTGTCGACCTAGAGTTATTCTGTTATGCATTCAGTATTCTGCCCTTCGTCTCTGTACTTCTACAGCACCTTGAGAATGGTATTATTCAAGAACGATATGGAAAGGTAGAGTCTCCTCTTCAAAGGGAGGAAAAAATGCAGAAATTAACATCAAAATTCGAAATTCACTTTCAACTTATTGACAGATCCCTAAAATAGGAAGGACTTATATTTAGAGCATACAAAACTCAACTATCACCAAAAATGTTACTTTATGGAATGAGACTTCTACTTCCTGAATTAAACATGAAAACATATTAAAATAGTTTTCTTCTGCCCTTAAAAAATTGTCACACTAATTGTAAGTGATGAAAGAACTTTCCATTCTGATTTATGCATGTAATATATTTAGATTCTGTAACAAATACATGTCGAAATCAGTCTTTATATATTTATAAGATTTTTAAAAGTATGATAAAAGAATAGCAGCCTTCTTTTCCTATCTTAATAAGTGTTAATAACACTTAATATATGGTAGCTTTTGGTGAATTTGTGAAGTATTTACTTTGATGATTAACTTCTGTTTAAAAATTGAGTCAAATTTTGACAATCACATATTGTGTAATAATTCACTTTTGAGTAATAAAAACAAAAAGACAAAAGAGAAACTGATAGTATAAGGCGTGTCTTTACAAATTATATTTGTTCAGTATAATCAAAAAGAATAAACCAAACCTCTCTAGGCAAGAGAAAATACAGTTGGCACAATCTCCAGTTTCAGTAAATGAAGATATTAAGTTTAATTATGCACTTATGAGGAAAATACACACACCTATATTATTTCCTCTTCAAAGTGTAAGGCATTGGTTTTAATATGCTACTATCTCCCTTGAGTAGCTCCAACCAAGAGTCTTTATTACAAAGTACAACCTTCGCATTGAAAATACATATTTGGGATTTTTTTGTTTTAGCTCATGTCATGAAAACTAAGAGTACAAATCTCTATGGAGACGTCTTGCATCTAGTAACAATAATTTGATATAGCGGAAAAAAATTGAATTTTTTTAAAAGCTCTAAATTCATAGCTTCAGAATTACCTCAAATGTACAAATACACAGATTAGAATATCCTTAAACTTGTTTTCTTAAATAGAATACAATATTTTCATATTTTATTCAAACAATTTATCAACATTAGAGATACCTAGAAGACAGATTTGCTCATTCAGATGAAAAATTATAGCCAGGCTTTCTAAGCATTTAAAAAACGTGTACCAGGAATTCTATTAGCCTGATTAACATTTTTGAAACTCAGAAACTAAATAAAAGGTATTTGGAATCTTTCTTTTTCTTTTACTTTATAAAATGCTACTGAGATATAGTTTTAAAAGCTATAGCTTAGAATGGCATCTCAAGATAATTTATTCTACAGTTTAGTCTGCCTCTTTATTCTATAGTTATAAAATGAGAAGATCATTTTAAGTTTTCAGTTACCATGCTCCAAGAATCTTAAGAATATTATAACAACTGATACAAACATGTTTTAAACATGACATTTTTAAATAATTCAGATTTATATTTTGCAAGTCATGTATTTAAAATAGTATGTTAGCAAATATAAATCTATTAATCAAAGAGACCAAGGTTAATCGACTCTAAGGACGATTGACAGCCAAATGGAATTAATAATTACAGAAATGGTTAACAATTAAAATTATTAAAATTTTTAAATCATTGATGACCCCACCATTAACCTTTATTCACACCACTGCAAAACTGAGTTAAAATGTATAGCTATAAAGTAAGGGAAAATATAACTCTATTGCTAGAATTTAAACTCTATAAAAATTACCTTGATTTTCAGGCTTTACACAAATATTTTCTTATTCTGAAACTTAATATCACTGTGACACTTTCTTCACATATATAATGGAAATCAATACCATATTATTCCTACTACTTTTTCTTTGTCATGTTGTAATACCCAAATAATTTTACTCAAAGATCCTGTTTACATATTACAAAAACAGGAAGAAACGTATATCCATCTCTTCCTGTTTTTGTAATACGTAAACAGGATCTTTTGAAAGCCCTATATCATTAATCTTATATATCCTATGCCATTGAAAAATAAGGAATTTTTTTCTCTGAACATGAGAAAAGCAATGAAAGGACAAATAAACTGATATTTCTTGAGGAAACTTACAAGAAGAATTAGGTCATTTGCTGGTTTCCATGGTACCACATAGATGAGGGCATTTTTGTTTCATTAGATGTACCATTCATATTCAGAGATTTTTATATATACTATAGAGCATTTGAGGTGCCAGATGAAAGGTACTACCTATCCCATAATATAATAAATAGAACTTCTTCTGGCACTCCAAGTGCCCTATATTCACATTTGATTTTTAAAGCCTTTCTCTTCTAAATGTAGCTACAGTATTTTGTTTCATTTGTTTTAATACAAGTTACCAATGATCATTAATTGAGTATTTATTAGGGACAAAATTTTAGCAAGAAAGTGATAATAAAATATATTAAATCCAAAAACATAAAATAAATACAGGATATTGCATCTGTTAAAAGTAGACTAAAGTAATGAGGAACAAGCCAAGTGGAGCTTTTTACTGAGAATAGCAAAGATCTGAGGATTGGGCATAAATGAAGCGGAAAACAAGAATTCCAAAAAATTGGTTCAAAAGTTATAATGAGTGAGCAGTTGATTGGGTGAATACTCTTTTGAACATTTTCTCCTTATAATATTTCTGTCTTGAGGACTACATGAACCGCTCTATCCTGGGTCTTTTAGCCTGTCTCATTTTACTCTTCCTCAGCTGGACCAGTGTTGCTAAGGTAACATCATCTACATTATCAGTCATGATGGAAATTTCCTGTAACCTGTGCTGCCAAATGCAGTAGCCACTATCATACGTGATCACTAAGCATGTGAATTATGGCTAATGCCACTGAGAAATTGAACTTTTATTTAATCTAATTATTTTTCAATCCACATGTGACTAGTGATTACTATACGTGACAGTGCATTTCTAGACCCTACTTCTTTCTGAACTACAACCTCATATTCAACAGCCTCCTTGATGTATCTGACTAGGTGCTCTATAGCACTACAGAACTCCATATATCCAATGTCAAAGTCATCATCGCTTTCTCCAAACTAGCCCCTAATTGAATTAATAATTATGAAATAATACCAACTTTTCTTAAGATAGAACTATTAAAATTATCTTTGACTCTTCACTCTATTTCATGTCTCCTATATCATACATCCTGTCCTTCAATCTTAAAACTGTCTCACAAATCTGTCTCTGTTTTCCAAAATACGTATAATTATTTTTCACACACTCTTATCTACAACCTGATCTTTAAAGCACCGTCAAAAGAAACTCATTGACATTAAGATCAAGTTGAAATTCCTTAAATTCTTCAAATGTCACCTCTCTGGTGACAGTTCCACAGGCTGTACAGGAAGCATGGCTAGAAGACCTCAGGAAACTTACAATCTTGGCAGAAGGTGAAGGGGAAGCAAGTGTATCTTACCATTAGGGAGTAGGAGAGAGAGAGAGAGAGAGAGAGAGAGAGAGAGAGAGAGAGAGAAGGGGAAAGTGCCACACACTTTTAAACCATCAGATATTGTGAGAACTCATTCACTATCATAAGAACAATAAGGGGGAAGTCTGCCCCCATGATTCAATCACCTCCCACTAGGTCCCTCCTGCAACACCTGGGAATTACATTTGACATGAGATTTGGGTGGGGACACAGACCCAAACCATATCAGAGGAAAAAGCTCCATCTTCTTTCCTCCCATATTTTGTCCACATTACTATTATCTCTTTTAATATGATATAATTTATTAAAATGATTTATTTACCTTGTTTATTCTCTTAGATCTCTCCTGTGTAGTAACCATTTTGGTATTGCAAGTGTCTTGCTGAATGTTGGGACTATAGTAGATTATCAGAATGCATAGATAGCTAATAACGATTTAGGAGATAAATGTTGAAACTTTAGAAACATAACTAGAAAATTCCTAGGTGTGGAAGGAGAAATAAGCCTATTTAAAAACATGAATACATGGCCATTTTTAATCACTCATTAAAGGATTAAGCACCTAGGATTTACATTGGCATTTAATTCATGTTTAGGTTTAGTCAATGAAGGAATTAGTTTGGTTTCTATGATAATTTTAATGTAATTATAGGAGATAAGAAAAACATCTTCAACACTGATGCAGCATGTATTGCCCTTCAGCAACTTTATACTGTACCACCTGACTGTCATTGAAGTCATGATGAATTACACCTATTGGCATCAATACTGAGCCTCATTCGTTACTTTCTTAGGTTTCATGCTTTATATCAAAAAGACAAGTGCCAAGACAAATTCAAACTTTGTAAAAAAAAAAAAAAAGAACTACAGGGAAACAGTGGAAAGCTACTTTCAAGGACTCACAGTTCACATCCCATGTATGAGTATGGTTTATTTATTTTATTGCTTAATGTATGTCACTTGGGAGATAAATACTCTAAATGCCCTAACCAAACCACTGTGAGATCTGTTCATGTAACAAAATTGCACTTCTACCCCATAAATTTATACAAACGATAAAATAAAATAAAATACTGTTCATATTCAGCAAAACCCTATTTATAAATTATTAACTTCCTAATATGTAGAAATTAAAATTTAATTTGGCATGAAATCATGCTTGCAATCTATAGCAAAGTCTAGAAGAAAAAGAGTTACTCATTGGAAGAGGATAATAGTTGTATTACATGTTTATATTCATATTAGATATACATATTTATTATATTTAATTAATTAGGTAATATAAAATATGTGATTGGGCTATGATGCTATATCAAATACAAACTTTTATTGGGAGAAATAAAAAATAGTATCTTCAGAATTTCAATTACTTCTAGTTTCTTGAAAATGCTTTAATATTGACATAATACTAGTAATAATTCTGCTTCATAATTTTACCAAGTATTTCTCATATTTTTGTGAAAATTGATTTTGTCATAATTGATAACTGAGAATGTATACCTCGATGGGTTTTTAAATTTCAAAACTGAATGTTATTTATATATCACACTATTATTCAGAATAGAAGCATACTATACCTGTGATATGTTGTGATACGTTGATAAAAATACCATTTATCCTCAGTGAAAAAAAGTATTCTAAAGGCCTCAACTCTTCACAAATTAAAATTTATATTCTATTTGTACACACTAACTTAGTGTACTCTTAGCATTTAAAATGAGTTTGATTATGTTTTTATATCTGTATTATCCATATATGTATATTTTATAGTAAAAACAAAATTCAGAAAATGCAGATAAGGGCCTACTTGAAAGATTTTAATACTAGTTTTTTTTAATGAGTTAATAGTAATACTTAATTAAATACATACTTCATTTCTAGAGAAAACGTATACATCATCTATTTCAACCTCACAGAATCCTAGCGAGGAAGGGCATTATGAGCGTATTCCTTTTTGTCGTAGAAAATAAAACAAAGTTCTACTAAAGAGAATAACAATTTTGTAGCCAAGATAGAACTAAAACCCATGCTCCATATATCCTGTACTCGATTCAACCCCTCTATATATTTCATTTCTCTGTTGATAAAATTTGACATTAAAATGAAGTATCTATTAATTACTTCATTTTATGGTTTCTCAGTTCTGCTATTGGTGAAATAAGACTGATCTTGTAAAGCACAATTTCATTCCTTGATCAATGCTTCCAACATGAGTGCAAGTAGACATGATGATTGAGGAAACAGAATCAACATTGGGTAAGTCATATGTCATCATAAAAAACCTCACGGAACTCTTGCTTCTGAACCTAAGCAGGTTTTATCTTCTCTTGGACATATAATTCTTTCCAACATCCACTTAATGGGTTAATAACTATCTGTTCACTCATCAAACAGATTTTAAAACACACGTACAATATATTCCAATATCTGTGAACAAATTTGTTATCTTCTCTCTAATGGCCTCTAATTTTCTGTCTGTTTCACACTAATTAAAAAAGAACAATTGCATATGTTCGGGATGTATTCTGTGCCCCTGTACTCCATTTCTGACCAATTCTTGCTTCCCGACATGTTCTCAGGAGTTGAAATTCTTAAGTGTGGCCAAGACTTCAGGCATCGAGAATTAGTATATGTTTATACCTCTTAATTGAAAAGCCTAGCATTTTCTCTGGCTGAGGATTTCTGATGCTAGACACCATCATTTCATTCTATGTTCTCGTGGCAACATTGCCTCAAATTATCCCTTCCACAAAAATCCTTGATTTTACTGATTCCCACAAAAGCAGGAAAAAAATGGAGAAAATATTACTATTTCATTGCCCTAAAATTCTCTAATGTTTTGCTTAAAAATAAATAAATGTAGACTCTGAGTGTCTAGAATATGTGAACAAATATATATATTCATTGTATTTGAATTCATTTAAATATATATATATTCATATATATATAGGAATGTATATGAATTCATAAAAATATATATCCATTCATGAATGTTTATGTGTGTGTCTATGTGTGTCTGCGTGTATACATCTATATATAAAATCTCCAAGTATTAGAAATATATCATATATGTTTATGAATATATATGAATTCATTAAACTATATATTCATTAATGCATGTTTTTATGTGTGTATGTGTGTATATATGTATATATATGATATATATGTCCATATATATTATATATATATAATCTCCAAGTATTAGAAATACAGCTAAGATTTTGAATACTAAGGAGGTGTTTTGTGTGCACTTCTATCCTGTTATATACAAAAAAATATGATCAAAGGAGGGAGATACTAAAAGCTAAATAAAGAACTGGGATAGGCTTCCTGTTAGGTGATTTTGCCAAACATAATAAATGTATAGCTGAGATTTAGATATTTTGAGCTTAGAATAATTTTAAGTAAAATGTAATTCAAACTCTTTTTATTTTAAAGGTTTGGAAAAAATTAATTCACACAGCTCTTCAGGGTCAAAGACAGACACAGGCTCTAGTCTTTGTATTCCGAACTCATTCTATTGACACTCACTCAGTTCGCTTTACCATATTTCCTCTTTTTAAAAGAAAAAAACAACTACATAAAGTTTCACTAAGATTTAAGAATGATTCAATCTTTCAAGAAAGTATATATATGTAAATAATCCATACATAAATATAAAAATATAAATAATTCATATATATATATATATATACATAGAGAGAGAGATTATTTTAATGGTACTAAAATGTCAATATTCTCTATAAAGTCTATCCCCAAAAGGCAGGTGATGACAGGTTAAATAAATAATTGGTAAATGTAAAAATCCATATGATGCCATGTGATGTCAGGAACATTAAATTTATTTGCTCCATACTGTAAAATTTAATTTTCTTTATGTAATTAACTCACTGCTATAAAAATACACACATTTCACAACTTATGATGGGGTTATGTCCATGATAAGTTGAAAATACCTGTTGAAAATGAATTTAATACAAATAACCTACTGAACATCTTATCTTCGCCCAGCCTATCTTAAATATGCTCAGACACTTACATTAGCCTACAACTGGACAAAATCTAACACAAAGCCTATTTTATAGAAAAAAGTCTTGAATGTCTCATGTAATTTGTCGAATACGGCACTGAAAGTGAAGAACCAAATGGTTGTATGGGTACTTGATGTAGGATTTCTACTAAATGCGTAGTGTTTTTGAACCACCATAAAGTCAAAAAATAGAAAGGTGAACCATTACAAGTTGGGGGACATCTGTATGTTAAAAATATAAGTATGATTGCCATTCAGTAAAAGACTTTCTTACTATCAATGCGGTCTTTTTCATTTTAAAAAGTAGCCTTTTTTTTCTGCAACTAAAAATTATCATAAACAAGTACCTTACCTATTTAAACAAACTATTGAAGACAGAAAAATGCAAAGGTCCACTTTGTATTTCCCCATGATCTAAAGTGAAGAGGTATATTTGATATTATTATACAACTCTACTTTCAGATACATGGCCTGAGATGAATAGAATAACTATAGTGCTTTCCATGTTATCAGCACTGGGATAAGTACTCTCCATATGTCACCTAGTTTAATCAACAGACATACCTATCAGGCAGAAACTATTATTACTCCCTCTTTACAAATGAGAACCAGTGAGTTCCAGCGCTAGCCCAAGATCATACCATGAATAAACTCATTGTTTTATTAAAAATTGATTTGTAATACAAATGATCATACAGACAGTTATGGGTCTGTATGATCTTGAATGAATTATTTATTCCTTAGTAAAATAATAGGATATACTAAAATCCTTTCTTATATATTCTACAAATGAAAATATACGGATTGCTCTTGATTGGTTATGTTCCTTTGCTCCATCTACCAATAAAGAAGAACAAATATTTCTCACCTATTTTTGAATGCATTTCTCCCCTACCTTAGTAATGGTTTCATGAAGGTTGAAAGAGGGATCCATTTCTTCAATTTTTGTTGCTCGTGTAGAAAAACGGGCCTCGGAGAGAAAACTTGGACCCTGCGGCAAATCAAAAAAGAAACATTTAAAACTCTTTATCGATTTTGTTTTTCAAGTGTTTATTGGATTTTCCTTAAAGATTAAAAAGGACTCTAAATTGCCTTAAGGTTTCTGTTGATTGCTGGATTTCATTCTCCTGATCTAACTACCCATCCCAGAATATGTATAAATTAAAATGATCAGACACATCAACTTGTTATGTCCCATCTTGTTTGATAGAATAAATAGATTAATATTTAATTAATTTAGCAATTATAGAAATGTGACAGTTTAGGACAGAAAATCTTAAATATTTGAGGTGAAATGTTTGTGGGACATTCAAAAAATCATCTAATCATCTAGATGGTGTGTGACTATATTGGTCTGAAGTTCAAGACCAAATTCTGAACTGGAGATATAACAATAATTTGAGAAACATTTACATGGTAGTTAAAATGTAATGTGAAACACACGTAGACTTAGAAGTATACTGAGTGTAGAACAGATCTCTGAGTGGTAAGATCTCTGAGTGGCACCAATACTTAAGAGGTGGAAAGATAAAAGCAAAACTCATGAAGATGTTATAGATGGAATTGTCAGAAAAGTATATGGAGAAGCATGTAACTGTTATTCCATGGGAGTCAAAAAGTAGAGACTGGGAATAAATAATCAATACAGGAAAGAAAGCAAGGAAATACAATAAGATTACGGTGAAAATTATGCCTTAGAGGGGGCATTTCGGAGATACCTGGTTTCTTTTGTCAGAGAAGATTCTGTGGAGTTGCGAGAACAGGATACAGAATAAAATCAGGTGAGGAGTAAATATGAGGAGAAGTGAGACATCAACTATGAACTACATTATTCTTTCTAGAAATTAAGATTATCTTGAAAAGTTAAAAAATAGATTACTAGCTAAAGAAAGTTAAAGAATCAACAAAAAGTGTATTCACTGTATTTAAGATAACATTGACATGGACATATTTTCAATGCTAGAGAAAGTACCCAGAAGAGTATTTGTATTAAAAATACAAAAAATATGAGGGATAAATTAATGGGTCATAGTCTTCAGGAAAAGGAATTCAGAGTTCAATAAAGTTACCCAGAAAAACCATTGTAAGTAGATGAACCAATAGAAACAAAGACACTGAAATGAGGGTGGGATGTAAATATGGTGAAATTCAGTGTTAGCACATACATGGAGGAGAAGAAAATATTCCAGGGTCATGTGTAATTACATTCTAGGCTAGAGTGAGTTAACCAAACTTCAACTCACAACCACACCAAAATGAACCCTTTTGCATGTTTTTCAGAAAGAATAATTTAAAACATTTTGTCACATAGGGTTAGTAGCAATTAAATGAACAAAATCAATGCCTTCTCTTTAGTTGGCACTCAAAGATACATGGCCTGAGATGAATAGAATAACTATAGTGCTTTCCATGTATCAGCACTGGGATAAGTACTCTCCATATGTCACCTAGTTTAATCAACAGACATACCTATCAGGCAGAAACTATTATTACTCCCTCTTTACAAATGAGAACCAGTGAGTTCCAGCGCTAGCCCAAGATCATACCATGAATAAATGGTAGACCTCGGGTTCAAACCCAGGTTTATTTGAGGCTACGGCCGACACTTTCATTCCTATATCATGAAACTTCTCTATGGCCAAAGTGATTAATATCCCAAGATTCTGTGTGTTTATGTTAACAAAGATCATTTCCCCACCTTTTATTCCAATTTCCTGCAAGCCTTCATCTATCTACTCTCAACATGCAGCAAAAACACTACGCACAGTTTAAATGATATCATCAAAAACTCCTTGCTTAGACTAAATAAAATTAAATCTAAAAAGTCCCATGTGCACTTCTCGCATTGCAATATTCTCTTTTCTGCAATCAGAAGGCATACACATCAATACTTAAATTTAATATGTGAAATTAAAACACTTGCAAGCAAGCTTTGAATGGCACTGACATTCATAATACGCTGGACAGAGGAAAAAGGTAATAACACCCATAATGTTTGAAACATGACATTCTCATCACTATTCAAAGTAAAATAGACCTGAGGTTATGTGGAGTTTAAATAGAACTGTAACTATCCAAGGGTCAAATGTGGAACAATATTAGCACATTGTTTTCTGAATACACTCGTTTTTATATTACACTTTTCAGGTCCTAGCATTAGCTTTATTCAAAATATTCAAGGCACTTCTGTACTTCTATCTAGGTTGATTTAGTATCCTTATTTTAGACTTGGAAGAGATATTAGAAATGTTAATTCTACCCAAATATACAAAGTAAAACATGAAAAAACAAGTGATTAATAATTCTACAATGTCACAAAATAGTTGTTAGGAACTCGATGCTAGAAATCAACTCTGTGTGTCAGTGTGTACATACATGTGTCTGTGCTTCCTAAACATTTTGCTATTTCTTGTAAAGTACTTTTGAGGTGGGGGTAATTAATTATAATGCCAATCTTAAAAATGTGAATCATTTCAATTAATCCAGATATGTTTTCAGTCTTAAAGTTCTTATATGCCAATAAAATACATCCATTTGATGCAGTATTCATATTTTAGGCTTTCTTCAAGCTAATCTCTGATATCTTTTGCCTTAATCACTGAATGTGTACTTATCCTATGTATTATACATACCATGTGTCATTAGCTACATAATTTATGTTTACGTAATTTTTTGTTACATCACACTTTTTAGTCAGATCAGGAGGTTGGAAAAGCTAAAGGACAACTACAAAGAAATAATAAAAGGTTCACTTAGCAGAGTATTTCACAAATTAAGGCATCTAATAATGAATGCCTTTAATTAATATTTTGAAGGTAAATAATTGAGTGAATAGATATCGCCAAGCTATTAAGCTTTCTTAATAAATATTAAATATTCCATGCAGTAAAATAAGTGATTAGTATTTGTTAATGCTTCCAAATCTGTGCTGTTATTCTAAAAAGAAGAATCCATTTAGGAATGTCTGGCATAAAGATCAGGAAAATGAGGAGGAACTCTGGAAAGTTTGGTTGTATTAATAAGTTGACTTAAAAAAATGACTGAGGCCACTTCCAAGATCCTATTTATCAGCCCCACAAATTCTAAGATCTCATAGCAGTAACTATACAGAGTTTATTATTAACTCTGCATATGAGTCACAGAGAGATCTCTTTTTACATCCTCTCCCTTCAACTTTCTTGAGAATTCTGTTTTGTTTTCGTTTGTTTATTTCTAGCAAAAGAAGAGGAAAAGGCAAACAACTTGTTTGTACCTAACACAGTGCAAGTGACCAATGCAGCATGATTTCACATCAGGAAGGAAAAAAATAATAATATTCCCTGTGTATTTTTTTTTTCATTTACACCTCAAGAGAGTTATCTGAAACCTAGATACCCTTTAGCTTATGCCTCAAAAACAAACAAACAAAAAAACGCCAAGAAACAAAAAACAAACCATCAGCTTATGAGCTAGAAAGATGTTTGAGAACTCAGGAGCATTTTTGTTTTGCTGTCCATATTGATATCACCTATGGCTCTGCACCCCTCTATTCATTCCCTGAGGCTTTATGAGATTCCTTCCTTAACTCTTCCAGATTCTGGTGGCTGTAAATATTATTTAGTTGTAGCTGTGTAGCTCTTCTTTCTGCTTTGTTCTTCACATGACCACCTCCTCTATCTGTCATCTCTTCTCTCTGTTAGAGAAACACTTGTCATAGGATTTTGAGCCCACCCAGTTATCTCAAGATCCATAATTTAATTTTATTTTCACATATCCTTCTTCCATATAAGTTCACATTAACAGGTTCTAAGTTCACTTTAAGATCCAACAACTATCACACTATAATCCCCATGCCTTCAATAAGATTTCTGAACTAAAGCTTGGAAGAGTGCTTCTAAGAGCAGACCTCAAGATTTTAATTCCAGTTCAGACATTTGTCTTCCTTCTCCTCTGTTCAGGACTAACTATAAAATGGAAGTATTTTACATTTATAAAAGAACCTTTAGGTAAGGCACAAATAAAAGCTGTATTAACTAAATAGTTATGGGTTAGCTACAAATAAATTCGGTTTTCTAGATTTGGATGGTGTTTACATGGATATACAATTGTCAAAAGATATCTAACTTAAAAATTAAGATTTATGCATTTTTTTATGCATAAATTATCCCTCAACGTAAAACAACCTTTCTATGGGACATTTCTATTATCCTAAAGAGATCCTTCTTGCCCTTCTTTTTAGGTCAGTTTTAATTAAGTTCTGTTTTTCAAATAATTTGTCTATTTCATCTAAATTGTCCAATATATTGTTTTCAAATTGTTCACAACATCTTCTTATCACCTTTTTAATGGGATCTAGGTTATGTCTTCTATTTTATTGCAGGTATGGGTAATTTTTATCTGCTCTCCTACTCATCTGTTTAAGATTACTAAAACCTTGTCTGCTGTCTCCTTAATCCCATCATTTCTTAAAATTTACTGAGTGTTTTAAGGTTTTATGTGATGCTTTAATACACATTGTGGTTTAAGTTTTAATTTTTATTCATATATAGTATGTGCCCATATTTATGGGGAACATGAGATAAGGGATACAGGTATAGTCCCAACTATTTAAGATTAGTAAACTGTTGTCAATCACCTTCACTTTATGGATGAGAAGACTGAAATTCAGAAGCTTTATCTGACTAGATTCTGCTAGTAAGTGGCAGAATCTGGACTGGAATTCACATCTTCGTCGTCAATCTACTGCTACTTACTCTCCATAACCCTGCATGTCAAGTACTCAGATAAAGCCAGGTTGACAGTCAGTTCCAGATAATACAGAGAACACTATAGAAATTGCAAAACAAAAATAAGAAGTGTTCAAGCCTGTGAAACGAAACTGAATACACTAGAGTTCGTTTTAAGATTTTAAAATTCATGATAAAATTCGTCACGTATATCAATTAAGTGATAGTTGAGCTGTTTTACGGCACTTGTTGAATGAATAGAGGCACAGAATTCTTTGACCTCCCTTTCTGGTTTCTCTACACTTTCCAAGGCTCAACTAGATGAGTATTAAATATAAATGCCTTTTTATTAATGAAATCAATGAAGTCTTTCTTAGGAGCTACAGAAAAGGAAGGCAAAGGATATGTGCAGTTCTAAAGAAAAATATTTTATTAATTTGATAAGTGTTAATACATATCAGAAAATTTCAAGAATTTATAAAATAAATGTATTTATACATAATATTGTTATCCTTTAATTCTTCTGGCATTGCAAATGAAAATAAGAACTTAAAATTTTAGTATGTGGTAGCAATAATAGGAAACTGAAACAAAGTCAAGAAGCTGTTATCTAGAAAACTATGAGTTCAATAATAGCAATTTCTGTAGCTACAATTTGCTGAGTGCCTGTGTACTGTACTGTCAGCCAGTGTCTACTTAGGTACAGTTATCCTTTGATATACTTGGGAAATTTGTTCTAGAACTCCTGTGGGCACCAAAACAGATGCTCAACTCCCTTACATAAAATGGTATAGTATTTGCATATAATCTACACACACACTCTAGTATATTTTGTATCATCTCTAGATTACTTATAAGACTTAATACATTGTAAATACTATGTAAATAGTTGTTATATTTTTTATTTATAGTATTTTTCTTATTGTAGTATTGTTCTATTGTGTTTTTGAAAGTATTTTAGATCCAATCTTGGTTGAATCTGTGGATGCAGAACTTGCAGAAATGTAGGGCCAACCGTATTTCCGCATGGAGAATTTTCTGAGGAAATTTTACCGGAAACTGTATTAGAGGCCAAGCCTTGGTAATTAAATAATGGCTGAATAGATGGAGAAACCCAGAGAATTACCTAGATGGAGGTATATGTTTACACTTGAAAGGGGTATAAAACCCAGAACCATGGAAATATTACATTCATAACAATGCCTAACATAGGTAACATTACATTGCAAAGGGTAGGTACTCCCAGACCTTTCCCTTTATTCCTAAGTAGAATTTGTTGCCTTAGGAAAATTAACTTTCTCTCCCTCTCTTAGGAGGGGGAATGGGTGATGGTGACATGTGTATGATAGCGCAGGAGACAGACAAATTCCTAGACAGACAGGAACGGGTCCCCAGTGAAACCTGACCTTCAAGCCAAAGACCGTTTAAAGCCGGAAAACCGAGCTGCCGGTTTTACGTAGAATCCGTGACGGAGTGAGAGCTTCTGTTCCTGTTTGCCCACTCTTTCCTGACTGGTCGTTTCCGAATAATGCTTTTTAACCAACTGAATGTTGCCTTTTCCAAAAATACCTCCGGTCAGAGCCTCCTTATTCCAAACCTATAAAAACCCTAGACAGCCTCACAGACTTACCCGCTTTTGGGTCCCCTCTTGAAGCTGAGGGCTACCCACTTCAGGTCGCCTTTTGCAGCTGAAAACTTTCCTTCTTTCACTCAAACTTCTATTCTTCCTTATTTGCTATCCTGTGTCCGCATACCTCATTTCTCTTGGTCACAGGACAAGAACCTGTAACCTGCCAGATTGCAGGCACGAAAAGAGCGGCAACATGTGCAGGCACGAAGAGAGCGGCAACATGTACCCGTTCCAGGTGGTAAGAACAAGAGAGCTGTGACATGCCCCTGTTCGCTGAGCTGCAGGCAGCAGGAACAAGAGAGCTGTAACACACCCCCTCCTGCTCGCCGAATTGCGGGAGTGAAAAAGCCACTGAGTGTTACTCCTTTCTGCCTGCCGATCTGTGAGTGGCAGGAATAAATGGGCTTGTAATATGCTCCCAAGCAGTGGACTATGGGAGAAAGAGCAGCAAAACTTCTGGGGGCCGAGACCCCGGGACTCCCCGAGCTATAGCTGTAACACCCCTTAGGGATCTGTGATTGCTGGCATCTCTTTTAGTTTTCGGGTGCCATTGCATTCCCCTCATCTTGACGCTGGCGCCCAACGTGGATGCTGGTTGCAGCACACCCAGCTCAGCTGCGTGCTAAGCGTGGAGCCATGGCAGGGGCGGAATCCCAGCGAGCAAGAGCTGAGTGCAGCCTGCCAGGTCGAGTGGGCGAAGTGAGCCTGGTGGGCCCAAGTGAGGTCCCAGGTAGAGGTTGCAGCAGCCACAGAGATTTCTGGCTGGCAAAGTGGCACCAAAGGAATCCTATGTCATTTCTGGGGGCTCATCTGGGATTGGTGGAAGGGTAAGTGCAAACCTATTACTTTTTAATTCCAATTTTTTTTTTTTTCCAAAAAGAGATAAAAATTCTCGCCCCTGTAAGCCAGTTAAGAGTGAGTAGCGTGCCTGCCATTTTTCAGACTTGGAGGAGAGGCTTGCTGGGGAGGACTTTGTCAATTCTCCATCACCCCTCGGGGGGTTGGGCATGTTGGCTTTTTTCCAATCCAGTTTGGCTTCATAGAGGTCTAGCCATCACGTGGGATCAGAATAAGGTCCTGGCCCAAGCTACACCTTGGCATTACTTGAAGGTTCCTGGACTGGCTTCAGTCCCCAACAGTCCATTATGGTGTCAGCACTAGGACCTCCAGTCTTTCCTATCACATTTTCTTTCTTTCCTTTATGGCTGTTAGGGCTCCTATGTGTTCTTATATACAATGTTAAGGGTGTCGTTGCAAACCACAGAGACAATATAACTGAGTAGAATGTGCACTTGGCTCAGTCATCAGGAGTGTAATTCAGAACAATGTGGTTTCTGTCTATTCTTAGAAGCAAGGAGAATATAATGATTGAGAGTTTTCTTTCCCTTGTTGAAAAAATCCATTAGCATAGAGCAAGAGGCTATTTCCCCCAGGCACCTTCCCTCCTCTGCATTTAAGTTGTTTTTTTTTTTTTTCCCACCATGTTAGGAATCAACATAGTCCTGCAAATACTAGAAGAAGGTTTTCTATGCAATGGATTATTTTTTTTTCCTTTTGGGAGGCAATCTTGTTAGTGCAGGTCCCCAATTCCTGGGATTCATTCTTTCTTTGCTTTGCTTTTCTTTCTTTCTTACTTTTTCTTTCTCTTCCTTCCTTCCTTCTTTCTTTCTTTCCTTCTCCTTCCTTCCTTCCTTCCTTCCTTCCTTCCTTTCTTTCTTTCTCTCTTTCTCTCTTTTTTTTTGTCTGAGGAGAATCTGGTTCAACAGCTTCACTTTAGCATACTGCTTGTGATAGGGAAGCAATGGAGGAGATGCTCCACCAGTTGTTGGCTGCAATTTAGCAAGGGCCACTTGGCACAAATTTAATGGCTCCATACACCCTCCAGAGGCGCCTTTTTGTCCCAGATTCTATTCCAAGGTTCAGTCTGAAGCCCTAAAAGAAAATCAGATCTGAGGGATCCAGAGGCAGTCAACAGTAGAAGGCTAGGGCACAGCCCAGGTGAGCATGACTATCCCTTCTGACTCGGTCTTCCCACTTCATGGGTGGAGAACTCGTGCACATCCATGGTATAGATGAGGTATACGGAACCCAAAGGTTACCAACAGCGGAAAGCCAGGGCACGGTGTAGGTAAGTGTGACTATCTCTACTTACTAGGCCTTCCCTCTTCATGGGTGGAATTCGCACTCACATTCCTGGGCAGCACTTGCAAGGGCGCTGGGACCCTGGTAATATAGGGAAAAAAAGAGAAGAAAAGGGACACCTTTTCTCTCTCTCCCTCCATCCTGTGTCACTCCAAAAGGAGGAAGGCGACTAAGGGATGCCTTTCTCCCCTCTCTTTCCAGATGAATAAGCAACCTTCTTCAGCCTGCACTCCTCAAGTGCATGCTGAATCACTAGAACTCCTTTGACTCTCAGACCCTAGAGGAAAAAAATGCTTTATATTCCTTTGCATAAGGGTTTGGTCAAGTTATAAGCTGCAAAGGGCAATCCCAAGGGAATAGGGAAGCAAACTGCAGAGATGTCTCCAGCAGGGGAATCAGTTCCCTTTGGTCCTACTCCTCCTAGTCCACCCCTTTCTCCCTACCCAGGTTGTCTCTCAAGCTTGTCTGATCCTAGAAATCCTCGTTTCAGGCAGGTCCTGACCTCACTTCTGCTCCTACAAGAGATGCCTTGTGAATATGTCCCCATTAAAGTCCAGGTCCCCTTTTCTCTACAGGACGTAAGCCAAATTAAGGGGGTTCCTGGCAAGTTTTCAGACAACCGTGACAGGTATATAGAGGCTTTCCAGAATTTAACTCAAGTATTTGAAATTTCCTGAAAGGACAATATGTTACTTTTGAATCAAACCCTGACTACTGCTGAGAAGGAGGTTGCCCTGCAAGCAGCAGAGAAGTTTGGGGATGAGTTTTTTATCTCATATAGTGCCAAGGAAGGGGATGAGCCTTATCCAATTGGAAGAACAGCAGTACCATTGGAGGACCCTACATGGGACCCCGATGATGAAATGGGAGAATGGAAGAGGAAACACTTTCAGGTGTGCATACTGGAGGGCTTACGTAAGACTAGAACTAAGCCTCTCAATTACTCCAAACTATCCACAACAGACCAGAGATCAGATGAGAATCTCACTGCCTTCCCAGAAGGGCTGAGAGAGGCCTTGGTAAAGCTTCTCTAGCTCCTGATTCAGTTGAAGGACACTTAATCCTAAAGTACAAGTTTATTACTCAGGTGGCCCTTGATATCAGGAGGAAGCTACAGAAACAGGCCATAGGACCAGATAGTGCTCTGAAAGTGGCCACGTTAGTCTTTTAGAATAGGGTTGGGAGGAGGCCCAAGAGAGGGAAAATAGATGCAAGAAAAAGACAGAGGCTCTAATGGCTGCCTGGCAGGCTTACAAACCCCAGAATCCCTGAGATGCACCTGGTAACTGCTACAAATGTGTCAAGCCAAGGCACTTTAGGAAGGACTGCCCAGGCAGCATGAGGAAGCCGCCTCCACCCTGTCCAATCTGTGATGGGGACAACTGGAGGGTGGACTGTTCCCGAGATACAAGTCACAGGGTCCAGAGCCAGTCTTTCAAATGGTCCAGCAGGACCAAATGGGTCCCAGCACTCCTCTCCCTAGCTCCAATGGTTCAGACCACCATTACCATCCAGGAGTCCCAGGTGATTCTGGAGGTCGAAGGAAGGAAGGTGGACTTCCTCCAGAGTAACCATTTCTGTTCTCCTCTTCAATCCAGGCCTCCCCTCCTCCCTTAGCATGACTGTGAGTGACATCTCAGGAAAGCCTTTAACCTGATATTTTTCCCAATGCCTTAGTTGTAGTTGAGGAGACCTCTTGTTTTACTCACGCCTTTTTAATCATGTTTGAAAGCCCAACTCCTCTGCTAGGTGGGGATATTTTAGTTCCTATGGGAACTACCATCCTCATGACTCCAGGACAGATTCTTCTTCTCCCTTTGGTGGACTCAGACATTAATCCAGAAGCTTGGGCAACTCAAGGGAAAATTCGCTGAACCGCAACCGCCATACTGATCCAGATCTACCTTAGGGGTCCCACCTCCTCCCTAACCAAAGACAATATCCCTTAAAAGCAGAAGCTACGAAAGGGCTAGAAGCCATGGGCAATAACTTGAGGATGCAGGGCCTCCTCAAACCCTGCAACAGCCCTTGTATTACCCCAATATTGGGGGTACAGAAACCCACAAACTGAACATGGAATCGCAGAGGGTCTGGGATCCAAGTTGGCACAAGGGAGTGCAGCCTGCTGGGTTGAGCAGGTGGAGCAAGCCCAGGGGTCCCCAGGCCCCAGGCAGAGGTCACGGCATTGCAGAGATTTCCAGCTTGCGAAGTGGCACTGAAGGAATTCTGTGTCACATATACACTCCCAGATTCATATTTTCAGAGTTCCTACATTGTACTATGGCATGCAATCTCTTCTAGCTGGCTCTTATTCCCTCACTCTAGAAAGAGCAAAAAAATGAGATGTAAGTAATGACTCTGATCTCTGCTCCAGAAACCTAATGTTTATATTCAGAATAATGTAAATATATGTAGATTTTTTAAACGTGAGTACTACTGATTTAATAGTGATAGCAATAATAATGTTATTTATTATATTTATTTAGATTTATTTAAACATTTATTTATATTCATATTTATTATATTTATAATTAAATATAAATGGATGTGTTGAATACATACAATAATTCTAAAATGTAAATATTAAATGTATATATTTTGAATATGATTGCTTGTAATAAAATATAGACACATTTATATTATATAAAACATATATCATTTATATAATATATCAAACTTATCTGTGATATATACGATAAATATTCCTTTTATTAAAATGACTATAAATAACATATACTAAAATATATCATATTATATATAATACATATTACAGTATATGTAATATATAAATATGTATTATAATTATGTATATATGATATAATATATATTATAAGTAACATGCTATATAATATATACTATATAACATACATAATCATATGTAATAATATAAATATATATTATACGTATTTTATATACATATATATTATACATATATATATATATTTTTTGAGACAGAGTCTCCCTCTGTCACCCAGGCTGGAGTGCAGTGGTGCAATCTGGGCTCACTGCACCCACCGCATCCTGAGTTCAAGTGATTCTCCTGCCTCAGCCTCCCAAGTAGCTGGGACTACAGGTGCGTGCCACACGCCTGGCTGATTTTTGTGTTTTTAGTAGAGACGAGGCTTCACCATGATGGTCAGGCTGGCCTTGAACTCCTGACTTCCAGTGATCCTCCTACCTTGGCCCCCCAAGGTGCTGGGATTACAGATATGAGCCATCATGCCCGGCCAATACTAATAAATATTATTAAAGATTTAGCAATATTTATTGAATATTTGCTTTATGGCAAGTTGCTTAAATTATCTGTGCCTCAGTTTTCTCATCTATAAAATGGATACCAATAATTTTATCTCTCATAAAATCATCATAGGGATTTCAGGACACAATATATGTAAAATTCTTAAAAATAATGTCTAGAACTATTTATTCATCAAACAATTTTTTTCAGAAAGGTATTTATTATTTTTCCCAATATGCAGATTAAGGAAAGAGGCTTACAAGGGTGAAGAAATCTGCCTAATGAAATACATCTACTCATTGGTAGAATTTTAATGCAAGCATAGGACTCACTTATTCTGAGTTAATTCAGTGGTCATTAAATGCCAATTCATAGGGTGGTGCTGTAGCTCAGTGCATAACAAAATGACAATGATAATAATAATGCAGAAAGTTATTTTTTCATAAAACTAAATATATTCTAATCAAAGAGCTGTCCTTTTTCCTGAAGTTGTGTTTTCAGCTGTCTTTTGATATTAAAATATTTCTTCTCTCATGAAATAAATTGAGAGTAGATTGCTGTTTTGTTGTTTACTTGTTTTGTCCTAACCTGCTTACTTGGTAAATTTACAGTTGGCATTCTAGGTCAATCTCAGAATTTCTGTTTTATGATTCATTTCATTTGTCCTAAAGAATTAATTAATATCTAAGAAGTACTTATTAAATCTTTTAGGCCTTTGTCATGCCAGTTTTAGAAATTAAAAAAATTGATTTTCAGCAAATTTATTTAATTTTTTATAGTTGCATATCTTGTGTCAGGACTGAAATTTCAACCTTGATCAGCTGAGTTTTATGCATGCACTCATATTCAAAACACTATATCCAAATATTCTTCTCCTTCAATAATAAATAGCCTTAGAAGGTTAGTAGGCAGTTTCATGACTTCAAAACAATAAACAAAACACTAACCTGAATCACTTTTCTATAGATATAATAGCTACACAGCAAAATGTCAAGATAATACAGATTTTCTGATAGGCAGGAGGCTTAACAGAGTTTTCAATATATATGCTAAATACTACCTGCTAGAATGTCACAATGCTATCAACACTTAAAAATAATCTGATCATAAAATATGTATTATAATTTAAGCTAGAGCTTCTAAACATTTTCAAGCCAAGTGTCATTCAAAAATAAATACTAAATATCTAGATTGTTTAAGAGATTCTGGCACGCCAGGCCGAGGGTGGTGGCTCACGCCTATCATCTCAGCACTTTGGGAGGCCGAGGCGGGCAGATCATGAGTTCAAGAGTTCGAGACCAGCCTGGCCAACATGGTGAAACCTGGTCTCTACTAAAAATACAAAAGTTAACCAGGTATGGTGGCTCGCACCTGTAATCTCAGCTACTCAGGAGGATGAGGCAGGAGAATTGCTTGAACCCCGGAGGTGGAGGTTGCGGTGAGCTGAGATTGTGCCACTGCATTCCAACCTGGGTGACGGAGCAAGACTCCGTCTTGGGAAAAAGAAAAGAGACAGATTCTGGCATGCCTACTTTGTGAGAGCAGTATATTGTGGGATATTGTATATCTCTTGAGAATCACTGATGTGTAAAAGGTATATGTTTACCTACAGATATTCCCCAAAGAGAATATCTATAGATGGATATATCCTAATGTATGGGAGATTATGTCAATCCTTGTATTCTATAACATGAATTGAAAAAATATTTTATGTATTATGAATAATGGCAAATGATGCTAAAATACATTGTAATAGTAGCTCAATTAACCCTCAGAAAAATCCTGTGAAGTAAATGTTATTATTATCCCAATTTTATAGATGAAGAAACTGAGGTACAGTGAGTTCGAATATCTTGCCCAAGCAGTAAAACCAGGAAATCATCACAGGCATTATCTGTGCTCTTAACCATTTGAAAATACATTGTCTATACTATAGACAATAGCCAAATGAAACATATGATTGACTTTATATTTAATACAGTCAGATGTCCCTGGATAAATTATGCATTTCTATTCCTGCTAAATTATAATGTAGTAATGATTGTTGAGAATCATCTCAGGTGAGAAAAAATAAAATGTATGTTCATTTCATATAAATTTCAGACATGAATAAAATACACTACGATGCATAATGTTGTAATTTAAAATCTTCGCTTGCCCATTCTTCAGTAATTTTAAGTCTATGCACTACTTTATCGTATTTCAATTTTTAAGACAGAACATATGAAAATATAACTTTCCAAAATATTTTGGATCATTTCACTAACTAGTAAGCAAGTAGATATCTTTCTTTTCACATGGAGTTTGGACTGTTTAGTAAAGGAATTAGTACCATAACGTTAAGTCATTAAATGGTTAACTGAGAGCTCTTTTCTCTTTAGCTTCTCTCCTTTCTTTGGGGAGATAGATGTTCTGCATATCAGACACACCAAGAGATGATTCTATAACTATTTAACACCCAGTCATCTGAAGTCCTGGAGGAGGGTCCAGGAGGAGTCATTATGGATGAGGGAAAGACACGCCAAAGTCTCAGAGCCCTAGCTGTTTACCAACTCTGCTAACATATTTTGTTGTAAGTGATTCAGCTCTCAGTGGTGGATCCCGGCTATCCCTGGGGTAGAGGTGCCACACCCAGCGTCATGGTAACACAATGAATAAAATTATTAACATACAAAATTACATTTTATGTATCATTGAGAATGCAGAACGTACACAAATAAATTGCAAGGTAGGAAAAGAAAAAATGATATTCTCAAATTTGGGGTGGTGAGGAGGAGAAATTGTCTCAATCATAAGAAATCCAAACTTTAATGCAGTCTTAGTATTAATAAAACCTGGTCTCTCTGGTAAAGCCTCAAGTCAATTTAACAACAGCATTTTTTTTTGAGGTCAGAGCCTGTTAGCCTCTTGAAAAGCTTTCTGTTTAACAGTCAGTCAGGGCTTTTCTCAGGGCTGTATTTAATCAACTCTGAAAGAAATGGGGGATTTAAAGGTCTTAAAGTTAAGGGCAAAAGAATCTAAACATCGGGTTAAGAAGAAACAAATACATTCGTCAAATCCTGAGAAAGATATTATAGCCCTTCAAGGTCCTTTGGCCAAGAATAGGAAGAGAGTACCTTTATATCATGACCTCATGTTTCATAATCTGGGTGAAAACACCCAGGGAAATGAAACCAGGAACAACAGCTTATCTAGATTTTATCACTTACTGTACTACTCATTGTTATTTGAAAATCTTTTTGTCAAATATTAAGCCCAATATGTAAAATTGTGCAGAAATAAGACAGACACCATTCTAGAAATGAATGGTTGTTTAAATCTGTCCCAACTGTCCTTCCCTCTTCTCCTGTAGCTCACCCCATGGGATTTCATTTGGCAACATATGAATGACTTCATATTAATACAGTCAGATGTCGCTGGATAAATTATGTATATATTTCTATTCCTGCTACTACTTACCAAGGGCTAAATGCAAGTCTTTATTTTTCTATGTATTTCTAGGGAGTACAGATAGATTTAATTTCAAAGGCTAAGAATATTTCTGGAATATCTGTAATTTAGGGCAATGTTTTCCTTTAGCTAAATCCATTTATTTTAATCATTCTTTTCATTTATTCAACTGGAAATCAATAAAGGCACTAAATTAATTCTGCAATTCACTAAAGCAAAAATTCCATTTAACTGAATGAATAGTTGTTAAAGAAAGCCACTATTTTAGCCCCAGTGGATAAAACATGTATGGCTTAGTTTGTCTCTCAATGAGTGTCTCTGAAGACTATATACCATGCTTCACTTCAACAAATTATCCAACCTCCAACATAGAACAGACTATTTCCTTTGTAAATTAAAATATAAAGAAAGAAAATATGCTTTTAGTTGATTTCTGATAGCATCTTTCCTTAATTTTCATTTGAGAATAATCAGTTATCTCGATTTTCTCCAGTCCTAATTTAATGACAGTGAAATTAAAAAGACATTGATGTTCTACTTTTCAAACAATGGATCACTTCTGATTAAACTTCAATTGAACATTAAACTTCTAGACTTAAAACAAATTGCCTCTTTTTTCTTTTTAACTTGGACCCAATTTCCTGCTGCCCTCAGGTCTCTCAATGGTAATTAATTGATTTATGAATCAATTGAAGGGCGATTTCAAGTTGGAAAAAAAATAGAAAAACTGTTTCTTTTAACAAAATTTATGACCAATATTTTACAAATGACAATTCTCTCTCAAGTTAACTATTTATCAGTGAGCAAATTTCACATTTATAAGGTATTTTTTAAAAAGTTGAGTGTGCAAATTTAATTTCACTTGAAATTATTATTTGCCTTTGTAAAAGTGCCTTAATCAAAGTACCACATCTAACTATACAATCATTAAGTTATCTTATTGTGATTTAATAGAATAAGCAAATCTGAAGAGCAATAATTCTCACAAAACTCTCCATACAGATAGCATGGTAGACTTAGCTAAGTAGAAATCTGGGGCCTGGGTTTAAATTCTAGCTCTGCTACTCACCATTGTTGACTTTAATTATGCACTTTAGCTCTCTGAAGTCAGTTTCTCACCTGTAATATTGGGATCTTGATATCACCTTCAGAGTGCTATTGTATATTGTTATTATATTTGCATATACGGCATACTGTATTTTCATCATATCTATACTAACAGTTATATATTAATATTCAATATTATTAAACGAGAACAATGAGCAAAACACTCAGAATGGTTGCTGGCACAGAGAACTGTTCAGTAAATGCCAACACATTATTATTATTATATTAGTGGATCTTATTAAACTGCATCTCCAGTGCTTAGTATTTCTTCAGATACACTGATAAACATGTTCATGTGAATGCAATGTCTCTGAATCTTTATCAGAAACACACATGATCAAAAATTCCACACAAAAGGGAAGAAGATGGTAAGATGGCTTTATGGCTCAAAAATGTCCAGAATATTTGATAGAATTTTTACAGTATTATTTGTGGATTAAAAATTCAACATAGTAAATAATGGTAATTCATTGGAAGACCAGAAAACTAGAATACAATGGCTTAAGATCCTGAGAATAAAGTATCATAGCCATCTGTGTGGTCATGAGAAAAATTCTTAAATATTTTCATCCTTTCTCCCTCATCTGTAACAGTTCAACAAATGTTTATTATGCTACAGGTCATTATCTGTACATTGAACATGTAAAAAAAAACACAGTCATTGACATTGTTAAATAAACAAAAAAGAAGAGAGAACAGAATATATAAACACACAGAAATGTAGATAAATGCCATTAGCTATCAGATTGTTGTTTGCAGAACAACTCTCATTTCCCAATTTGCTAAGAAAGCTAGAAAAATCTACTTACATAGGGTGATCCTCTATGTTTTCCTACTTGTATTTAAATGAGATCATATATGTTTAAGTCCTTAATGTGTAAATGGATAAGAGTGAAATCTCAACAAACACAAGTTTATTAACAATTTTTAGAAATTAATTTTTAGCTTCCTATTTTAAATTTAGAATTGATATTTGAGGGCTGGAAAAGATATTATAAATTAGGTAAATTCCTTTTTTTTTACATTGAAAAGAACTAGCATAAAGAAGGTGACTGATTTACCCAGTATAAAGAGAACTAATGTGTGGGACAGCTCAGGATAGACTTTGAGAGACTGGTGCTTGTTCTAGTCACCATAGTGCCACTTAATAATGCCAAGTACCCTTCCTAAACTCCTCATCAAAACTGCAAGTCGTTCACAATACAAAGGTGACTAGTGACTAGCAGTTGGAAGGGAGATGGGAGAGGGAAGAAGTGTGTAAGTTAATTTCCCCTCTGCTATGCTGTCCAGCATCTAGAGTTTTGTCCATTGCTTAGTTCATACACTGTAATGAAAGAAAAAAGGTTGAGAATAAACAAAATATGAGCTCTGGTAATGTGTTCATTATAACAATAGTCCCCAAAATGGAAGAATTACATACACAGTCACAAATATGCCTATGTAAGTAAACTACAAAGATTTAGTTTTCAATTAGCAATAATCGCGCTTCGGATAAACCTCATTGGCTACGATACTGCCACTGCACAAAGCTAACTACAAAGATTTAAAAAAGGAAAGAAACATATTCCATATCTTAAAAAAAAGTCATATATACTATAAATATGACAATGATATAAATACTACACATATGTATTTTAACATTCTTCAATGGAAATCTTTTCTATGCTTCCTTTAATAAAGCCATTCTAATTTCTAAATGGAGGTCTTATTTATATTAATATCCTTAAAAATTCTATGTTCTTTGTACACTTCTCATTGCTTCCAATGTTTCAGACTACACTTTTTTTTCCTACTGGCTGTCTCAGTTGAATTGTGATGATGAGGCCAAAATCAGTGTTCAATCTCTATGTGGGCCAATAGACCTGTCACTGAAAACCTTTTGTTAATCTGGGTGTCTATTTTCATTCTATTTCATGATCCTGCAATTATACACTGCTGCTCCAAAGTGAAACTGGCTCAACACAGAAAGAGCGCTTAGTACAAACAATTACTACTACTAAAAAAAAAAAAAAATCACACTGGGCCTTGGATCAAGACGATTATCTCTTTGGTATGTTTTATGGTGATAGCTCAGAATAGTGGTACACATCAGCATTTATTTTGTTTGGTAAATATTTTACAAATAATAAAAGTCAATTATATAAATAAAAGGTAAGCTATGCATAGTGGCAAAACGGTAACATTTGCAATTTCAATTATGATACCACTCGGAAGCAATTTATGCTTTGCATATTATAGACATTCACTAAGCTTGTGATGGAAAAATGAAGGATCAGTATAGTTTCCATGAATTTAACCTATTATACAACTGAGAATACTATTAAATCAACTTATATCTAAAAGACTCATTGTTTCCCAAATTTCATAACTCCTACACGATCGTTATAACAATGTTTAAAGGATTGTCTCATTTTGCATTCAGGATGTATGCCAAAGTCTGTGGAAGCATGAAGGCGAAAAACACACTGGGAGAGAGGATAAAAAGAAGAGCAGAACAAAAGTACCTCCTGTGTCTGCACTGCAGGCTCTCTGTGTCTTTATAGAATGGATTTCCTGTTCAATAAATAAAGCGCTGGACACGGAACATATTGTGCAGATAAACTGCTTATAATAAATTTTATATTGTGGAAATTTTTTAAAACAGAAAATGCAGATTTAGGAAAAAGTGGAGCTAATCTTCATTAAAAGATTAAAAGAGGAACAATATTTTAATAAAAATGATGTTTTGAATAAATTAGCCCATAGTCCACAATCTGAAAATGGAAAGTATTCTAGAACTTCAGATTGTGGACTATGGGCTAATTTATTCAAAATTAAATGCCATGTCCCACAGATGTCATTATTAATTAATTAATTTCTCACTTAGTGGAAATAAGTAATTAATAATAACATCTGTGGGACATGATATTTGAGTGGCCACACATTCTGGTAGCAATGGGAATCAAATGATAGGATTCTAATCCAGGTTTTGTCACTGACATAGTGACCTCGGGCAAAAATCCTTAGCATTATTGCCCTTGAGTTTTTAGTTAATATGGTATAATTCTAAATTTCTCAAATTTCAGATTGAATATGATGTGTGTGTGCGTGTGTGTGCGTGTGTGTGTGTGTTCCATGTCACCTGCTCTTCTGTCTCTAACCCATTGTTTCTCATTCCTAGCTGCTCATTAGAATCACTTGGATTAAAACTCACGGATGCTTGAAATTCATCCAGAACAATTAAAACTGAATAATAAGATTGATCTTAAAAGATACATTTTCACAAAATCCTTTATTAAGAGTCAACGTCTTCCCTCTTTTACAGGTGTGATCAAGAAGCATAATCACATGTTTTTAAGGAATGCCAGTTTATAACCAATTTGAACTACTCGGTAGTTGTTAACTGATTTTCTAACATTTCAAACGATGGTTTACTACCCTTGAAAAAACAGGAACTAGTAAGTCATATATTGACCCCTCCACACCACCTTTATTTCTGTATACTCTATTGCCTTTGCCCATAAAATAGAGATTAGGTTATTTATGGTGTATATGTAAATCTATCAAGGATTACACAGATGTGATTCTGTCTCAAATTATGAGTTGAAAAAGTTTTTGATATGACAAAATATGTATAAAGTTAGCAGAGTGGAAGGAAAAAAGCATAATTATGAATTATACACATACTACTATCATTCATGTAAAATACTTAGAAAACATCTGAGAAAAATACAATAAAATGTAACAATGAATATGAGATTATAAATTTCTTTTTCTCTTTATACTATTATTTGCTTTCCATTTCTTTAGCATGTGTGCATATTATATTTACAAATAACACTTGAATTTAAAAAATATATAATCTAAGTTCAATGGAACACTCATCTGAAAAACATTTGGCTTAATGCCAGAATTTTCTTCAGGTTCAAAAAGAAGCCAAACTTCACAATACACCTTCTTACTCTCTCTGTGTAATTTTCTTTCATACATTCATTGAATGAGCTGCAGTTCAATAGCTTTTGTGGTCTTCTTTTTCTCTCCACTTGGTGTGGTATAAAAGATATTTCAAAAAAATAAATACAAGCAACTCAATTGCTTGTTAAATTTTATGTTAAGGATATGTACTGATCCAGCAAAATTACCACAGACAGCCACACATGCTGCTGAAATGTAAGCTTCCCTGCCCACCTGTCTACAGGAAAAGCAAGTGGTGACTCAAAATTGCTTTGCTCTTCTCTGACACTTCAGCTAGAAAACTAAGACCAAGGAACAGAAGTATGCTAGGTTTTCCTTACACTCTTCTGTTTGCCTCAAGTAGAAGCGAATCATGATATGGATTTAGAATAAATTAAATACAGTCCATTCAAGTATCTGAATGCACAGCTGGGATTCAAAGGCTGTAGATGCTACATCTGTTGCTCTACCAGAAAGATCTGTTAGTGAATAGCTAGTGGTTTCAGCTGTAAGGAGTTCCGCAATATTACACCTCAAATATTATGTATATTTTAGGTGAATTTAAGCTTAAAGAAAATATCTTTTGCCCTTAAGGTGACAAAATAGATTTTTTTTGTTATTCCCTTTCTCCCTCAGTTATTTTCTGACATCCGCAGCAGCAAAGGCGTTTTCATATACAAAAAAAAAAAGGCTAGTTTCTCTGACTTTACTTAGACTAGCAAAAAAGGGAAACCAATACTTCCTTTTCCTCTAAATATCAGGATTGGGATTTGCTCTTCCAGTGGCTTTGCTTTTCTATCAAGTATCCCTCATCAAACTGGTAGTAACAGCACCTGTTTTTAACCAAGGTGCTGGGCATGAAACCTTCATTTCTACTGAGGTTTTCCTCAGACTTAAATACTTTGGCACTTTAAAAAGAAATAGATCAACAACCTCTGGAGACACAAGGCTTCTTTTGTTCTGTTGCTCTTTGTTCCTTTCCCTTTGTCCCTTCTGAGGACATACAACATCGTAGTGATGTAAAGAACAGTTGCTAAAACTTGCTGAGAGGTCCAAGTAGCTAAGCAGGCTTGAAGAATGTCGTCATAGATTCTCTTCCTCACCAGTCTTGTGACAAATATTTTCCTTTGGGTTGCTGTTTTCCACCAAAGGATACTGAGCTACAGGGCAATACTCTGAAGAAAGTAGTTATTTTATTCACCCTGAGTATATGCTCTAGTGATGCAATTTGTAGTCCAATAATTTATGAATTAGCACAGATATTAATATAGGGAGCAATGTACTATCCCAAAAATTTAAAACCAGGAGTCTGTGCTGTAAAATTATAATTAAATGTTATCTAAATACAGGTTTAAAAAAACAGCAATACACAGTTAATCTATGCTGTAGAATTATAATTACGTGTTATCTAAATACAGTTAAAAAAAAAAAAAAAACAAGCAATATACATCTAGGTGTCCTCAGCCTGAGGAGTGAATGAAGGCTGGGGAAGGAGGAAGAGTAAAACATATGCTTACATTGAAAGAGGAGGCAAATAAGCCTATCTTTTTCCTTCCTCCAAATTTAAATTATCTTTTTTCTGACCAACTCAGTTACCAGAATGAGGTCTTCAGTCTGCATTATACATAAATACATAATTTTATTTCCCCATAAGAGTTTCCCTACTTCCTGCTGATGCACTGCAATATCTTTTTTTTAATGGGAATAAAATCTTTCCCATCCATATCTAGAAATAAAAGCTTAGAAAACATATGTAGATTTGAGCAAACATTAACTAAAAAATCATTGCCACAGACTTTCTTTCAAGGTGCACAAATGACTCATGTCAGATTGCTGTATAGAACTCAGAAGGAAAGACCCTAAAGGAGTCCTTATTGAGGGAGGAACAAATGAGCTGCAAAGGGTCTGGTGGCATTGAGGTCATGAGTAGATGAATGACATCAGATCTCTGCTGATTCTGGTAAGAGTGTGGGTACTAGCAAGCACAAAAGGTAAAAGGCTTTCTTCATAAAGGAATAGCTAGAGAATGAACAATTTTTATGATTTGGGAATCCTGTACTTAGCTCCAACTCAGTATGAATAAGCAGAACCTGTGATACCGTCTAAGCCATGGATTATCCAGAGTTATAGGACTCATGCTAATCAGCACTGCCACCATATCCTCACTGCCAATCTCTCTTGCCTAGACTATTGCAGTAGCCCTCCAATTGGTCTTCATCATTATTGTCCATCTTGTGCTTCAACATTGAAGCCACTTTTCTAAAATGGATACCTGATAAGGATGTTTTCATGCTTAAAATCTTTTAATTTTCACTGATTCATATAAAGAATGAAACCCTGAGCATTATATAGATAGTGGTTCAGGCAGAAATATGTAACCTGTACCTAATCAAGAGGAAAAATTAGACAAACCCAAAATGAGGACTATTTTATTAAAACAGTAGAAGAAATGGGAAGACTTTAAAAAAATTTCGGCTGGGCGTGGTGCCTCACGCCTGGAATCCCAGCACTGTGGGAGGCTGAGGCAGGTGGATCATGAGGTCAGGAGATCAAGACCATCCTGGCTAACACGGTGAAACCCCGTCTCTACTAAAAAGACAAAAAAATTAGCCAGGCGTGGTGGTGGGTGCCTGTAGTCCCAGCTACTCGGGAGGCTGAGGCAGGAGAATGGTGTGAACCCGGGAGGCGGAGCTTGCAGTGAGCGGAGATGGCACCACTGTACTCCAGCCAGGGCAACACAGCGAGACTCTGTCTCAAAAAAAAAAAAAAAAAAAAAAATTTCAATGTCATATGAGAAAAAGAAACTACAATGAGATACCACCTCACACTTATTACGATGCTACTATGAAAAAATATAACTATGAAAATATCAAGTTTTGGCAATGCTATGGAGACATTGGAACCCTTTGCATTATTGGTGAGAATGTAAAATGGGACAGCTGTTATTAAAAATAGTATGGAAGTTCCTCCAAAAATTAAAAGTAGAATTACAATATGATTCAGAAATTCTACTTCTGGATATATACCCCAAAGAACTGAAAGTAGGGTCTTGAAGAGATATTTGTTGTTGTTGTTGTTGTTTTTCTTTCAGGATTTTACTCTATTGCCCAGGCTAGAGGGCAGTGGTGCAATCATAGTTCTCGCAGCCTCAACCTCCTGGGCTCAGGTGATCTTCCTACCTCAGCCTCCTGAGTAGCTGGGACCAACGGTGTGTGACACAAAGCCTGGCTAATTTTTGTGGTTTTTTTTTATAGATGGGGTCTTGCCATGTTACCCAGGCTTTAAGAGGTATTTTTATATCCATGTTCACAGCAGCGTTATTCTCAGTAGCTAATAAAAACAACCCAGTATCCATCTACAAATGACCGGATAAGCAAAATGCAGCCTATACATGCAATGGAATACTATTCAACCTTAAAAAGGAAGGCGATTCTGGCATATGCTACAACATGAAAAAACCTTGGGGACTTTATCCTAAGTGAAATATGAAAATCACAAAAAGACAAGTACTGGATGAATCCACTTACATGAGGTACCTGGAATAGTCCAAATCATAGAGATAGAAACTAACAGGTGGTTGTCAGGGCCTGGAGGGAGAAGGGAGTGGGGAATCATTGTTTACTGGGTATAGAATTTCAGTTTTGCAAGATGAAATGAATTCTGGAAATGGATGGTGGTGATGGTTTCAAACAATATGAGTCTATGTATTATAACTCAACTGTACATTTAAGATTTTTTAAGATGGTAAATTTTATGTTATATATAAAACTGAAAAAATGTTTTCAAAAAGTAAAAGAGATGGTATAGGGCTGTGGAAATATTCTAAATAAATGCATTTTAAAAATGTAACTAAATGAAATATCTGATCCTCGATTGAATCTTGTACTGTAGATAAATAAACGCTATAAAGGACATTATTAGGCCAAGTGAAAAAACTAGAATATGAGCAGTAGATTAGATGAAAGACATTGTGTTAATTTTAAAGTTACTGAAGCTGCTACTGCATTGAAGTATGTAAAAGAATGTTCCTATTCCTGGGTAACATACAAAGACACATTTAAGGTAAAAGAACATGATGTATATAACATACTCTGACATATTTCAAGAAAAAAGTTATATAGGGAGAAGGAGAGAAAGGGAGAACAAATGACTGACACATGGGGAAAGGTGTTAACAATAGATGAATCTTGGTAAATATAGGGCTACGATTATTTGTATTATTTTATTATTAGTCTTGCAACTTTTCTGTAAGCTTGAAAATGTTACAAACCCTGCATATGGAATTTAAAGCTCTTCATAATTGGCTTTAGTCTATCTCTGCAGCCTCTTTCCAGTTCCCACAACACTGTGCTGAAACTGATAACGCTGAATCACAGCATGGAGTTTTGTTCAAACCCTTTAACTTTGCTATTTCCTCTGTATAATAAATATCTACTGGTGCTTTAAAGTCTAGATCAATTATCATTTCCAGTCTTCCCAGGCAGAATTAAATGCTTCTCTTTGACCGCATTGGCTTTATTGGGACATATATATAGAAAGAGCTAAAAATAATGTGTGTGTGTTGACATATACACACACACATTATATTTAGCTCGCTCTCTCTCTCTCTATATATATAGATACACACATACAAATAAATACATAACATATTATGTTTACATACATGTTACATATATAGATATATAGTACTTATCACTGTGTATTAAAGTTCAGAATATGGCAAAATACCTACATTATGCATTCAACAAATGTTTTAAATTAATTAGTGATTAATCATTAACTAATTAATGCTAACTATTACTCCATGAGGAATTTATATAGAAATGGATATAAATATATATTCACCTGTATACTAAACTATATCATACCTCTCTGCCTTGTCTTTTATTTTCCTATCTACTCTTCTATCAATAGTTACAATACGTAGATAAGAAGACTTTCAAATTCACACTTTTTGAAGAGATGCTTATAGGTCATTAATGCTGGAAAAACTCCCTACACACATAACAAAGTTCAAGTCTACCTGAATATACAATCACAAAAGTATATGTATTAATACCTATCTAAAGCCCAGTTTATAAAAATATCAACTGTTTATCATGTTTTTGCAATTGGTAAAAATGTAAATAAATGCTGACAAATTCTAAGAAGCACGCAGCTTAATTCTGCTAAAGCAAAAGTTTTATAACTTCTGGTAAATATTTCTACAATATAACTATGGCCATATATCTTTATTCAAAGTATGGTTTATGGCTAAAGACATTATAAAAAACATAAAGTTGACAGTCTGGTTTTTGGTTGTGGCATTTGGCGTTTATGAAAGATATTGAATTTATGTGTTAGGAATGAAACCCTCTGTTTACTCATGGGTCAGCTACTGTGTGGGTGTATGTCAAGGCATTTTATCAACTGACTTCAATTTTTACCTAGAACAATAAATATCTTTATGGGAGATAGTATGATTCATTCAGTTTGTTCAACCTACTCAAAGTATTTTAAGAGAAATAAAGTCTAAAATGCTGGATTCTGACACTCTTTATGTCAATATATTGCTGTGAACTTATAACTTGCTCCATATCGCCAGATATCCTGTGCTCCTGACACATGCATTATATTCAATCACTTTATCAAAATAAAGTGGGATTTTTCATAATGTGTCCAACATCATAGAGCTAAAAATAATAAAAACCATTTTGCTGTTTGGTGTAAGAAAGCATTAGTGAAATGCATTCACTATGTCAAGTACAGAAATAACAATTAAATATAATTTTTTAACATACACATACAATATGTTGATATTAATATGGTGTTATTAATTATTTCCATTTTAATTAGTTTAAAACATTAAAAGTAAAGGGTTATATAAACATTCATAAGAATATTAAAATGTGCTTCAAAGTAAACATCAGGTACATCAAAATAAATTTAAATAATTAGAAGTCATTTTAGGCATAAATAAAAATGCTATCTTTCATTTATCCGTATGCCTAAAATTGTCTTTTCTAAGCGGAAAAAAACCACTTTGTTTAACACAGATTTTTCCTTATTGTAATTAGAAATGCAGATGGAAAGACTAAATTAGGCAATGGTTGACAGGAGGAAAGACATTTGCTTTAAAATCGTTGGGAGTGATTTCAAGTTCAAATCTTTTGAAATGAAACAAGGTCCATTTGTCACAGAATATAATTCAATGCCACATGGTCTGGTTAGTTGGCTCAACTTTGATTAAGACTAAGACACGGCCGGGCGCGGTGGCTCACGCCTGTAATCCCAGCACTTTGGGAGGCCGAGGCGGGCGGATCACGAGGTCAGGAGATCGAGACCATCCTGGCTAACACGGTGAAAACCCGTCTCTACTAAAAATACAAAAAATTAGCCGGGCGTGGTAGCGGGCGCCTGTAGTCCCAGCTACTCGGGAGGCTGAGGCAGGAGAATGGCGTGAACCTGGGAGGCGGAGCTTGCAGTGAGCCGAGATCGCGCCACTGGACTCCAGCCTGGGCGACAGAGCGAGACTCCGTCTCAAAAAAAAAAAAAAAAAAAAAAAAAAAAAAGACTAAGACACATTTGTGGGACAAAAGGCAAATGAAGTACAGACACCAGTAAGGAAAAATGCTCAGAAAAATATTAATTCATTTCAAGCTTACGAAAGCTAACATATGTAGGTTTTCCATATCTCTCCAAGAGCTCATCTAATACTTTTCACTGATAGTTTATACCTTAAAAGACAAAACATCTGCTATGCAATAAGATGTGATTCTTCAGAAACTTAAGAAATTTGAGATTATGTGTATGTACATACATTTAAAAATGAGTGTCTTGAGACTAAGGGGATAAAAGAATATAGAGAGATTTATATAGAAAGAGGAATATATACATATATATGTTAGATATATATACTGATTTGATTATATATCAAGTGTATTTGCATATGAAATTCAAATATATCTATTGAATATTTATTTTAATATAAAATATACATGCACATATATAAAATGATATATGTCTTTAAAATTATGTGCAGTTTGATTTCCATGTTCAAAATCTTAAATTGTGTATGATATACCTGATATTTATTTTATTGAATTTCAATATTAGGAACTGTGGGATATAACACTGTCCTGCTCTCACACAGCTGATATGGGCCTAAGATTTGAATTCATAAAACAATTAGGCAACAATGTTTAATCTAAATATTACTTTCAAGTATTCACATAATATTAAATGAAGGCAAATATCTTAAACTGTTTCTATAATAATGCTGACTAGTACATATAGTAATGGGTAATATTATCATAATAAAGATACCATTTTGGTCAAAGAAAGCCTCAACTACTGTAGAAATCTGTTACTGAGTAAAGCTATATATGTTCTACCTCCATTAACTGGAAAATGATTGTATTTACACACACATACTCACACAGTAAAACAAAGGGGAAAAAAGAAACTACAGTGAGGATGAAGAAGCCTGAATGTTAACACAAATAGAATATAACTTAGAGTTGGAGAAAGAACTTGGGGGACTTGGCTCAAGGTCCATCTCTATGAATGTACTTGAGGAAGGGTAGGGCAGAAGCTGAGAACTCACTCTAAAATCAGACACCTGGCTTCAGATTCATCCTTCATATTTACATAGCTATAAAAGCTACTTAAACTTTCAAAGAAATAAAGGAATTTATATATAATAAGATGTTTAACATGATACTCATTTTATAGTAATTACTCTATAAATGTTAGCTATTATTATTATAATTATAATGATAACCTTTGTCAAGAAACTGAAACTGAGATGATCAGTAATTTTATTGGGACTATGGAATTAATAATGATTCCTATGTGACAGGATTTCAAATGAATATACCACATAATCAATAAAATTCTTCATAATTGTTATCCTACAGTACCTATATGCCAGCGTAAATTCATTAGCAGTAATTTTCATAGTTCACGTTTCAGAATCACTGCTGGAGTGGTGCTAGGTTTGCTAATATGTTATTGCCACTGAGGCCACACCATGAAGAGTATAACAAAGATGTTCTTCCAAGGCGCTAAGTAACACCTGCACTCAAGGCCTTCACATTGTTGAATAAAAGAAGGATCCAAACAATGTAACTTCAAATGTGTTTCAACTTGTAAAACATTGAGTCATTAACCTTAACAATGTCAGTGCGCTCTTACTACAAAACTCAACTAAACGAGTGTCCAGGGGAATTTTTAAGAGCACAATTCATGAAGAGTAATGTACTAAAAGCATTACCAAAGGCTGTTAGAGGGAATGCACCTGAGTGCACTGTGAAGGATTAAGTAACCTGAAACAGTGGGAAAGAAAGGTAAATACACGGAAAAGGCTCCAAGTGTGAGAACATCATATATATTTCTCAGAATAGCAATTGGCTATTGCAGCTGGAGTTGTGCTTTAACATTTGAAGACCTATGAGATAGCGGGGAAACTTCAATACTTTGAGTCATAATAGTTATCCCAGATCTGTCACTTAATATGACTGTCTTAGTCTTATCATCCATAAAATGGTGACAATAATCTTTACCTAAATAGCAGAGCTCTGGTTATTATATGAAACAAGGGGAAAGGCCTTGAAATATGTAGAAAACTAAACAAATCAAGATGTTGTTATTATTAACATTAAGAAAATGGAATTACCTGAACCTGTTTTTCATTTTCACCTGCTCCTTCCATTTTAAGAATCAATAGCATTTACAAAAAAAAAAAATCTTAGGGCTATTTTTTTAGACCCAACTGTGATGTTAGAGGAAAAATCTTTACTATCTGGAAGATTTTGTATAAAAGATAACAATCTATTCAGCCTACTGTATGTAATTTCCTATCTAGGTGTTCCGCCTATGGGGTCACATAGCAGAATTAGATAAATTGAAGTCCAAAGTCATTCAAAACAAGACTGTTTTACAAAGTCTTGATGATTTATAAAATAATTAGTAGCAAAGAGCATGAAACTAACAAGATTGATGGTTTTATCTGTTTTGCTATGCCCCTCATTACATAGAATAATATTTGGAAGATACATAATACAACGTATACATACATCTATATGTATATAAATACCCAGAAATGTATGTCTATACACATATACACATGTAGGGAGAGAATAGAGATAATGTTCATATTCTTTAAGAGTATGGCTCTTCAGAGAAAATATCATAATTTTTTATTTGAGATAATCATGCCTGAAGTTTATGGAGCATTATGCTAGAAACTGTGCAAACTCTAATTCTAGATAAATATAGATGTAGATATTCATGTAATTCAGAATTCTCAACTGGGGACAATTTTATCCTTTGATGAGAGGGGGATTTAGCAATATCTGGAGACAATATTGGTTGTTACAACTTGGGGAGAATGGTAACTATAGTGGCATTTAGTAGGCAGAGGCAAGTGATGTTACTAAACACCCTTCAAAGCAGAGGACAGACCCCTACAACAAAGAATTACTTGGGACAAAATGCCAATAGTGCTGAGGTCAAGATAGCCTGATGTAATACTCAACATAATCATGAGGCAGGTATCATGACTCTCACTCTATAGATAAAGAGATTAAAGATTAAAGATATTAAATTATTTATAAAAGGTTACAATCCAGTAAGAAACAAGGCTAGAATTTAAATCCAGGGAGTTTGATTCCTAAAACCACACTTCTACAAATTCATTCTCACTAAAAGATCTTAACACATCTCTCATTCTAGGTAGAATTAGACATGGTCTTGCAGTATTGATTATTGAGACTTCACAGATATAGCAACAAACCTCAACTTTTATATCCATATTCGGGTTTTCCCTTCACAAATTAAAGGAATGGAAATCCCAAACAAGAGGAAAAATGACTGAATTGTTGATAAATAAACATTCACTCTATTTGAATTTCAGATATGTTGTACCCTCTGCTTTCACAGAGATGGAAAACTTGCTTTGAAAAGTGCTAATAAGAGTTGAAAGTTACCTTCAAGAAGTTATGCATATTTCAGAAGAAATAAAAGTCATTATGCATTCTCTCTAAAGAGGATACAATCTCAAACTGTCAAAACCCTAAACCCTTCTACATATATTACATATAAATGCCATCTTTTAAAAACCTCTTTCCATTTTTTCTTCTAAATTAGCTTAGCAGGCCATAGTATTATAGTATCTTGGTCTGGCCTGTGAATAATGTGACAGGTAATTTTTCTACTTCTTTTTGCCTGTAGTTAAGTTTGACTGCAGATATGGAAAACAACTTTTAGGACTTAGGCGGTAAAAATAAATGTTCTGTAAGCCATATACAGCTAGGTTCTGGACAGCTATCATAAAATATTACATACTGAATTTATATCTGCCAATAAATAATTTAAAAAACTAGGGATATTTTATGGTAATGTACACTAAAATATTTTCTCAAAACAAATTGATAATATTAGTAATAATCTCAACATACCTGCCATGTTACTGGAGAGCAGACTTCTCAACATGGGAAAAAAACTCAGTCTGGATTCGCTCAAAAGATGAATAGCAAAAAAATAACTTCAAAGTTAGGAAACACTAATTTTAAGGATTAAATTCTTCATATGGTAAAGAGAATGTCAACATTCAAAGAATGTCATAGTGATAATAGTCTATTCCTATATTTACAATGGATAAGGACGTGCCTTCTGTGAGAGTCTATGGTTGCAAATAACATAAAAATTCTCTCTAAAATAGTATAATTTAGCTTTGTTTAGTTTATAATGATCATGATTAAATCTAAACTATTATAAGCAAACCACCATCTGGAACCATAGCAAATCAAGATTCTATTTTCTATGATGACCAATCATGGAAAGCTTATGCAGACTTCTACTTTGCAATATTGTATAGTAACGTGATTAGATAATCATGCAGACCAATGAACTCAGCTAACTGGAACATAAACAAATGCACAGCAATTCACTTGGAAATACTTCAGTATTTTATCAGGGCCTCCTAACCCAAACTGCTGAAGTTATTTTTTAAAAAACAGAATTAAAATTTAATATCAAGTATTCTGAATCTATATTTAAAAATATTAAAAGGAATTAAAAAATGGAGAAGTTAGATATTTTTATATGTAATTTACAGGATCTAATGAAAACCTTCATGAATAGAAGAATAACTTAGGATTTCTCAGATTATTCAGGCTCCCCTTTGGTTCCATATAAATTTTAGCATAGTTTTTTCTAATTTTCTGAAGAATGACATTGGTAGTTTCATAGGCATAGTGTTGAATCTATAAATTGTTTGGGGGCAGTATGGTCATTTTAACCATATGGATTCTTCCAAATCATGAGCATGGAATGTTTTTCCATTCATTTCTGTAGTCTCTGATTTCTTTCAACAGTGTTTTATACTTCTCTTTCTAAAGATCTTTCACTTCCTTGGGCAGCTGTAGTCCCAGGTTTTCATTTTCTCTGTGGCTGTTATAAATGGGATTGTGTTCTTGATTTGACTCCAAGCCTGGGCATTATTGGTGTTTAGAAATGCTACTGATTTTTGTACTCTGATTTTGTTTCTTAAAATCTTGCTAAACTGATAACTTTGTTTATCAGTTCTAGCAGCCTTTCGGTGGAGTATTTAGGGTTTTTCAAGTATCAAATCATCATCAGCTAAGAGAGATATTTTGACTTATTTTCCTATCCAACTTCAAACTACACTACAAGGCTACACTAATCAAAAAAGCAAGGTACTAGTACAAAAACAGACACATAGACCAATGGAACAGAATAGAAAACTCAGAAATACAGCCACACACCTACAACCATCTAATCTTTGACAAAGCCAACAAAAACAAGCAATGGAGAAAGGACCCCTTATTCAATAAATGATGCTGGAATAACTGGATACTCATATGCAGAATAATGAAACTGGACCCCTACTTTTAACTATATACAAAAATTTACTTAAGATAGATTCATGGTGTAAATTTAAGACCTCAAGCTATAAAAATCCTAGGCAAAAACATAGGAAATACCCTTCGTGCAATGGCTGTGACAAAGAATTTTTGGCTATGTCCCCAAAGTAATTACAAGAAAACAAAAACTGACATGTGGGAGCCAGTTAAACTAAAGAGCTTCTGCACAGCAAAAGTAACTGTCAACAGAGTAAACAGACAACCTAAAGAATAAGGGAAAATATTCACATATTATGCATCCAACAAAAGTCTAATATCTAGAATGTATAAGAAATTTAAACAATTCAGCAAGCAAAAAATAACCCCATTAAAAAATGGGCAAATGGCATGAACAGACACTTCTCAAAAGAATACATAGAAGTGGCCAACAAACATGAAAAAATGCTCATCATCACTTATCATCAGAGAAATGCAAATCAAAAACACAGTGAGATGCCATCTCACACCAGTCAGTATGGCTATAATTAAAAAGGCAAAAACAACAAATGTTGGCAAAAATGCAGACAAAAGGTAACGCTTATATACTGTTGATGGGAATGTAAATTAGTTCAGCCCCTGTGGAAAGCAGTTTGGCAATTTCTCAAAGAAACAGAGCCACCATTTGACCCAGAAATCCCATTACTGGGTACATACCCAAGGGGAAATAAATTATTCCACCAAAAAGACAAGGGTACTCACATGTTCATCACTATGGTGTTTGTGATAGCAAAGAGGTGGAAAGCAAAGGCATGGAATTAACCTAGGTACCGATCAGTAGTGGACTGAATAGAAAATGTGGTATATATATACAATGGAATACTATGAAGCCATAAAAAAGACTGAATCATGTCCTTTGAAAGAACAAGGATAGAACTGGAGAC
This sequence comes from Homo sapiens, assembly GCF_000001405.40. Lineage (NCBI taxonomy): Eukaryota > Metazoa > Chordata > Mammalia > Primates > Hominidae > Homo > Homo sapiens. The sequence continues at coordinate 175,594,289 of NC_000003.12, read as the reverse complement.
CATCATTCTAAATGAATTAATGCAGGAACAGAAAACCAAAGACTGCATGTTCTCACTTATAAGTGAGAGCTAAACACTGAGCACACATGAATATAAACATGGGAACAATAGACACTGAGGACTATTTGATGGGAGAGAGACCAAGGAGGCGTGCGTGGGTTGAAAACCTACCTATTGGGTATTATGCTCACTACCTGGGTGACAGGATCTGTACCCTAAACCTCAGCATTGTGCAACATGCCCATGTAACAAATTTGTACATGTACCCCCTGTGTATAAAAGAAAAGTTGAAATTAAAAAAAAAAAAAGAATAGCAACATGATCAAGTAAGAAACCTATTTCCTAAAAATAACAATCCTCTGCAGTCCACATAAAGGTGGTATCTTACTCTTTGTCACAGGTTGAATTGGTTTTCCCCAAAAGATGTTGAAGCCCTAATTCTCAATACATGTGAATGTGACCTTATTGGGAGAGAGGGTCTTTGCAGGTGACTAAGTTAACGGGAGGTTTTTTTTTTGAGAGTGGGCCCTAATATGACTGCATCCTTAGAAGAAATTTGGACACAAAAGCAGACAAGGGGAACCATCATGTCAAGACTGGAATTATGCTCTACAAGCCAAGAAATGCTAAACATTGGCAGCAAACCACAAAAAGCTAAAAGCAAAGCATGGAACAGTTTCTCCTTGCCACCCTCAGAAGAACCAATCCTACCTAATGACATCTTGATATTGGAATTTTAGTCTCCAGAATGATTAAATGATAAATTTCTCTTGTTTAAGTCACTCAGTTTGTGGGACTTTGGAAACTCCAAGAAACGAATACACTGTTAATTAGGCATTAACCCACTTCACTGTCCTGTTTCATGGTTCTACACTCTAGGCAAAAATGTGCCATACAAATATGCTTACAAAACCTCTAGCTTAATTAGCATACTCACTATGAAGAGAAAAGAAAACATAAACCACTTCAAGGCATTACCTGCTTAGACGTTATCACAATGGTAAAGAAAATACTTGTGTTAAAAGGAAATATTATGTTATTTATGGTATCATTAAGAATTGTTCAATGAGAACACATGGGCACAGGGAGGGGAGCAACACATACTGGGGGCTTTTGAGGGGGCAGTGGGAGGGAGAGCATCAGGATAAAGAGCTAATGCATACGGAGCTTAATACCTAGGTGATGGGTTGATTGGTGCAGCAAACCATCATGGTACAGGTTTACCTATGTAACAGACCTGCACATCCTGCACTGTACCTTGGAACTTAAAATATAATAAAATTAATTTTTTTAAAAAAGAATTGTTCAATGAAAGCATGGAAAGGTGTTAAATGAAGGAAATTAAGAGGAGAGGGGACATAATCAAAACAGCTTTTTTTTCTTTTTTTTATTTTATTATTATTATACTTTAAGTTTTAGGGTACATGTGCACAATGTGCAGGTTAGTTACATATGTATACATGTGCCATGCTGGTGTGCTGCACCCAATAACTCGTCATCTAGCATTAGGTATATCTCCCAATGCTATCCCTCACCCCTCCCCCCACCCCACAACAGTCCCCAGAGTGTGATGTTCCCCCTCCTGTGTCCATGTGTTCTCATTGTTCAATTCCCACCTATGAGTGAGAATATGCAGTGTTTGATTTTTTGTTCTTGCTATAGTTTACTGAGAATGATGATTTCCAATTGCATCCATGTCCCTACAAAGGGCATGAACTCATCATTTTTTATGGCTGCATAGTATTCCATGGTGTATAAAACAGCTTTTTAAGTTAGTCTCCAAGTACTTTATAGGATGACATGGTCGTGAAAAGGTAACTACAGTCTACATGTAAAGAAACCAAAAATCTAGATGTGAAGAAATAATGAATTGCCTGAATTAGGTAACAATTATTAAAGATTAAATGACAACTGTAAGATAGACCATAAGAAAAAATAATTGAACTCAGCAATAGAGTAGCTGACAAAAAAAAAAAAAAAAAGAAAAGAAAAAGAAAAGAATAGACTAGGGTGTGAGGAACAAAATAGTCAATGATGATTTCAAAAATAATGCTTGCATGAAAGGAATTATGGCTATGTCCTGTGTAAGGAGTGTTTCCAGAAGCCTAGATTCTGAATTAAAAAGATACCATTATACCCAGAAAGTTTTATAAATGAATTCTATGGGTAGCCAATCAACGGATGATTTTAGAAACTGACCCTGAACATTACTATGAAAGAATAGCATTTATAGTGCAGTCACTTTGAGCTCCAGAGAAGTACAGTGCTTTGCAGACTTGTAAGACCTGCTCTCTGCTGAAATGACTACCTCTCTGATTTATCATTTGATAGCTACAGCCTCAGATTTTATTTTTCCACTATATTACTCTTGAGGTTTACTTCACCTATGATGGGTGTATCTGTATTACATAATGTTGTCCAGGAATCTATGACAATGTTATATATATAAAGCATTTTCATACATATATATATATATATATATATATATATATATATATATATATACACACACACACACACACCACATGCGCATATATAAATATATATTTCTAGAAAAATAAAAATAATTAAAATGTTAAATGAGTCACTCAGTTTGATATGGCTCAGATACCCTTAGTGTCTACAGAAATTACTTGGCACTGAACTTCACTTTACTTTTATTGTCATTTGTTTGTTTATACTCATGCCTGGATGTTCTAAAGAGATTATAAATCCTTTGAGCATCATGGATGATATCTTAGCTTTATCTGTTCTTAATGCATAGCATAGTGTTCTGCACATTGTTTGTGCTCAATTAAACCTAATTGGGATGATGATTAACATTTTTAAGAAATAAAAAAAAAATTATTTTCTGTTAACAAACCACATTTGTTCCTTTCCATTTTTTCCCCTCTGGAATATTTTTCAGAAACATAAACTAGTTGAACAAATGCTTTTAGGAAACTTCTAAGCCTATGTGACTGATATTTCTTTTAGCATCAGAGTTAAATCTTCTGTTTAAATTAAGTTAAATTTCATTCTTCATATTGAGAAAAATATGCTTTATATATGAAAACACAGGAAAATCAATAATAAAACAGACAAAATAGAGATATCATAAATAGCATTTATATTCAGGACTCTATACCTTCCACTTCCACACTAACCCCATCCACCCACCTATACAAGTTGAAGTGTCATTTTTTCCTATGACACCTCCTAAAAAATATCAGGGAATGATAGAGTGCAATGCCGTATGAGTCTATTTTTCTCTTGCCTTACAGGTTAATCATAGTGTAGTAACAGCACAAGCTATTTTGAAGGGGTGGCATGCCCACTAGACAGGAACATTAATCATGCCCTGGGCCTCTTAATAATTCGCACCCCCCTTCATCCCTAAGCACACACACATACCTTTGTTCAGTACTGAAAGCAAATACCTATAATTTTCAAACTATGTCCTTGAAATCATTAAACCCTGATTTATGCACACTTTTAACTCCAATTGTTTTCATTGTATCCTCTCTCCCACCCTTTTCGGAACTTCTATGACTTTGTTGAAGGGGTTCTATATACAATGTCCTTGTAGTAGATTGAATCAATATAGTGGGACTTTCATAAGCCAGTCCCTGATACCTGTCAACCTGGTCATCATGCATTTTCTATTTCCTAGCTTCAACACTTCAAAGCTTTAATGAAGTTTAGCCTCCAAAATTTGATCATGTTGATCTGCAGATAGATTCATACCTTGCTAAATTTGAACATAGATTCCTTTATAAATGCCATCTTGGTACTGATTATTAAGTTAATCACAAATTTATAATGTCTTGTGATAAGTCCTCAAAGTAACCTCTATACCATATTATTTCTATTCTTACATCTGGAAGAAGATTTAAATATCTTGCTATGTTACTATATTTATTTCCAGATACAGACACTATATCGACTATTCTTTCCAAAAAAAAAAAAAAATTCAACAGGTCAATCAATTGACATTGATTATGTTAATATACAAAAAAAATCAATTGAAACAAATAATTGGTATATATATATATATATATATATATATATATATATATATATATATATATATATATATTAGACGGAGTCTCGCTCTGTCGCCCAGGCTGGAGTGCAGTGGCCCAATCTTGGCTCACTGCCAGCTCCACCTCCCGGGTTCACACCATTCTCCTGCCTCAGCCTGCTGAGTAGCTGGGATTACAGTCGCCCGCCACCACGCCCGGCTAATTTTTTGTATTTTTAGGAGAGATGGGGCTTCACCGTGTTAGCCAGGATGGTCTCGATCTCCTGACCTCGTGACCCGCCTGCCTCGGCCTCCCAAAGTGTTGGGATTATAGGCGTGAACCACCACACCCGGCCAAGAATTGGTAAATATATATTTTTAAAGGCACATTTTTGGCAAGCTGACTTTAAACAGTACTCTCATGCTCTGCCACGAAGGTTTTTAAATGTACCACCATTCGGGGAGGTTTTTGGTTTTTTGTTTTTTTTTTCAATTTTGTCAAGGGGCTTAAATATTTACTTTGGTCCAAATTTTATGCTTAGAAATTTATCCTAGAAGAATTAGAGAGAGGAACAAATATCAATTCTAAAAATGCTCAACAAAAGGTTTCTTATAATAACAAAACAATGCAGGCAAACTTAATATCCAACAGCATTTAATAGTTATATCAATTATGATGCAACTATGTAATGGTATGTTTACGTGTTTTTAAATAACATGAAAAGCTATATTAATTTTATTTTAGATAGATAAATAGGAATTATATATACACAATGATCAAATTTTAATTAAAGGTAGAAATTTAAAAAAGAAGAAACAGAGGAAAGAAGAAAGGAAGGAAGAAAGGAAAGGAGAGAAGGAAAGAAGGAAGAAAATAAGGATAGAAAGGAGGGAATTAATATTTGTGAGCACTTAGTAACTATCATCAAAATGGTAACAACAAATTGTATCCATACATTGATTTATCCATTTATTTACCAGTACCAATGTTTCAAGCAAATAGTAGGACTATTTAGCTTTCTGGTATAATATTTTATTTATATTATGCTACACAGCAGGGTTATCTCTGCAAGATATAAACTAAAGTACTATGGCTACCAGTAGAACAAAAGTAACTTGAATAAATTCAGATTAAATTCTTAACCAACACTCCCTTCTTTCTTTCTACTGTTTTAATTTAGAATTTACATGCTTCTCATTAAGATTCAAACACATAAATTCTAATGATCCTCTGTCAAAAAATATCTAAATATGTTTCTTTGCCTAAAATATTTTGGTATGTATACACACACCATTTATGGGTTATAAAACACACCATTCTACAAACTTTTCAAAGTAGTATGTGGCCATAATCTTTAAATTGGAGTTGATGGCAATTAGTAAACGTTTTGAGCTTGCCCGTAGTTTGATCAAGTTTGATTATGTATTTCTTTGCTTAGAAAGTCTCCTGGCAGGGCACGGTGGCTCACGCCTATAATCCCAGCACTTTGGGAGGCCAAGGCGGGCGGATCACGAGGTCAGGAGATCGAGACCATCCTGGCTAACACGGTGAAACCCCATCTCTACCAAAAATACAAAACATTAGCCAGGTGTGGTGGCAGGCACCTGTAGTCCCAGCTACTCAGGAGGCTGAGGCAGGTGAATGGCGTGAACCCAGGAGGCGGAGCTTGCAGTGAGCCGAGATCGTGCCACTGCACTCCAGCCTCGGCGACAGAGCAAGATTCCATCTCAAAAAAAAAAAAAAAAAAAAAAGAAAAGAAAGAAAGAAAGTCTCCTAAATTGAGCTCTTTCTTAAAAACACATCTCCCAGATACTGTGTTTCTTTAACTGAAGATTCTACATTTTGGGACAACTTCTTACTTCTTTTTATACCCCTATAGTATTATATTTTGAAATCTATTTTCAACCATATCCTGGGAATGGTTTGCTGTATTGAGTACCTCACAGGTTCTGGTCACAACCACTGAACAGCTACACCTTTTAAAACCCAGTTTAGACCAAAACCCAATTGAGATTGCCAATGACTCTATAATAATTGGCTCAGGTGTCCACATTTCTTAGGGACCAATCTTAGGTAACAAGATTAAGGCATTGGATCAGGTTTATTAAAGAATATACATACTTTTCCTACCAGGCGTTACTGTCTTTTGGCATACTCAAAGTTTGGGTTGTACAGTCTAGGCATTTTTTTTTTTTTTTACCCCAAGGTTTTTCAAAGTTAAATCAACATAGATGTGTACAGAGTCCACAACTCCCCTTTTGATCAAGTTCTAGTTACCCTGAGTTCTAGGATCTCAGAATTCCCTGCACAAATGGCCCCATATTGGCTTCCAGTGATTGAGTTGTCCTCTTCCCCAGGTGTATCATCTCCAGGTGTATCACATCTGGTCTGTCGTCTGTCCCTCCACAGTGTAATACAAAGCCAAGGAAGTGGGTGAGGAGCAACTATTTGTGTGGGTTATGAACTGTGCTTAAAAATGCAAACTGGGTGTCCACACATATGCAAAGTCTCTCATGGTACGAGACGGGGTCAAAGTAGGCAGCAAAGGAAAAATAGGTCAAGAATCACTAATGAGGGGCTTGGGGACCAGTACTTCCTCTTTTACCACATTAGGGCATGGGATTCTCGGGAGTCTAAGAACATTAAATTTTAACCCACCCTTCCCAATCATGTTAAATAGGTTTTTCTCAAGTTAGGAAGGAAGATAAAATTTTATTTAACAGTGTTTTAATTTGATTCATGACATTTAAATATTTATTATTTTTCCATGTAATATATATGCCTTCATTGCTACCATTGCCTCATGTTCACCTGAAAATTTAGGAGAAGCCCAGGCTATGGCTTCATCTGTGAGCAAATATAAAATATCAAGTTTAATCAGTTGAAATAGACTAAATTTCAGAATCAACTAAAAAACTGAAAATACTGTTGACCCTTTAACATTATGAGTTTGAACTACATAGGTGAAAAAGAAGCAAGAGCAAGAATAAAACATATAGGAGTTTAAAAGCACTGGGAGTAGGGAGAACTAAGTCTGCAATTAACTCTTATTAAAAACTTTCAGTCAATTGAATGAATCTGTCTAAGCATTTATTTCCTTTTACTATAGAGTAATGAATAAAAATATTTGGGATCCACGATCAATGCTACTCTAAAAATCAATGAGTCAATGAGTGTTGGTGTCAGTCCATCAGAGGGAGTCAGGGCCATGCACATCCGTGGACCCACTACTCTTGGGACCATCCTTTCACCAAAGATGCCTCTGATCTTACTTTAATCATTTGGATTGTTCAAAATCATCCCTGAACTGCTGGAAGTCTTCAAACCAGTGGTAGTCAATGGGGTTTGCCTAGTAGTGGGAGACAAAGCACCCTAAATTTAACCCCAATGTTTTGCCATGGGCAATGTCCTAATCCAATGTTATTATTTCTAAGCATAGGTCCCAGCAGCATTTACCCAAAATTCTTATATGTATTATGGTTGTATTAATTATATATACCTGAGTCATTAATTAGAAATTATTTGTAAGCATGTAGTATATGTAAAATTTCTAATGCTCTAATAAGAATCATCATGAATAAAAATAAAGCAACAAAGTACTGGTTTAGGAAACTGAAAATGACCTTGTACATAAAGGTAGAGTTTATTTTTTCTCACCTTTGTCCACTTTCAGTACTACATAAACATTGCACTATTTAGAATTAAAATGTTCTTCACTTGTAACAGAATATTAGACATGAATAATTTCAAGGCTATAGCTATTGAGAAGAGACTGTAGAAATCAAAATACTGGTAAATACTTTGTTCTCTTCAGCATTATTTCCATCCATTTAAAGTCACAGGAACAAAAACAGCATGAAAGGAGACTGAAGACAACTGCAGCCCTCTTGAGACTAATGTAAAAGCCAAAACTTTCATGAAGAAGAAGTAGTGATCTTTATAAGCCAAGTAGCGTTGACCTCAATCTATTTTTTTTTTATTTTTTAACATTTATGAGACTTCAAGGCTATGTCTTCTTTGTAGTCTGTACAGAAACATTTGCTTATTTAAAAAATAAAAACAAGATAAGTTTCTGTGTATACAAGCTGTGAACTAGACATAGAAACCTGCCATTCCCGATGTAAATAAAATAAGATTAAGTTGTGGAGATTCAAGAACAGGGCGTGGAAATTCATTCATGGCCATAGTCATCATCCACAGCTATTTGAGCTCCAGATGAGTCATTTCCTACTGGAGTTTATTGTTAGAGCACATGGGTATCAAACCTGTTCTTAACATTTTAATCTTAAATTTTTAAAAAAATCATCTAAATTAGTTTCCAAAATATTTTCAAATCTAAAAATATTCTACTCAAAGAAATGTGGCATTGTCATGGAAATTAGAAGACATGAACTTGTTCATCTCCTCATATTCCAAAATCAACTTGGAAATAAAATTAGGAAACAAGGGATAGAACAAATGCAACATAAAAGCAACTCACCTTTACATTACACGGACAATTACCAAGGAATGAAGAGACAAGGAAAATCGTCATCATATCTTTATTTTTTTTTAATTTAGGAAACTAAATACTCATGTTTAGAGTAGGTTGATTTTATCATATTTTTCCTATAATGCCCTTAATTCATTCCACTTATATTTTTTGGAAATGTAAACTTTTGGATGCATAGAATCTAGTTATAGGCTCTGTTTTGTAAAACAATAAACAAACTACTACAAGGAAACATTAACATTAGTTCTTGTCAGTATTTATAAATTATCAGTTTATTTTCAATTCAGCTAAGAAATATTACCCATTTATAGCTATTGCTTAACGTTGAGAATGGCCAAAGCTAAAACATTTAGGACCTTTGTATAGAAAACTAGAAGAATAAGAATTAAGCACTGTTGCATTATACTTCACCATGAATCTAGCAGAAGATAAAAGGTGTTTTAGAAATCCAGTCACGTCCTGCATAACATGTTGGTCAATGATGGATGGCATATGCTATGGTACTCCCATAAGAGTACAATGATACTGAAAAGTTCCTGTTGCCTAATGAGGTCTTGAAGATCCTAATGCTGTGGAGGCCTCGGTTAGTGTGTGTGTCTGTGCCTTAGTTTTTAACAAAAAAAATTTTTTAAAGTAAATAAATAAATAATTTATAAAAATAGAAAAAAGCTTATAGAATAAGGATAGCAAACAAGAAAATATTTTTCTACAGCTCTATAATATGTTGGGTTTTAAGCTAAATGTTATTACAAAAGGGTCAAAAAGTTAAAAAAAAGTTTACAAAGTAAAAAAGTTACAGTAAACTAAGGTTATTTATTACTAAAGAAAGATTTTTAAAATAAATTTAGTGTAGCCTATGTGTATAGTGTTTATTAAGTCTTTAATAGTGCACAGAAATGTCCTAGGCCTTCACATTCACTCACCACTTACTCATTCACCCAGAGAAACTTCCAGTCCTGAAAGCTCCATTCATAATAAGTGCCCTATACATGTGTACCACTTTTTAACTTTTATATTGTACTTTACTGCACTTTTTATATGTTTAGATTCACAAATACCATTGTATTATAATTGTCTCTAGTATTCAGTACAGTCTACAGTATCATGCTGTGCAGGTTTGTGGCCTAGGATGAATAGGCTACGCCATATAGCCTAGGTGTCTAGGAGGCTATACCATCTAGTTTTGTGTAAGTACACTCCATGATGTTTACACAACAAAATCACCTAATGACATTTCTCAGAACATATTTCCATCATTAGAGACACATGACTATACATCATTTTGTCTAGAAAACCTTGAGAAACAGCATAAAAGTAGAGAAAAGAGTCCAGAAATCTGGTGATAGAATGTTAGGTTGGAATCTTGATTCTATCATTGAATAGATGGGTGACCTTGGCCAGTTTTCTTAACTGCTTTGTGCTCAGTTTCCTCATCTATAATAAAAGTGATAACAGTAGGGCGGGCGTGGTAGCTCACACCTGTAATCCCAGCACTTTGGGAGGACAAGGTGGGTGGATGACCTGAGGTCAGGAGTTCGAGACTGGCCTGGCAACATGGTGATACCCCAACTCTACTAAAAATACAAAAATCAGCTGGGCATGGTGGTGCATGCCTGTAATCCCAGTTACTCAGGAGGCTGAGGCAGGAGAATTGCTTGAACCTCGGAGGTGGAGGTTGCAGTGAGCTGAGATCGCACCAATGCACTCTAGCCTGGGTGACAGACCCAGACTCCATCGCAGAAAAAAAAAAAAAAGTAGTGACAATAGTACCTTCCTCACTGGTGCTAGTTACAACTTTATAACTGTAATAATTGAGTTAACATGTATAAAAGACTTAGAACAGAACAATGCCTGACGCAAACATTATATAAGTGTTTGTTCAATATAATTTTCCTTGCTCTACCTTGCCTTTATCATTTTACTGTCCTCTTGGCAAATATGATTTGTCCTACTGGTTGACAGGTTAATTAATTAGAAGCTAGTTCATATAAATAATCAGTTTTTTAAAAAGAAACCAAATTAAGTAAAACTTTGTATTTTAATTAAAAACCTGTGAGTGCACATTTATTGGCCAATATTTTGAAGTAAAGCCAAGGCTTTTTCTCTGAACATTGTCTTGTTGAATAAAATTCTATTATTTCTTTCTTGCCCTATACATTATCTGCATTACTGCCTCTTGTTTAAAACTTTTAAAAATACTCATGAAGTAAACTGATTTCAGAATGCATCCAGATTACTATCAATTTCCTCCAGTCTTTGATAGTTGCCTGGTTCCCCACACATCTGATTTTTTTTTTTTTTTTGCAGCTCATCCTTTCAGATTGTCGTAAATATAGGTTTCTTAGCAGCTTTTCTTTCATATTCACGATTCACAAGCTTATGTAACAATTAAATTGTCTAATCATGAGATACAATTGCATTTGCAAAGGGCATATACAGACAGTCTCCAACTTACGATGGTTTGACTTCACAATTTTTCCACTTTATGATGGTGTGAAAGTGATAAACATTCAGTAGGAACCATACTTCAAATTTTGAATTTTGGTCTTTTTTATGGGCTAGTGATATGCAACACGATACTCTCTTGATGCTGGGATCAATAATGTATCACAAAGTCTATTTTATAATAAGCTGTTGAATATATCATGTAATTTATTGACTGCTGTACCGAAAGAGTTCTGAGTATAGGCTAGGCTAAGGTAACATGTTTGGTAGGTTAGGTTTATTAAATGCATTTTAGACAGGAAATTGTCAGCATATGGTGGGTTTATTGGGCTGTAACCCCACTGTAAGTCGAGTAGCATCTGTATAGATTTGAGAATGTAGTTGACTCCACGCAAGCATATCACTGAACCTGAGAGAATAAAAGTCCACAAAACTCCAGAAAGGGTCTTACTGTGAGGAGCTTCAGAAATCTTTGATCATTGGCCATTACGTTTTAAAGGAGTGGAAATTGTCAATCAGTTCTGCGTGTTGGTTAAATGGAAGTCAATGATGAGAACTTCTATTGTACTTACTTTATTTAATTGTTTATACGACTGAGTTTGAATCTAGACTGTGACCACTTTGAGAGAAAGAGGGGCATGTTTTATTCATCTTTGTATTTCTAACACAGTGCCTGGATCACAGCAAGTGCTTAATAACTGCTGGCTAAATAACAAATATCTGTTAACAGTTAATAAAATATGTTAAAGTTGTCCTATATTCTTAACTTGACTGTTGTCAATTTTATAACATGGTTTATCATTAACCCACCTGCAAGTAGCATTATTGAAATTATTTTTAAAAAGGCTTTATTAGAAAACTCCTTTCATCATAACAAAGATGATCACAAGATAATCACTGAAAGCAGCATTAGAATTAAAATATAGTGCGTATGCTATATATTTTGATCCAATGATATAGTCATTTAGAATAAATATTCTTATTTAGATTTCTAAGCAAGGACAACTGCTAAGGGAAAGCTGTCCTCCTTGCAGCCATTTCAAAATATTAGGCAATTTGAAGTAGATCTTTTAAATTATCCATTTGTGTTTTAAGTGTATCTCCATTCTCCATTCTTCTTTTTTTTTTTTAGTATTTGTCTCATATTTCAACTTCTTGTGTTTATTCCTCAGACTCTTGGAAGTATACAGTAATTTTAACAGGCTTCCTTTATGACAGGCATTTCATATACTGTACAATCAAGGTTTTCAAGTCTGCTCTATAACTGTTGATTTGTTGATTGGAGTTTAACCTTCTCTTCTAAAGAAATGCCTTTAAGAAGCAGAATTCTTTGTAGAAGCACAGTTTATGACAGTGTTTTATTCTCTACTTCATGCTGTTTGTCAGGTGAATGGGATAGCAATACTCAAAGATGCCCAGAAAAGATACACAGTTTTATATAGAATCACAGCTCAAATCTTTGAATAAGATGTAGTTGAATGCCTTGTCAGACATTACAAAAAATAAAGTAGACTGGTCTAACCAAGTCCATTTCCTCAAATAAGCATTCCTCTAAGTGTGGGCCAGAGACCTTCAAGGATCAGGAGATCAAAACTATTTTTATAATGCTAGTAACATTATATGCCCTTTTCACTCTCATTTTCACTCTACATTCACAAGTGTGTGGAGTACAAAAAGTTTATTAAGATGGATTAAGATTCCACATTGATATTAACCTTTAGGAAACTAATACTCATTAAGTTTCAATGTAGCTCCAAAGAAAAATACTTGTCATTATATGAATAAAATATTGGAGCAGATTTTTCTTCATACTTTTACAATAAAACAACATATTACAAAAGATAATGCAGGAACAGGTATGAAAATCCAATTGTCTTGTATTCAGGCTTTATTTATTTATTTATTTAGAGACAGAGTCTCACGCTGTCCCCCAGGCTGGAGTGCAGTGGCGCCATCTCGGCTCACTGCAACCTTCGCCTGCAGGATTCAAGTGATTCTTCTATCTCAGCCTCCTGAGTAGCTGGGATTACAGGCACTCGCCACCACGCCCAGCTAATTTTTGTATTTTTAGTAGAGATGGGGTTTCACCATGTTCTTCAGGTTGGTCTCGATCTCCTGACCTCCGGTGATCCTCCCGCCTCAGCCTCACAAAGGGCAGAGATGACAGGCATGAGCCACCGCGTCCGGCCTATTCAGCCTTTTTTAAAGAGATTTTTGAAACTGTAAGATAACATCACTCTTCTCATTTATATTTTTGTCTTGGTTAATATTTTTTAATAAAATAAGTTATTTTCATTAGTTTGTATTAGATTTATTTATATTGCTAATAATTATAACAATGTAATACTAATTTAGTTATTGATATTATGAAATAATTTTAAAATAAATATTATGTATTTTTCTCACTTCTAGTTTCTACTATGTAGATATTACCATATAATCAAAACTCTGTTTTGAGGAATCTTTGGTACTTTTGAGGGTAAATGGATTTTTAGACCAAAATATGTGAGAACCCCAGCACTAAATGAAGCAAGTCTGATCTGAAAATAATAATGACATATATCTAAATACCATATTGTAAGAAATTTTTAAAAAAATAAGTTACAAAGAAAGATAATGATCTAGAGAGAACACCAATGAACCCCTTTTCATCTTGTTTACAACTGGCACACTTTGAAGTAGAAAAGGTAAAATTTCATTCTTAAGTGACTTTATATAAGTTTTGTAGTTACCCACATGAAACAGATTTCATCAGATACTGCAAAACATCAGTAGAACGTATACACAGTTAAATGTAACCATTTTGTTTCCTTAAATCAAGAACTTTTAAAGGACTTTGGAACTATTTCTGTTTACCTAACATTGATTATGACTCAGTTCCAAATAGAAAATGTAATGAAAGACTGAAATGTAATGAAAGTAACAAATTCTTCTACTTAAAGTAAAACATGAAAAATCAGCAGGTAAACTATGAGTTACACTGTTCCAACATCTGTATATGTGTATTGTCAAACTGTATCTGTATTATATTTGCACAAATGAACTACTTTTATTACTTTTATCTCATAGAATTACCTCAATGTTAAAATTCACACACACACACACACAGAGGCATAATTACATACTGCTGTATATTGCTTTAAAAATTAGAATTGGTATCAAAGTTATCTAGCTTTAAAAAAATTTAGTAAGAGTTTCAAAATACCTACGGTACTTGAATTTCTGTCCCTGGGTTATTAAATGATATTGAAACAATTATGCCATGACTCCTGCTACATAAAAGCTATAATACTCTTTTATCTCATTATTATTTAAATGTTAAATGCTCTATTATAGAGGTAAATTGGGTTTAAAATAGAATGTTTCAAACAGAACAGCGAAAAGTATAAGGTTAAACAGAGTGAGGAATCAGAGCTTCAATTTATGATATGAAGCTTGCTAGGGCATGGATTGATCTTCTGATATACTAAGAAAGATAGACCCTCTGGCATGCCCTGTAGAGAATAAAAATACTGATTGAAACAAAAATGTAAAACAGCTGTTAAGTGACAGAGGAAATGTGCATTGGATCACCAGACTGCCATAAATATTGCACTCTTAATCAGAAAGCATCTGTCTTTTCCTTTTTGACATTCTCCGCATTGTATTTAATCTGTACAGAATGCTTCTCACAACAGGTGCAATGGTGTTAATAAATCTAAAACCTTATTTAAATGAAGCTTACAACTGGAAATGTTTCAATTAACAAGGCACTATTTTATGAGAAGGAATCATTCTAACATTTGGCAAATCCATAGATCGCAATGCATTTGCAAAAGTTAATTATTGGAAAATTAGAGTATAGAGGCCAAGAAAAGCTAAAGATCAAAGGTGTTTTAAGCAATTTTATGCAATGTGTTTGCATCCAGAGAAACTACAGGTAAAAGCCATTGGTGGGAATGTGGAATAGCTTGAAATATTGGGGATAGATATTACAAAATGTCATGTTTTTTTGACATGTCCATAAAAATTGGCCTCTATTGCACTAGTTTATTTTCCTACAGTTCAATTTTTCACCTATTATCATGATTCACTTGTTGAAATTGAATATAATAGATCCATGATCAATCTCACTGGATGATAGATGATAGATAGATAGATAGATAGATAATAGTAATTCTAAGATTTGCATTATAATCACCCAAATAAATGTCAAATAGATGATTTCTTCAAAACCATGGATATAATAATAAAATTAACTCTCTTAGAAAACACCCTTTGAAAGTGGAAGCAGCTATAAAATTATTCACTTTAACTCTTTTACTAAAGTGAGTGCAGAGATAATGAGCTCAGTCCCTACAGGGGCCACACAGATACTATAAGTGACACAAGTCTGGTGAAACATTTGACCCTTAGTTGAGTATTCATCTTCTAATCTTTGACAGAAACAGGTGTTGAAGAAAATTTTCTTCTTAACTGCACTCTTGGACAAACAACATGGCAGGCTAGTGAGCAGTGCCCATTTAGTTGATTGTTTCCGTGGAGAAAAAGTACACAATATTTCCAGACATTCAATTTTTCAGTAACTTATAGGTCAAACAAAATATATTGATAGACTATCTCTTGCCCTTGGGCTTCCAATTTGCAGTCTTTGGTATAATAGTTGAGAACATAGGCTTACTGTCAAACATATCTTAGATCAACATCTGTCTTGGCCATTTATTAATCTTTACGACCTTGGAAAAGCTACTAGCTTTTAAATTCCATTTCATTCTCAGCATGAACAGAGTTAATAATAAAAGCTAATTTATAGTGATGTTTTAAATAATAAATGATATAAGGGGTATAAAATGCTTAGCATGGCAAGTACTCAATAAGTGGTAAATAAGCAATAAGTGGTAGATATTATGGGCTTCTTTTGTTGTTGTTGTTGTTTTGAGATAGTGTCTCACTCTGTCACCCAGGCTGGAGTGCAGTGGTGTGATCTTGGCTCACTGCAACCTCCCCCTCCAGGGCTCCAGCGATCCTCCCATCACAGCCCTCCCCACCATCCCCAGTAGCTGGGACTATAGGCACCTGCAAACACGGCCAGCTGATTTTTGTATTATTGCGTAGAAATAAGATTTCACCGTGTTGCCCAGGTATCAAACTCCTGGGCTCAAGCAATCTGCCCGTCTCGGCTTCCTAAAGTGCTGGGACTACAGGCATGAACCGTTGCACCTATTCTTATTTTGTTTTTAATAAGATACGGATTTTTTAAAAAAAAGCAGAAGCCCAGAAACCAATGTAACTGGACCATTAACATGAAGCGATTTAAAATTTCAGGCCTCCTAATTCCAAATCTACCAATCTATTTTCCGTATATATTTGTAACTGTGACTTCATAAAAAAAGCTCTAATTTCCTTACCTGCTTTACTAATTGATATAGGATAAATATTTTTTACATCATGGGTAAGGCCTTTTTTTAATATTTAAAATTCCTCTTAATAGCTGTATACCAATATCTATTATAGGTTAACACAGAAAGCAAAGGGTATTCTGTTCCTCAGAGAGTTCAAAAAAATTATTTCATCTCAAGCATTCACATTTTGTAAGGGATAAATCCATTTTAAAAATTCTCCCACTAAAGCAATATCAACAAGGTCATTTATTATAAAGCATAGGGGACTCCATTTTAATTCTTTTTTTGGAGATAAATAATACAAATGATTTTGATGGTGGGAGTTAGATATTCTGGGTATAATTTGAAAACGATTGGATCCTTCAGACTAAGCCAGTTCTGTTAGATAGACTTTAGCCTTAGGATAATACGGTTCTTCTTAGAATTTCACTGGTCCCTGTTTCAAAATCTTCTCCCTATTAACACCTCAGATCCTCCAGCTGATCCTCATCAAATTCCACCTCCTCAGCCTGATAAATGTGTTTTCCTCAACAATTAACAAACTACTCCCTTCTACTGATGTGTTCCTATCTAAAAAGTTTAGAAATTACCCCATTAATATGTTGTACTTACAATCAGACAATAATAACTGCAATAGTGGGGACTTATTATCTGCTCAAGGTTAGCTAAACCCTCTACAGGCATAGTCTCATTTAATCCTCACCACAGCTCTGTAGAGTCCCTAAATATACCAAAGTACTTCATTTGTAAAATCATTTTGAAAGATGTTAAATAATTTGTCGAGTAAGTGTCAGAGTCAGGGCTTCCATCTCATTCCCAAGGCTATACTATTCTCTCTAAATTCTTGGCTTAAAACTAAACCAAGATGAATTAGACACATAATAAGTAAGAATTAAAATATTTTCTGTGTGGTTGCAGAGAAACATAAAGCCAAATATTACTCAATGCTATTAAAAATTAAGATATTGCATATCTAAAGTTGAGCCTATACAAACATAATTTAAGCACCCCTTCTGAGGAACATTTATATTTGAAGAGCAAGGCAGATTTTACCGTACTTTCCAGCCATTATTTTGTTAATGTAATAATTACCTCAAGTAAGCCATTCTAGAGGCTTTCAAATAGCTCCGAATAATGCATAAATAATTTGTAAATGAAGGTAAAATGTCCCAACAGGTTTAGATCCACAGAGAAACAGTTTCCTGAGACACAATTCTGAGAAAGATTAGAAGGATTGAAGTCCAAAAGATGGATGAACAGAGACTTAATTAAGGTGAATCATGCTTTTGTGATATTCTTTGGAAAAAAATGCTTCCATCTTCACAAAAAAAGTACTATCTTTTTTAAGCAGGCAAACTATTGACAAACTTTGGGTAGCTAATCCACAAGGCTCACATTAACATACAGACCATGAAGTGCATTTTCCTTTGGGCAAGGAGAGGAGAATCTATTGCACATGTCATCTGTTTCTGTGAATACCAAAGATTACAATTATGTTTTGATGTTAATCCAACTACTGCAAATTTCTCATTGCAGAGCACTGTGTGAAAATGTGAGTGACAGTATAAATCTTTTTAAATTGAATTCAATACTATTGAAAAGAGCTGATGTTTTCAAATACTATTACAAAGCCTTTGAAAAAGCAAGAATAACTCTCTAAATGAAGCCGCTTTTCTATAGTGACCTATTTGATATGAAAATTGAATAGCCAGGATAAAATCAAATTCTGCAGGTCTACTATATTGTGTGTGTGTGTTTTGCATTTTTTAGGAACAATCACCTCTAATGTTTTGATGTCCTCGTAAGCAAACTGCACGATGGGAACTCCAAGATGGTTGATGAAATAATCAGCATCACCTTGTATCTGTATAGAACTGATATTGGTTTCTGGGCACTGGGCTCTTCTGGTACAGTTGAAATTATTTTTCTGAAAAACATAATTTAAATTGTTAACACATACTATGCTTCCCAGGTCATCCCTAGATCAGTGCTACTCAAAACATGGTCCACAGATCAGCAGCATCAATGTCTCCCTGGAGACTGTTAAAAATGCAAATGCTTAGGCCCCACACTGTCCTACCTAATGGGTGGTAGAGCCCAGGAATCTGCATTGTAACTGTCCTCTTTGATTCTGACGCTCACTGAAGCATAACTAGCATTGGCCAGAATTAAAGCTTTGCTTGCTGTTGTTGCTTCAAAAGCATTTTTTATCATAAGCTGAATTTGAACTCTGATGACTCTGACGATATTTAAAAAAGAATGTTGAGTCTCTAAAAAGGTGTAGCATTTTGTTTTTTTAATTAAGGTTTCCCATAAACTTAAAGAATGCTTTGTAGGGTATAATTCTGTTCTTCTTAAAATGTCTATTAAAAACTAGAGAAGAGGCCGGGCGTGGTGGCTCACCCCTGTAATCCCAGCACTTTGGGAGGCTGAGGCAGGCGGGTCACCTGAGGTTAGCAGTTTGAGACCAGCCTGGCCAACATGGTGAAAGCTCGTCCCTACTAAAAATAGAAAAATTAGCCGGGTGTGGTGGCAGGAGCCTGTAATTCCAGCTATTCAGCAGGATGAAGCAGGAGACTTGTTTGAACCCAGGAGGCAGAGGTTGCAGTGAGCCGAGAGTGTACCATTGCACTCCAGGCTGGGCAACAAGAGCAAGGCTCCATCTCAATAAATAACAAATAAATAAATAAAAATAAAAATAAAAAACTAGAGAAGAAACTTTCTTCATTTCTTCCTGAAAGCATATTCCTAGATGTTTTAAAATTATATGCCAACAACTACAGTGGGCCATAGTGAACCACACAGCTAAGTTCAAGCTCTGGGGAATATAAGATGATATAGGCTATTATTTCTTAAACTAAGAGTTGTCTGGCATGCAAAACAAATGACAGCAGCTTTACGAAAATGAAACAAACTAAAGGGTTTTATAATTAATATTCATTAAAATGTCTTCTTTAATAAATTTCTCAAAAATCTAGAACATTTCTGAGATGCAATGGCATCAACTATGAAACGTGGAAGAATAGCAATCTCCCGGACAGTTGTGAGAAAATGAGACAATAAGTATAAGAACATCAAGTGTCATAACAAGCGCATAAAGTATGTACTCAATCCATGTTTGCCTTTGAATCAAGACATCAACTTTTCAACCTCTCATGCTTCTCTGGCGTGACATAATTTCAAAAATACTTTTAAATATAATCTATATAAAATAAAACTATAAAATCAGACCCAAGCTTTACAGGGGAGGTAGATGTCCCTGTGGTTAACAGGGACGATGAAATTTAAAAACAGAAGCAAGTGGACTTACTAGAGTGAGAAAAAGCTTTTTCCATTCTTGGAAAAAGCAGCTCCACAAACATTTGCTTTACACCCTGAGCCAGAACAGTTCCTGTAACCAGACACAAGAGAAACTGGAGCTGGAAACCACCCCTCACCAGCCCTTTGAAAGAAAAGTTTGACACAGAGTTCTCGTTTGGGGCATAGAAAACAACCAATCAAAAGTTTGACAGAGAGTTCTGGGAACATAGAAAACACCCAATCAGTACTCTACTATTTTGACCAATCAGAACTAAACAAGTTTGAATCCTTCATTTGCATAAACAGGCCTGATTGAGAACTGAGTGGGGAATTTTCCCTATTTAAGCTAGACCCTCCCTTTGTTCTTCAGAAAATACACTTTCACTTCTACTAAAAGCTGTGCCTCCCTAGTCTGCAGATGGTTGTTTTTAATAGAAAATAAAGCTCCCCACTTTTCCTTTTCAGATCACCATGTCTTTTGCTAATATTTATCAAAAGACTTGAAAATATGTGGTGTAATATTAAGAAAATAAGTTATTCCAACTTTTTTCAACCACAGTGCTGGATGTTATAAACATATAATAATGTTTTAATAACTATCTAGTTTCTTTGAAGACCTAATGGAAAGATCTTTGCAACAAAGTTAAACATCAATTAAAATGGAAAGCCAGTATGAACCTTTACAAGCAAGTCAGGGTTTCAGTTTACAGACAAGGCAGTGTTTCTGCTTAATGTGTTTACAACTATTTTGGCTGATTAACCACTTTGGAAATAGAAAAAGAATGTTTTTACCATACAGTCTAATCAGTAGCAACTTAATCCTTTTTATGGTGACCCCCACCCCCCACCAGCAATTTGCTTCTTTTCAAAGCTGAATTTTTCGAAAGTGGGGGTAATCCTTTTTCACTTTCTGACACATTCCTCTGGCTTAAGACTCCTGGGGATTTTATATTAAGCTGGGACAGTTTAGAGAGGGTCTTGAATAGTCCCAAAGAAGAGCTAGTCTTAAGCACTAGAACATGAAAAACAAACTATTTTATATCATGTTATAAATCCCGAGCACCTCTGGAGGTATTTGTTTAGCTAGGTTTTTGTTGTTGTTCTTTGTTTTTAAGTTGAATTTGAATGCCTGAGGCAGGCAAGACATTTATTAACATCCATCACTAGTGTCTCACATTGAGCCTGCTCTACTCATTCAGATTTACTGAATAGGGCCAGAGGTATTTGAATTTGTGAAATCGAGATTGTTGCACCATTTTATGTCATTAATGAGGATATGATAAGATCTGGTCTTTACTTTCTCCAGATGCCTGACTGATGAAAGTAAAAATCATTTTTAAATGACCTACTTTCTCTTTAATGAAGTAACATGTATGTCTTTTCAAGACAGCAAAAGCATCCTACTCAACATAAATGAAAATATAGATTTGGCATTAATTTTGTTTTACATACGTTAACTCTTAACATCCACCCATGCTCAGCCATGCTCCTTAGATCGAAATTTTTTTCTCAACAGAAAAATGTCATGGTCAAAAATTAACAATGTCAAATTCTACAATATGTGCCTATTAAAAATTATTTTTTAAAAAATAAACATTGCATTTAAGTTTAATATTTGATATTTTCATTGTCATCATTAGTTATATAAACATTTAGTTATATAATAGCTGCCCTCTGACAAAAGGTGTTAGTTTCTTACATATGCACCTTTCTAACATTGCACAAATGACCCCATTCCAATCAATCCTTGCAATTTTTTTTTTTTTTCAAGATAGAGTCTCACTATGTTGCTAAATGTTGCCCAGGCTGAGCTTGACCTTCTGGGTTTAAGGGATCCTCCCACCTCAGCCTCCTGAATAGCTGGGACTACTGGGCCCAGCTACTTGCAACATTTGTTTGCTCTAACAGTTACATAGAGCACAGTTCTGGTTTAGCCTCAGCCTGTTATTTCTGAAGCCACTGTGAGTTCTCTTCTAGTCTCTCTGTTCTTGCTATAGCTACTATCATTTAGCTTCAATATTTTCATTGCATTCCATTTCCATGGTTTCTTTTAAGTACATAATTATTTACATGTTTTGTATTGTTCAGGCAAATCAAAAGGGCAGCATTCAGCTTTCAAGATTACACTCCCCCAAACACTTCTGCATTCTTCCTACTATAGTTTGCTCTGCCTTGCCTATTTATTTAAAAGTCTAATTTTTTCCCTAAAGGTTTATATTGCTGCCTCTGCCATATAAAAACTTTTTTTT
Organism: Homo sapiens; assembly: GCF_000001405.40. Lineage (NCBI taxonomy): Eukaryota > Metazoa > Chordata > Mammalia > Primates > Hominidae > Homo > Homo sapiens. The sequence continues at coordinate 175,572,418 of NC_000003.12, read as the reverse complement.
TTTTTTTTTGGTAAACCAACTAAGATGGCAACAGAGTGAGCATTATCTAGAAATATCTTACAATTCTATTTTGAGGGTTAAGATCTATTAAACTACATCTCTGATGCTACATGTGGACTATTTATGGAGAGGGGATAGCATATAGAAAAAGAGGGTTGAGTGACTGATAGCTGGGAGCACTTAACTTTTGAGCCGCCTCATGTCATCATCAAGCCCAAAGGGAGGGAAAATGCTTCAAAAAAGCCAAACCAAGATGGAGGCTTCAGGGACAACACAGTTTTCTGAGGAATACTCCTGGAGCTTGTTTCTCACCTACTGAACCCAGAGTTTCTCTGTTGGCCTTGCAGAGGACTTAACTCACCATTCCCCCACCCCATCCCCACTCCACACACAATCTTTTCTCCTCCTCTCTCTTTCTTTGTCTACCTCATTCTTTACTTCCCACTCTCACTAATTTAACCAGTGATGAGGGGAAGAAGCACATTACCTTCAAACCTGTGTTCATTTTGTCCTTTCATGCTTTTGTTTCTAACTAGCTTCAAAGTTAAAAAGTCAGATAACCCAATTTGCCCAGATAACCCAAAAGCTAGGAACCCAATTTGCAGATTTGAGGGTTTTTCTTTTTCCCAAGGTCATTTTATCTAGGGATTTCCCTTAAGAGAAAAACATTCCTGGCATAGAAACACTATTCTCTAAATCTTCATTATTCATTACTTTAATGTAATGAATTTAAGGCCAAATTCACAGACCTGCAGTGATTGTAAATCTATATTCAATCCTAATGTGAATAGTTTTTCCTCACAGCACTTCAGTGGATTATAACAGATCCATGTGAGGTAATAGACATTGATCTACTCAACCCTCATAAGCATTAATATTTGAGAGACTAGTAGGAAGAAATGTTAATTTTCTTTGTTTTACTAGAAGTTAAGCACCATGGAAGAGGGGAGGTTGGCAGCAAATTTGTGCAGGTCAATTAATTTTTAAAATTTATTTACAAGGCTGAGTAAATTCATGTTAAGAATTTCATCCAAGGAGTTCAAAATGCCTCATATTTAATGTTTGATAACAAGCATTTTTATTCCAGTTCATAACAGGGGCAAGTTCAGGCAAGGACCATGGTTATGTCACTAGCTTAATTTTCCACCCACAAGTCCATAGAAGACCTGAAATGAAATCACTACCTCAGTCCTAAATCTGTATGCTCTTTGCAAGTACAGTTTTAAGATGAAAGGCAAAACTTTATAGTAAATGATCATGTAAGATAAAAAAATTAAGTCAATACTTGCATTAGTTAAATAGTGATGCCAAGACAATTGACAAGTTTCTAAAAGTATTTTTAAAATCTGCTTAATAATTCAAATGTTTTATTTCCCCACATTCTGCTTTCTCCTGCATACATAAGCATTTACTCTACATGCACAGGAAATTTAAGTTGATTATTTACTTAAACAGCAAGAAAAGTGTAACATTCAAAATAAAAATACCATATTCAATACACCATAATAAAATTAAGTCACTTTTTTTTTTTTTTTTTTTGAGATGGAGTCTCACTATGTCACCCAGGCTGGAGTGCAGTGGCACGATATTGGCTCACTGCAAGCTCTGCCCCCTGGGTTCACGCCATTCTCCTGCCTCAGTCTCCCGAGTAGCTGGGACTACAGGCGCCCGCCACCACGCCCGGCTAATTTTTTGTATTTTTGATAGAAACAGGGTTTCACCATGTTAGCCAGGATGGTCTCGATCTCCTGACCTCGTGATCCGCCCGCCTCGGCTTCCCAAAGTGCTGGGACTACAGGTGTAAGCCACCTCGCCCAGCCAAAATTAAGTCACTTTCTTTTCGTTTCAGTTATAGTCTTGTAAGTTCAATTTTGTAGAAATAATTTATCTCACTGGTTTTCCTGGTTTTTACAGTATAGTAAAGTACCAATTATTACAATGACACCAATGATGTTAAAAAAATGATTTCTTGCTATAGGGCAGTGTGATGGTTAATTTTAAGTGTCAACTTGGCTGGGCCATGGGATGCCCAGATATTTGGTCAAATATCATTCTGAGTATGTCTATGAGAGTGTTATTAGATTAAATTAACATTGAATTGACAGGCTGAGTAAAGCAGATTGCCCTACTCAATGTGGACACCCCTCATCTCATCAGCTGAAGACCTGAATGGAACAAAAAGGCTGACCTTCCCACAAGAAAGGGGAGTGGGAGAACTCCTTCTGTCTGACTGCCTTGAACTAGAACATTGGTCTTTTCCTTTCTTTGGTTCTGAACCCCCCAAAAATAAGCTTTTTAAGAGTCTCAAGCCTGTTGGCTTTTGGACTGAAACTTAATAGCTTTCCTGGTGCTCAGACCTTCAAATTCAGACAAGCACTACACTATTGTCTCTCTTAGCTCTGTATCTTTCCAACCGCAGATCTCTGGGCTTGTCAGCCACCATAACCACATGAGACAAATCCTTATAATCTCCTTATATCTACAAATACACACACACACACACAAATTCATATAGTTATATATTACTGTATAATTATGTTATTAATGTATATATAAAGTGTCTGTGTGTGTGTGTGTGTGTGTGTGTGTGTGTGTATTAGTTGGTCTGGGCTGCTATAAGAGAATGCTGTAACAGGTGGCTTAAACAACAGAAATGTATTTATAATGGCTCTGGAGTCTGGGAAGTTCATCAGAGTGCCATCACGGTAAGTTCTAGAGAAGGCTTTCTTCCTGGTTTGCAGATGCCAGTTTTCCCGTGGTATCCTTACGTGATGAGGAGCAGAAAGAGAGAGAGAGAGATCTTGTATCTACCTCTCTTTTTATAAGGGCATTAATTTCATTCACTAGGGCTCCATCCTCATGACCTATGTACTTTCCAAAGGCCCCACCCACAAATAACATCAACATTGGGGATTTTGTCTTCAACGTGTGAATTTTGAGGGGACACAAACATTTAGTCTATAGCAAGATATATCCTATTGATTCTGTTTCTTTGGGGAACTCTGACTAACATAGGCACTCTTAGATGGTAGGTCACCTTTATGTTTGTTTTAAGAAATTTTCATTAGAACTAGTGAAAAATTAAACTTTAATTTCTAACTAATGGTAGTAAGAAGAATTGTGTTATTTGATTAGCTGGAGGTAATTTGACAAAATTTTGTTATAACATTTTTAGTTTAGAACTTTATAGATGTGGTCCTGGGCAGTGTGAACATGTAAACATTGAAGGATCATGGATAAATCATTACACGTGAAACTGAGAAAAGAACCTAAAGATCCTAATGCCCAAGGGTTCTTACCCTGAGATCCACAAATAGAATTAAAGATCTGAGAACTTGGTGAACCAGAAAAAAATAAAAATCTTTATTTTCACTTGCTTCTAACTGAAATTCAACATTCCATTCAATTATGAAACAGGCCACGCACCCAGTAACATTTGTTACAATATTAGTAGTACTTGTAACTTTGCAACCAAATAAAATCATGTTTTTATATCATATTTCAGTTATTGCCAAAACATTGAAATATCACTTGAACTTATTGCTAATTTGGAAATACTGCAGTTATGAGACACTTTGCTGACTTTTGTCATTTAATGTGTTAATTTTAAAAAGCCTATATATTACAAAAATGCAAATTTGTATGTTACTTAGGTAATTGCAGTTTAATATCATTGCTTTCCTTTTAACCCTGTGCATTTTAACTGAAGCAGTTGAAACATAATTTTTGAGACTGGGTCTATATAGGGCTTAGCAGCTTGCCAAAATAGCCCACAGCAGGGAAACTCTCCTAGCAAAATAGCTTTGCTTTACAAATTAGAAAATTAAGGCCCCCAAATTAATAGAATTGAGATTTAATCCCAGAACTTTTCACTTCAAATGCAATGCTCCTTTTTATGTACTATATTGATATATCCAGCTCACAAACCACATTAACGCATGGGAATAAACTACTTCTAAATGTGTCCTTTTTAGGATTCCATGGGTCTTTTTAAATTTTTATCATATTGCATCACCAGATCTAGTTGTAACAAACTACGCATCTATAATTTTTCTTCAATACTTATTTACTGTGTGTGCCATGTATTCTTCATTTATTTAACTTGTATTTTTATGCCAAAATGTGAACCCAATACCCAATATTTAATGATGCATTGCAGATGTCTTCTAATAATCTTTGAAAGAAAACAAAAGGTTATGATTACTGACTTTTTCTACTATTTTATACTAGAAGTTATTCTAAATGCCGACATCTAATGAGCTTCTCATAAACAAAATATCTCCAGAATAGTAAAAAAAAAAAAATTAAAAATTAATATATAACTTGCAATGCCTTTATTAAAGATTAAATTGGGTAAGGGAAGAAAACCAGATTTCATCTTATCATAAAATAGAAATTTTTGGGGCCGGGCGCAGTGGCTCACACCTGTAATCCCAGCACTTTGGGAGGCCAAGGCAGGCAGATTACTTGAAGCCAGGAGTTCGAGACCAGCCTTGCCAACATGGCGAAACTGTGTCTCTACCAAAAATACAAAAATTAGCGGGGTGTTATGACACACGCCTGTAGTCCCAGCTACTCGGGAGGTAGAGGCAGGAGGATTGCTTGAATGCAGGAGGCGGAGCTTGCAGTGAGCCGAGATAGTGCCACTGCACTCCAGCCTGGGTGACAGAGTAAGACTCTCTCTCAAAAAAAAAAAAAAAGAAAAGAAAAAGAAAAATTCAACCCATAATATGGGGTTTTCAAAATCTCCAATTTCTCAGGGTTTCAGCAAAGATTTAAAACCTACTTACTGGATGTTAACAAAAAGTATTTTCAGCTTTAGTGAAAAATTGCTAATCTTCTAGTCTACACAAGTAGCATTGCCAAATTGGAAAACACCCTCTAATTCTCATCTTTCTTCTGTTAATTTATACGACCTTAATCTTGTTATCGGGTATAGAAAAATGTTCTTTTATATTTGAAATACTTTTTATTTAAAATTTAAAATTTCATTATGTACTAATGAGTGCTTTAAGGATCAATCTCTAAGAAAAAAAAAATAGAGAAATACGAAAATATTTGCTCTTATTTTTACTCCAGCTTCTAGCTGGTGTTTTCTTCTCTACTCCCTCAACAACCGACCTTCATTTCCTCTTCCTCTTCTCTGACCAGTTCAAGATCCCTCACCAATAGTCACAAGATAGAAGACGATGGATTTCTTCATTTTTTCTCTCTCCACTTAAGACTTCGTGTAACAATAAAAACAGGTTTGTTCTTTTAAAACATTAGAAAATATTCAGATTTCAACCAAACTGTTGCATCTAAGTAAAAACCTCCAGTAAAGTAATAAAATAGTACCTACTCTACAGTATTTTAAACCACAGTAAGTTCCAGATGAATCCATCTTTACAATGTAAAAATCTAAATCATAAAATTGTAGTGGGAACAATGGAAGATAATTTTAATAACCTCAGAATGAAAAAGACATGTTTGAATATGACACAAACTCAAAAGATAAAAAAGATTAATTAGTCCTACTACGTAAAATTATAACTTTTCTGTATGACAAAAATTACCATAAACAAACATGAATGAAAACCTGGAAAAATATTTACAAATTATTTAACAGACAAATAGCTAGCTTCTATAATATATAAAGAAGAAAGATATGCTGATATAAAAAAATTAATGAAGATGAACTGATATTACCCAGAAAAAATTATTATAAATGCCTTTATACATAAAAGACACATAAAGCGACTTTTATATTTAGTCCCAAAAACCTTGTCAAGTTTGTTTGAATATGGACTGTGTCTTGAAGGACTGTGAGAAATCTGGCGCCTCATACTGAAGAAAAAAATTAATACAAATTCTATAAAATTTAAATAAGTTAGATTGCACACATATAATGAAATAATATACAGTCTTTAGAAAGAAAAATGAATCTGTTTACACACTGATAATGAACAATCTCCCAGATACATTTCTACCTAAAAAATAATGTGCTGAGATATTCTGTAAGATATCATTTGTGTTTCAAACATTAAAAATAAAAGTCTATACGCTCTAATATGTTCAAATGCCATTTGCCTCTGGGGAGAGACAATGGTATGAGGAATGGGTTTAGAAGAAAAACTGCCCATTGTCAATTTGCTTATTACTTTTGTATTTCTGTGAATGAAGCAACTCTCCAAAAAATAAATGTTACATTTTTAAAATTCCCTCTGAACTATATGTTACGTGTCCCCAATTCTAAGACTCCCATGATTGTAAAATATAGTATGAAAAAAGGCTTTAAAAAGGCTTTTGTGGCCAGGCACAGAGGCTCACACCTGTAATTCCAGCACTCTGGGAGGCCGACGTGGGTGGATCACCTGAGGTCAGGGGTTCAAGACCAGCCTGGCCAACATGGCAAAACCCCATCTTTACTAAAAATACAAAAATTAGCTGGGTGTAGTGGCATGCACCTGTAATCTCAGCTGCTCGGGAGGCTGAGATAGGAGAATCGCTTAAACCCAGGAGGCGAAGGTTGCGGTGAGCCAATAACGCACCACTGCACTCCAGCCTGGGGGACAGAGTGAGATTCCATCTCAAAAAAAAAAAAAAAAAAGGGGGGGGGCTTTTGTTTTTTGTTTGGACATAGGGAATAAACAAACCATGTAACAGATATGGCCCAGTTTCAGAAATATTCACAATTGAAGAAATGCCTAACAGTGGAGAAATTGGGTATTTAGAGTTGTGAAACAGATTTGGGACCATCAAAAATGCATATATCACTGGGGAGAGAACAGATAAGAGAAATTGCCACTTTATTAGGGAAAAACAGGGTCTCTTACAGAGGTTTTGGGAATGGACAACAGCATGAGGCCTCTGCTGGGGTAAGGGACACTTAAGTTGACAACCCAAGTCACCAGCAGGACACCAGGAGAGAATAAAGAGTCAAAAGATGGTGGGCCAACACGGAAAGCAAAACACCATCCATTTCATGATTATAATTCAGGACCATTCTTGCTTACACGGTTTGTGTGTGTGTGCATTTTCTAGGAAAGTATCAATGTATTATCAAAATATGCTAAATATGGAACACCTCACTCAGTCCAAGGAGGCAATTATATAAGGACTTACCATTTACAAATGGACATCATATTAGATGATAATGCAATTCTATGAGATGAGTTCTTTTTATTTCATTTTACAGACTAAAAGTTTTGTTATCCCCTATAGACATAAGAATAGTGAATGGAATGGCAGGCAGAAGTTTCTAACTTAGATTGTTGCTCTCTTCAACCTCCACTGCTGGCCTAAAGATTTTTCCTCCCATTTAGCTAAGGGAACAAGGAATAAGTTCCTCAACTTATAGAAAAAGCGCTGTTAAGCTGCTGATTAATCACCCAAACTAAAATTACCTTTTCAATGTAAAAGAAATGGAAGTTAAAATAATTTATTAGATTAAAAGACTCCATGGATTCCTTTGCCACATTGGCACTTTTTTAGCAGGTTTGATATTGGTCACTCCAGCAGCTAAACCTACTTCTTCACAAATTGCAAACTACATATAGAATGACAAATCCAGAGCCTTTCCAAAAACTGTACTCTGATCATATCTAAATGAAACTTTGAACACGTTGAAAAGATACGACTGTCCCATCCATCTTGACCTTTGGCCAAGACACTGGATAAACCAGACACCTGGATAAAAGCACACTCCCTCTGGGTACAATTCCCATAGGACCTTAAATGACCAAAAGAATCAAGATATAGATTTTATGTCTCAGTGAAGGATAACAACTCTGGCCTCACAATGCTGTTCCATGCTGAGGAACTGGCTGACATAACATAACTTCAGCTATTATTTCACCAGCCTTCTTGAGGTTTATCTTAAATAGCTTCTCTTAGGCTCACAGGCAATGCTATTTTAAATAATATGGTGTCAGCATGTCAGTGATGTATTCCAGCTGCCAGGCATTAAAAAAATTAACTGAAAAATCTAACTGGTTTTCAAATCCATATTAACTCTCTCAGACTGCAAATATGTTTAATGAAATATTTAAATTAAATCTTCTGTAGATGAAGCAGTTTAGTACCTTCCTTTAAAAAAATCACGTATTTTTTAAAAAGTAAACCAGAAGCAAAGAAACATTTCAAATTATTTTGCGTATTAGCATCATTCACTAGATACCAGGGAAAAGTTTGCTGTCCTCTCTGTGACCAGGGTTAGAGGGCAGCTGTAAATCAGGTAGGTGCTCTCAGGTTTTTTAGAGGTAATTCGTTTAATTTTAGGAGGGCACAGGGAGAAAAAAAATTGAAAAATGCAGACTTGGCAAACAGAAGGGCAAAAGGATGTGGATGGCATATCACCACACATTACCATTTCAAGCAGGTTAAATGCTGAGAGTGAGAAATCGGGCAGAGGAAATAACGCCATCAGCAGTAATATGTCCAAGTCTGACAGATGACAGCATCATCGCATAACCTTAAAACTGTGGGCCAAACTAACTGCTATCCTCAGGATAGCTTTGCTGGAGTGAGCCCATTAGACCTTTGCGGACACCATTGTATTCAAGGAGCACTGTGTATAGGACACCCAAATACTACCCGTAGCTCACACCCCAATGCTAATCCTTGAAGGTTTAGATTTCTTTGCTCCAGGTGTAAGGGCCATTACCTTGGTCGGACTGTACCAAGGAGTCTTTCACTCATATCACTGTTTTAACTTAGTTCACCTTTGTATTTTTTCTGCCTCTCCTACATGTTTTTGAAGGCAGAGAATTTCTTTTGTCTCTCTTTCTATTGCCCCTATATTGATCAGCACAATAAAATAGATACTTAAAAGAGTTTGTAAAACGGAGGTCAATCCACTTATTATCTAATTCTTCCACTGGGACAGAATGGTAAAGAAGATTAGAACTATACAAACACCATCCAGTTTAGAGTAGGCTTAGACCTGAAAATAATTAGACTCGGAGTGCCAAAGTGCAGGAAGTTTGAAGTTGACCTCAGGTAGTTTTATGAATCATAACAATTCTAAAAAACATTCTTTCTTAATTTCTTGCTGGGCAAAACCTGCTTTCAAGTAAACTGTGAATCCCATTAGGCATCTGTAGGAAGTCAGTAAGTGTGTACAGACATCACAAAATACCTTGTGAAAAGTAGGTGCTTGAGATAAATACAAAAGAGCAATCAAAGCCATGACTGCAGATGAGATAGACAATTTTGCATTCTCCCTTAAAAAGCAATGATGCTTCTCTTTAGCAGTATGACCACAGGGCAGTTGCTTAACTTCTTGAAGCCTTGAATTTCCCAAATGTGAAAAGGGAATATGTTCATAATATTAGAAGACTAAAGAGAATAAATTAAATAATGCCAAGTTATACAAAATATAAAAGCACTCATCTAGTGTAAAGCACTTATTACATACTGTAATTATTATAAATTATCATTACTACTACATAACCAACACACACACATACACACACACACACACACCCCTCCTATATTTTTGACAATCCTTTCTACCAAATCTACTTAAAACTGTGTTTTCTCCTGCCTTTTAAGATGTAGAATGATCATATTTAGAAAGTCAAATCTTTCCAATATTATATTCCCTTTATATTCCTTACACAATATAAGAATAGAGAAGACTTTTTTTAATTGGGTTTAGGCTGAGTAAAAGATGATTATCTACTCCTGAGAAATCATAGAATAATCATTACATACTTGTTCATTTAGTATCAAGAAATTTTCTATCATGCATTTTTTAATTTCCTAAATTATATTTTTTCTTAATAAAATTCCTTTATTTACAGAGCAATTTCTAACACTACATAATTACAGAAATTGATATTGTACTTGCAATCTATATAAACTCATTAGATATTTAAATAAAATATAAATTGAATCAAGATAAATCTGTGATTGGAAAACAAGAAAAAATAGTATCAAAAATAGTGGTATAACTGAAAACAAAAGAGGTAAAAATATATCAAAACAGTAGTGATCTAACATTTAAAAATATGTCATATAATATATACATAATAATATGTACATAATACATAAAATACATTTAGATTTAACAATACTTATTGTAGTTCTAAATACTTATTGCAGTTCACCAGGTGGTTTCATATACAATATCTTTATAATTACCTTCAATCAGTTTTAAAGCTATCATTGCTAAGAGAGATTAAGTAAATCATCTATTGTCACTCAGGTAGTGATAAGACCAACATTTCCACCATAGTTTCTAAGTCCAGTATTCTTGACTCTTTAACCCCATACTGGGAGTCCAAAAAAGTCAGATTTCAAAATTTACCTTGGAAATTCTCTCTTCCCCACCCACATCGGGAACTGAAATCACTGTGAAATACAGAGTCAGATCAAATACAGACTAATTTGATCTGAGACTTTGTGTTGAATTTGGCATTTTGCAGACAGACACAAAAAGCACACAAATGATTATTTAGTATGTCCTCCCACCACTGCCACCTTGGCATCTCACTTGGATGTCAAATAATTACTTCAAATTTAACACATCAAATGTTGAAGTCTACATTATGCTGTGAAATAACCTAGTCACACAAAAAAGATACCCTGTGTGATTTCACTTAAAGTGCTATGGACTGAATTGTGTTCCCTCCTAAAAGTCATATGTTAAAGCCTTAATTCCCAAAATGACTGTATTTAGATAAGGTCTATGAGGGGAGGATAAAGGTGAAATTAAGTCATAAGTGTAGGGCCTTAATCTGGTAGGGCTGGCATGTTTATAAGATCTACAGAAGTGGAAGCCATGGATATAATGGACCAATTCTATATACATACTTCTATAGATATTGCATACAGTATACATATTTTGTACAGCATATTTTGTAGATAGCATGTCTGTGAAATACTATCTATTGATAGTACTGTCTACAAAATGTGCTGTTATATTTCATCTAACATTTACAAAATAAGGGAACAAGCAGGTACTATGTTTTTGGGTTTTGGAAACTGAATCCACTAAAAAAAATTAGTTTCAATAAAAATATTTGAAAAAATATTCTGCCTATACTGAACATGTACAGACTTACATGTACAGACTTTTTTTCCTTGTCATTATTCCCTGAACAACACAGTGTAACTACTATTTACATAGCATTTCTGTTGTATTAGGTATTATAAGTAACCTTGAGATTAAAGTATAGGGAAGGATGTGCATAGGGTATATGCAAATATTATCCAATTTTATATCAGGGATTTTGGTATCTTTGTATTCTGGCACCCATAGGATGTCTTAGAACCAATGCTCCAATAACTGTATATAACACTTATAATACTATATCAATTTTCAAACTTGCTATAAATTTATAAACCAAATTTTTTCCCAATAGCAGGCCTTAGACAGTTTTCCACCTTTCAAGATAAGACAGTAGTTGGGAGAATACATTATTCAAATCGTATAAGGTAAGCAAATAGTCTGTCGTCTCGCCTTACTTTCCTTTTTGAACCCACTTCAAATAATGTTAGAAATGTTCAGTTATGGGCTGGGCGCAATGGTTCACGCCTGTAATCCCAGCACTTTGGGAAGCCAAGGTGGGTGGATCATGAGGTCAAGAGATAGAGACCATCCTGGCCAACATGGTGAAAGCCCATCTCTACTAAAAATACAAAAATCGGCTGGGCATGATGGCGCGTGCCTGTAATCCCAGCTACTTGGGAGGCTGAGGCAGAAGAATCACTTGAACCCGGGAGGCGGAGGTTGCAGTGAGCTGAAATTGCGGCACTGCAAACAAAACTTTCTTGAAACAAACCAGGGGATACAGTGAAAGAAGTACTAAGAGGGAAATTTATAGCTATGTGCCTACATCAAAAAAGAAGAAAAAAACAAATAAACAACCTAATGATGCATCTGAAAGAACTAGAAAAGAAAGATCAAGGCAAACCCAAAATTAGTAGAAGGGAAGAAATAATAAAGATCAGAGCAGAAATAAATGAAATTGAAACGAAATAAAAACAATATTGAAAACAAAATTGAAATTAAAATGAAAACAAGACAAAAAGATCAATGAAACAAAAAGCTGATTTCCTGAAAAGATAAACAAAAATTGTCGAACCTTTAGCCAGATTAAGTAAGAAAAAATGAGAGAAGATCCACATAAATGAAATCAGAGATGAAAAAGGAGACATTATAACTAATACTACAGAAATTTACAGGATCATTAGTGGCTACTATGATCAACTACGCCACTAAACTGGGAAATCTAGGAGAAGTGAATAAATTCCTTGACACATACAACCTACAAAGATTTAATCATGAAGAAATTCAAAAACAGACCAATAACAAGTAAAGACATCAAAACTGTAATAAAAAAATGTCCCTGCAAAGAAAAGCCTTGGACTCCATGGCTTTACTGCTGAATTCTACCAAACATTTAAAGAACATCTGATACCAATGCTACTCAAACTTTTCTGAAAAATGAAGTAGGAAGGAATATTTCCAAGTTCATTATATGAGGCCAATATTACCCTGATACCAAAACCAGACAAAGACACATAAAAAGAGAAAGGAAACTATAAGCCAGTATTACTGATGAATATTGATGCAATAATCCACAACAAAACACTAGCAAATAACATTCAACACAGTAAAAAGATCATTCATCATGATCAAGTGGGGTTCACCCCAGTGATACAAGATTGGTGCAACATATGCAAATCAGTCGATGTGATACACCATTTCAACAGGATGAAGGACAAAAACTGTATAGCATTTCAATTGATGCTGAAAAAGCATTTAATAAAATTCAACATCCCTTCATGATAAAACCGTCAAAAAACTTGGTATAGAAAAACATACCTCAACATAATAAAAGCCATATATGACAGACTCATAGATAATATCATACTGAATGGGGAAAAACATAAAGCCTTTCCTGTGAGATGTGGAAAAAGACAAGAATGCCTATGTTCAGCATTGTTTTTCAACATAGTACTGGAAGTCCTAGCTAAAGCAATCAGACAAGAGAAAAAAATAAAGGGCATCCAAATTGGAAAAGAGGAAGTCAAATTATCCTTGTTTGCAGATGACATGATCATATATTTAGAAAAACCTAAAGACTCCAGCAAAACAACAACAACAACAAACTTTAAAAACTAGTAAACAAATTCAAAAAAAATTACACAATAAATAACTAACATACAAAAATTAGTAGCATTTCTATATGCCAACAGCAAACAATTTGAAAAAGCAATCAAGAAAGTAATTCCACTTACAATAGCCACAAATAAAATTAATATCTGTGAATTATTATAACCAAAGAAGTGAAAGATCTCTACCATGAAAACTATAAAACACTGATGCAAGAAATTGAAGAGGACAACAAAAAATAAAAGATATTCCATGTTCATATATTGAAAAAAATCAATATTGTTAAAATGTCCGTACTACCCAAAGCAATCTACAGATTTAATGTAATCCCTACCAAAATACCAATAACAGTCTTCACATAAATAGAACAAAAAAATCTTAAAATTTATATGGAGCCACAAAAGACCCAGAATAGCCAAAGCTATTCTAAGCAAAAAGAACAAAACTGGAAGAACCACATTACCTAACTTTAAATTATACTACAGAGTTATAGTAATGAAAACATTATGGTACTGGCATAAAAACAGACACAAAGATCAGTGGAACAGAATAGAGAATCCACCGATAAACTCATACATATACAGTAAAATCATTTTCAACAACGTTGTCAAGGATATACATTGGGGAAAGGACAGTGTTTTTCAATAAATGATTCTGGGAAAACTGGATGTCCATATGCAAAAGAATGAAACTAGACCCCTTTCTCTCACCATATACAAAAATCAAATTCAAGTGGATTAAAAACTTAAATCTGAGACTTCCAACTATGAAACTGCTAAAAGAAAACATTGCAGAAACTCTCCAGGACATTGGACAGGGCGAAGATATCTTGAGTAATACACCACAAGCACAGACAAAGCAAAAATGGACAAATGAGATCACATCAAGTTAACAAGCTTCTACACAGCAAAGGAAACAACAAAGTGATGAGGCAACCCACAGAATGAGAGAAAATATTTACAAACTATCCATCTGACAAGGGATTAACAACCAGAATATATACAGAGCTCAAACAAATCTATAGGGAAAAAAAATCTAATAACCTGATTTTAAAAATGGCAAAAGACCTGATTAGACATTTTTCTTTCTTTCTTTCTTTTTTTTTTTTTTTTTTTTTTTGAGACGGGGTCTTGCTGTGTTGCCCAGGTTGGAGTGCAGTGGCGTGATCTCAGCTCACTACAAGCTCCGCCTCCCGGGTTCACGCCATTCTCCTGCCTCAGCCTCCCAAGTAGCTGGGACTACAGGCGCCCGCCACCACGCCCGGCTAAGTTTTTTGTATTTTTAGTAGAAACGGGGTTTCACCATGTTAGCCAGGATGGTCTCGATTTCCTGACCTCGTGATCTGTCCGCCTCAGCCTCCCAAAGTGCTGGGATTACAGGCGTGAGCCACCGCGCCCGGCCCTGATTAGACATTTTTCAAAAGAAGACATGCGAATGACAAACAGGTATATTAAAAGGTGCTCAATATCATTAATCATCAGAGAAATGCACTTCAGAACTACAATGTGGTATCATATCACCTTAGGTAAAATGGCGGTTATCCAAAAGTCAGGCAAAAACAAATGCTGGCAAGGAAGTGGAGAAATGGGAACCAAACAACATTGATGGAACTGGGGGTCACTGTGTCATGTGAAATAAGCCAGGCACAGAAAGACAAACTTCATGTGTTCTCACTTATTTGTGGGAACTAAAAATTAAAATAATTGAACTCTCAGAGATAAAGAGTAGAAGGATGGTTACCAGAGGCTGGGAACGGTAGTTGGGGATTGGGGGAAAGTGGGGAGGGTAAATGGGTACAAAAAAAATAGTTAGAAAGAATGAATAAGACCTAGAATTTGCTAGCACAATGGGGTGACTATAGTCAAAAATAATTTAATTGTACATTTTATAATAACTAAAAGAGTTTAATTGGATTGTGTTTAACACAAAGGATAAATGCTTGAGGTAATGGATATCCTATTTACCCTGATGTGATTATTACACACTTCATGCTTGCATCAAAATATCTCATGTAACCCATAAATATATACAACTACCATGTACCCACAAAAATTAAAAATGAAAATAAATTAAAAGAACAGAAATGTTGAGATAAATTTGGTAGGTGAAAAGGAAACATAATGAGCATGTATTTTCCATAGGATATTTTATAGGAGTTATTTACAGCAGATTTTGAGTTGAGAAATATATCGAAGGTCAGTCTTTGCTCTCTAGTCTTAGAGAATGTCTGTACAGATGTATTCATACACACTTATTACATATTTAGGTTCACTTTTATGTACATTTCCATGAATACTTTCAAAACTGACAATGAGCTGGTGTAAACCCTGAATTAAGGCATAGCTTTGGTCCCATTTCTAGGCTTTGTCAGCATAAACATTTTGTCATTCTGTTTGTGCTGCCTGCTGTGCAGAGAGCAGTAAGACTTTTCCTGAACTGTTTCTAAGAATGAGACTGTTAAAACCATCTGAAAATTATCCCCATTAATGTTAACACCAATAAATAAGGGATAAGAGATTAGAGAAATCAAGTGAATTGCTACTATTCTAAAAACAGTTAAGATATATAGAAGAAAAGTTTGTAAGATAGTTTTTAAACTTCAGAGAAATGAGACTTTTTTCAAAAATAACTTTATTCCCCATAGTCGAGTCTGCTTTCCTGAGATTTTTTTTTGTTATATATTTGGCATTCAGCAAAATGATGTCAATTTTAAATGGCAGTAACAATTTCATACAGAAATCTATACTAGCTTTCCACCTGGAGTGCAACTCCCATCATCTGAAATCAAAAGTGTATATTTTACTATTTTATAAACTATTAGCTTGAGAGCTATTTTTTAAGGTATATTATCTTATTCTTTAAGTGCTTTGCACTTTAGACGGGATTCCAACCTAAAGAATCTTACATTTTTATAGTATTCTGAGGTAATTTGGGTATTATAGTCATCTGACAGATGAGGAAACTGAGGTATGGATAGATAAAAAATTGCTAATAATCATAAACAGCAGGTAGTAGAGGCTCCAGTAGAACCTGACTCCTACTTCAGTTTTTTTTTTAAATCGTCTTCATGACTTTTCAAAATATTTTTTAAATACTTGTTGCTTCAAAAGCTTCTCCCTTGTTTGAACCTTATTTTCTTAGTGAATGTGTGCCAAGGAGGAAGCAAGAGACAGGCTGTTATCACTACCTCCCCTTATACTGTATGGTGCTGATCCCATTAATAAATGCTGAAGTGAGTCGCTGGCTACCCAGAGACGATGCCCTTAGCTCTGGAGTCTGCTGTTCTCTGGCTTGGCTGCATCAGTACAACAATCCTTCAAAATGGCTTCTTAAAAGTTAAAGGAAGTTTAAACAAAGAATTAAGAGGAATTAAGAGGCTTTTTCATTTTGGAAAGTCAATTCAGTTCCAATCTCAAACATTCAACAGAAGGTAAAATTTTCCGCTAAGAATCCTAGTGCCTAGAAACCATAAGCCAAATATGACAGTAACAATTAGACAAGATTGTGCTCCTTTCTCAAGAAGTAATTAAGAATTATCATTTTTAATCTCTCAGGGTCATCGGCAATATGCATCCCAGTAAATAATCAGAGATATTTATGTTATATACATATATATGTGTAGTGTGTGTATATATATATTTTCATATTTTATAATCATTGCACAATCAACAGCTATTTACTATACATGTGCTAAGTATGACATGCTTTAGAAAACATAACTTATGAACAAATATGTATTTTATATTGTCAAGGAGCTTGTGATACAGTTGGGTAGGAAATGCTTACCCATGTGAAATGTTTAAATGATAAGGAATATATTGTTTAAAGAGTGCCTTAAAGGGTACAGTGTACGGGTTTGAAAATTACTTCACGACGTTAACACAAATTCAGTACATTTGACTACAGATAAGAAATCTGTGGCAATAGCAAAGAGGTTAGTAAATAATGCAATAAATGTACTCACTGCTATTTGAAAGACTGACAGAAGTTTTTAGCAATAAGAATTGCTAATTAGAAGATTCTTTTCTGATAATTGAGCACTATAGTGGACAGGTAAATTACTAATGTGATCACTTTGTCAATTAAGTGTGGGCTTCTGTTTCACATACATGGAGCCAAACAGTACTGTATCATTCCCTCATTCTGACATGAAACCACTTAAAGAAAGGCAAAACAGAAACAAAAACAACAAAAACATTAGGGACTCACCAATAGATAGGGTCTTGGCTCATAGAAAGTAGACTTGGAAAGTACTTGCAATCTTCTATCCCTAAAGTGACTAGCTTTATGCCAAATTATCCTATCCCTGAGACTCTGAGAAAAATCTATAAAAGTCTTTCTTAGATTTACATTGCCAAGATTCAGGCTGCTATCCAAGATCTGAAAACAGCACAGTGTATTCTAATTAGACCAGGATAGCAGGTTAGAATAAGGTAAATAGCAATTGATAACAGGTAAAATATATACATATAAACTGAGATAAGTTAGAATTCATACAGCTGTGTTTATTATTTTTCACTTTAAGCAGTATTTTTTATCTTAAGTTAAATATGTACTAATGTAATTATGGGATTTTTGCTTATTAAATTAACAAGATTTTTAAATGATTTCTAAAGTTGTTAACCCTACAATAAATTATATTGGTACCATCATTTATCAGGGTGTATTAAGTACTTGAAAAAAGATATTCTTATCCTTTGACCCAATGACCCTATTTCTGAGAAGGTACCCCCATGTAACCCACCAGAAGAAGAAAGCCATTTACATAAAGATACTGACTATATCATTACCTATATTATATTATACTTTCTGAATATATTATATAAGTAGGGAATATTAGAAATAGCCTAAATACCCCAAAACATAAACGCTTAAATTACATGTCATGATATATTATGTAGCTATTAAAGATAATGATTATAAAGGCAAGTAGTATGAAAAATGCTTTTGAAAAAATAATGCTTATTTTTAAAAATGTGAATCCTGCCACAATGCTCCCTCTTGAGTTAAACTTTCCAAGGGCTTCCCATTGCATTCAGAATAGAACTGAAAAACTGACCCTGGCTTACAAATCCCATCCTGACATGGCTCCCGATTGCTGCCTCACAAGTCTCCTCTTGTACTCTGCTTCACCCTCTAACATCCTCCACTTAGGACTACTTGGTTCCAATATTTAGAATGCTTGTCTCCTTGGTCTATATTTAGCCAGCTCCTTCCACTATTAATTTGAATGTCCCACAAGACCCCTCCCAGAAGACTTCCTTGACCATCCAATATGAAGCAGTCAGCCACTTCCTATCATGTCACCTTGCTTAAATTTTCTACATAGTACTCATTATCAGTTGATAATGTTGTGTTTACTTCTTTATTTACCCTGTATATCACCTGACTCCTTCCACTAGGATGCATACTCCATAAAAGCCCCTATCTTGTAATAATATGGCTGGTAGATAGAAGACGCTTTATAAATATTTCTCAAATTAATAAATTAATCAATACTGATAATGTTTTAAATATAAACATCCTTAAAAAGAAAAAATAAATATATTTAAAAATAACTACATGGAAAATTTATATTATCATATAAAATACCTAATTTGGTGGCTATAATACTCAGGTACCATTACCCCTGGGAATAGCCTCTGGAATTTTTTTTTTTTTTAATATTTCTCCCAAAATGAATCATTTTCAGGAGCTGTGCTTTTTGAAGCAAATAAAATGTCATGATGTCAAACTTTTACAAAAGTCCAAAGCAATATGTAATTAAGAAAAAAACTAGTTCAATGTGTAAGTACAAGAGCTATATAAAGAAAAACAAGAGTCATGTGGGATATAGCTGTTGGAGGAGATTTCACAGAGAAGACACAGCTTAATCCTAAAATACATGGAAGGATTTGGACTCATGGAGAAGAAAAAGCATCCTAAAAATATTTTGGGAGAAACTTTTTTCAGGGAACTTTAAAATCTTCTCATCCCTTATGATTTGCTCTTTTAGGACATTCCAAACCCAAATTACCCTAATTTCAATCATTTGGCGTAGAGCCCAATGGTCAGGAGATACCCAGAATGTATAGACTGTTCTCAGGTTTTAGGCATATTTATTCAACAACTGCTACATGAAATAACTGATATATTGACTTAGATATGAGATGAGTTATTTCTGTTTACTTTCTGGGACCTTGACATCATGCTCAGCAAATACACACTGAGCTATAAGCATAAACATGGATATTTAACAAGCTACCTATAATCCCTTTTTGTACACTGAGTATACTGAAAGGCAAAAAAGTAAAGGGTAAATCTAAATCTTTAAGAGTAAATTCAATTTTATGGCATTTGATTTAGTTGATAAAATAAAAATGATAAAATATATAAAAATAACCTATTTGTCACCAGAAGTATCTCTTAAAATATAATCACTTAAAATTAAATGAGATTATATTAAACATCTTCCCTATCCTCTATTGAATTAAGCAATTAATTCCAGGAATATATGGCATATCATAGGTATATACTTGAATCTCCACCTGTGAAAAATGTTATAATGCATTACATTCATCAGTATATTTCTAAATCAATAAAATGATATAAAAATACAACAGAAGCAAACAGGAAATTTTATTATATTGTTTAATACATGCTTCACATCTTGTTATGCTTTTATTAAATATTCAGCTTCCAACATAGCACTGTAAGACTATGTGACAAGAGCACACATATTAATAGGACGTTTCTTTAATATCTTATAAAAAAGAAACATTCAGATTTTGACAACTACATAATATGGTAAATCTTGGTAATGTAAAAGTATAGCTGTATATTTCAACATAAACTGGATGTTCAACATCTTAAAATAGCAGTAGTGGGAATAAAATAGTTTAATAGGCAGAATTGCCCCTAGTCATTTGCAAACTACTAAAAATTTCCATGCAAAATTTAATACTCTATTTTCTTTTTTCACTAGAGGCCTTCTGGAAAGGAGAAGAAAAAAGCAAATATGAAGACATCATTTATTAGTGAATACACTGTTCTTTTAGACACCTCTAATAAAGGAACAGCAACATTTTATCTCATTGTATTCCCAATGGACTGCATATCACTACTTAACAAATATTTTCTTTATTATCATTTTGATGCTTACTTAGACATTTGGTTATAAATAGTTATTCCCATTATAGTACATATAATACACAATATGTACATAGTTTTATATATTTTACATGGCTTTACATACTTACATATTTTATATATACACATAGGTTTAAGCCAAGAAATTAGATAATATAAATCAATAAAATAATGATACATTGACATTAAATTTCTACATTTATCACAAACAGAATATACTAGGGGATAACCTAGAAAAATAATTCCCTTTTTTTTTTTTTTTTGAGACAGAGTCTCGCTCTGCTGCCCAGTCTGGAGTGCAGTGGCGTGATCTCGGCTCACTGCAAGCTCCACCTCCCAGGTTCACAGCAAACTCCGCCTCCCAGGTTCACGCCATTCTCCTGCCTCAGCCTCCTGAGTAGCTGGGACTACAGGCACCTGCCAACATGCCCGGCTAATTTTTTGAATTTTTAGTGTAGACGGGGTTCACCGTGTTAGCCAGGATGGTCTCGATCTCCTGACCTTGTGATCCACCCGCCTGGGCCTCCCAAAGTGTTGGGATTACAGGCGTGAGTCACCGCGCCCGGCCCCTCTTGTGTGAACTTTGTCATATACAAAGTGGTACAGTGGAGAATAACTCTCACTTTGAGAGGGATGACACTTCTCAAATACTATGAATGGGACCCTTAATTTGATTGTATAGGGGAAGATTTAACAACTATGTATGAACTGTTTTAAAAATGTGAAGCCAACCAATCTTGTCAGTCAACAGCTGTTTTATATATCCAATTGACATGAGTAAGAGATCTGACCAAGAGATGACAGATGATATTGTATTTCTATCGTTTTTGTTACTGTCTTTGCCTAGCCTAAAAACTCCCCTCCCTACAACACCGACACTCTCTGAAAGCCTATCTTGCTGCAGTCTCTAGATACAATCAAAATGAAAGAGTTTTTCTCATCCTCAGATGAAGGATCCCATAATTACTCATTTTTCTTGATTGGTTGGTTCAGATCATTAAACTTTTAAGTATTGCCTGTAGCTTAGCCAAATTCACAATCACCTCAACAAATGTTCCATTAAGAAAATTCAGCTAGGAAACACACACACACACACACGCAGAGACACACACACACTCGTCTCTCTCACACTATACAAACTCCAAATGGATTTTGATAAAAAATGCTTTTCAGACAAATTCCATAATTATGCCCAACTCTACCACAACAGATAAATCCATTTGAAATCAACCTTGAATCCTATCATAACATTTCTTTTCTCTTTTGAGAAAATTAAATCAATCCAGTGCTTTGCATCTTCCAAACTAAATGGCATCAGCCAAATGTTTTAGGCATATGTGAGTTTTCCCTCAAACAGTATATATCTAGAGATTCCTGATACACAGAAAGTTTCCATGTTTGCTGCCTTATTGGAAGTTCCCCCTCCAGAAATACTGGCTCAATAACCACTGCACAACTAGAGATTCTTACTTCTTTGCCATCATTGTTTATTTCAAATATGTTATTGAGATCAGAATAATGCATCCATCCTGCCCAAGCAGATTAAGGACAATATTAAGACCTTCCTCAAGTGTCACAATATAGAATCTATAATCACCGCTTTCCTGTAAGAAGGGAGTAAAATACCAATCAGTATCCTTAACAATATCTTTATTTTATCAGTAAAAATAGCTTGGCTATAGTTTTTGCCTTTTTATAGGATCTATAAACAATAAATTTTAATATTTGCCTTCATGTTGTTTCTACCTAGTCAAGTTACTATTTTGTCTGGAATCTTCCTTGGGCCATGTATCTCAAAGTGGAAAATTTATTCTCCTCTTCCTTTTATTTTTCTCTCTTCTCTGAAAGCCACTTTTTATTTGCTTTTTCATATCCAGGTCTCCAGTGTAGTGGAACCAGTTTATTTAGATTAAGGTACACTAAAAGTCCTATTATGTTTTCCAGAGTCTCCCAAATACTTTTAAAATATCATGTTGACAGTATATTTTCTGACCATTCTGCTCAAAATGTCAGTGGCTGTCTGTTAACTTCCCCCTCAATAAAAATTCACAGCATGATTGAATAGAAAGAAAACTTAGGATTTAAAACCGTATAGGTGATCCTACACTTAACTAATAATAGTGGCCCTAGCTTAAACCCCTTTTTTCTTTGTCTTGTCACATAACCACAGGGTTCACTCTTTGTTAAAATGATATATAAGCTTCTGGGCCTACCTATTTCTTTAGCGTCTGTGTTTCTTTCATACAAAAGCCACTGCAGAGACATAAAAACTAAAATATTAAAATCAAATAAAATTGATATGATTTTCTTTTGTTAATCTGTATTTTGTCAGTTCAATTAACAGGCCCCAGTCAGTGATTGATCTAGGAAGGGAGATGTGTTTCCTCCACTGCTAGTGTAATAATAACTTCTGACTGTAAGTCTTAAAGACTTAAGTTTTTTGCAGTCCGCCTTTGTATTGCCTACATTTAACATATAATAAACATTCAGTAAATGTGTGAACAAACAATAATTAACTCTAATTATTGACATTAGTTCACAATAAGAAAATGAGAAACAGAATGTTCTATGTCTTATGATTAGTGGTAGATCAGGAATTTCAAGCTCACAGTCTCTGATTGTCTCCAAAAAGCTGTATTGTCATCTCTTATCATGGAGCCATGATAAGAGTTCACTACTATGATGACAAATTAGATACATTTTCATAATGAACAAAATTAAGTTAATAAGTTCAAATGTGTGATTAGATTCATATAGACCAAAATAATAGAGTATTTATAATGCAAAAAATAATTTTAAGAGTAGATTTAACATTCAGAGAGTGCACAACTGAAATATGAATAAATTGTAATGTTCATTAAAGGAAAATAACATGACAGTTAGATGTCTAAACAGATATACACATCCAATTTTTTTGGTTTCCATTTTGGCTTTCCAAATCTAAACAAAAAGGGTGGTGTATTATTTACAGAGTAATGAAAATAGTCTTAATCATATCATAGAACTACACAATGAAAGAATAAAACAATGCAAGGGAAAATAAGTGATAATCTCAAAACTGTATGTATATAGTATCAAAAAGTCACTTTCAACTATACTATAAGAAAAATTTAAAAAATTTAATGACATATTAATTCAGAAGGAGAGCTTGAATTTCTTAGATTGCAAGACAATCCAGATATCTAGAAACCTTGAGGAACACAATTCAGGCATTTTCTGGTCTGGAGTGTGATAGGAATAATAAATGGTAGAAGCATTAGAATCAAACTATGAAACTTTGATTCTGTTAACTACTATCTATGAATCACCCACTAATACTTTAAAACTCAGGTAAAGTATCATCCCTTCAGCAAGCACTAATGATCCTTTCCTCTGTATATTCATATTTCAATTAGACTTTTTTCACTTTGTACCATTTACCAAATCAGTATGGAATTTGAACTTTAGCTGTAACCAGGACTATTTATATCTCAATCTCCATTTTCTAGCACTGTGCACTGTCTTTCATAGGGATAAAGGCAGTCTTAGCAGTACTTAAATTTAGCAAGGCTTAGGAGTACATAAAACAACAATTTACCATGTCACTCAACTATTCCAACGATATCTGTGAAGTCTTTTCTTTTCTAACTTTTATTTTAAGTTCAGAGGTACAAATGCAAGTTTGCTACATAGGTAAACTTGTGTCATGGTGGTTTGCTGTACAGATTATTTTTCACCCAGGTATTAAGCCTGGTACCCATTAGTTATTTTTCCTGATCCTCTTCCTCCTCCAAACCCTCCACCCTGTAATAGGTCCCAGTGTGTGTTGTTCCCCTCTATGTGTCCATGTGTTCTCATAATTTAGCTCCTAGTTATAAGTGAGAACATGTGGTATTTAGTTTTCTGTTCCTGTGTTAGTTTGGTAAGGAAAATGGCCTTTAGTTCCATCCATGTCCCTGCAAAGGATAAATATCATTGTTTTTTATGGCTGCATAGTATTCCATGGTATATATGTACCACATTTTCTTTATCCAGTCTCTCATTGTTGAGCATTTAGGTTGATTACATGTCTTTGCTATGTTGAATTTTGTTTCAATGAACATACGTGTGCATGTGTATTTATAACAGAATGGTTTATATTCCTTTGGGCATATACCCAGAAATCGGATTGCTGTGCTGAATGGTATTTCTATCTTTAGATCTTTGAGGAATCACCACACTGTCTTCTACAATAGTTGAACTGATTTACACGCTCACCAACAGTGCATAAGCATTCCTTTTTTTCTACAACCTCACCAGCATCTGGTATTTTCTGACTTTTTAATAATAGCCATTATGACTGGTATGAGATGTTGTTTCACTGTGGTTTTGATTTGCATTTCTCTAATGATCAGTGATGTTGAGCTTTTTTTCATATGATTGTTGGTCACATGTATGTCTTCTTTTGAAAAGTGTCTGTGACCTCTGCCCACTACTTTATGGGTTGTATTTTCCTTGTAAATTTGTTTAAGTTCCTTATAGATGCTGGATATTAGAACTTTGTCAGAAGCAAAATTTGCAAAAATTTCCTCCCATTCTTCAGGTTGTCTATTCACGCTGATGATAGTTTATTTTGCGGTGCAGAAGCTCTTTAGTTTAATTAGATTCCATTTTGTCAATTTTTGCTTTTGTTACAATTGCTTTTGATATCTTTGTCATGAAATCTTTGTCTATGCCTATGTCCTCAATGGTATTGCCTAGGTTGTCTTCTAGGGTTTTCATAGTTTTGGGTTTCACATTTTAGCCTTTAATCCATCTTGCTTAATTTTTGTATATGGTAATGGCCCAGTTTTAATCTTCTGCATATGGCTAGCCAATTATCCCAGGACCATTGGTTGAACAGGGAGTCCTTTCCCCATTGCTTGTTTTTATCAGGTTTGTAGAAGATCAGATAGTTGTAGGTGTACAGTCTTATTTCTGGGTTCTCTTCTATTCCATTGGTCTATGTGTCTGTTTCTGTACCAGCAGTACCATGCTGTTTGGTTACTATAACCCTGTAATATATTTGAAATCAGGTAGTGATGCCTCCAGCTTTGTTCTTTTTGCTGAGGATTGCCTTGGCTCTTTGGGCTCATTTCTGGTTCTATATGAATTTTAAAATAGTTTTGTCTAGTTCTGTGTAGAATGTCAATGGTAGTTTAATAGGCATGGCATTGAATCCATAAATTGCTTTGTGCAATATGGCCATTTTAATGATATTGACTCCTCCTATCCATCAGCATGTATTTCTTTTTCATTTGTTTCTGTCATCTTTGATTTATTTGAGCAGTGGTTTGTAGTTCTCCTTGTAGATATACTGCACCTCCCTAGCTAGCTGTATTCCTAGGTATTTAATTAGCAGATTATCTAAGGTTGAAATGAAACAAAAAATGTTACAGGCATCTAGAGAGAAAGGTCAGGTCATCTACAAAGGGAAGCCAATCAGACTAACAGCTGAAACCCTATAAGCCAGAAGAAACTGTGGGTCAATATTCAACATTCTTAAAGAATTTCCAACCCAGAATTTATCTGGCCAAACTAAGCTTCATAAGCAAAGGAGAAATAAGATCCTTTTCAAACAAGCAAATGTTGATGAAATTTGTTACCACCAGACATGCCTTATAAGAGCCCCTGAGGGAAGCACTAAAAATGGAAAGTAAATACCGTTACCATAAACTACAAAAACACACGGAAGTACACAGACCAATGACATCATAAAGCAACCACATAGTCTGAAAAATAACCAGCTAACATCATTATGACTGGATCAAATCCACACATATCAACATTAATCTTAAATGTAAATGCGCTACATGCCCCAATTAAAAGACACAGAGTGGCATGCTGGATAACGAACCAAGAACCATTGGTATGGTGTCTTCAAGAGACCCGTCTCACATGCAAGGACATACATATGCTCAAAATAAAGGGATGGAGAAAAATCTACCAAAAAAATGGAAAACAGAAAAAAGCAGGGGTTAAAATCCTAGTTTCTGACAAAACAGACTTTAAACCAACAAAGATCAAAAAAGACAATGAAGTCTTTTCTTATCCATCCTGTGAACACAATGCTCATGCTGTCTTAATACCTCAGCATTTAGTCTACCAGTTTCCACTTCCCTGCTGCCTTCTTCACTGATATTTCTTTAAGGTGTATTGTACTCTATTACATCTATGTTTTATTTACCTTATCAAAATACCAGACATCTGAGAACAAAGGTCTGTATTATTTTTATTTGTATCTCACACCATATAAATCACTTTGTCTTGCAGAAAGTAGGCACATAGCAAATATTTTGTTAAGTTCATCAATAGATCTATGGTGATATGGAATGGAAATGCAAAACTTGGATTACAATGGTTAAATATTAAAGAAGTAAACTTTTCTATGTGCAGATCTTTCAGAATTTTGATGTGTTGAGAATATTAATATTCATGTTCATGTAAGTTGGCATTTAACAGTTTGGTTCAACTTTTATTAAGCTAACAAGCCCTGGAATATAAAATAAGTTTTAAAACATGGGTTGAAGTTTGTTAGCATCTAAACAGCATGATAATAAATATTTAACATTATAGTAATGCAAGGTGCTTTGCATGCCAGATACAGTGCTTTTAGCAGGTTATCTCTTATTAAACAATCACAGAACCAACAATATTATTCAAGGGGGAAAGTGTCTGCAAACACAACAAACACTGTGGAATAACTTCTAAAAAAAAAATACAATACAAAAGCCAAACACAGAAACTGTGGAAATCATTCATTCCTTTACAAGATGGTAAGTGGTGGTATTCATTGGTGTCAGTTTAATAAATTAGTAAATATAACAACCATTATTGTTATATTTAAAGACATAGTTATAGATTTCATACTACAAGTTAAAACTAACTTCACTAGTCAGGGCTGTCAGAAAATAAATGATTGGCTACTCTAAGGCTGTTTGGGCCATTGGACCTAGATGAGGGGATTTCCTTTTAATTCTGGATATTTACTATTTACTAGTTGAGTGAGATCATATAAGTCATGTAAGACCTCTGATCTTGTTTCTTTTTCTGTTAAATGAGTATAATAATATCTGCTGGCCTCTCTAATAATGTTTTTGGAAAAATCTAAATGGGTATGGACAATACTTGAATTTTGTTGTTTGTCATACAAATGTTTGAAAACATTAGCATTATTGTTATTCCAGACTATAGAAAGACCATCCATCGAAAGAATCTTGAGTGTTTGTACATTTGTCCTTGGGTATTAATTTCATTGGAAAGAAGGCTTGCCGGAGATGATTTTGCTGAATGCTAAATCATGGAAATATCTTGGATGGGGGACAAGTGAAAAGCTAATTCTAGATAGCCCATAACATAGGCAGAAAAATCTTGGCTAGGTGAACACTGGATTTTCAGGCAGAGTGGCATCGACTTGGACATAATGAAGGGAATATAAAAGGGCTTAGACGGTATAAAAAGGAGAAAAGGAGTGAAAGAGGGAGGCCAAATGAAGGGAGAAGGAGCATTGAAAAAACATTATAAAATAGGCAAATATCCAAATCCACTCTGATCTTTTGAGTTCCAATGTACAGAATAGTGACAAATACACAGGAGGCTTTTATGGGAAGAAAATAATAATGCACCAAATAATTATTATAAAGATTCAACAGCTTAGTTTAGTTGTGGTGGAAAAAGAAGATACGAAAAATTTCAGTAAAAATTTATGGAAGTTACTTTTGAGAATAAAAACTGCCTGCATCCATATATCTTAACAATCAGGACTCAAAACCGAGACCATCTCTATCATGTCGACATGATTTAGCTATTTGTTCCAGAAAATTCTTGCAGGAAGGTAAAGCTGTAAGCCAATAAATTAACATTACTGTTTGAATCAGAAATTTCCTGCAAACCAATTTGTCTAGACAAATAACTTGCTCATTATTGCAAAAAGCTTGTTTATCAAAAATAATTTACTCATCAAGGTTATATTCAGGACTCTCACCTTGCTTTGTCTAGCAATTATAAAGTTATTACAGTTTGCTCAAAGCCACCCATTTTTTCACATTAGAAGATCATAACTCAACTGAGCCCAGAATCCTGACACTGTTGAACTTTATCCGAGCCCTGTCCTCCTACCCTTGGTTTTTTGAAAACTACCTCCTACTCCCAACCTTACCCCTCCACACAGATATGCTTTTATGTTCTGAGAAGTAACTAACCACAAAGGACTATTCTGTCTTCAGATATTCAGAGAACTCCCTGCCTTTGTATGTCAGCTAAGACCTCCTTTTGATGCCTTTCTGTATTTACCTCTATCAAAATTCCACATTTTTTCCATCTTCTTAGAGAGGTTCCTTATTAATGTAAGTTCTCTCTATTGCAATAACCTAAATAAAATCTTACCATTAATTATCTGGTGATATGGTTTGGCTGTTTCCCCACCCAAATCTCATCTTGAATTGTAGTTCTCATAATCCACACATAATGTAGGAGGGACCTGGTGGGAGGTAATTGAATTACGGGGGTGGTTACCTCCATGCTGTTCTCATGATAGAAAGTGAGTTCTCATGAAATCTGATGGTTTTATAAGGGGCTTTTCCCCTTTTGCTTGGCACTTCTCCTTGCTGCCACCACGTGAAGAAGGACATGTTTGCTTCCCCTTCTGCCATAATTGTCAGGCCTCCCCAGCCATGTGGACATGTGAGTCCATTAAACCTCTTTTTTCTTTATAAATTATCCAGTCTTGGGTATTTCTTCATAGCAGTATGAAAATGGACTAATACACCTGGTACATTGTCTTTAACACCCCTAAACTCTATAAATATCCTCCCCTGACTGCCACTTCTCAATTCCTAATTACTAATAATATCAATATGGTGTTCATTTTTTACTGCAGCAGGTCTAAAACACTTAATTTTACTGACCTACAAGACATTCTTGTGGTGTCTTGGTTAGTCTTCTGTCAATAATGTTGACATATGCCTTGCAAGATATGGGAGGAGTTTGAACCTACATCAATAGGCAGTAGGGAGAGAAATGGAAGGGCAGTGGAAAAAACAGGGTATTAGGTGGATAAGAATTTATGTGAAACAGTGAGTTGCTTCTCTTTAGAAATTAAATATGTCATAGAAACTGGATAAAATTGGATTCATGTAAGAAATTCTCTGTTTGTAGAGGTGAAATGATAGGTTGAAGCAACATTACATAAGGCTTTAAATGATGCCAGGATAATGAATCCTAATGAGAGTAAGGGGCTATCAAAAATTTTAATAGGAATTTACCTCTATCCAGTCTATTACCCATTTTCCTCCTGTTTATTCATTTTCCAGTTCACCTAAAGAATAAGGCATTTGAAGGCACTTCAAGGTCACAAGTGAATTGAATTGGCTTATCAAAATATTTCAGAATTAACATACAGTTGGCCCCGGAACAACATGAATTTAAACTGTGTAGGTCCACTTACATCAGATTTTTTTTCAATAATTACAGTTGGCTCCACATGTCCATGGATTCTGCCTCTGCAATCAAAGTCAAATTGAAAATACAAGGCCGGGTGCAGTGGCTCACGCCTGTAATCCCAGCACTTTGGGAGGCCGAGGTGGGTGGATCACTTGAGGTCAGGAGTTTGAGACCAGCCTGGCCAACATGGCAAAACCCCGTCTCTACTAAAAAAAGAAAATACGTCATTCATTCACAAGATGTGAAACCCAAGGACAATGGAGGGCTGTCTTTTCCTACACGTGGGTTCCACAGGGCCAACTGCAGGACTTGAATATGCACAGATTTGGGCATATCTGGAACCAGTTTCCCACAAATGCCAGGAAACAGATACATATGACAATTTGGGGGTTTTCTTTAGAAGTGTTATAACATACATCTGGAAATATAGTTTAAATTCTCATTTTCATTATGTGCTCATTTTCCACAAAATATACCAAGTTATCTTCCTGTGTCTAGAAACTTCTTAGTTCATTAAAACATTAAAATATTAATAATAAAAGTGCTTTTATGCAAGAGATCACTTGTAAATTTTTCATGGTGTTTGATGGATTTTCATTCAAAGCCATTACACTAACAGTCATTTCATATAAAAAATCCTCTTCTCCCCTCTATTGTTCTAAAAACTTCTCTGGGTATTAGAGATTGTTGACAATGGCTTTCTTTCAAGAGAAGATTAAAAGTTGCACATAGTCCATGTGCAGTGGCTCACACTTACAATTAACACTTTGGGAGGCTGAGGCAGGTGGATCACTTGAAGCTAAGTTTGAGAACAGCCTGGCCAACATGGTGAAACCCCATCTCTTCTAAAAGTACAAAAATTAGCTGGGCGTGGTGTCACACACCTGTAATCCCAGATATTTGAGGTTGAGGCAGGAGAATCACTTGAACCTGGGAGGCAAAGGTTGCAGTGAGCTGAGATCATGCCACTGCACTCTAGCCTGGGTGACAGAACAAGACTCTGTCTCAAAAAACAAACAAACAAGCAGAGATCAACAAACAACTGCACACAAATATTGGCCTTAGGGTATTTGAGGGGAAAAAAAAGGAAACAAGTGTATCTTGGCCTCCATTGCACAGACTGTTCTGGACTTAAGATAGTTCAACTTACAATTTTTCAACTTTATGATGGTGTGAAAGTGATATGAATTCAGTAGAAACTGTACTTTGAGTAACCATACAGATATTTTGTTTTTAACTTTCAGCACAGTATTCAATAAATTACATGAGATATTCAACATTTTATTATAAAATCGGCTTTGTGTTAGATGCTTTTGCCTAATTGGAGGCTAATGTGTTTTGAGCACCTTTAAGGTAGGCTAGGTTAAGCTATGATGTTTGAAAGGTTAGGTGTATTAAATGCATTTTTTACTTATATTTTCAACTTTTGATGGGTTTATTAGGACATAACTCCATCATAAATTGAGGAACATTTGTACATTCTACTGTTTGGAGAGTAGGAAGAAGTAAAATCAGTTAAAAACAGATTTGGCTATTAGAGTTTGTTTTCACAAGTTGACTGATTGAGAGTGAAGGGATTAAGAGTGAAGGGATTGAAGGATTCGAAAGATATCTCAAGGCCTTGCCTGATTGGTCAGGTTGGTCTGTAGCATTTTCCCCTCATTAGCACAAGCTTTATTTCTGCTTGAGGTCTTCATCTGAAAGTATTGTAGCTAGTGATTTTCTATTTCACTATTCACTGTTATTTTCTTCATGGCATTTATACTAAATCATCTTATCTCTCTCAGTTTGTTTCCTGACCTACCTGATCCAATTCCTGACCTACTGCATTGTAATAAGCTTTGAGGTAAATTTTCTTTCTAAAGAAATCTTTGGCTCTTTAATATTATCGAAGTAAAATGACTGAAGGCGAGTGTTTAGTCCTTCAGTAGTCGCCCCTATTTAGTAAATGGTACTACTATTCACTTATCCTGTTTCTCAGTCCAGAAACCTGGATGCTTCTCTTTCACTAGTATTTTGGATCACATTTATCAACAAAGCCTGTCAACCCTACTCTCAAACTGCAACTCACCGGCCCAGAAGTGCCACCTGAGTCCAACCAACCATCATTACTATTGCAATGGCCTTCTATCTGGCCTTCCTCCTGTCAGATACCTCCTCCCAGAGCTTCATAGCCTCACCCAGCAACCAATGACCTTTAAAAAAAAATAAACTACATCAATCACCAGTTAAAAACCCTACAATGGCTTCTCATGGTACTTGGAATAAAATCCAAAGGCTCTGCCATGGCCTCCAAGGTCCTACAAAATCTGTCCCCTGTGCTCTCTGACCTCATCATCTCCCAGTGTAGGCATTAGGTGCTCTGCCTCTGGCTTACTGGCTTCTTTGATCGCCCTCTAACATACTGCCACTTCAGGCCTTGGCACTTCATTTTCTCTTCCCTCAGACATATCCGTAAGGATCACCTCATTCAAATCTCTGCTCAAAATTCACTTCCCTAGAAAGATCTTTCTTGATGACACTGCTTAATTAATACCTCTTACTCTCTGTCCTCCTGGCCTCCTTTGTTTTTCTTCACAGCACTTATTATCAACTGACATTACATCATCTGTTTGTTTCATCTGAAATCTGAAGTCAAAGTAATCCCCTATTTCTGTGTCAAAAATTACGGGAACACGTATATTTTCCTATCCATGTGTTGAATAATTCTGGGCTCAAACTTACTTTCTTGTCACTGTGCTAAATTAAATTTCTACAGTAATTCTAGTAATTTTATGAAGTGTACTTTTTTTCCTTTTGCTTGATAGCAAGCAAATTAACTTCACTGTTTACTCAAGGCAATACCTGCACATGGATGATATGAGTGAATCATAAACAAATAGTTATCAAGTTTCACTTCAAGACCCTCACCTCACTATGCCCTACAGTTCAAAGGAATTATGTCATAAAATTTTTCTCAGTGCCAACCATTCCTCACTTTACAAGACCTATCTCAAAATTGCTCAGTCCATGTCCTAACACTATGAACAATCTGCCCCAATTTACCATTTTAAAGCCCTATTATGATTCTGTCAAGGGGTCAAGGGGGAAGACAGTGGGAAGAGAGAGAGGTTCAGAACAACGACAACAACTGTGGTACTATGCTTAGTACCTGGGTGACAAAATAATCTGTACACCAGACCTCCAAGTCATGAGCTTACCTAAATAATAAACCTGCACCTGTACCTCTGAACCTAAAAAAAAATTTAAAATAAAATAAAAAATCAATAAACTATAATTATTTACTTATATTTGTTTACACAATGTTGTACAATACCAGTTTTCTTAGCCCCTATATTTAATGGGTTCAATTATTAGGAGATTAATGCGTAACTGTCAATAAAAATAGATTTTTGGAGGTATAAACAGATTCTATTTAATAATAAAAAAGGATTTTGTCAAGGTGGTGTTCAACTTTACTGTAGAAATCTAACCAATTTAGCTTTGCTTGATCAAAAGTATTTTTTCTGGTGGTATTTTGGGGAATTACCAGTTGGTAATGCTAGTGGTTCCATCAAGATTCTATCAAGACCTTCTAACTGCTGCGACTCAAGACTCAGAACAGAACATGTTCCCGAGGTCCCTTGAGGTTCCCACTTAGGGATCTCTCCAACTACAACAGTCATGTAGGTCTAATTTTTTTCATTGGCCTTCAAATGCTGTGTTTATTTTGTCTCCTAAGAGTGAAGACAATTATTTAGTTTATCTAATCCAATTAGAAAACTGTTACCTTTTGTAGAAAAATATGAACCATGAATTTTTCTGCCTGCTCTTGCCTTTTTGTATTGTGATTCTATATAATTCTAGTAAATCTGTCCTTGAGCTGTGAAACATGGTTTATTGTTTGTCTCCCTGAATGGAAAGAGGTAAGCTGGATGGTTTTATTTACCACATTAGCCCTGGTAGCTAGCATCTGTTGTATAAGAAGTGCTCAATAAATACTTGTTAACTAAATGAAGAGCTTTTCAGATATAAAATATTTCAGAGTTAAAAAGTTAAAAATTTACATAGGTTGTACCTTCTTGGATTTTTCAAATTAAAATTTCTTACTGAGAAATTATATCAAAAATATGAATGGAGAAAAAGGGAAAGAAAAAGTCATTTATATCTCTATCTATCTATTCCTATATCTATATAATTCAATATTAGGATAGAAAACTTCAGCTAATGTTTGTTTGGGAAGAAAGTTTGAACAAAGCCAGGACCTATTCTATGGGGCTCATATTTTTGTGTGTGATGTAGACACCATTATATTTCTTAATTTCCCTTGGGATTGGTAATCTAGAGCCTTTCCTGCCTTATAGCTGAAATACACTTTTTTTTTTTAACTTTCTAAAATGTGCACTTTACTTAAGGAGGAAAAAATGTTAATATTTTATACCCTGTTTTAGGTTTTCTTAAAATAATTGGTGTAATATTATATTAACATTAAAAGGTATACATTAAAGTCAAATATTCTAATGTCAGAATTTTATCAACATACCTATCATATGAAATGAATATAATAAATGAATATCAAATTTGGACATTCTGTCTATAAAAGTAAACACGATATTTTCAGAAATTTCTCTGGACTACTGTCACTGATATTACTTAGTCTGTTTCACTTCCCAATATAATTTAATTAAACCACATGGCAACAATAACATCTAATCGAGCTTTATAAAACTTCAACAAAATGTAGGTATCTGAAAATCACAATTTGTGTCTTAAGGTTTCAGACACATTATCCTTGCCAGTTTAAATTTGTTAAAATTCTTTTCTTATACAATTAAATATACAGAAGGCATCAACTTATCATATGAAACCTACCAAATAGAAGTCTAACATTTCAGATTTCGAATATTTAACTTTACCACTAGCATTTTCTTCCCAATTCTGTACATGCTAGGCATATTTCTTCAAATTTATTTAGACATCAGTAAATAGAAAGCAAACTTGTTAAACTTTGATGATCTTTGCTAACCTCATCATTTATGCTGTGTCATATGCCTGACATATGACAATGTCAGGTAGTGAGATTCTACTCACAACATGTAAATTTTCAGTTTGGGAAGCTGGCAGCAGAGGGTTCTCTAAGGTATGTTACTTTCACTGAATCTGTATCTTAAATTAGTTCTAAGTCAACTTTTTGATGTGGTTATATGGTACTTTGAAAGTTGCTCTCATTTTATATTTGTTAATTAATGTTGCTATTTGTATAAGAGAACACTAAACCATAATTGTAAAAGTCAATATAAACCTTTAGTTCATTATCTAATTGTCCTACACTTTTTGTGAGCATACACGAAAATATGCACTTTCTAAGATCAATCTCTGCTCTTCCCTCATACACAAAAGAAAACAAAATCTCTAATTTTACAGTACAAGCTACAGTGATATAATAAATTGTCAAAGTCATAGGTTATCTCTTCTGTATGGCTAAAAGTGTTACCAATTCATTTTTGTAAATAGAATATATTTTGAGAAGCGGCAGTATTCAAAAAAGGCACATGAATTTAGAATCAGACAAATCTGGTCTTACTTTGCCAACAACCTTTATATCCTTGAACAAGTTATATATTTTCTCTGAGCCTCAGTTTCTTCTTCTCTAAAAGGATAATAATAGTGCCTATTTTTGTGAGATTTTACAGATACAAACACAAGTTATTAATACCTAACCCAGTGTCTGGATTGTCAGAGTAGCTCAATAAATATAATACATTCTTATTTAGGTATTTTTTTTTTGAGACGGAGTCTCTTTCTGTCGCTCAGGCTGGAGCGCAGTGGCGCGATCTCTGCTCATTGCAAGCTCCGCCTCCCGGGTTCACGCCATTCTCCTGCCTCAGGCTCCAGAGTAGATGGGACTACAGGCGCCCGCCACCACGCCCGGCTAATTTTTTTGTATTTTTAGTAGAGACGGGGTTTGCGTCTCACGCCTGTAATCCCAGCACTTTGAGAGGAAGAGACGGGCAGATCACGAGGTCAGGAGATCGCAACCATCCTGGCTAACACGGTGAAACCCTGTCTCTGCTAAAACTAAACATAATACATTCTTATTTTAACAAAATAAAATAGGTTTTTTTTTTAAATTAGCAATACAAAGGCCCTTTGGTATATACCTTTTAAAAATTTCCATCTTTCAAGTCTATTAATTTAATATTTAATTTCAAGTCTAATCAATTAAATATCATGTATTTCCATTTAGTAAATACATGATAAATTGTTACTATCATGTACAGTAAATACATTATAAAATTAGGCTAGCAAAAAAGACTTTCCTTATATTATCCAATTCAATCACAACCATTGTAGGCAAAATTAGTATTGCTTTGCTTTTAGAGATGAGAAAATTGGGGGTCATATGTTAGGTAACCTGCTTATGATCAGAAAGCTACTAAATGGCAACTACCAAATTTAAACCGATGTTTAACAGCCCTTTCAATTCCAACATATTTTTCCCAAAAATATTATTCCATTGATTAGATGGGACAGAAAGTAGTATTTATTGATAACCTTCTATTTGCCAAATACGCAGCTATTTACTTTTGAATTTATTTTAAGCACGATTCAAGGGCACTCTGCTGTCCTCTGATTTTTATAGAAAATGAAGTGGCAGAGCGAGAATTCAATCTAAAATCTGCCTGGTTTGAAAGCCCATGTGCAGATGGTTGTGAACAGTGCAAAAAGTTGGGGTTTTGTTATCAGATCGATCTGGGATACAATATCACACTTGCCATCTGTCAATGGTATTAAACTGCGTTGCGCCTCAATTTGGCTCCTAAAAAATGGACATACTAGTGCATTTCACATAAGTGTGCTGACAGAATGAAATGAGATACTATATACAAAGCACTTATATTGCTTGAGATCTCACCCGTTTACAGGTAGTTATTATATCATGCTACCTCAGGAAGAGGTGAGACTTTAAGGAGTGAGAAACACAAAAAATTTATTATCAGGTTTCCAACTTGAGAAACAGGTGGTTCAATTTCCCAACATTTAAAGTATATGTTCCTATAGTATATAAATATGTCATTTCCCTCCTGCTATTATCCCTTTCTCACCCTTGAGGAGGAAATGCTATAAATCAAGTGACATTCCATTGCCCCCCACAAAAACAAATGGATGGACACTCAATAGAACTGGATTGGCAAGTCACTAGAAATTTGAGATTGAGACAGAAAGTGTGACTAAGCATTGCTGTGGGTATGGTAGGTGTTAGGCCATGTAAACTAGGGCCTTACATCATTTTTTCTTGACAATATACTGTCTGTCAAATAAACCGAGCAAGACAACTGTCGTGGAGAGTAGCAGGAGAGTAAAACAGAAATGCAGAGTTAAGCTGAAAGGACAGAACATGAAGCAATACAAAGAACTGAGACATGGCTGATAATTTTCAAGTTCTGGGATGTTAGCCTATCTTTCCAAAAATACATTCCTCAATATTGTTGTATGTCCTTTTTTATCCAACAAATGTTTTCACTTATGCTCATTCAAGGTCTCTGCTTTTGTAACCTAAGACAGGAAACATATTAGGAGAAAATATGGAATAGTGGACATTGTTATCTCCCCAACATCCAATTTGTTATTTCTATATTACATAGCAGCCGTATGACTGAGTAGAATTACCTACTCAGTCATTCTAGGTGTGAATCTGATTGCTCTAATAATGCACCACAGTGACTGGTTTAGGGAAGCAGGTTGAAGCCAAATAGTACAAAACCTTCCCTTGGCCAGTAGAGATTTTGACCCTGAGGACTTCTGAACAAGTAGGTCTCGTTGTATGGACGAAGCCCTTAAAGGATATGTTCTTTTTTTTTTTTTAAACAGTGTGAACAAAGAAAGAAAGGCAAGAACTACTGCAACTGCTGTGTAACTTTGAGATAAACCAGTTTGGGAACAAACCTGACTCTAAGAAAACCAATCATAGAACCAATAAATCCTAAAGAAATGGAGAAAGATCATTCTTTTACCAGGAGCATAGTCCTAAACTACTGAGTCAATAGGCCTCCTTTATCATTTAAATACCCAGTTGAATTGTGTTTTCTGTTAATTGGAAAGAAAAAAAAAAAAGCTGACAATATAAATGCAAGTGGAAGAGGGTGAGGAACATTGGCATAAAGGTGGGAACTGAAGCCATGGGTATAAAGTCATCCAGACAGGACACATTTAGGACTGATTGTGTGCTCCTTTTTATTTTACGTCACCAGCATCATTTGGCTCAGACAAAACCTACTTTTAAAGCAGGCAGAAAAATGTGAAAAGACTAGACTGGCCTAGTCCCAGACTACCTCTTTCTGCAATGCTAGATGCTTCCTGCCTTTGAACATCAGACTCCAAGTTAGGATGGGCTTTCCTTGCTCCTTAGCTTGCAGACAGCCTATTGTGGGACCTTGTGATAGTGTGAGTTAATACTTAATAAAATCTATCTATCTCCCTGTCCATCTATCTATTCTATTGTATCCTATTAGTTCTGTCCCTCTAGAGAACGCTAATACAGATTTTGGTACCAGGAGTGGTTCTAGAGGAACGGAATATTAAGGATGGAGTTATTTTGTTGGTTTTGATTGGCTGCTTAATATGATTCATCCCCAAAATGCTAAGGACTCTACTTCTAATAGTATGGAGAACACTGATAATCCTTGGCATAATAAATAATTTATTTATTATAAATAAATAATTTATTTATAATAAATAAATAAATGCATTTGACACTCCTGATTCACTGCTCATGAGAGGCAAGGAGTTTACTGACTCTATACATAATACCTTTGACCATATGTGGAGAACCAAGGAACACAATGAAGCTGGTTGGTTGCTCTTAAGCTCAGTGGACAAAGTGATGAAAGAAAATGATGAACTCAGGAATTCTAACTCCTGGCTTCAGAAGCAGATCCTCAGCCTCAAATCTGCTAAGATTGGCCTGAGTGAGAGTCTTACCTCCTGTACAGAAAAAGCTGAAATTGTGGAAAACAGACACAAGCTCTTATCAAGCAAGTGGCTGACCTGCAAGGAAAGGTGCACGCACAGCCTCGCCAGGTGTTCACTGTTAAAGTGAGGGCATTGATTGGGAAAGAATGGGACCTGGGACCCTGCAACTTGGAATGGGGACGTGTGGGAGGACCCTGATGAAGCTGGGGACACTGAATTTGTAAACTCTGATGAGCATTTTTTGCCAGAATAAACAGCTTCCCCATCCCCAGTAGTGGCAACATCCCCTCCCCGACCCATGCTGCCATCAGCCTTTCTGAGGAGATCAAACTCTGTGCTGCCTGAGGCAACAGTGATGGCCTCCCCTGAGGCAGTTGCCAGGCAAGATAATGTTGATTCTCCTCAGGAGCCACCCCCAACACCCCTGTTTGCTTCTAGACCTATAACTAGACTAAAGTCCCAGTGGGCCCCTAGGGGCAAGGGTGATTGTGTGACCCATGAGGAGATGTGCTACACTTGAAAATAACTGCTTGAGTTTTCTATCTTATATAAGCAGAAATTGGGAGAACAGGCATGGGAATGTATATTAAGGGCATGGGATAATGGTGGAAGGAACATAGAGTTGGATCAGGCTAAATTTATTGATTTGGGCCCACTAAGTAGGGACTCTGCATTTAATGTTGCAGCTCAGGGAGATAAAAAAGGTTCTAAGAGTTTATTTGTTTGGTTAGTTGGAATACGGTTTAAAAATGGCTCACTGTAAGCAAGCTGGAAATGCCTGATCTCCCTTTGGTTTAATGAAGAGGAAAGGATCCAAAGGCTTAGGGAGATTGGGATGATGGAGTGGATTAGTCACTTCAGACCTACTCATCCCAGCTGGGAGCGTCCAGAAGATATACCCTTGACCAATGCCTTGTGAAACAGATTTGTGAGAGCACCACCTGCATCTTTGAAGAGCCCTGTAATTGCTCTTCTCTGCATGTCAGATCTAACAGTGGGATCCACAGTCACTCAGCTGCAAAATTTAAATACAATGGCAATAATTGGATACCAAAGTGGCAGGAGCCAGGTGGCGACACTCATATGTAAAAGGCAAGGTGGGTGTAGCCACCGTAATGGACAGCAGAGACCAATTAGCAATTGGTATAGTCTGACTTGTGTAGAGCTCTGGCATTGGCTAATTAATCACAGTGTTCCTAAAAGTAAAATTGATAGGCAGCCTACTGCATTCCTACTTAATATATGTAAGCAGAAAACTTCTAGGTCGAATGGACAAAAGACTAATTTGAATTATAAAAACAGAGAATCACGGCCCCTCAATTAATTTCCAGACTTAAGCCAGTTTACAGACCCAGACACCAGTGAATGAAAGGGAAGCCAAGTCCCCTTGAGGAAGGACTGCACTACACTACTGACAATTTAGGCTGTTAATCTTTCTCACATTTTCCCCCAAGGACAACTCAGGCCTTTTACCAGCATAACTGTGCTATGGAAAAGGGAAGTGATCAGACATTTTAGGGACTACTGGACATTGGCTCTGAGCTGATGTTGATTCCAGTGGACCCAAAATGTCATTGTGGACCTCCAGTTAAAATAGGAGCATATGGAGGTCAGGTAATTAATGGAGTTTTAGCTCAGGTGTGACTTACAGTGGGTCCAGTGGGTCCTGTGGTCATTTCCCCAGTTCCAGAATGCATAATTGGCATAGACACACTTAGCAGCTGGCAGAATCCCCACATTTGCTCCCTGACTGGTAGGGTGAGGGCTATTAGGGTGGAAAAGGCCGAATGGAAGCCTTTAGAGCTGCCTCTATTTAGAAAAATAGTAAATCAAAAACAATATTGCATCCCTTGAGGGACTGTGGAGATTAGCACCACCATCAAGGACGTGAAAGATGCAGGGGTGGTGATTCCCACCACAGCCCCATTCAATTCTCCCATTTGGCCTGTGCAGAAGACAGATGGATCTTGGAGAATGACAGTGGATTATCGTAAGCTTAACCAAGTGGTGACTCCAATTGCAGCTGTTGTACCAGATGTGGTCTCATTGCTTGAGAAAACTAATACAACTCCTGGTACCTGGTATGCAGCCACTGACTTGGCAAATGCCTTTTTCTCCATTCCTGTCCATAAGGCCCACCAGAAGCAATTTGCCTTCAGCTGGCAAAGCCAGAAATATACCTTTACTGTCCTACCTCAGCAGTATATCAACTCTATGGCTTTGTGTCATAATCTTATTGAGAGAGACCTTAATCAGTTTTTGCTTCTGCAAGATATCACACTGGTCCATTACACTGATGACATGCTGATTGGATCCAGTGAGCAAGAAGCAGCAAACACACCAGACTTATTGGTGAGACATCTGTGTGCCAGAGGATGGGAAATAAATACGACTAAAATTCAGGGAACTTGTACCTCAGAAAAATTTCTAGGTGTCCAGTGGTGTGGGATTTGTCAAGATATTACTTCTAAGGTGAGGGATAAGCTGCTGCATTTGGCCCCTCCTATGACCAAGAAAGAGGCACAATGCCTAGTGGGCCTATTTCGATTTTGGAGGCAACACATTCCTCATCTCGGTGTGTTATTCTGGCCCATTTATCGAATGACCTGAAAGGCTGCCAGTTTTGAGTGTGGTCCAGAACAGGAGAAGTCTCTGCAACAGGTCTAGGCTGCTGTGCAAGCTGCTCAGTCACTCGGGCCACATGACCCAGCAGATCCAATGGTGCTTGAGGTATCAGTGGTAGTTAGGGATGCTGTTTGGAGCCTTTCACAGGCCCCCATAGGTAAATCACAGTGGAGGCCTCTAGGATTTTGGAGTAAGGCCCTGCCATCTTCTGCAGATAACTACTCTCCTTTTGAGAGACAGCTCTTGGCCTGTTACTGGGCTTTGGTGGAAACTAAATGTTTGACTATGGGTCATCAAGTCACCACATGACCTGAACTGCCCATCAGGAACTGGGTGCCTTCTGACCCATCTAGCCATAAAGTGTGTTGTGCACAGTAGAATTCCATCATCAAATGGAAGTGGTATATACGTGATGGATCTCGAGCAGGTCCTGAAGGCACAAGTAAGTTACATGAGAAAGTGGCTCAAATGCCCATGGTCTCCACTCCTGCTACCCTACCTTCTGTCTTCCAGCCTGCACTGCAAGCCTCATGGGGAGTGGCCTATGATTGGTTGATAGAGGAAGAGAAGGCTAGGGCCTGGTTCACAGATGGTTCTGCACGATATGCAGGCACCATCCAAAAGTGGACAGCTGCAGCATTACAGCCCTTTTCTAGGACATTCCTGAAGGACAGCAATGAAGGGAAATCTTCCCAGTGGGCAGAACTTCAAGCAGTGCACCTGATTGTGCACGTCGCATGGAAGGAGAAATGGCCAGATGCTTGATGACATACTGATTCATGGGCTGTAGCCAATGGTTTGGCTGGATGGTCAGTGACTTGGAAGAAGCATGATTGGAAAATTGGCGACAAATAAATTTAGGGAAGAGGTATGTGGATCGACCTCTCTGAATGGTCAAAAGCTGTGAAGATATTTGTATCCCATGTCAGTGCTCACCAATGGGTGACCTCAGCAGAGGAGGATTTTAATAATCGAGTGGATAGGATGACCTGTTCTGTGGACACCACTCAGCCTCTTTCCCCAGCCACCCCTGTCATCGCCCGATGGGCCCATGAACAAAGTGGCCATGGTAACAGGGATGGAAGTTACACATGGGCTCAGCAACATGGACTTTCACTCACCAAGTCTGACCTGGCTACAGCCACTGCTGAGTGCCCAATTTGCCAGCAGCAGAGACCAACACTGAGCCCTCGATATGGCACCATTCCTCGGGGTGATCAATTAGCTACCTGGTGCCAGGTTGATTATATTGGACCTCTTCCATTATGGAAAGGGCAGAGGTTTGTCCTCACTGGAATAGACACTTACTCTGGATATCCTATCCAGAATAATATTTGCCTATCCTGCACACAATGCTTCTGCCAAGACTACGATCCATGGACTCACGGAATGCCTTATCCAACATCATGGTATTCCACACAGCATTGCCTCTGACCAAGGTGCTTACTTTACGGCTAAAGAAGTGCAGCAGTGGGCTCATGCTCATGAAATTCACTGCTGTTACCATGTTCACCATCATCCTGAAGCAGCTGGATTGACAGAATGGTGGAATGGCCTTTTGAAATTACAATTACACTGCCAACTAGGTGACTATACTTTGTAGGCTAGGGCAAAGTTCTCCAGAAGGCCATGTATGCTCTTATTCAGTGTCCAATATATGGTCCTGTTTCTCCCACAGCCAGGATTCACAGGTCCAGGAATCAAGGGGTAGCAGTGGGAGTGGCACCACTCACCATCACCCCTAGTGAGCCACTAGTAAACTGTTTGCTTCCTGTTCTTGCCACATTATGTTCTGCTGGGCTAGAGATCTTAGTTCCAGAGGGAGGAATGCTGCCACCAGAAAACACAAGGATTCCATTAAACTGGAAGTTAAGATTGCCATCTGGACACTTTGGGCTCCTCTTACCTTTAAGTCAACAGGCTAAGAAGAGAGTTACAGTGTTGTCTGGGGTGGCTGACCCAGAATATCAAGATGAAATCAGTCTACTACTTCACAACAGAGGTAAGGAAGAGTATGCATGGAATACAGGAGATCCATTAGGGCGTCTCTTAGTATTACCATGCCCTGTGATTAAGGTCAATGGGAAATTATAGCTCAATCCAGGCAGGACTACAAATGGCCCAGACCCTTCAGGAATGAAGGTTTGGGTTACTCCACCAGGAAAAAATCCACGACCTGCTGAGGTGCTTGCTGAAGGCAAAGGGAATACAGAATGGGTAGTAGAAGAAGGTAGTCATCAATACTAGCTACAACCACGTGACCAGATGCATAAACAAGGATGGTAATTGTCATGAGTATTTCCTCCTTCTTTTGTTAAAAGCATGTTTGTGCATGTGTACTCTTGTACTAACAAAATATCTTCATTTTATTTCCTTTTTCCTTTATCATGTGACATAAGATTTATTGACTTCATATCTGCATATATTGTTAACTTTATATAATAGTATTTGAATTGGGGATTAGTGCATTTTCAGTTGTGCAAAGGATAGCTGTATTATGTTAGGCATAATTATAACCTTATTATTGTCTTTATTTGAAGTTTATGTATGATCTCAGGAGATGTTTATGGGTTCAAGTTGACAAGGGGTGGACTTGTGATGGTTAATACTGAGTGTCAACTTGATTGGATTGAAGGATGCAAAGTGTTGATCCTGGGTGGGTCTGAGAGGGTGCTACCAAAGAAGATTAGCATTTGAGTCAGGGCTGAGAAAGGCAAACCCACCCTTAATCTTGGTGGTCACCATCTAATCAGCTGCCAGCACAGCTAGAATATAAAGCAGGCAGAAAAATGTGAA
Organism: Homo sapiens; assembly: GCF_000001405.40. Classification (NCBI taxonomy): domain Eukaryota; kingdom Metazoa; phylum Chordata; class Mammalia; order Primates; family Hominidae; genus Homo; species Homo sapiens. Next base: position 175,528,374 of record NC_000003.12, on the reverse strand, counting down.
AACTCTAGACTGGCTTAGCCTCCCAGCCTACATCTATTTCCCAGGCTGGATGCTTCCTGCCCTTGAACGTTGGACTCCAAGTTCTTCTGTTTTGGGACTTGGACTGGCTTTCCTTGATCTTCAGTTTGCAGACGGCCTATTGTGGGACCTTGTAATCTTGTGAGCTAATACTTAATAAACTCCCCGTTATTTATATATATATACATGTATATCCCATTAGTTCTGTCCCTTTAGAGAACCCTGACTAATACACCAAATAATTTAATTCAGAATTTTCTTTCACTTTCCTTCTCCGAGAACTTCACCAACCAAAAGTGCTTTGTTATGCAAATATGAGTATACTTTTTCAAACTACACACTAAACCCTGTACAGAGTGCCATCTCTTATCTCTTGAGAATCAACAAGATTCGGAATCTGTGGACCTTCAACCCCTAGGAGAGACCATGAGATCATGGTAAGTGGTCCCAGAATATGAGCACAAAGAATTGTCTGTAGAATAAGTCAATGTATAACCTGTGTATAACTATTTTTCAAATGTATGGCAATGTGTATGTGATATAACAAATATGCATGTATAATGCATATAATGACTTATAAAATCTTAATCTATTAGAAGCATAATATAAAATGTTTTGGGGATGTACAGCATTTAAATTAATCTCTAAAATGCTACTACCCTTGATCTTAGCCAAGAAGCTGAGAAGTAGTCATTATTTTAAAATGGCACTCAACTCAGTACATATCACATATTGTGAGGGGGATGTTAAAATGCCTTTTCTAACTCAGCGATTTTTGACCCACTTGACTAACTCACTCATTTGAGTATTATTTCTGTATTATCTAGGATCATCTATTTTATTGGTGGAATCAAAATTGTAGAGGGGTAGATGGGGCTTAGAAGACTGCCTAATCCAACAATAATTTCTCAAGTATATTTTGGTTTAGTTGAGTAACTAAAAGTATTTTATCGTAAGAAAATGTTGGTGGGTTATTGACCATCAAGAAGATATTACCAGTCCATCATTAACCTAGATTATAATTATAGGTAACTTTACTATCCGTCTATAGCTACAATGTTGTGTTGAAGGGCCTCATCAGCTATGACGGCAGGTAAATATGCCACACTGAAAACTGGCTAATGTAGCCTTCAAGTCAATGTAAAAGCAAAGCTCTAACCATGATTTCACTTGAGGGCAAACACCAATCCAAACCCAAATTTCCTCCCACCTAGATTGGTTGTGGCAGGTCCCTTTTCTTCCTCAGATTAGCAGATTCCTCAGGATCCTCTCTACCTGGGGGCTCAGATGACAAGCCCTCAGGCTCCATTCATTTTAAAGCTCTTACTGGCAATTATTTCAAAGAAAAGGAAACAGTACAAGGAAAGTGACAAAAATTGGGGCAAAGAATGACAAATCTTTAGAAATGGACTTGTGATCTCAAGCCTGGAGTGTAACTCCTCTTTTTTTATGCTAATAAAAAAGCCAGGAGGGTTTTAGCTAAATGCTCTAATTTCTGAAAGTGGATTCACCCAAACACTTTCACCTAAAAGTGAAAGTAATGCTCTCGGTTTTCCCCGGAAGAAAGTTCCTCATCTCTGCTGGTGGACCCGTGGAACAAATTAAAGCAGAACAATAGTGGGCTTTTGTTTGTTGGTTGGTTTTTAGGTCTTTTTGGAAGATCTATTTCATTAAGCTTCTGCCTAGCAGAGAAATGACTCCCACCCCCCACCTCACCTCTGGCCAGTTTCTTAACAAACCTCCCATTTTAATACACTTTATATTTGTCCGCTTAGATAACCTGAAATAACATTAAATACGTAAACACACTTTGACCTACAGATACTATAGAAAGAAAAAATAATTAACCAACAGTTAAATAAGTTTCATTTCATTTAAATTTTAGCTCTCATTTTAAGCAAAATCTAAATGATTTAATCTGTGCAAATTTTCCAACTATTTTTGGAATGCATAAAATGCTTAAAGAGCAAGGATAGGGAATAATGACTGCAAATTCCTCCTTCCAATTATTTAACTGTAAAATAAGGGTCAGTTCTAGCTAACATCTATACATGCACCAAAATATACTGTAAAGCACAGCTGTACCAATGCAAATGAATAAGGATAATATATACCTTTTTTAAAAACTGAAGCTTACTATAAAATGCATGGCTTGTTCTAATGTTATTTTTTCCTCTGTGCTAACACTAGTTGCTACTGCAAAAACAGCAGTTAAGTAGCTCCAAGATTAGCATTTGACAAGACTGTCCTCATTTTTAAAAAGGCTGATACTTTACATTTTAAAGATACTGGTTGCGAATTGTAGATTATTCTTTTTAAAGTCTCCAGGCATTCCTGCTCTGTATCACACAGTTCTGATAAATATTAAAATCTACCAGGGATCTTGGAAGTACTTTCCCAACGGAACTTGGCTCAGCGTTGGCTTTTATATCCCTTAGAGAAAGACTAATGCTAAAGTGTTACTTTTCGGAAAAATAATCATGACTAATAATGACCAGGTCATTGCCATAAAAGTACATGATTATATATAATCATTACAAATATATAATCATTTAAATACCACAATGTAAGAAGAAACTTTGTAATATATGACATCTTTTTAATTAGGTGTTCTATAGTCAAATGTTATAGGAAAACATTTATATAATAATCCCACCCCTTGAGGATTGCTCATTAGCACAAATGAAGGCACAAAGAAGTCCATCAATTTTTGAAAAACTCACTCAACTTTGACTAATTCTGTTTTCCTCAAATGCATCTGACAAAAAAAAAATCCTTTTTCAAAATAATTATTGAGGAATAAAGCTTGAGAAAACTAGATTTGAGAAAGCCTAAAAAACTTTTTAGTTTTAAATGCTTTGATCGTTAAATGTGTACTCATTAATAAGTTATAAAACTACGTTAATTCCCATTCCCATTAGATGTGTCCACAACAGGCTAGACTCAGAGAATGGATAAGTAAATTGACAGTGAGTGGAGAAATGGGACGATGGGGTAGAGGAAGAAAACATAAAATAATAAAATACTTCGGTTTTACCCAAGTTAATTTTGAGCTTTGTCCTACTTACCTTTATTAAAATGATCTGGATTAGTTTCCTTATTAAGTGGGTAGATTACATATAAATATGACTAAGGTGATACACAGAAGTGTTAAAAAATGAAAAATTAGATAACATTAACCAGAAGAAACTTCAAAAGCAATAGGAAATTTCCAGAATCTATCAAACTATTATCTATATACATTTATATGTCTATATCTAACAATACACATATATCACTTTATATCTTAAATAATTTTTAAATAAAAAAATAGAGATTGTTCAGTTACATGCACCCTTCTCTGTCAATCAGCATCTGCCCAATTTGATCCTGCCTTCTTTTTGCTGCCATACACAAGTTTAAAGCATGTTCCTGTTATAAGAGTTAGTATATTTCTCTATCATTATTAGTTTATGTAGCTAGGCCACTTGTTAACATATATGTAATTATCTTGCTTTTAATATGATAGCTACATGTATCTATCTTACTTGCTAACATGTTTGCTAACAAGATGTCTCACTTGTTAACAAGCTATCTCTCTTGTTAACTTATTGAGAAAAATACTTTATTATATTCATGTTTATATCTTCAGTGTCTGCTAGCACAATAAGTGTTACAAATTTTTGGTAGAATAAAGGGAATATACTAATAACTGTAACCATAGAAGAAACAAAAATGATTGGAAGATTTATAGCCTATAATTTAAAGAGAAATAGCAATATGAAATGGTGTTGATATTACAGAATTAAGTGGTATAAACTATATAAGGAAGAGAAATCATGTACTACTTAGATGTTAGCATTTGTGTTAAGTCCTATGAACCACAGGATTTTATTTATTACCTCATCTCCCAAAATGTAGATTATATTAAAAGTTACCTATGATAAAAGTACACACAAAAAATTACAAGTTAGTAAGTAAAGGCTTGAAACAAATTAAAGCCAGAATAAGATCATTATTCAAAGATCTTATACTGTCATTACTAATGTCACTGTTTAGAAACCTTGCTCTAGATAATCTAATATTCTGCCCAAAATTAATACACTATTTAGAGGACTAGATGATGGTCTTCAAGTTGAATTCACATCTTCCTAAAGACCAAAACCAAAAAAGAAATGAGATCAATTCTACTTCAAATTATCCTGAAGACATATCACAGTTGATCTTCCTAAAATCGTAGATTTTCCTAAGAAAACCTGTGGGTATATAAGACAAAGCCTGTGTGGGATGCACCATTCACAGCACCACAACACATAAAATCACTTTCCAGAGAAAGCTTTTTAAAACATGCCTTGAAATCGGGTGACAGCATCATGCTAGCAAACAAGAACTATAATAAATCAGAGAGAAACTAAAAGAATGCAGTTCAAGTATTTTGCACTTAGATATGAGTTCTAAATTTCTTTTCAAAGAATCAATATGTCAGTATGTCAATTCTTTGTCTTCTACTTTTAAACTTAACTTCCTCATAAAGCAAACTTTTTCAATTACCTGCTCCACCCTGACTCATACCGATTACCTGCTCTGTCATAACCATTTTTCCTGCCAAACCACTCGCTCCGTCACTCTCTTTAAATTAGCCAATCAGAATTAGTTTTGCCTGTGCGGTCTAACCCTAGACAAAAGGGGAAGGACACAGCAGCAGGGGCCACACGCCTCAGGGTAAGAACCCCTTTCCCTCCCTTGTCCAAGTGTACGCTCACCATTGCTCCATTGCTTCGCTTCTAGAGAAGTAACTTGCCGTGCGGAGGATTAAAAAGAAAATTTTATATTCGAGTGCTATTTCTTTTGCGGCACCAAAACTTTATTTATAACACTGTTTATGTGTCTTAATTTTGGGTGGAAAGGTGCAGAATATTGGATTATCTAGAGCAAGTTTTCTAAATAGTGTATTAATTTTGGGTAGAAAGGGGCAGAATATGAGATTATCTACAGCAAGGTTTCTAAACTGTGACATTAGTAATGACATTATAAAGAAGATTAATTTGTGTTGTGGAAGACTGTCTGATACATTTTAGAATATTTAGCAGCATTTCTGCTCTCTATCCATTAGACGCCAGTAATAACTTCCACTCCTCAGTTCTAACAACTCCTGACTCTCCAGTTATTACAACTAAATAAAATCGCCAAATGTTTCCAGGCGGCAACATCACCCCTATTTGATAACTATGTCTCTAGAGAATTAATTTTCACTACTTGGTAGAACCGCTGATTCCATTAAGAATCTGTCAAAAGCTATGGATTCTTTAACCAGAAAAATCCCATATGTAGACCAAAAATGTACATGTAATTTTCAGGGCTCATGGATTCCCTGTGTACCCAGGTTAAGAACTTCTCGTTTAAAGGAATGGTAGCTTATGTGTCTTCCAGGAAAACTTTCATAAATGTTTATTTCTTGCAATTGAACCTTATATACAGTTGGATGATTTTAAGGGATATGTAGAGAAATTGAATATTGTTGATAGAAATAACTGAAATGAGAGAAAAGACTCCCCAACTACAGTTTACCAAAAGTAATTTCCATAATCAAAATCAAAATAACTCAGATTACTTTTTTGTGGAGAAAGCAGGCAAGTTTTAAATTAAAATTAGAGGTTGTATACTAAATGTGTACTGAGAAGACAATATCAGAAGTGAGATCAGGTATGAGAAAAAGTATTTAATTAACAAAGGCTGTTGTAGTTAGATTTGTTGTTTTTACATGACTAGCAACTTTCAACTATATCTTACTTAGAGCAGACCACATTTTATTTGAGAACTCATATCTCACCTCCTATTCTGATCACTGAGATGTCACTAGTCTGACCCACCTTTTGTTTCCACTGAAAAGCACACTAACCCAGAGCATGCCATTTCAGCGCACGCCATTTCACTGCTCCAGATATTATTTCAGGTATGGGACATGACCTCAGTGGGGCCTTCATAAGTCAACCCAGGCAGTTGAAACTTTTTGTCCTACTGTATATGCTAAGCCTGAAGCTGCTGATGTTCATATATTAGGAGCATTCAACGAATATTTGTTAGTATTTTCTATTCACCAGCCAATATTAAAACAACTAATGAAATTACATTATAGTGAAGAATAGTAAATCAATATATATGTAAAATAAATATAATTTTAAATAATGTGCTTAGAAGAGAATAAAGCAAAGACTTAGAGATGTTTATCTCCAAATTATTGAGATTTTAGTTTAAAATATTTGATTATTCAATCAACTGTTTTTATAGCTAATAGGAAAATTAAATACAATCTTCATATCATGCACTAAAGGAAAATAATATGGGAAAGACATTTTTAAATAATGACTTGGTTTCTTAGTTAAAAAGCAGAAAAATGTTGATTATTGTTTTTCTTACTAATAGTATCCTGAGAATTTTCCTATTTAATAAAAATCTATCATCAAGAATTTTCTTCCGTATTTATTTCCTAGGGCTGATGTGACAAAGCACTGCAAACTGCATGGCTTAAAACAACTGACATTCATTGTCTCAGGTTCTGGATCCCAACATTTCTCTTTGAAAGCTCTAGGCAAGGATCTTTCCTTGCCTCATTTTAGCTTATGGTGGATGCCTGCAATCCTTGGCACTTCTTAGCTTGTAGAAGCATCACTCTAATCTCTGCCCCTGTCTTCACGTGGCCATCTCCGTGTGTGTCTCTGTGTCTAAAATTTCTCTAACTACCAGGACATTAGTTATTGGATTAGAGCCCACCCTAATCCAGTATGACCTCATTTTCACTTGATTACATCTGCAAAGACTATTTCCAAATAAAGTAACATCCATCAGTACTGGGAGTTAGGACTTGAACATATCTCTCTGGGGAACACAATTCAACCCAAAGCACCTTCTATAGATACTTAACCACTTAGCATCGAAAGCAGAATATTGTGCTTATTCACTGGAAAAAAAAAGTTAGAACTAATTAAATTGTATATATTTTGAACAACAAAAATCTATTTATTTTGAGAACTGTAGAAATATACAAATTAATATTAACTACAAGATTCATTCCAAAGATAGAATATCATTTCTTTTGTCTCAAGTTAAAATAGTATTATTATTTTATTCAGATTGTAAGAAATCATATTCACTTTAAATATTCAGAAAATTATAAAAAAGGGAAAAATGTATACTCCCTTGAGACAAATAAAGTCTCTGTAGATATTTCATCATACTAGATATATTAGCTTTTAATTTATAATGTTTCCAGATTTTTGCATTGTCAATATTATGAAACTGATACGTTTAGATTTTATTTGTTGGAAGCATTCTAAATCTGTGTTCTCTAGGGCTGAAGGGAGACACTATTCAACTTTTATATGACAGACAATCATCTCTCTCTCAAATTACCAACAGAACACGAAATTTTAGATTCTAATCCTTGATTCTAATTTTACCCGTAAAAGTAGGGCTTTGTTTTCTTCTTCTTCTTTCTTTTGGACATCTATAAATGGCAGAGGATTTTTCACTCTTCTTGGCCAATCAACAAACACTCTCTTCTAATGCTCTGCATTTGTCCTTGTTATATCTCCTTAATTTATAAGAATACATCTAATCCCTTTGCCATATGTGAGGGAGGATTTCTTATCCATCCTAAGTTCTTACTCTAGGCTTGACAGATCAGTTACTTCAATTATATTTCACATCCTGCAATTTCAGATGCATTCACTATTTTACTCACTTTCTTCTGGATATATAGCCATCTTAAATTGCATTCTTGGGCCGGGCGCGGTGGCTCACGCCTGTAATCCCAACACTTTGGGAGGCCGAGGCGGGTGGATCATGAGGTCAGGAGATCGAGACCATCCTGGCTAACAAGGTGAAACCCCGTCTCTACTAAAAATACAAAAAATTAGCCGGGCGCGGTGGCGGGCGCCTGTAGTCCCAGCTACTCGGGAGGCTGAGGCAGGAGAATGGCGTGAACCCGGGAAGCGGAGCTTGCAGTGAGCCGAGATTGCACCACTGCAGTCCGCAGTCTGGCCTGGGCGACAGAGCGAGACTCCGTCTCAAAAAAAAAAAAAAAAAAAAAAAAAAATTGCATTCTTTAGAATTTATGCAAATGCTCCACAGGTGGTATAATAAGAATAGTGAAAGATTGAGTGACTTCCATCCCTATTCCTTTATATAAAGTTTATTAATTTAAGGTAAAGTTAGCCTATTAACACTTATGTAGCATTGTTGTTTCATATTTAGCTTGTTGCCAAATAAAATCTCTAGAGCTTTCCACATGTGCTGTTACTAAGACATGTCTCCCTTAATTATCTATTATAATAGAAACTATAGCATTAGCAAGAATAATTAAAACCCACAGATAAGTCTTCAATTACATCTTATTCATTTGTCTAAGATTCTAACACTAAGCCTCTACAGAATCACTAAAAAGTATAAAAACAGATTGATTTGAAATTTGACGTCATTAATTGCGTATCCTAGTGAAATGGTCAAAAATAGTAAAGTTTCAGAGATAATAGAAAAGATATGAATGTAATGTGGATAACTGTACTGACAGTAACCAGAAGCATTGTATTTTAATATTTTATAATTCTAGTATTTTAAAGTATATACAGGAAATTTCTTTTATAGCATTCTAGTGATACACCTTATCTTTTATTTCGGTGAATAGGAATTAAGTGGATTCAATTTTATTTGTCATTCTAACCATTTGGATTTCATCATCATGATTAATGTACAAGTCAGATCATTTACCTCTTAATGGACACCTCCATAATGTTTCTATTTATTAACTCAATAAATATATATTGTTTTATGTGTTCAAGTCTGTCTCTATTCTGCAAATGGACATATTTCTATGTGTATTTGTGTGCCCCCATTTATGTGTGCATGCTATGGTTTGAATGACCCTTCCAAAACCCATGTTGAAACTATTGGGGCTTATAAAACAGCATCCTAAAATGAAGGCCTCAGTGGCAGCCTCAGAAGCAAAAGTTTTTCTCCACCCTCCTGCTCTCCTGTCTCAGTCCCATTCTCCCCTGAGTCTAGCCATAGCAACTAGAATCTCTCTTCCCTAAAGTGTGTAAGAGAAACTAGAACCGCTTTTCTAAAAGTCAGATATAAAACCTAAATATATCATTCTAATTTTCCCTCTGCCTTTCTAAGTACAAATTGGCCATAAAGAAAATCTGACCTACTTGGTTTGTCTGTAGGTTATAAGAGCCCCACTCCAGAGGGGTCCCTGCTCTATACCCAGAAGGAAGGAATACATGCTCAGAGAGGCCAAGAAGAATCTATACAGATAGGCCATACTGGGTTCCCCAGTCAGGCTATTAACATTAGATCACAGCCATTTTGTTCAATCATATTTCCACAAAGCTATCAATGCTTTGTTGAACCTAAGCATAAACATGAATAATTACCCCTGTATCTTTGGGTCTTTATTCTGAAGGCTCCTATGTATACATATTAAAACAATTTGTATGACCTTTTTCCTATTAATCTGCCTTTTGTAAGTTGATTTTTTGATCTACGAAACTTAATCCCCACTGTGGCAGTATTGAGAGGTGGGACCTTTAAGAGGTGATTAGTGCATGAAGGTTCTGCCCTCATGAATGGGTTAATCTATTCATGGGTTAATAGATGAATGGGTTATCATGGCAGTGGAACTGGTGGCTTTATAAAAAGAGGAAGTGAGACCTGAACTAGCGTGTTTGACCCCCACACCATGTGATGCCCTGTACCACCTCGGGACTTGGAGAGTCCCCATCAGCAGGAAGGCTCTTGCCAGATGGGGCCCTATGACCTTGGACTTCTCAGCCTCCAGCACTGTAAGCAATTAATTTCCTTTTAAATAAATTAACCAGTTTCATATATTCTGTTATAAATAACAAAAGATGGACTAAGACAGTATGTATACATATTTGTGTGGCCACACTGAATGACATGCTATAAGAGTAAAGAAGACGTAAAGAATTATAGGTGCTCTTCCTGCTTAGGATCTGCCTTATGGGTCTTAGGAATGGGAGGCCATCTGGTTTAATTGTTGTTTGAAAATTTAGGAAAGAGGATGAAGCTCATGAATGCAGTTCCTACTGATACAGGAATTAAGAAGAAATTATTTAGGCAGATACTGAGGGTAAGGAAGTCCTCTGAAGATTTTCCTTTTAATGAAAGGCAGCCCAAAATCATTTTCTTTTCTAACAAAGAGCAGCCTGTAAATCGAGATGTAAACATAGACGAGCAACCTAGAAGTTTGCGTGGGTGAATGCTGACAGTTGTGCCACTAAGAAAAGGCTATCTGGGACTAGGCATGTTCAAAACGGCAGCTCCATCTTCTCTCCTCCTTTCCAGCCACGCGTACAGCAAAAAGCAGACAACATGGCACTGGCCAAGTGGAAAGCCCATTTCCATAACAAGATTAGGGTGGGGTGGCCAGCCTTCCCCACGCATTATGTAAATATCACACCTGGTTCAACCAATCTGCGATCCCTATGTAAATCAGACACTGCCTCCTCAAGCCTGTCTATAAAATCCGGTGTACTCCGCCACGGGCTGGAATTCCCATTTGTGTGCCCTTCTCTCTCTCAAGAGAGAGAGCCGTTTTCCTTTATCTTTCTTTTTCCTATGGAGACTCTACTCCTAAACTCACTCCTTGTGTGTGTCCATGCCCTTAATCTTCTTGGCATGAGATGATGAACCTCGAGGATTTACCACAGACAACGATGCCACTTCATTACCTGTTTTGTTGTCAATTCTAATTGTAGGCTAGTAACTGGTTTTCTATATTAATTAAATAATTGTAGTAATCTTTAAATTTAAAATTGGAGAAAATAACACAAATAGCAAATTTGCCATGAAATGTATTTATATGATGCATTGATATGTGTCAAAAATTTAGTTTTAATTCTGTAATATTCTTGTATATCAGAAATATGTAAGAAAAAATATTTTCTAAATTGACATGAATAAAGAAAAAAATATTTTGAATCTTTATTTAGCCCTTGTTGAACAATAAGGACCATTCAAAGATAACTAATGCATGATGTCATGAAAAATAATTATTCACTTAAAATCATAGTTGGACCTCATCCTTTTACAAAACTGTAAAAGCCACTGTGAAATGTTTGTCCACCTACTGATAAATTGGAGCAGATATGAGCCATTATAAGTCTTATGAAGATTATGTATTTAGGAGTAGAAACTTTGGAAGAAATATAAAGGGCATAGACTGGGATACAATGTCATCAACCCATGTGTTAAAATAGGTAAAGATTGAATTGTTATTAAAAATACTACTACATAAACACAAATTAAAGACTATTTTATTGTACTGAAAGAAGAGTTGTTCTTGAAGAATTTTAGAAAGACAAATAGATACAGATACAGGCCCATAAAAATTAGCTACACAATTGTATCATCTCCAAAAGTGGCACATATAAGGTGGGCAAGGCTGGTATGGCAAGTTAAACTTACAGAGATGGTAAGAAAATTACTTAAAAACAACTTAGAGTTAACAGAAGTGACACTAACAAGTAGATGTCCAGGTTTTGGAGGGAAGTTCATTAAAAGAAAATATTGAGTCCTCTTATGGCTATATTTGAAATCATTAAAACTGAATAAAATTTCACAATCCACAGAGAATGAATTGAGTAAAGTGATCGCAATTTAGAGCCATCCATAGTTCAAATTGTGTCCATTTCTAAAATATAAAGATACTCCTCACGGTATTTTCTTTCTTCTAACTGGCATTCAAAACAATAATTGGCAAATAAGTTGTTCCAATATCAGTTTTCCTTTACTATTTGAAAATTTCAGGTTCATGGCTAAAATCTCAGAAAGGGGATTGATTATTGAATCCCCGACCTTTAAATTAGAAAATCTCAACTAACAGTGCACATTTGGATCACACTGGTATCACGAAGTAGTTTGCATAGCTTATCACACACACTTATCTCACACATATCAATACACTTAAACACTAAAGCTTGATGTCAACTCTTCTCTACTCCTAAGACAATACCTTCTCCTTGCCTATGTAAGCAAGGTAAAAGTCTGCTTCTCAGCCTGAAGAGATATGGGCCAATATTTAAACAAAAGATAAACAATAGGGCTATCTCATAGTCCTAGAGAACTTTCTGTTTGCTGGTGTTTCTTTACAGTCAACTCTTATGCATGTTAGTGACAACAATCAATGTTACAAATGGCCTCAGCAATTACCACACATTCCATGCAGCTTTGAGACTTTGTTTCCTAACTGTCAAAGGGGCAAATGTATCACATGCTCAGTTTAGTCAATGGTAATTGCCAATGGGCATTATGAGTATTGTCTGTCATAAACGTTTTCCCTAAAGACTATACCTCTCCTTTATTTATTTTAAAATAAAACAGCTTTATTTTAAAAGGATTTTGAAGTGAAAGATGTTCATTAGAGCCGCATTTTCCCCTGTAAAAATTGAAGCAACCAAACACATTTCATCTTGCTCTCACACTTAGGTACAGGCATATGATATAGCCTTAGTGATCAGAGGTTCCCTCCTGGAACTATGTCTCATGAGAGAGGAAAAAAATAGAGAAACAACTGGGAAATCATTCACAGCAGCAATGAGAAGCTGTTGGAGAGTTCCAGGCTGTACCAGTGCCTGTAACGTCCATCCAGCCAGGCTGTCTTAGTGGATTTGATTTGCCGGCTTATCTGATGCCCAACTTTCATTGGTTTGTGCCTAATTCAGAGCTGGGTCCTCCAGCTTTCTAACAAGACTCTTTGGGCAGTTGTGTATTTATCCAGTATGCTTTTTTTTTTTTTCCCAAAAATTAGCTAGAATTCTCTTTTGTTGTTTGCAACTAAGACCATGTACAGAACACTACTCCTTTCAGTTCCACAAATAACATTGAGCTAATTTAGATACCAAATTGCTAGGATCAATAATCATAAGATTCATCATCAAAACATCAGCCTCTAAATTGCCTTTCTTGGCTGTATTCTGAAGGCAGGATGGCAGTCTCTCAATGATTGCAGAGAAATGGCAAGAAGCAGAGGAGTCATGAGCAAGACTATTTGTTGAGGCCTCTACCAGCAGAAACCACAGGCTCTGTTTGATACTAGCTATTTCTGTGTGACAGAATTTTCTTGCTCTAATTTATAGCCTATTTTTAATGGAACAAGTTGTTGCAACATTACTTTAGCTTTCTACAAATCCACAAAAATTGAACTTACATGATTTGAAGAAGAGAAAATTGATCAAACACCATGACACAGATTGAATCCTTTGATAGTTCTACAAGAGGTAGGCAAAGAAGCACTTGCTTTTAAACAGAGACGCCTCCACAGGCCTAAATGGGATACAAGCTACCATATCTCAGAATTTCTTGGAGGTGGAGCTTAGGGATTTATACATATATTATAGCTCCATGGGTAATTCAGATATTCATCCCCAGTGAAGAGACACTGTGCTATAGAGACTAGACACTCAGGCAGAATCTGCTTAGAAAATATCAAAATCCTAACTGCTGACATGTGTCTATACACACAGAACTAATATTTGAAACTTTTTTTATTCCTTTCAGTATTAACTCCACTTCTCATTTATATCTGGTTTTCCTTCTTTTATTTGCCTCTAGTGTGCCTCTTAATAATTGCCACAGACTCTGTGTGCTTGTGTGGCCCATATTTCAGATTTTATCAGGAGTTCTTTCTCAAAGACAACACACCGCTGCTTGTAACTGTTTCCTGCACTTTTCTCCATATCTCCCCTACATGCACTTTTGGTGCATTCCAACCGGAAGAGAGGATAATACAGAAACAGGTAAAGGAGCGAGATCACAAATCCAAATTTGATAAGCTCATGAGATTTGGCATAATACCACTGTAGTGATTAATGCAGAAATAACCATACATAATGTCCCCTAAAATGTCTTTTGTACTCATAAAGAAGATAAAAACAATGAAAAATGTGATGAAAACCCTCATATTTTCAGAGTGAATATTATCATTTTCTCTTTCATTATGTTATAGTTAATACATTATAAATTCTAATAAACCTATACATTTTCCAACATTAGTGATAATATTCATTGTCTAACAACATAACCTACCATTTAAATCCACAAGTAATGAATTTATAGATGTGCACTAAGAAAAGTATGAGAGAAAAATAACTACAACTGTTTATTAAGAAATTAATTGAATTACAAGGGTTATAGAAGCATTCAATTATCATGCTGCATTTACCACATTAATCTTAACCATGACCCTATACAACCCAAAGTTACCCATCTTGTTTCTGGAAAAGAGTGACCTTGAGGTCACTTGTAAAGCCTCGTAATCAATACGTTTGGAAGAGAAAGCAAGCTGTCTGTTCAATGGAATCCATGTAGATTGCCCTGTGGTTGATTCACTGCTCACATCTGGTTCTTATGTCTAGCTTTGTCTCCCATATTTACATTTTTGATCCTCTCACCCTTTGGAAAGGCAGATGTCTGCCTGACCACCTATTATAGATTTATTTGCCTACTATGACAGGACTCCTTGACCTTGGAGAAAGCTTGATGACCCTTTGTATAATTTAATAACTGTATTGGCTACTAATGTACATCTTTCTGAAGTCCTTGGGATCCAAGATGCCACACGCTGCTGTCTATTGTACTATGACATTGGCATCCCTTAGACTGCCCACTGTAAATCATATTTCCCATTTTAGAAAGGACAGAACAAATAAAAGATCTTTTATGTACAGTCTTTTACATATTTCATAAATGTAAAAGCTTGTTTTTTACATATATTCATCAATTACTTTTTCCCTACCTTGGCTAAAATAGGTTGGATCGCTCCATAGTATTGCCTATCATGAACAGAATTAAACTGTGCTATATCAGAATATGCACATTATTGGATATGCTAATCACTAGACCAGAAAATAATTTTCAGTAATAATGAAAATGTTCTTTTATGCTGCTCTGCAGAGTAGTCACTGACACATGGTTTTTGAGCACGCAAAAAGTGGCTAGTATGACTGAGGAACTCAATGTCTCATTTTATTTAATTTTTATTAATTTAAATTTAAACTTTAAAATCCACATATGGCTCATGGCTACACTGTTGAGCAGTTCAGGTCTAGACCGTTTTTCTTTTAGGATCTTTATTTTCTTTTCGTCTCCAGGATTGTACCCTGCACGTTTAATGAACATGTTCCATTAATAATATTCATTAAATAAGTAAGTGAGTGAATTGTGACTGTGTACACTGCTATTCACTTCTACTTCCTGAAAAACTGAAATAAGAAGCACACAGAAACTGGGGCAGCATTGAGCTCAGAACAGCATGTTCAATAAGTAATAACTGCATGTATATTTTAGAGTAGCTTCTTGTAAAGTTGCTTCTGAATATGTTTTTTTCACTCTGCAATGCAAACAGGGAAGTCTGAACAATAGAGGAACTCTCTGAAAACTAGACAATAGCAGCTCAACTCTGAATTTGAAAGAATGTGAGGTCAGGGGCTGCTGATCCAAGGAAACAAAGGCAAATTGTTTGCTTCTGCTGGCCGCCTTTCACGTCTCACCCAGGAGAACTGTTCAGAGAAGAAGAAACATGCAGAAGCAGGTGCTATATTTTTCAGAGAAGTGACAGCAGATAATATCTCATTTGGAAGACTGCTGGTCTTCTCAAGAAAATTGTATAGTAGTTCGGCTCCTACTCAAGAACATTTTTCACCACATTGCCACCACCATAAATTCTTGCTTTATCTTCCATCTTGTGTCTTTCATATGATAAAAATAATCGTGGAAAAGCAGATCTGTTATCACCTGAAGTTTTCATTTCTTTCTTTCTATAAAGTACCAATAAAGTTGGATATAGTTTTTAAGAATTGGCTTTTCCTCATAAAATCTTAAATAGGAGAAATAAAAAGCTTTGGAGCAGTTAACAATGCCTTATAAATTCAATGTATTAATATTATAATTATTTAAAAGTTCAGTTATTCTTTTATTAAATTGGTGATATCATTGACCATGATACAGCCTCTGCAGACTTGATCCAGGATCATTCACATTTAACATAGGACTTAATTGCTTATGAAAATGCTCCAGAAGTTCAAGAAACATGTTTCTTTTTTCATTCTTTCTTTTGTTTTTGAAACTGTCTCACTGTGTTGCCCCCAAGCTGGAGTATAGTAGTGGGATCACAGGAAACCTTGACCTCCAGGGCTCAATTAATCCTCCAATCTCAGCCTCCTGAGTAATTAGGACTACAGCTACTCACCGCTATGCCAAGTTAATTTTCAATTTTTTTCATAGAGATGGGGGTCACACTATGTTGCTCAGGCTGGTCTCTAACTCACTGGCTCAAAGCGATCCTCTACCTCAGCCTCCCAAATTGCTGGAATTACAGGCATTAGGCACCATGCCCAGCCTAGGAACCTGTTTCTTAAGCCAATTAGTAGACAGGACTATTGATTGAAGCATAATCTAGACAAAATTGAACATACCCTAGGTTAAAGTATGATTGTAAGTAACAAGGACTAGCTCTTTGCATAGTAGTTCCTCACACTTGGAATTTCCTACTGCATTTGAATGCATTTAATGCAGAAGCGCAAACTCTATCCCTGAGGTAGAATTGGCATGTTTATGGCTCTGTCAGAATCTGTGTGATCTGGTGCAAGTCACTAAATCTTTCCACACATTAGTTACCACCTGACTAAACTGTGGGATAACAATGAGTGAGAGTCTCTGTATTTATTTGCCATGGCTGTATTAAGAAATACCACACAGTGGGTGGCTTAAACAACAGAAATGTATTTTCTTACAGTTTTGGAGACTAGTCGTCCAAGATCAACATGTTCACAGGTTTGGTCTCTTCTGGGGCATTTCTTCCTGGCTTGCAGATGGCTCTCTTCTTACTGTATTGCCACGTGGCCCTTCCTTTGTGCATGTGCATCCCTGTTCTTTCTTTGTATGTCCAAATTCCTCTGCTTATAAGGACATCAGTCAGATTGAATTAGAACCTAGGCTGACAGCCTCATTTTAACTTAATCAGCTCTTTACAAAGGTCCTATCTCTAAATAGAATCATATTCTGAGGTACTAGAGACTAGGGCTTCAACATAAATTTTGAGAGAACACAATTCAGCCCTTGACATTGGCTCTTAGTCTCTCACAAGAGTTTCATGAGACTAGATTATGATTAGCTTGGGTCAGGTTATCTAGGAACGACCACTGCAGGAGTGATTGGTGGTTCCAATCACTAACTATGCATCTATTTGACTTTTACTATCTTACTATCATCTGTGATATTGCCCGGACTTACATACTTTTATGAATTTAGCCTCTTAAATTAATTGTTGAGAGAGATATTCTATCTAGGCTACCAGTCCAGTACCTCTTTTATAGAGAGGACCGATAACATCATCACCATAGTAACAAATAACATTTGTAGAGTACTAAGTATATGAGAGGCACCCTGTTAAGAGCTGTGGACATGTTAAGTCCATTACTCTTCACAAGGACCTTTGAGGTAGGTAGTTCTATCATCCTGACTTTAGGGGTGATGAAAGGGGTTTTAGGGTTACTAAGTGGGAGACCTGGGATTTAAATCCAGGCATTCTGAATCCAAAGTACAAATACCAAGATAAAGTATGAAATCCTTGATGATTTCATAGTTTTGTCCCTGTCTTCCTGTGTGTCCTTGAATAAGTTCTTTAACTTCTCTGAGTGTCTCCCAATAACAGTGCCTACTTTATGGAGTTGTTGCAAAAGTGACTGAGGTAGTTTATAAAGGAAGACTTTGGAAATTATAAAACACATTATAAATACCAGTTATTTTTTTAAAACATTTCCAAACAGTTGGTACAACTGAACCAGCAGGTGGTAATATTCTTTTTAGGAGACTTGCAGATCTAATCATGGTGTCATTGCTGACAGACTAATCATGACAAAGCCAACTGACATGTCTCATTCATGTGGGAATGAACAAAACTGAGACACAGAAGGGACCTCCAATTTTTATTCTGATATGATTTGGCTGTGTCTCCACCCAAATCTCATCTTGAATTTTAGTTCCCATAATCCCTGTATATCGTAGGAGAGAGCTGGTGGGAGGTAATTGAATCATGGGGGCAGTTTCCCCCATACAGTGAGTGAGCTCATGATAGTGAGTGAGTTCTCATGAGATCTGATGGTTTTATAAGGGGCTTCCCCTTTCACTCGGCTCGCACACTTCTCCTTGCTGGCCTCATCATCATTCTCAGTAAACTATCGCAAGAAAAAAAAACCAAACACCGCATATTCTCACTCATAGGTGGGAATTGAACAATGAGAACACATGGACACAGGAAGAGGAACATCACACTGGGGACTGTTGTGGGGTGGGGGGAGGTGGGAGGGATAGCTTTAGGAGACATACCGAATGCTAAATGACAAGTTAATGGGTGCAGCACACCAGCATGGCACATGTCTACATATGTAACAAACCTGCACGTTGTGCACATGTACTCTAAAACTTAAAGTATAATAATAATAAAATAAAATAAGAAAAAAAAGAAAAAGGATGTGTTTGCTTCCTGTTCTGCCACAACTGTAAGTTTCCTGAGGACTCCCCAGCTCTGCGCCACTCTGGGTCAATTAAACCTCTTCCCCTTATAAATTACCCAGTCTCTCGCATGTCCTTATAGCAGCAGGAGAATGGACTAACACATATTCATTTACTCATCTGCTTATTAATTAATTCATTTAACATTTAAGTAGTTAGTCTATGACACAAAAAGAGCCAATGCTATAGCAGAAATTTCAAATAAATAAACACCTATAATTAATACAATGTGACCATTACTACAATAGAGCTGTTTATAATATACACAAAAAAGGAGTGATTTATTTTCTCATGGTGTTAGTGGAAGGAGAAGACATCAGTTATGATCTCATGGAGCAGGTGATATGTGTACAATGAGCTACATATCCCCAAGAGAGGAAGAATAAGAGAGATGTTCACGTTGGAATCACTATCTGAAGCCCTACAGGGCAAAATATGTTCCTGAGCCAGCAAGCTACTCATGCAAGTCTGATGGTAGGAAGTCTGAGTAGGACCAGGTCTTGTGGGGCACCTGAGGATGGCTACTATTGAAGTTGTGGCAGTTATCAACAACTAGGACATGAGTGCCATGATACTGAAAAGAAATATTACAGTATAGGAACATGCAAGACATAAAGACATAGAGGCTTTGTTGGCAGTTCTCTATTCTTTTTTTTTCTTTTTTTTTTTTGACACGGAGTTTTGCTCTTGTCACCCAGGCTGGAATGCAATGGTGCAATCTCAGCTCACTACAACGTCCGTCTCCTGGGTTCAAGCGATTCTCCTGCTTCAGCCTCCTGAGTAGCTGGGATTACAGATGTGCGCTAGCAGGCCTGGCTAATTTTTGTATTTTTAGTAGAGATAGGGTTTCACCATGTTGACCAGGCTCGTCTTGAACTCCTGACCTCGGGTGATCTACCTCCCTCGGCCTCCCAAAGTGCTGGGATTACAGGCATGAGCCATCGCGCATAGTCCTCTGATCTTAAAGACAATGTAATGTGAATATTCAAAAAACTTTCAAAATGAGAAATAATAGACCCAAAAGCACCAATTAAAATATTATTTCAATAATGTAAATAAGCTATTAAGAGGTCTGAATTATGGCAGTGGAAGTTAAAAACTCAGAAGAATGAATGTATTTAGAGGCATTCTGAAGTAAAATGTATGGGACTTGGTGACTGGCTAGATAAGCAAGAGGAAAAGAAAATAAAAACAATTACGTTGAGAACTATGAAGATTGCTGTTTTTGCATGTCAAAAATGGTAGAATGTTGGTGATAAAGTTCAAGTTAATGAGATAATAGGTAGATTTCTAGATATTAAATTAAGTAAATGGATAACTCATTAACTGAGAGAGTATACAGAAGAGGAGCATGAAGTCTGAGGAGCTGAGGTGTTTGGAAATATTTAAGGAGGTAAATAGGCACTAAAAAGAGAGGTTCAGGTGACCTGGGGTGTTGATGGTAGTCGACACCCATAGGATTTAATGAGATCACCCAAGTAGAGTGATATAGTTGGAATGTGTGTCCCCACCAAATCTCATGTTGAATTATCATCCCCACTGTTGGAGGTTGGGCCTGATGGGAGGCATTTGGATCATGGCGGCAGATCCCTCATGAATGACTTGGGTCATCCCCTTGGTGATAAGTGAGCTCTTGCTCTAAGTTCATGTGAGATCTGGTGGTTTAAAAATGTATGGCACCTCTGCCCCACTCTCTATCACTTGCTCCTGCCTTTGTCATGTGATGTGCCTGCTCTCCTTTCACCTTCTGCCATGATTGGAAGCTTCTTGAGGCCTACTTAGAAGCTGAGCAAATGTCAGCACCATGCTTCCTGTAAAGCCAATAGAACCATGGGCCAATTAAACCTCTTTTCTTTAGGAACCACCCAGTCTCAGGTATTTCTTTATATCAATGCAAGAACAACCTAACAGAGTATGAAGAAAAAGAAGAAAAAACCTGAGGACAAAACCATGGGCTTATGCATGTACATGAGTGCGGAGGGGAAATATTTAGGAGATGAATACAGAGATGGCAAGAAACTGGATGGTTGAAGTAGGAAAATAAAGCATTAATAATGCCTAATAGCCAGGCACAGTGGCTCACGCCTGTAATCCCAGCACTTTGGGAGGCCGAGGTGGGCAGATCACCTGAGGTCAGGAGTTCAAGACCAGCCTGGCCAACATGGTGAAACGCCATCTCTACTAAAAGTACAAAAAATTAGTTCGGCATGGTTACGGGCACCTGTAATCCCAGCTGCTGGGGAGGCTGAGGCAGGAGAATCACTTGAACCTGGGAGGCGGGGGCTGCAGTGAGCCGAGATCACACCATTGCACTCTAGCCTGGGCAACAAGAGTGAAACTGCATCTCAAAAAACAAAAATTAATAATGCCTAATAATCAAAATAATAAGAAAGATTTAGATTAGGCTGGATAGTTAAGAGCTGAAAAGAGACACCTGGACATGGGAACCAAAATGTCCCCACTGACCTTTTCCAATGCAGGAGCAAAAATTTTGCACAAAAGTGCAAATTGGATACTATCTGAAGAGGAGTAGATCAAAGACCTAGAAACAGGCACTGTTAGTAAAACAACTTTAGGGTGTCTGGAGAAGAAGAGAGGATGAAACAGAGCAGTATCTACAGACAGAGGGAACGTTGAAAGAAAGGTTTATTAGCCTTTTGTGTTGAGTGGTTTTTTTTTTTCCTAAGGGTAGGAAAAAATATTGTCCATTTATAGGTCAATAGGAAAGAGCTAGTGATGAGAGAATGACTGAGGATGTGGGAGAAGAGGATGTGCAGAGGGGCTGATAGCAGATGTACTCAGTTTCATCACTGTCAGACTACTCATGACAGAGCTGGCTGACATGTCCCGTGCATGTCATTTCCCCCTCTAAAGGAAGAAAGAGTGAACAGGGGGTATCATCATAGCAAGTGAGGCTAAAAGGTATCAGGAGCACCTTATAACTATGACCTCTAACATGTGAATAACCAAGTATGGAGAATTTTTTATGACAAGAATATTTATGCATGATGACTATTGCTTAACATGTATCTATGAAGTATATTTAAAAGCAGCCCAAGAGCTTACATCTAAAAAGCCCCTACTTTATATATTGTTGAACGAAATAAGTACATTTCTGAATTTGGTTAAGTCTTTCCTGTAACTTTTACACTCCTAGAAATATTCTGTTTTGTCTCTCACTATCTTAAGTCCAGTGAAGTGTGACTGAGATGAATTAAAATCTGTTAAGTAAAAGTAAGTAGTTTACATTTTTCAACCTATATCTGAATATGATTTTTCACAGCAAGTGTATATGCTTCCAAAAGGTAGAT
This sequence comes from Homo sapiens, assembly GCF_000001405.40. Classification (NCBI taxonomy): domain Eukaryota; kingdom Metazoa; phylum Chordata; class Mammalia; order Primates; family Hominidae; genus Homo; species Homo sapiens. The sequence continues at coordinate 175,506,475 of NC_000003.12, read as the reverse complement.
AACATATTTTATCTTTGAAATTATTAGATTAAACATTTAGAGAGTGGAAGATGATAGTTCCTAAATGTTGTACAATATTATCGAAAATGAACATAAATTGCATGAACCTTCAGGTTTTCATCCGTTATAAGATGACCTTCGGAAATTACTTCTGCAGCAATGAAACTAAACGTTCAGGGATGATGCATGTGTAGTGCAATAAAGTCAGAAATGTTTACATGGCACATACTGCAGAAGATAAACTGGCAGTTCTGCCGAAGCACCACTCCATAGCTAAGGTTTTTTTATTTTATTTTATTTTATTTTTCCATTTCACCTGAGCAAAAAGCAATGAAATACCTGTGTTAAAGGAATCTTTAAGTGCTACCGCTCATAATTTTAGTGTCTTGAGGTATCAGAAAAAGGTAATGATGGCAGTAGTCAGAATTCTTAGGTCAAAAGGGAATCTGGTAGTAAATGACCCAAAGCCTGCTGAGGTCTGCTCAAGACCTTGGGTGTTCATGTTTCTGATTGGTCTTGAAGTGATACCAATCACCAGAACCCAGAAGGAGAAGGAAACACCGTTCAAGAGGCCAAGAGGCTTTTTAAAAAATCCAATGATGTAAGTCTTTGGTAGCTGAATCTAAAGTGAATGGAGAAAATTTGTTTCTATCTTACACCTCTTATAGTTCTTACTCTATACCTCAAACTTTGCTCTTTCTCTTCTCATTTATTCTTTCTCAGAAGAAGAGGTATTTATTTTGCTTGCTAAGACAAACTCCTTTCCCTAGGATCTTGAACACATTTTTATTGTCTTTTCCAGGCCCTTGCTTTCATTATGTGAAGGCTTTCTTGTAACTTAAGTTTCTCTCTCTTCTGAATTCAAATCCTCAGCTTACGTACATTTCAGGTCTACTTTCTAAATAAATCAAACCAAAAGTCAACAAAAAAAAATAAGCCAACAACATTGTCCCTAGACTTTTTCATTCCTACAAGTAGTGTCTATTCTTTTTATCTTTTGCTATGAAACAAACCATACTGGATTAAAACAATAATTTTTTCTTATCTTTATGGACTGTGGGTTGACTTGGTTCTAGTGGGAAAATTTTACTCAGGGTCTGTCATGTAGTTTTTGTTAGATGGTAGTTGGGGCTGTGGAGACATAAGTCATTGTCACACATGTGTGATCTGACATCTCTGTCTTCAGGCAGACTCTTTTTTTTTTTTTTTCTCGAGACAGGGTCTTGCTTTGCCACCCAGCCTGGATGCAGTGGCAGGATCATAGCTCACTGCAACACTGAACTCCTGAGCTCAAGCAATCCTCTTGCCTCAGCCTCCCAAGGCTCTTTTGTAACTAGGTAGAGTTTCTCACAGATGGTAGTCTCAGCATAATAGGAGATTTTTACATGGTGACTGGCTTTCTCCAGAGTTTGAGAGACAGGAATTGGAAGCCACTGGGATCCATCTCTCAATAAGAGAAACGTCAAATAATGTTCCACATATATCTCTTTACTTTCCTTAGCGTCAAACATTTTTGTAATAATCTTAAACATTTGCTGCCGTCACATCCTTCCTACTCATTGTGTCATCCACACACATATAGCTAACATTCATCAAGAGCTTGTAAATTGCTAGGCATTCTGTCAAGTATTTTTTGAACATTACCTCAAGTAAAATCTCTAAGCTAGATATTACTACTATTATCTTCATTTAGAGATTTTGAGTTTTTGTCCATGGTCACTAACTTAGCTTGGACGCCATAACAAAATTTCATAAACTGAGTAGATTAAACAACAGAAAAATATTTTCTCATTGGTTGGGTTCTGGTGAAGGGTCTCTTGCTGGCCTGCAAATGACTGCTTTCTCACTGTGTCTGAGAGAGAGAGAGAGAGAGAGAGAGAGAGAGAGAGAGAGAGAGAGAGAGAGAGAGAAACAGAGAGAGACAGAGAGAAAGAAGAGAGAAAACTTTCTTTTCTCGTAAAGCCACAATCCTATCAGATTAGGGCCCCACCCTGATGACATCATTTCATTTTAATGGCCTCCTATAGACCCTATCTCCAGAAAGAGTCACATTAGGGGCTAGAGCTTCAACTTACACATTTTGAGGAAATACATTTCAGTCCATGGCATTTCACCCTGGCCCCCCAAAATTCATGTCATCACATGCAACATATATTCATTCAATTCCAACCGTCCAGAAATTCTTAACTAATTCCAGCATCAACTCTGAAGTGCCCTCTTTGACAAAAGTCAAAAGTGTCCTCTTTGATAAAATGTCCTCTTTGACAAACTCAACAAAAGCAAGCAATAGAAAGGACTCCCTGTTCAATAAAAAGTATTGGGATAACTGGCTAGCCATATGTAGAAGATTAAAACATTCTTTACATTTATACAGAAATCAACTCAAAATGCATTAAAGACTTAAATGTAAAACCTAAAACTATAAAAACCTTGAAAGATCATCTAGGAAATATCATTCTGAACATAGGACCTGGCAAAAATTTCGTGACGAAGACACCAACAGCAATTGGAAGAAAAACAAAAATTAACAAGCAGGGCCTAATTAAACTGAAGAGCTTCTGCACAGCACAAGGAATTATCAACAGAGTAAACAAACAACTTACAGGATTGGAGAAAATATTTGCAAACTATGCATCCAACAAAGGTCTCATATCCAGAATCTATAAGGAACTTAAACAGATTTGCAAGCAAAAACCAAACAACCCCATGAAAAAGTGGGCAAAGGACATGAACAGACACTTTTCAAAAGAAGACACACGTGTAGCCAACAAGCATGTGAAAACATGCTCAACTTCAATAATTAGAGAAATACAAACCAAAACCACAATGAGATACCATCTCATACCAGTCAGAATGGCTATTATTAAGAAGTCAAAAAATAACACATACTAGTGAGGTTGTAGAGAAAAGAGGAACACTTACACATTGCTAGTGGCAATGTAAATTAGTTCAGCCACTGAGGAAAGTGGTTTGGCAATTTCTCGAAGAACTTAAAACAGAATTACCATTCCACCTAGCAATCCTACTATTGGGTATACACACAAATGAATATAAGTTGTTCTACCATAAAGACACAATGCATATGTATGTTCATTTCAGCACTATTCACAATAGCAAAGTCATGGAATCAACCTAAATACCCATCGGTGGTAGACTGGATAAAGAAAAGGTGGTACACAGACACCATGAGACACTATACAGCTATAAAAAAGAATGAGATCATGTCCTTTGCAGCAACATGGATGGAGCTGGAGGCCATTAACCTATGCAAATTAATGCAGGAGAAAACTAAATATTCCAAGTTCTAACTTGTAAGTGGGAGCTAAATATCAAGTACATATGAACAAACAGAAGGAAACAATAGACACCAAGGCCTACTTGAGGGTAGATGGTGGGTGGAAGGTGAGGACTGAAAAACCACCTATCCAGTACTATGCAGATTACCTGGGTGACAACATAATCTACACCAAACCCCTGCAACATGAAATTTACTCATAAAACAACCTATATATGTACCCCTGAACCTAAAATAATGGTGAAAAAAAAAAAGAGAAAAAAAATCTCATTAAAAAGCCTGTCTTCTTACAAAAACTAAAATGAAAAATAAATATATCTAACTTCTGTATGGGTGAGATTTGAGGTATAATTCATGAGGCAAAATTCCTCTCCAGCTGTAAACCTATGTTCAAACTACAGTGGTGGGACAAGAATGAATAGACATATCCTGATGTTTAGGTTCTCCAGAGAAGCAATATATATATGTATGTATACTGGGATTGAGAGAGAGAGAGAGACATTTATTATAACGAATTGACTCATAATTAACGAGGCTGTGAAGTTCCAACATATGCAGTGGGCTACCTGGAGACCCAGGAGAAGTGATATAGTTCCAGTCCAAGTCCAAAGGCCTGAAAGCAAAGAGAGCTGATGGTGTATATGATCCAGTCTTAAAGCTATCAGGCTCAAGCAAGAAGAGCCAATGTTTCAGTTCAATTCTCAAAGCTGGAAAAGACTGACGTCCCAGATCGAAGCAGTGAGGCAGTGTCAACCTGACTCTTACTTGTCGCATTGCCTCATTTGTTGCAGTGTCAGGCTTTTTGTTCTTTTCAGCCTTTCAACTGATTGCATGAGGGTTACATACATTAGGCAGGAAAATCTGCTTTACTCAGCCTACTCATTCAAATGTTAATCTCATCCAAACACACATGCACACACACAGACACACACACACACACACACACACACACCCAGGATAATGGTTTGCCAAATATCTGGTGCAGTCAAGTTTTAACAAAACTAACCATCATAGTCACATAGCTAGCTATTTAGTAGACTGACTAGGAATTTATGACCACTTTATTCTCCCTTGTTTATTCTTTAGTTCCCCACAATGTGCTTTTATTTTACTTGAAATTGTTCTCTTCAAAGTCTCCATTGATTTGCTGTTCATGTAGACCAATGTGTTTTTAATCAGCCCTTTTTGATCTTACTATCGCTTTTGATCCTGGTGACTAACATGCCTTCTTGAAATGCTTACTTCTTGGTTTCCATGATAGTACTTGACTTTGGAACTTTTTTTGATATTTGTGACTATCATTTTTCTTAAAACTACTAAAGTTCACAGTTCACAGCAATCATCTCTCTACACACTTGAGTCTTAATTTTTTATATTTAGCATTTACCTTTCTCCTAAATTCAAGTTTCATAATTTCAAACTTTTCACTACTAGTCATTTCTATCCAAGTGTTCAAACTTAATTTGTCTCAAAGTGATTAATTTTTATTCTGAAACCTGCTATTGCTCTTTTCCCTATGTGCCTTATTTCAGATAAAGGACATTTATCAGACCTTCAATCACTAAGGCTCAAAACTGTGTGAGGTGATTACCTGTTTGTTATCTGTCTTGTACCCACTCTTTTTGGAAATCTTCCCTGTCTCTCAGTCCAAGGTATTAAAATGGGGCTGACCCAACCTCCAGCTCCAAATGTGAACATCTGACCTACACTGAGCCAATGAGAATCATATGCTGCCTTTGTGTGTGTGTGTGTGTGTCTAAAACGTATGGAAAAGATGTTCCCTTTTGATAACAATCTTTTAACCTCCAGGGTAATATAATTGTGGAGGTGGCAGGAGCCACCTTCACCACCACATATATGGAACCTACCTGAACATGAAGCCAATAAAAGGAAAGCAGTTCTGAGAAATAGCAAGAGACAGAATATCTTGATTCAAATATATGAACCAATAAATTTTCATTTTTGTTTAAGCAAGTTTGAGTTGGCTTCCTGTCACTTGTAATCTATGGACTCCTGACTGATGCCCAAGCCATTATATCTGACTCATGTTCTCTTATTCAATTCCTGATTAATCTACCCCTATAAAATCCTCTTCTATGTATTATCACAGAAACCATCCTAACTCAAAACTTCATCTGTCATCTAGAGTAAAGCAGTAGCCACCCACTTGTAAAACTTGCCTGTTCTGATCAGTCTTATTCACTATTCCCAGAACTATCATTCTAAATTACAGTTTGATTTGGTCAAACTTCTTGGCTTGTCATTCAAAGCCACTCACTGTCTATCTGTGTGTGTAGAGAATTATTTTTCAATGCACTATTTCATATAGCAAAATGTAGTGTTGATGAGAATAGACTCTGGAACCAGATTCTTAAGTTCACATTTGGGATCTGCCACTTTTTAGCTATGTACATTTTTTTAAGTATCTTAATTTCTCTATGCGCCACTTTCTTCATCTGTAAGATGGAGATAATAATAGCACCCATATCATAATGTTGTTAAGAAGATTAAAGTACTTGATAATAGAGAAGCACATTAAGCATGCCTGACACAGGATAATTGTTAGTTATGGAAAGTAAAATGCTAGAGCACAGGGCTTTTATTTTACCTTGTTTTTTGTAGCCCTTGTGTGTAACACATTCTGATACATGGGAGGCCCCCATTAGAAGTATACTAGATGAATGAATGAATGAAATCACCTTCTGATCCTCCTTGTTCCCTAAGCAAACAAACCTCTCTGCTCCCAAAGAAGGCCCTTATCCATGTTTCTACTTCTGTGCCTTTTTGCCTACTATTGATTTGGCCTAGAATTTTTTTTTCCACACTACACATAAAAACTACCATCTCTACTTCAATACCTTACTTGAGGTAATTGTCTCAGATTCCTCCAGCCAAAAGTAAATGCAATTCCTCCCCTGCAAAATACCTCATTCTGGATTATCTAGACTTCACTAATGGCAGCGATTTTTTCCCTGCCTTGCATTAGAGTTATGTATGTATGCGCATTATCTTATTTCTAAAGGATAATGATTCTAGGAGGTAGAATAATTCTCTTTGTAGTATCCCATAGCTCCTAGCAGAGGGTCATGCATGGGGTAGTCATTCGGTATTTATTTTTGTGTTAGTGAATATGACTATCATGAATATATAATAAGATTTATTGCTAGTAGGAATAAATATAGATGTCAATATTGACGCTCTACTTGGACTATGAGAAAGTAATATTCCAATATTAGCAAACCAAAGAGGCCAAAAGCTTTAGGTTCACCTGCACCATTTTAGACTCTACTCAGACCCATAGCTGCAAGCTTGGTTTTATCTATTTATAATAAAGAAAATACATAGCAGGCTTCCTACAAGTAGAAGACTCAAATCAAGTATTATTTTGAGGAAATGACTAATACTGTAATAAAAACACAGCTAATATGTAAGAGGCAATAATTTGTGCAATAACTGATGAAATTGGCAAAATTAAATAAGTGGGATCTGTCCAACTGGAAACAGATTCAAAAAGAATAATTTTGAAATGCCCACGTAAGGCTCCAATCCGAATCACGGACCTGTCGCATAAATCCCACAATTCATACTGAAACCCTAGAACTTAAGTCGGGTGCAAAAAAATACCAAGTAGATCTAAGAACTAAAACCTCAGAAGTTAAAAACAGGAATAAGACTAGAGCTCAGAAAAAAAAAATTCCTTAGGTTTAACATTTTGTACCCAATTTAAAAGAGTAATTTAAAATAATTATATGTTTATTTGTTTAATTTTTAAACAAAAATTTAAAGCATTAAGAGACTCTTACGCTAGACTTGTTGAAGGAATTCAGTGTTTAAGTTCCTAAGTAAAGTTTAAATGTTTGGTGAAATCTCATTGGTTATATGCAAATTTATTAGTTTTATTAGTAGCATGTTAATCATTCGAAAAACGGTAAAACAAATTGGAAATTAGACAGTGTAAAAATAGTTGTATGTATTCCTGTCATTGCACTAAGGCCCTTTGAATATTAACAAATCTATCACACACTGAGGTATGGGTTTTCCAATAATGAGTCATATCTCAAATACCTAGTTTTAATCTGCATTAACCCTACAGTGAAATACAAAGAAAATGCATAATAAGTATGTAGAGTAGCCTCTGTATACTGAGCACTTTCTCAGAAATGAGAAAATAACCTGAAATTCATAGCATGGTAAATTTAAGTAGTATAATAACTGAAAATAAAGGTTTTAAGTAAAATTAATAATGTAAGAATGCAGATAGGATCTCTGAGGTGTGCTTTACCATGATTGCATTACTTTGCTAGGGCTGCCACACAAATGACCTTCTTTTAACTTAATTACTTCTTTAAAGACCCTATCTAAATACAGTCACATTCTGGGGTACTGTGGGTTAGGACTTCAACATGTGAATCTTTGGGGGAAAACAATTCTGGTGCAAATAGCTTTTTAAATACTGCCCCTAAAATGTAAATCAGCAGGAAGGACAATTCATATATTATTTTTAAATATAAAGTCCAACTCTTAAGTAGATCTGTTCATAATAGTCATGTAGAGATTAGAAAGCAAAATCACCTATAAAAATCCAGATGAGCCTAATTCAAGATAGATCCTGAACTTTATATCCCACATGGTACTACAAATGAACTCCAAGATAGTTTATTTCCAGGCAAAATATTATTCTTAGTAGAGTGGTAACCTAGGTCAGTCATAGGCAAGGTTGTAAAATATCAAGACATACTTTCAATAATCTTTCACTTCCCTAAATTAATAAAGACTTCTTGGACTGGGGATTAAGGCTCCATATTTTATTGTTTGCCTTCCTATCAAAACTTTCTTGGTTTACACTCATACACTGCGCTGAAGAGTACAAATTGGTATTTTCTCTGATATTATTCCTTTTAATTAACATTCTACTCTGACCTTTCTCACTACCTTCTTTTTAAGGTCAATAGCTTTTAGATTTGTCCTTTTGAGGCTATTTTCTATATTTTGTAGGCATTCTTTCATTCGTTTTTATTCTCTGTTCTTTTCTCCTTTCTGACTGTGCTATCTGTAATAGTCTGTTTTCAAGTTCACTAATTCTTCTGTTTGATCAATTCAGCTGGTAAGGGACTCTGATACATTCTTCAGTAACTAAATTGCATTTTTCAGCTACTGAATTTCTGCTTGAAACTTATCAATTATTGCAATTTCTTTCATCTTTCTAAATATTACATGCACACTAACATTAATTGAGTGGTTTTTCTGAGAGAGGCACTATATCAAGTGCTTTTCAAGCATTTTCAATATTGCATTTGATAACAAAACAAAACTATTTATCTCCAATTTATAGAGGAACAAACTGAAACTTAGTTATGATTTGTACTCATGCTGTTTGACTCCAGCACCTATATTACAACACTTATATACTGCATATGCATTTTTAAAAATAAGATTTTACTTTCTAACTAAAATAGTAGTTGAACATCATCCTTGTAATATGTTAGCTATTTTCACAAAATCCACCCAAAGGAAAAAAATAAAAAAAAGAACAGTACCGACCTTGAGAATTTAGATTAAGTGTTTGGCTAATCTATCTATTGTCAGTCATTCGTTCCAACCATGTGATTTAATGGTCATTGTCTACCTGAAACTACTCCTTAGACATTTACAATTTTCAAAAAGCTCTAAAAGGGGTATAAATTGAAATTTTATATGAATGATTGCAAATTAATACAACTGAAGAAAAAATTGTGGTAGAGGTTTTCACACTTAGTAAGTATTAAAATATTACACATTTTGTAAAAAGTGGATTCTGCAAATGTCTGAACTTCTTAAGGATGAAAAAGATTAGTAAAGTTTACATTCATCTATTTACCAGACATTTATTTTGTGTCTGATTTGTACAAGGAGGTATAATGTTTTAGTTAAGGGCTGAGCTATAAAAACCAGCTGTCTGATAGCCAGTTGTGGTGGCAGGTGCCTGTAAGTCTCAGCTACTCGGGGAGGCTGAGGCAGGAGGATCTCTTGAGCTCAGAAGTTTGAGGTTACAGTGAGCTATGGTCATGTCACTGCACTCCAGCCTAGGGAATAGAGTGAGAACCTGTCTCTAAAAAAATTAAAATTAAAATTAAAAACACTACACGCCATTTGGTTTGTATCCCATTAATACAGTCTGTGTGATCTTGAACAAATTATATAAATATTTAGTTTTTAATTTATCATCTATAAAGTCAAGTTATAATAATATTTATGTGATAAGGAGTATTAAATAAAATACTCTGTGTAAAGTGTTTGGCACTGCATCTGACATATACAAAGTGTTCAATAAATAGTGTTATCAGCCAGGCCTGGTGGCTCATGCTTGTAATCCCAGAACTTTGGGAGGCCGAGGCAGGTGGATCGCTTGAGCCCAAGAGTTCAAGACCAGCCTGGACAACATGGTAAAACCCTGTCTCTGCAAAAAAAAACCACACAAAAAATAGCTGGGTGTAGTGGCATGCATCTGTGGTCCCACCTACTCGAAGGTTGAGGTGGGAGAGACACCTGAGCCTAGGAGGTCAAAGCTGCAGTGAGCTGTGATAGCACCACTGCACTCTAGCTTGGGTGACAAAGTAAGATCCTGTATCAAAAAAGAACCACCACCACAACAAAATAGTGTTAGCTTCAATATAAATACATTATGAAGTGAAAGAATCCAAATATGAAATTGGTGTGCATCTGGTTTGCCAGGAGATGAAGTTAATTTGTTGATTGAAATAATAATTTTATATAAATGATAATATATAAAATATATGGGTAGAGAAAATTTATTTTTTTAAAATAAAAAAGATAAACATAAATTGTCTAACTTTTAAAGATATAATAGAATATAAATTAAAAGACATGATAAATCACAAACAATAGCAAAATATAATACAAGTCTTAAAGTTGCTGAAATCTCAACAAACTATAATTACAAAAGACATTTAACCTGTAATCTCAGACAAACTGTGAATTCTGGTGTGAATTTTACTGGCATCTACTTATTTTGTGATCTAAATACATTGTATCTTGTTTTAATATTTAAATTTACTTACTATTTGCATTATCTCATATTAATGACTGTGACACAGGCTTCCAAGTATAAATATGTCTGCCACAGGTACAAATGGGTGTCAGACATGTTTTGTCACATTAGAGTAGATGGCACTTGAATAAATGGAGGGATGAATTAGGTTACATCATGTAAAGAAGTTGTCGAGTCATAAATAAAATATATAATTGGAAGAAGTAAAATCTAGGAGCAGCTATTAACTAGCACACTGGATGAAATGTTTGGGTGACTGAAAGTAACATAAAACCGTTTTCTAAAAAAAAATGGCAGGTTAATCACATTTGTGATTAACCTTCCTCCTTAGACACAATTAAAATAAAAAGAAAAGAGTAGAATATAAACAATTATAGACTCTCAAAAACACAGAGGAGAAGAGAAGAGGCATCAATAGAAGAGATAGAACATGGGGAAGTAAGTGGTAAATGATTCATCTGGGGTAAGGAAATGACGATAAAGTGTGTGCAGAGGGTACAAGCAAAGAGATTCAATTCACTAAGCAGAAGTTCAAGACAGCCTCAGAACTTGAAGGCCCCCTGACAGCACAGGAAGAAAGTGAAACATGATTCAGAAAAGATTAGGTTGGTGCAAAAGTAATTGCAAAAACCGCAATTACTTTTGCATCAACCTAGAAGTAAGTTGAAAGTCTAAACATGAAGAGTTAACACCTCTGCTACTCTTAGTCCCCGTTTCATGCAGAGGTTCTTCTCTGAATGAATTGGACATAGTACAATGACTTGGCATTCATCAACATCAGGCATAGTGCAGGATGGAGTGAGCCTTATCTTAAGTTGAACAAATAAAAATATTACCAGACCTATGACAAAAAATTCTGACAGAACATAATTTTCAACCAAGATTATATATGAAATCAAATTAATAATCACAGGTAGGAGCAAAATTAAAGATGTTTGGACACTTAAGAATTCAATAAATATATGATATTTGCATACTTTGGAAGCTACTCTTTGATGTGCTCCAGCATGATCTAGAAATAATCTAAAATTAAAAAAAAATATATATATATATATATATGGGATTGCTTATACAGATGGTCCAAAACAGAAGAGCAGCAATGAGAAATCCCAGGATGATAACTGTGCAACAGTCTTAGTAAGCAATTGTTCCAGACTGAAGCAGGACAATAGAATATTTCAGGAGAGAAAATACTGCAAATCTTGAAAAAATAAGGAATTTGGAGAAGTCAGTTATAGATTTCTAGTCACAATATGCATTGCATATCAAAAGCCTCTTGCTCTGGAAAAGACAGACCAACTAAAAAGATATTGTACTTAAAATCTTCAAAATACTACAGTGAGAAAAAAGCACACATATATGTATGAAGGCCTGCGATACCCGATGGTAAGGGACAGCAGACGATAGGTCCATAGTATTTAAAGACGTGTCCTAGGTACCGATTGGAAATCGGTACCTGTGGGTATTAGTCACATCAGTGTAGAACAGTTTTCCTGTGCTTTTTCATAACGAAAAAGCATGGATTCTGGAGAGTCGGAATATACTGAACTTATGCTATACTCTGAGATGATACTGGTAACTAGAACTGAAGAAACTGACCTTCCATTCATTTCCAGCTTATGAGTGATCTCAGAGCTGTTGAAAGTTTGTAAGTCTCCCTAGGAACTCGAGTCAGACAGGGAATGTATAATTTCCTTGATCTCCTGAAGCTACAGGTTTATTTTAAAGATTCCCATAGTGTTAAATTCCTAAAAATAAACAGACATTGTTACTCTGGGATTCTAATTGCTAGAAATGCTTCTGTATGCATGCATGTTTATCACCATATTGTAACAGAAAAATTAAAATGGTTTAAATGCTTCAAAATATGTAGACATCACAAATTATAGAATATTAATTAATAACATGGGAAAATAGTTAATATATTAAGTAAAAATCAGGTTGTTTATATATAGTATGTAAAAGGTTTATGAGAAGCAAAATATACATATAAATAAATATACATTGAGATAAAACTCACAGTATAATTTCCAAAATGGTGAGCTTATAAACAATTATATTTTTTGCATGTTTCTCTTCATTTTAAAATTTGTATACAAGAAGTATGTAATATTTTTAACATGAGACAACATTTTTTAAGCCTTGTATGTTACAAACAAGATAGAGAGGATGAAATTACACCAATACATCCAAGCTAATCCTACTTAGTTCTCAAACTGGTATCTGAGCTTCCCAGCTCCTAGGGAAATAAGAAGACTCCACAGATAGTACAGCTTTCACTGTGTGTATGTGTATGTCTATTATTTAAGAGTTCCGACAATAGTTTTTAATAAGGCATCCAAAAAGAAATGCAAAACAACATAATGACAATACTTGTACTAGCAGATTGAAAAAACAGTTGCATTTGTTATACCGGTGACTATTATAGACATCGACCCTTGGGAAAAGACATAGATAATAATGTTTGGTAAGGGAAATGCTACACAGACCAAAGTTAAGTTGCCTTGAGCTGTCTTTTGGTTAAAATATGCAGTTTTCACAGGCATAATGTCAACTGAAGTTTTGTACAAGAAATATTGTGCAGGGCAAAGTTAAATGATTAACTTATGTTGCTTTCCGGTGAGCTGGTGTAATATGAGAATTGAGCTTGGATTAACTTGAGCAGTAAATAGTTAACATGTGTAAGAGATGAATGTTTTACCTATTATGTTTCCTTAAGAGGGGAGCACATTTTTATAGCATTGGATGATCCCTATTTTACTACAGTTTTGACAACTTCAGTCTTGTTTTCAAGAGAAGGTAAATCCAAATTATACAAACGCGAGGTTGCTAGAAAGAGTGGCTCTTCATATTCCTTTCTCAAATAAAAAGATTTATTATATTTTCTGATGATAAAATTAATGTGCTTACTATCAAATTCAGAAAATAGAGGAAAGTGTGAAATAAGAAGAAAACCATCAAAAACTCCATGACCCCACTGTTATCATTTAAGTGCATTCAGCATTTAGTTATCAACATTTATATGTGTGTATACGTATGTATAAATACATACATATTTATATGAATATAAATATACAGAAAGATATGTGTACATAAGTTATGCACATTAACATATGTACACATAAATATCTGTTATAAACATAATTTTTCACTTTAAAAATGTATCATGAACCTATTTTCCAGGTAAATAAAAGCATATTTATAACACGCTTAATGGTGAAAAGAGCTAGAAGATGTTTTTAATGGAAGAAAGAGCCATATGTTCTAGATATCAGTCACGTAGTTATGAAAATAAAGGGGACTAGATGGTTTTCTTATCATCCAGTAATTATTTCTAAAGGTGTTATTTAAAATTAGTGGAATAATATTTACACAGCTGTATATGTATATACCTATACAGATGTTTACGTATAGATGAACACATATAATTTACATTTGTATATGAATATGTGTGTGCTTTAGTAATTCACTTGTATGTGAATTACATAATGGGTTAAATGAATGTGAACGATCTATTAATGCTTGGAATTGTCATGGAAAAATGGGTACAGGCTTCGCTCCGGGTACTGTTTCCCTGCCAAAGGCACTAGTTGTTGGCACAACTATCAGATATTCATAATCAAGATCCATTATGTGGGTTTCATCTCTCCCTTTGAATGGCACTTATCATCTTACCTGATTAGCATTTTATACTCCATATATCTTAATGTCTTTCTTTCTAAGATACTTTAAGGACAATGATAAAAGTGGGAATGCAGATGAAAAGTATCCTGTCTCTCAAAGCCTCAAATTCAACTTCAAGGGCTTCATTTCAGCACTTTTCAGAGCTGCCTGATTGACTACTCCATACACTAAAGAATGAGCAGCAATTGAGTCCAATCATGCTGAACTAAAAGGAGTTGTGGAAGGAAAAACTTTTGATGTAGAGTTCAACTGTAAGAGATAAACAGTATTATTCCACATTAAGAGGCAGCATTTTCTCATGTCAAAACTAAAAAGAACATTTTACCGTGGAAATTCTTTTGAAAAAATTCTTATTATATGCCTGTATTGAACAATTTGTAAGTCTGATATTTGTACTTTTGTAACTGCTACAGAGCTTTACCCAGAGGTTCAATTATGACCTTGCATGGTGGACCCATTCTAAGCAATGGATAACCTTGCTGAGGTCAGAAAATATCAAAAGTATTTTTTCTGAGTCTTTTTTTGAGTTTCATTTGCAAATTATTCCGATCATAATTTTAGTAAAAGGTGATTCTCAGTCTTTTTTCCATTTTATGGCACACAAAAACTGATAACATTTGTATCATTGCTATAAATGTTGGTGTATGCCCACAGATGGAGATAGATTGTAGGTGCTGACAGCTGCAAGCTCTCTATAGCCTCTCAGGTAATCCTCATGTGTAGCGTGGCAGGGTGGCATGGCCTACCAGTTAGAAAGTCTTGTTCCATAAGGATATTTTATAGTGTAGTACATTTCAGTGTGCCTTGTCCACAACTAATAAGTATAACAATGTGGAAAATAATTCTATTCTTCAAAAATCAAATTTCATATAAATGAAACAGTAAATAACTAGAAACATATATCGGGAATGATTTTTAAACTTTCAGCTGTGACAAACTTAATCCCAAAGTTAGTCTCTTAACAATAGCAAAAGTTTAAAAGCTCAACTATATAAAAATTTAAAACACATAAAGGCATACTCAAAAGACAAACTATTAAGAAGCTTTAGATAAGCACAGAAGACAAATACACAGATTGAAAAGTGGGGAGACAAAATTTACTATAGATTCAATATAAATAAAATCCAATGAAAACAAAAAAATTCAAGTCAATAAACAATTGGACAATAATATTTTATAGAACAATAAAATAATATTTATTGTATTATATTTATAGGACAATAAAATAATATTTATTTTATTATATTTATAGGACAATAAAATACTATTTTATAGGACAATAAAATATTTCCTGACAGAAAAAAAAAAAGAAAGAAATGTTGCAGCTCTGGGGTGTTGGAAGTGGCAGCCATTGAATGTTCTTAGAGCTTGGACAGACTTATCTGAATGCTGCTGCTGGAAAGGAATTTAAATGTTTTAAAAAAAGTCTCTATCCATCCTTGTGTTCAATTGTTCAAAGTAACCTTATTTGAAGGCTATAAGATATAGTCATTATATATCAACATTCTAAAATTTTCTAAAATCTCGTACCTCAAGTGCATAGTCTTGGTTTGAATTCCTAACTATAAGGTAATAATTAACCCAGCTATTTGGCTATGATGTTCCACGGATTGCCTACCTCCCTGTTTGGTGGGGAAGAGGGGATCTCCATTTTCTTTCGTTGTAACTTTCCAATTCATCCACTCCCACATTTAGGGTCTATTATTGCTACCATCCTGCTTCTGATGGTACTTTCCATACAAATAGTTACTTATGGTCCGGCGCGGTGGCTCACGCCTGTAATCCCAGCACTTTGGGAGGCCGAGACTGGCAGATCACGAGGTCAGGAGATCAAGACCATCCTGGCTAACACGGTGAAACCATGTCTCTAGTAAAAATACAAAAAAAAAAAAAAACTAGCCAGGCGTGGTGGCGGGTGCCTGTAGTCCCAGCTACTCGGGAGGCTGAGGCAGGAGAATGGTGTGAACCCGGGAGGCAGAGCTTGCAGTGAGCTGAGATCCTGCCACTGCACTCCAGCCAGGGTGACAGAGTGAGACTCTGTCTCAAAAACAAACAAACAACAACAACAAAAAAACAAATAGATACTTATGTTTTAAGCGAGGAAAAAGATTCATTAAAACAATAAAGAGAATTCATTACTTTCTTAATAGAAACTCTAAAGTGGGCAAGAATTGATCTAGCAACTTAAAGGTTATCATCAAGGACTTAATACCTCTCTGTCTCTCTGACCTATCTTCACACCATTACAGCAAAGAAGGGCTATCTTTCCCAGCACTCTCAAAGGAAACAGAAAAACTCCTATTTCCTGAAAGGCAGTCAACATCTCACTACCTCATTGGCTCTGTTTTTGTAATGTGTCCATCCATGAACTGATCATTGTTGACAGAGAGATGGGCCGCGATGATTAAGTCAAGTAGGACCCACCTTTAGAAGTGAGGGTCAGGACAATCTACCCATATCATCTGGCTAAAAACGGAGGAGGGTATGGGTACCAAGAAAAATCTAGGTGTTACTTTCCTAAAAGAAAGGGAGTAGATTAAAAGCAAAAATGTCGATTGTCATATACTAATGTAGAGACTATTACTTCTACTTACAGTAGTTTCATAAGGAATAATGCTTTATTTTTAAAATGAGAGTATATTTGGTTTTGGAGTAGAAGACTCAAAAGAAGTCTCTTCTACAAGGAGTAGAAGACTGTGTATCCCATCTAACTTAATTGTTTTCACTCAACAAATTGCAAACTTAGCTTACTTCTAAAAATTAATAGCATGCATGGTCATTTCTACTCTTGGGAAAATAACTGAGAATTACCCTATTTCACATAAGACACTATGGTAATGAGTTTTACTTTCTTATGACATGACATCTGTTGGTTTCAGATCAGTGATCCAGAACTGAAAAGTTTTATCTAGAATTGTCAAGCTTTTAAAATTTCATATGCTAACAACTTAGGTCTTTCTCTTTTGAATCAGAATGACTTGAGGAAACATCTGCCTTATTTGTTTGCCGTGGCATTTCCTCCCCTTTCTAATATTCTGGAATATGGGTAATGAGAACAGGCTTCATTCTATACATGGCTATGAACACCATATACCAATTTAACTATTTTTAATTAATCAATCCATGCAACCAAATATAAAATAATAAAATATGTTGCTTGATTTTCATTATGCTTCCCTAACTATAACCCATTCTTCTTTGAGATCATAGGTGTGAATTTTTTTTAATATAATAGTATTACTTAATTGCCTTGTCAAAATATTCCTTTAATATATTTTTCTAAATATTTGTGTAATATCTTTTTATGCTACCCTTAGTTTTATTTGAAGTTTTAGGGTCAGCGTAAATACTTATCCACAAAAGCAATCACTTTGATAAACGTAATTTTTCATTCTTCCTCAATAGCAGTTTTTATTTTATTTCTGGATGTTAAGATGAAATCCTGGTCTGTTAAGCCCCAGCAACTGCTGCCATGGCTGCCATCCACAGGGAAATCCATCAGCCATTTCATGCTCATGCCAATAACCACTGTCACCAGCTATTCAGATTGGCTTTTTATTATATATCTGGCTTATAACCAGTGATAGTGTTATTCTACATGACTAAATCTTCCAGCCTCTTCTAGTCAAGCCGGGGATGTCCTGGAAGGGATTCTGGTCTAAGTACAAACACGTTTTCATAAAATTTATGTTTTATTGCATCCTTTTCCAATAACTTATCAGTAGAAAAATGGAATTCTATGGAGCAGGCATGTGAAGTATGGCCTTAGCACAATCTCAAAGGTAAACATTTAATCTCACAATCAGTTCAGTTTCTCTAACCTCAGATCTACTTGAAAGTAAAATTAGAACATGTGAGGGGGGAAAACACTTTATTACTCATTAACTTGTTGGTTTTGAGAGAAACTTTAAAAATTCAAATTTAAGAAAAATCACATTTAATGAATGTTTTAATTTACACATAGATGAATGTGCACGTATGTGTGCACACACACATCCCAGCACCTACACACCAGACAAATGGAAAAGCTGGCATAGAAATTATTTCTGAGTAATGCTTAACATATCCCACAAATTTTAGTCAAGTAATAGAATGCTTGTTGGTCATCATATTGTCTACATGTTCTAGATTATAGCTAGACTCAACACTAGAGTAAATAAAGGTCTAGGTCTTCAAACTAATTCGTGCTTGTCCTCTAACTCATATTATGTGTGCCCACAATCTTTGTTCAATTTCTTTTGAAAGAATAACAAGAGAAATTACTAATTATGTCAAACATTCAAAGAAACATCTTTGATGTAGAATTAAACAAAAGTTGAAGTATTTCAATGAAGGGCAATGTTTTTTCTGACAAGAGAATATCTCAGCTATTCATGCTATTAAACTCTACACTGTTTTCCATTTCAATAATGTCAGCTTTATCATGTCACTTTTCCTCTTGGCATTTCCATTTCAGTAGTGTTTGCTTTGTTTTGGCCTATTAATCCCCTTACTTAAATTGGTGCCAGTCTTTCCCAGACTACATAGTTCTTTGATAGATATACAGTAAAGGAAATAATTTAAAAACATGCATTTCTAGCAAACCTGGGAATGGCAGACATCCTATGCCTTGTCAAGAAGTTACTTACCATATCTGGATTAGACACATTTTCTGCTACATACACACAGTCTTCCAAGTAAATTTTTCTACTACAATGTATCTTTACATTAAGTTGTTCAGACACTGTTTGCATTTATTTAAGAAGACATTGTACTAATAATTCTGAAAACTTATAATGATATGTGGATTGGACTCCAGAAAGGGGCAAAATATTTAATATCTTCATAGGTTATTATGTGTGTTAGAAGAGGAAGAATTCTCTTCATATAAGAGCTCTGTGGATATACTGAGGACTAATCATCAAACCTGGAACTAAGGTTCCTGGAGGAAGAAACACAGAAATCTGCTCTTAGTTCATGGATAGTGCTTTGGATGGGCAAATAAATTATGTTCATTTGTAGAATAATTACTTTAGAACCCACTAAGTACCAGATACACATTTAGGTTTCAGGAATACATCAGAGTACAAAACAGACAACTATGCCTCAGTGTCCTCCTGTGCTTTACATCCTAGAAGGAGGGACTGACAGAAACAGTCAATAAGTAGATTACATAGAATATTATACGTGCTATGATAGTACAGGGTAAGGGATTTGGTAGTGCTTGGGTGCAGTGGGGATTGCAAATTACAGAAGGTAGATGAGGTGGGTCTCGCTGTGAAAAATCACAATGGCAACAGAGTGAGCAAAGGGGAGAGTAGTAGATAGGGTCAGTCAAGTAAGAAGGCCAGGTTTTGCAGGGCCTCTCCGGCCATTATAAGGACTTTGGCTTTTACTCTAAGTGAAATGAGAGAAAGGGCACAGAATGATCTGACTTAAGTCTTCAAGGATAACTGGCTACTTTGCTGAGAATGGGTTGTATGGGGCAAAGGGGAGGAAAGTGGTTAAAAGGCTACTGAAATCATCTTAGATGGGATAAGAGTGGAGGGAGAGAAGGTGGCAAGATACAGTTGCATCCTGGCTGTAGGCTGACAGAGAGCCAATAGGACTTCCCACTGAAATGTACAAGTGGTATGAGATAAAGAGAGGAGTGAAAGAGGTCTCCAAGGTCTTTGTCCTAAACAACTGAGTGAGAGTTAAGGTGCCTGATATCGCACAGAAGACTGAAAAGAAAAAAAAACATTTCATATAGTAATCTGTGTTATGGCACTCATATCGTTTCTAAATCAGCCTCCAAGAGAAATTTTGCCACATTTAAAAAGTTTCATTCTAGAGAGCGAGTGGGGCCTCTCTCTTTGTGAAGCTATTTAAGAATGATAGCTCCAGAGATTTGGGGGTGTAAGTTCACACACAGCCTGAAGATGACGAAAAACAGAAGTCAGAAGTATGAATGTGGAGTTTCAAAACACAAAATTTATCATTGGTGAAGCCAAAATTGCTGAAGGAATAGAGAGAGAAATGCTAACTGGGTAACAAACGTCCTTTGAGTCACTAAGAGACGAGCTTCAGTGAAGGGAAGTGGAACTAGAGACTACGTAGTGAGGATTAGACTCCATGAGTCCTAGAGGTGAGCCTTCTTTTTAGCCTGTCCCGTCCCAGAAAAAGAGATTTGGGAAGTCTAGGATACTTGCACTCTGTTTTGAGGAGCAGGATAAAGGTAATATGTTATTCCCTTTTGACTGTACTTCAGATATGATGTAGTCTTGCAGTGGAAAAATAAGGTTTATATGTTTTGCAATATTTAAACTTGCTTTTGACAAAATCTCTTGATTTTCAGAACAACTTTTTGAAGTAGGTAAGACAAGTGTCTTAGTCAGTTCAGGCTGCTATAATAGAATACCATAAACTGGGCAGATTGAGCAACCAATGTGTATTTCTCACAGTTCTGAAAGGCTGGAACTCTGAAATCAGGGTGCCAACATGGTTAGAGTTTTGTTGTCAGCCCATCTCCTGGTCCACAGATAGCTGTCACTTCATTGTATCCTCACATGGCAGAGAACAAAGAGGAAAAGCAAGTTCTTTCCTGTCTCTTCTTCTAAGAGCTCTGTGACGGTTAATATTAAGTGTCAACATGATTGCATTGAAGGATGCAAAGTATTGTTTCTGGGTGTGTCTGTGAGGGTGTTGCCAAAGGAGATTAACATTTGAGTCAGTGGACTGGGAGAGCCAGACCCAGCCTTAATCTGGATGGGCACCATCCAGTGGCTGTCAGCGTAGCTAGAAAAAGCAGGAAGATGAAGGTGGAAAAGCTAACTTGCTGAGTCTTCCAGCCTTCATCTTTCTCCCCTGCTGGATGATTCCTGCCATTGAACATCAGGTTCCAGGTTCTGTGGCTTTTGGACTCTTGGACTTAGACCAGTGGTTTTCCAGAGGCTCTCAGACCTGCAGCCACAGACTGAAGGCTGCATGGTTAGCTCCCCTACTTTTGAGGTTTTGGGACTCCCACTGAGCCACTACTGGCTTCCTTGCTCTTCAGCTTACGGACAGCCTATTGTGGGACTAATACCTTGTGATCGTGTGAGTGAATTCTCCTTAATAAACTCCCTTTCCTATATATGTATATCCTATTAGTTTTGTCGCTGTGGAGAATCCTACCTAATTCAGACTCTGACCCCATTATGTGAGCATCACCATCATGAGCTAATTACCTCCCAAAAGTCCCACTTCCAAACACCATCACATTGAGGAATCAGGTTTTAACATTTGAATTTTGTGGAAACACAAACATTCAGTACATAGCAACAACATGAGTATTATTGTTCCTATTTTATAGAAAGATGAAACAAAACTGAAGCTAAGAGAGGTTAAGCAATAGTCAAGGTATTACAAAGCCAATACATTGTTAAACCAGGATCACTTTTTCTAGATATACATTCATATACAAATCTTGTGATCCCTGCATTCTTACTGTTACCCATTCTTAACCAATACAGTTGGGAAAGCCCAGGAAGTATTAAGGCAACTGGCAGCTATACTTCCACTAAAAACTAGTGTACACAGGCAAAGAGCACACTGATAAGAACAGCAAGTAACAGTTCTGTTGTCTTAACAGAGAAACACATAGTCAAGCTTTCACTTCTTGTTTCCATGTGACAAAAAAGCAAAGAAAAAAAGATCAAGTGTTCATGCTCCTGGGTAAGGTTGCTAATTTAACCAATGTAATTTGCTATCGATAATGCAGTCGTTAACTACAGCTTTTAGCAAGTCTTGGCCTCATTAGCCTCAAGTCTAATCAACACTAAATCAATTTATATAAACAAAATGTCTGTGAAATGACATATATCCCTGTACATATTTTACTGGGTACATTATAAAATGCTTCCCTACTATAGTATTTTAAGAATGATTTTGACATTATTAAAACATAATTTATTTTCTTTATTAAAGAAAGTGAGTTGACTTATGTTATTTTCTTAGAATTAATGGCAACAGTAAATGACTATATAGCATACTTAGTTTGAAACATACAATATCCATACAGTGGCATTTTAACTATGTTGACAGCAATTTTATAATGATTAAAAGGTATCTTGTAAACATGATTTATGTTACTTACATAGCATTCGCAAATAATTATTTCTTTTAAGAGATACTTTCAAAAACAGATATTTTCAGTGATTTGAAAATACTGATTATAATGCTGCTCAAATAAACCGTGAACTGTTTTAACAAATATGTATATATTATAAATGTAACTAATACATTTTTTTCTAAATGTGTTTTCCTAACAGATAAACTTTCAAAGTAAGAGGAAACATTTTACTTTTGGTACACCTGGGTACACTATTCATGGTAAATGGTATTTATCTGTATGGTTTTTCTTATAATTTCAGCCCTTGCCCAAATAAAGTATTTGACTTTGAAGTGGTCCTTCTACTAAACTGTGTTGCTCTTTAGTTATCTGTTTGACTAAGAGATTCAGTTGGTCATAACTTTACTCTGCTTCCAGGACTAGCTGCTTAAAAAATGTGAGGTTAGCCTGCTTCCAGAAAACAATATAATAATCAATAATATATAAAGATGTATTTAGTACAGGACCTGGGGTGCACATGCTCACTAAATATTAGTAATGGCAAAACCAGCAATTACGTTTGCGTCAAACTAATACTTATTTTCCCTTCTATTCTTCTCAGTGAAATGTCTGCACTGCTTTCAGTACCCAATGCTGAGACTTTTAATCACCCAAGCACACATTCAATTAATTTCTTACCCAAACCAGTAACCAGTAGCCCATTGCTTTTAACATGGGACATCTGTGTTTGAGTCAACGGTCCTCTGCAACCTAGTCCTGAACACCAAATGCATTCCCTTGAGATGACTATGAAAACCAAACATTATTGAAGTTCTAGCCCTGAGCATGGCTGACTTGAGGTCAAATTCAGTTACAAAAAAAATATTAATAGAAGTGGAAAAAAATTAAATGATAGATTAGGAGACATATTAGGTACAAGCACTTGATAAGTACCTTGAAAGGAAGAAAAATAAATAGAAAAATAAGAAAAAAATATTAGCAAAGAAGTCAGGAAAAAAGATGTTTAAAGGGTCAGGAAAAGGAGAAAAGGAAAGTTAAAAAAAAAAAAAAAGCCAAAAAGTAAAGTCAATTGCAATTAAATCTGTTTTATGCCTGGCACATAGCTTACTATGTGCATGCTTTCTAAAGACTTAATGACTCTTTTTTCCTCCAACATATCTCCATAAACTTCCTGTATATATCTTTAATAGAATAAGATGCAATTATTAGGATACAGAGGTTGAAAATATATGTTATTATATATAACACAGCAATTTGATATATAAAAGTTTTGCTAAATTAGTATCACACCCTAGGTAGGTTTATTTCTCAAGTAGTGATTTTGTGCATTTGTGAAATTCAGACCTTTTATTCAGGTATGTTTATTTTAAGGAACAGGTATGTTTATTTGAATGAAGTGGACTCAACTAACAGGTGTTCCTGTCCAAAAGACGTTGTTGGAATGAGCAGATAGGACACTTACAAACAAAAGTTAATTCCCCACATCTAGTAAAAAGTTTAAGGAAATTACTAAATGTCCAGAAAATAAGTAAGAGTATCAAGTGTTAATCTCAAAAGATTATGTTAAATTTCTACTATCCTTCCCTCATAAATTTTCCAGACCAATATCAGAATATTATCCAGATAGAGTATTAATGTGTCCTAAATTTACTATTATTTTGTAAGCTGAAAGGGAGAGATAATCTCAACAAAATTAGTAGGTTAGAGAAAACATAGACATGAATTAACTACTTTTAATGAAGCAATGGGTCTGTATGAAAAACTATTTTTTAGAAATCTGTGTGAATTGTGAACATGATGAGAAGATCTTTTGAGAAGATATTTCTGAACATATACAAATGATAACTTACACGTCATGATGAAAGATTTTCTCAAAGGGAGCTGGAAGTTATATTGTAATAATAAATGCTTTTAAAGACACTGACAGATTAAAAGACCGCACCATAAACCAAGGCTTTAGTTACTTAAAAAGCTTTTGATGAAATAATCTCTACATCTGCAGTCTACGGTTCCATATTTGAAGCTAACAATTTATGTGGTTTTATCTTTTGAGATACACTTGGTCATTGGAAATTTAATAGTCAACAGCAGCCTCTTGAAAACTTCAGATTTAAGGAGCCCCCTGTGCAAACTGAAGAATTCACTGAATATAAAATTATAGTAATTTTAGCAGACTTAGAATCTAATGATTACTTTAACATTCATGCTGAGATTTTTCTGGATGTTGGCTAATATGTATCCCTTAGATAAGTATATTTTAGTTTCTCCAATTTTTTTCTTATTGAAAAGTGAATAACTTTTAATATTTTTTTTCCCAATAGTACTGTAAGCTTCGCCTCAGTGCAATGATAAGTTTTTGTGTCTCTAGGCATGAGTTGGAACTTTTGAAAGATGAATTTTTTTCTGGAGATACACTGAATATACATGTATTAAAGTTTATATCTAATGGCACTCCAATCCAGAAGTAAATACCGATTTCTTTTACCGTAGGTTAGTTCTAGGACTTTTCATAAATGTAATTGTATAATATATAGTTCTGTGTCTAGATTCTTTTGCAAGTCACAAGGTTTTGCAATTAACCCATGATGCTGTATCTGCCAATAGACTATTCTTTTTTATTGCTAGGTAGTATTTCATTATATGAGTAAACCACGGGACAATTTATCTGTTTTCCTCCTGATAGACATTTAGGTTGTTTGGGCTATTATGAATAAAGCTGTCCTGAACATGCTTGTGTATGTTGTTGTATAATGTATTTTCATTTCTCTTGGATAAATACCTAGACTTGTGACTGTTGAGTAATATGACTGATATATGTTTGTCTTTATAAAAAATAGTCAAACCATTTTTTCAAGGGATGGCGCCATTTTACACCAGCACGAGTGAAGTTGCTCCAAATACCTATCAATTTATGGTGCTGTGGTCCTAGAGTCAGCATTTTGAAGCAGTAGCTTTTTGTTCCCCAAGCTTCCTAATTGAAAAGGGAAAAGAGTATGTAGACACAGCTATATACACACACACACACACACACACACACACACAGTGGCATTGTTAGTAATGACAAAGAAATCTTTGAAATGTATATAAATGTTAAAGAAAATGAATTGGTTAGTAAAGGCAATATAGCTATATAATAATACACATACATTAATTGGCCATTTTTATTTTCAAAAACAATTCAAACCTACAAAAGAGTTGTAAGTATATTACAATGAATTCCCATATATTGTTCATCTACATTCACTTATGTACCAATGATAATACTGCTTTTTTAAAAAATAGCAGCTACTTATAGTATTTTAAAAGGAAAAAATTACAGATCGCATTTCCCTTTAGGTAACGACATAATCTGCATGCATTACACAAAGAAAAAATGTTCTCAGTGTTTCTCTCTGGATAGTAAAATTATAGGTGACGAATTATGTTTTTCTTTTTGCCCATGTATAGTTTATACACTTTTTACAAAGAGCAGGATAAGATAATAAAAGGAGCTATGTTAGTTCTCAAGGAGCTATTTTCTAATATACATAGTTCTTTTATTTAAATTCTAGGTTAAAGTGAAAATGTCAATCACCCTTGTGAATCTTTATCAAACTAGAGCAGCAGCCCACCTTATTTAGGGATTGTACAATACCTTATTATTTTTGGATCCTATGATTACCTACTGAATATTACTGAAATCTGATTAATATTTTAGAAGTCTGTATAAAGCCAGAAAAAACTATTTTATTTCAAGGTTGACAACTTTATGTAAAACATAATTGATAAATTAATACCTTTCATTTAGATTCTGAAATTTCAAAGTAAATAATTCTGGATTACTTTACTTGAAAAAGGGTGCTGTGGAATAGAATACTACTTTTGATGCTATGATTCTAAAACAGATTTTTCTCCCTAAACCTCACTACATCATGTCTATTTCAATCCAGGCTACTGCCATCTTAAACTCCTTCTGGAGTTACCATTGATTACAGAAGACAAATGAGTTAGAGTTGCTTGTGGATGAGATGGTTGCCATTGATATATGTCTACAACAATGCGCTATGTTTATGTGGTTATACAGTCTCAGAAAAGAGTTGTAAACATTAACACTAGACCTAAAATTTTCATGGTTTCTTGTATTCCACCAATGTTTATCGTATATGGCTTGTAGATTTAGAGCCAGAATTTGTTAAGGCACAATATAGATAAACTATAAATATGAAAGCTCTTAGCCTAGAAACCAGAGGCACCTAGAAATAAATTATAGGCTCTTTTATATATTATAAAAGCTAAACAAACAAACACAAATAAAAGATGAATTTATGAATGAATTACTTTATAAATAAATGTTGACTAAAGCAGTCATCCATAAAAATATTCACTTCCTCTTCCCTACATCAGTGCAGTGTTTGAGCACCTGAAGGTAATTCTTCCTATCTGAGAATTCTTCCTTAGGCTGAATTGAAATTGTTTCTGTAAACCTTGAAGACATACATAAAATTACTATCCATGGCCCTTAGGAGAACTGTTTTTTCAGGATTAAAATAGCTTAATGTTCTGCTGCTCAATTTATTTCATAATTCTCACCTTAAAATTATAATTTTGCAACTAAAAATACAGTTAGTAGTAGTAACTATGGAGAGATTCATGTCAGGTTATAAGACACTTAAGGCTATAAATTTGCAGGTGAAATTCCAGATCAAAGGGAAGGAGTAATCAGTGCCTTCAAGCCTTATCAGCACTGTATATAGAGTTGTGCTTCTGAAAAAGTGTATTTGCACTGAAAAATGCAAATTGTGGATCTTGACATTTGAAAAATTCATTATCAAAGTGAAGATATTGGAAACTTCGTTTTTGTAGAATTTCATATTTTAAATATTATAGGGTTTGTTTAAAGCAGCATTCCTGTGGCCATTTTTCACAAGATGATTGAAGGAAAATGTTCCAGAGTAAAACAAGTTTGGAAAAGGCTGCATGTTCTATTTAGCTTTGGATCTTTATAATGCAAGATAACATACTGAAGGTTCTACTTTGTATACCTTTCATAATGCGCACTGGGAAATGTTTGTTCAAAGTAAGTTCATTGGTATATTTGTTTGTTTAACTATTTATTTAACATTATTATTACATTGATTACCTTTTCTTTCATTGAATCAAATTATTTTGTTAAAGATTCAAGCAAACCATTCAAACACAAAATTGTTTAATCAGGTTACAACTTAAAAAGAGAAATGGCAAAAACCAAGAATCCACAATTTATAAAATTTATCAAAGATAAGTACATAACAACAGATAATAAAATTACCCCAGTACTTATTTTTGAGACGGTTATTATTTTGTTCAGCAAAAAACTGTTTAAATTTATTTCATTATTC
Organism: Homo sapiens; assembly: GCF_000001405.40. Taxonomy (NCBI): domain Eukaryota; kingdom Metazoa; phylum Chordata; class Mammalia; order Primates; family Hominidae; genus Homo; species Homo sapiens. The sequence continues at coordinate 175,479,020 of NC_000003.12, read as the reverse complement.
ATTAAAATACTATATAAATTGTCATATGTCATAAGAACGAATATCACTATTGTAGTGTTATGTAAATTATTAATTGATAGCATTAATGATAGGTTTTTAACCCAAACATGTAAGACTTGATCAGTGTTTAAGGGGGGAAATAGAGCAACAATTTATCAGAGTAAATTTCATATTTTAAATGGAAAAGTGTACTGTACTGCATTAATGATACTGTTACAGAATTTTATCTAACCTCCCAACAGTAGTGATTCACTAATACCTGTCCTGAGTAAACAGTCACTCTTTCAAGTCCTGAAGAGGCCTGTGTCCAGTGTACCAATCAAAAAATTGCAGACAAAAAGTAACTCAGCTTAAGCCATTTTAACAATGTGATATTAATTATGACGGGATGGCTGAGTTCAAGCTAAATAGTATTTCAAGTTTCAAATTGTTTGGATTTCTTTTTGGTTACATAGTCCTAATATATAAATCAGCTGCCTTCTGAAAATTGGAGTTTTAAGCAGAATCTCACTAAGACTTCTCTTGTTATCTAAATCTAAATAAAAAGGGATTTACATACTGTCAGTATATACTGAACAGAAAACCTTGTAAAACAGTAGTAAACTGGAGGGATGCATTAGTTTTAACACAAAGCAAAACCTTGTAAACTCAGGAGATAGATAAACCTGCCAATAGAATCACAATTCTAAATGTGAATCTTTATCGAAGTGGTAACTCAGTGTAAAGAAGGGTTTTAAATCAGTTCATTAGTCTTTATGGTCGCTTCCGTTGACTAGAAGTAAAACCACCAGCAGAAAGGAAGATAAATTAAGGAGTACCCCCAGAAAAGAATTGCAATTCATGGTAAATAAGAAAACAGAATTTCTCTCATTAAAAACTAAACAAAACAAAAATATATAAACAAAACCCAAAAAAATCTATGTCATGTGTCATGAAAGACAAGTTAACAGAATGTTTCCACATCAGTTGTACTGTTATATCTTACAGGAAGCAGAAAAGAAATTAAGCTTTGTTTCAGTACTGAATTAAATCATCAAGAGCGGAGTGAGAAGACAGCTATTTTTATTTTAGCACTGTACCTTCTGTGATCTGCTACTATATATTCGGTCAACAATTCTTGTGGAAAAAAAAGTTGCAAGTAACCAAAAAAAGAGTGTTTGGAAAAAATAAGTCTAAATTGTGTCACCAGTGAAACAATATAAAATGAAGCAACAACAACAAAAACCCTTGAATGGCTCTATTGAGGCAGTAATGCCATCCAAACCCAGAGCAACACATGGACTGTTCATCTCACATTGTTTTCCACATTTTTTGCACAGTGACTATTTGTAACTACATGTATATGCAAAAGCATATTATGAAAATCCAGTAGCAGATAGAAGTCTTTGGTTAAAGTTGGAATAACAAACACATAAATATGAAAATGATATAACAGGATGGAGCAAAAATAGAAGACAAAGGAACGAAGGTACAGTAAATTAAGTGATTTCTGGTTAGGACTTTAATTCATTTGGCCTTTTCCCCTTTCAACAGCTCTAAAAAGTAAAATATGCAGGTGTTTTCCAAACAAAGTTACAGGCTTTCAATTATAAAATAAAGAAGTTCTATAATTCTTTGGGAAATTAATATGCTAAATATCATCATTCTGAATTGACTTTAGTCTGAAATTCACCCATGACGTGTTAATGCAGTCAATACAGAGTCAGGTTCGAAAGTGTTAGAAGAGATTTAGAAAAGTAGTAACATCTGTTCTAAAAGATGCTTGATGATGCATTTATATATTGATTTATATATACACTGAAAGAAGTTTAAGAAACATCTGTAAAGTTCTAAGCTATTTATAGGATTCTGGATTTGGTAACCTATCTGCTGTTTGTTTCTCAGCAAGTGTTCAAGAACACAGCTCTCAATGTTTTGGTGTTTGCCCCCAGAAAGATGATGTGGGCCTTTTCTCTGATGCCTGACCTGAGGAAATCCTTTCAAATATTAAAATCATAGCCTAGTGGTATTGTTTCAAGGGAATATCTATTGACTTATCCAAGAGCTTGTGCAAGCTCTAGGGTATAACAAGGTTTAATTTAGATTTATTACAAGACTTAGTTGTTATTTTTATTATTCCAGAATATGTAAATATAAAGTCAAGACAAAAATAATAAATATCTCTGTTACTTGAAAGTCAGGGCTCCAGTCACTCAAGCAAAAATGTCAGACGTGTTGTTTTTATACCCTAAAGAATTGTGGCATGGTCAGTCAGAAGGTAAAACAATACAGTGGCTGTTAGAGAAGTAACTGTGTAAGTACCTCAGCAGACAAAGCTGTGGCATTTTAGTCGCCCTCACACAAGAAGAAAAGAGCAGAAGCATAACAACTTTGCACTCAATTGAGCAAGAAAATGGGAATGAGCATTATTTCTTGTGATTTGAAGAGAAATACTGTTTTTTGTTTGTTTGTTTTTTACTTGATTGAAGGATTGAGGTTTGAAAAGACAGATGGCTAAATTTAAGATTCTGAGTCCACTCAGTTTTTTGCCACTGTCATATAATGCATGTTTCCAAATTAAACCAATCATATTTTCCCTTTCCTGTGAATTCTAGGATAGCACATATCACACTCACTCTTATATCTTAGCTATTTATGCACATCTGAAGTTCTTGGTAAAATTATAAGCTCCTGGGCAACAGGGGCATTTCATCTGCTTACTGTGTCCTACAACACTTAAAGCAATGCTGTGCACAGCTTGGGTTCTCTTTAAATATCTAGCACGTCAGTAGGCTTTGCAACAAACGGGATATTCACAATGAAGACATAATACTATAGACAAGTTAGGAGCTCAAAAACTCCAACGAACGTAGTTGACTTGAAATATATGTATGCATTTTGTGGTGCTTTGTATATAAAAAAAGTAAAACAGGAAATTAAAGAAGAAACTACAAAAATATCTTTGCTACTGTTTCAGAGACTTAAAACAACAACAACGACTACAACTACAACAACATTTGGCTGGGTGCAGTGGCTCATGGCCGTAATCCCAGCGCTTTGAGAAGCCAAGGCAGGAAGATCACTTGAGACCGGGAGTTTGAGACAAGTCTGGGCAACACAGCAAGACCCCCATCTCTACAAACTATTTTTTAAGAAATTAGCTGGGCATGGTGGTGCATGCCTATAGGATTAGCTACCTGGGAGGCTGAGGGTGTTGGATTGCTTTAGCTCAGGTGTTTAAGGTTACAGTGAGCTATGATCATACCACTTGCATTCCAGCCTGGGTGACAAAGTGAGACTATGTCTCTAAAATTAAATTAAATTAAAAAAACACTGTCTGTCCCCTGCAAAGTTTTACAATACTGATGTAATTATTTAGTTTTAATCAGGTTGGCCAGTTTCTGGCAGGTGCTGCAAAAGCAACATTTAAATAGAATATGGCTAGATGGACTGCTTTCATATGTGCAAATGCTGCAGGTTTTCCCAAAATAACCTGTTAGAAATTTCATTGCTATTTTCTTAAGACTTACAGAATGCTGCCTAAAATATGGATGACCAAATTATGTTTTTCTAAAGGCAAAATCAATACATTCTGTGATCTAGAAAAGATGATTTTGAAAACTAAGAGCAGAACAGCAACATATAGGGAGAGGTGCATATGTGTTTGTTTTGCATCTTAATTTTAAAACTATTATTTGAAGATAAATCTTATCTTTAATTTCATAATCTACTTTGCATGAAGGCATTTGTGTTTCACTAAGAGGTCACTCACCTGTACATCTTTTTGTACATTTAAGGAGTCAATGGAAATAAAATTACAAAAAAGGGCTTTTATCCCCCCAAGAAATTAGGTCTTAGCAAGGATCTCTTATTCTCTACTCAATCAGAGGTGCTGGCACTCCACTGATGTCTATAGAACATCCTAAGGTCTCCAGTAGAATAAATCAAGAAATAAATATATAATATATAATACACAAATATATACAATACTAAGTGTGTGTGTGTGTGTGTGTGTGTACTTAAATGTTTGTGCATGAAAGAATGTATAATTACAGTTTATAATGCTCCTTCAATATGAATACTGGGTTAAAGTAAGTTCACCATGTTCTTTATAATAAGGTGCTGGGGACTTGGGGCAGAGCAAGGTGGAGGAATAGAAGGCTCCACCGATTTTCCACTCAAAGTGGACACCAATTTAGCAGCTATCTACACAAGAAAAAACCTTCATAAGAACCAAATACAAGGTGAGCACTCAAAGTACTTGGTTTTAACTTCATATTGCTGAAAGGCACTGAAGAGGTAGGGAAAAGCAGTCCTGAATCACTAGTGGCAAACCTCCCCCCAATGCCAGCAGCAGTTGTGTGATGCTGAGAGCGTGACTGTGACAGAGATGCCGTATATCTTGATTGTGATTGTGTATACATGGTTATATACATTTGTCAAAATTCATCAAGCTGTACATTGAAGAATGGAGAATCTTACTGTATGTGAATTATACCTCAATATATCCAGTAATTGTGACTTGAGCGATAAGACTATCATATCAAGATGTTGTCTGATAGACCAGATACTGTGGGACTACCAACTCCTTGATTTGAATAACATTCTATAAATGTACTTAAAACTGGTGTTTGATTTAGGACATCCATTTTATAGTTTTGTTTCATATCAAGCTTGTAATCCATTAAAACATCCTATATGTATCTAGCTTATAAAAAATTAAATGCAGTATTTCATAATAATACTTTAAAGATTTCATCTTATGTATTTAAATCTATTATATGAACTTGATGAAATCTTTTGTAATCTACATATTGCTATACAAAGGATTAGATATTCTATACAGTCTTGTGTCATTTACAATTTAGTCAATATGCTTTTTTCACAAATCATCAGAAAAATGCAAATAAAAAAACCACAATGAGATACCACCTTACCCCAGCCACAATGGCCAATATTAAAAAGTTAAAAAACAGATATTGGCATAGATTGTGGTGAAAAGGGAATGCTTATATGCTGTTGGTGGGAATGTAAATTCGTACAACCTCTAGGGAAAACAGTATGGAGATTCCTCAAAGAACTAACAGTAAATCTACCATTCAACACAGCAATCCCACTACTGTGTGTACACTCAAAGAAAAATAAATCTAAACAAATTAATGAAATATCTTTGTCCTTAATCATTGATAAAATCTTCAGTATTGGAAATGAAGTTACATATGTTCTGGATGTTATCATTTTAGTTCTTTTTTATTTCAAAAAAAGGCTTTATGTATTTCTTTTAATTTTTACTACTGGTGAATTGTTTTAATTAAATCATGTAAATTACTGTAAAGTTTTGTTTTCTTCGTATCTCTTAACACTTATAGATTTGAGTTGTTTATAAAATGTATAAACCTTTATATATTTGAGTTTTAAAAATATATAATTTTTTAAAAATGTGATATTAAATTTTTGTATGAGAATATATATTAAGTTATTTATATTCATTCCATAAAATTAGACATATATATATAAGTAATCCCCATTGATTGAAATTACATAATGCTATCCTTTGCTTGAAGTTGTGATATTCCTAACCTTCTAAATTGTTCTGTGAAACATGAACACATACATACACAGACACACGATCTCAACAGAAAAAAAATATTTTCTATACACATTCCAGTTCATTTTTACATTTGTTAGTGTGCAAACATTTTCAATTATAGAACAGAAAAGATTCCTCTTCCAAAAAGTGAGGTACATGTTGACATGTACGTCATCATTTGTGAATCATCAATCATCACTTGTGATTGAGAAACCATACTGTATTCTCACATAATTAGGTTTAGATACTGAAATATTTTAGTCCTGTTATAAGATGTGCAAAGATATTTTAAATAGCATTATATTCTCAGAAATAACATTATGTAGATTTAATACTTCTTAATAATTAACTATTTCTATTTACCCATCAATTTCAATGATTAAATATCTTTCAAGATTCTCAAAATATAAAACTTGTCACACACGATAAGAAAATGACACATTTTTAAACCAACCCTCCTCTATTTCTGGATACTTGAGATCACTATTTCTTCTACCTTATAATCCACTCATTCAGAAATATCTTAAATTTCCAAGGGAGACATCCGAGGCTCATTTGCTTTTGCAAGGCTTCCAAGCAGGTAGGAGTAAAGGAATTCAAAGTAGTACACAGAGCAGGAGAAATTAACTTACAGATATGGATATAATTTAGGCATGCACACAGGGGATTGGCTGATTTTAAATGTACAGAATTATCTACTTCATGTTTCATAATGTCTTCTTTATTGTACTACATATGGAAATGCCAATAAAAACTATTAAGCTAAAAATACTTTATGAAAGTTGTAAAATGTTTAGTTTGCATTACACTTCAATCAAAAATTATGGCTCATTCAAAGCTCTGTTCATTGCCTCTCTCTTTGTCTAGTTCAGTTCCTGCAATACTCCCCAAAAAGTCCTGTGGGCATCTGAAAGATTGGTTCCAATATATAAATTAACAGACATTGAGGCTAAGAGGAAACCATCCCTAAGTTGTGGTATGATTGTTTTCATAATGAGAAATAGCACATATTTTATCTGTAGTGAAATTCATAATAAGAATGCAGAAATAAAAGTGTGAACTCTACTAATAAACAGGAAAAAATGTTCTGCTAAATTTTTTAAATTAGGCGAGAAGTGACAAAATATTTTCAAAATAAGTAACTCCAATGAAACATAAAAAATATATGATTTTTCAGGATACTAAGAAAACATGTTTTCTTTTTCCACAGGTAATTTTTCAAACAATATTTTCTAAATCTTTTAAATTTAGTTATCACTATATTCTTGCTCTCGGGGGGCCTACACAGCAGTTGTAAAGATAGGACAGGTCTCACATTTACTTAAAACAAGAATGAAGAGGAAGAAATTCAAAAGTAACCAGGCTTATCATAAAATGTCAAGATTACAGAATTGGGAATTTGAGAGCTAAATTCATATATTTTTTAAAAATATATTTTTGTATACCTTCTCTATAACTGTGTGACTCATGTCTTCTAGAAATATGACCATAAAAGAGTAGCAAGTGAAGAATTCCAGAACATAAGAAATTAGTTAAGGTATATTGATAAAATGTCAGCAATAGATCATTTCTTAAAACACTTATACAACATTTGATGCATATTTAAAAATAAATGAAAAAATCAAGAAATGTCAAAATATAGAGAAAAGGTCGGTTTTGCATAATCATTTGATACAATAGTGGTTTGTCTTACCTCTACTACCAGTTGCTGAAGAGATGGTGATGCTACAGGATACAGACTAGAGTTCCCCCTTATGGGACTGTGGAGGCTAATATAAGCCACAACATTTTTCTGAAGAACCTTCTTGAAATCCTGAAATAACAAAAAAAAAAGGATCTATCTGTAAGACAAATAAATAGATTCTACTTTATTAGTTAGATGTTGAATAATGAACATTTCATTTCATACTTAAAATTATTATATTGCATAATTACCTTCTTTTTTTTTTTCTTTCTTTCTTTCTTTTTTTTTTTTTTGAGACAGACTCTAGCTCTGTCACCCAGACTGGAGTGCAGTGGCGTGATCTCAGCTCACTGCAAGTTTCACCTCCCGGGTTCACGCCATTCTCCTGCCTCAGTAGCTGGGACTACAGGCGCTGGCCACCCCTCCAGCTAATTTTTTGTATTTTTAGTAGAGACAGGGTTTCACCATGTTAGCGAGGATGGTCTTGATCTCCTGACCTCGTGACCTGCCAGCCTCAGCCTCCCAAAGTGCTGGGATTATAGACGTGAGCCACCGCACCCGGCCATAATTTCTTTCTTAAAAAAGTGATCCTATACTATGTAATAGTGTACACAAAGATTATAAAAGGATTTTAAACAAGAGTGGTAAGAGTTAGATATATAATAAAATATATTAAAGCATGTTCCTGACAAAAGTCAAATTTTAAGAGAAAATGTTCTTCAAAGGTTAACACAGTATGGATTTAACTACAGAATATGAATGCAACTTAATTTTAGAGTTACTGAATAAGAGGGGAGATATAGATAAACCACTTCAGTGATGAATAAAACCAGCCCTTTACTTTTGAAGCAATGAGCTACGCTGCACAAAATAACCCTGTGTTACCAGTAAAATGGGCCATAATACAATGTAATCTTGCAAATATTACCTTAAAAAAAACCTGATGCATTTCATGCACACAAGCTACACCAAATGATTCCATATAATAGTTTTCCACTTCTCTTCTGCTCCTTACCACACAAAATTGAACACCACTGATCCTATTAAGAAGGACCACTAAGTCTTTCTGCTATTTTCCTGTTTTTTTTTGTGCAAGCATTTAACAAATAATTGTCATGGTGGCAGTTCTACAGAAATGTCCTAAAAGATTACATTATGTCATAACTTGGGAAAGTATCTTTCTTCTTCTAATACTATGAAATGGAAGACTACAAGGACTCATACACCTGCCAAATAGATAATGTCATCCTATTTTATTTTTATTTTTTTCATTGTAAATTGACAGCTTAAAATGATATAATTTTATGGAGTACAAAGTGATGTTATGATTTATGAATATAATGTGGAATAATTAAATTAAGCTGGTTAACATATTCATCACCCCAAATATGTTACATTTTTTGTGATGAGAACACATAAAATTTACTGAACAATTTTGAAATGTATCATACTCTATTACTAAGTATATTCACCATGCCACACAATATATAATAGAAGTTGACCATTTTCTCCCCGTTCCCTCCATACCCCAGGCTGAAACCACCATTCTACACTCTGTTACAGATGAATAGAAAAAGGAAATGTGTTATATATACACAATGGAATACAATTTAGCCTTGAAAAACAAGAAACTTATCTCTTTTGTGATAACATGGATGGAATTGGAGAACACTATGCTAACTAAAAGAAGCCAGGGACAGAAACATAAATACTGCATGCTTTCACTGTTATCCATATTTTATGTTGAAAATTCAGCCATACCTCTGAAAGAGGGCTGAAAAGACAATCATTTAAAATTAGTAAACATTTTAAGCGCACATAAATGATGAATTTTAAGCTTGAGTAATTTTTCCATAATATTGTTCAAAAATATCTGTTACTTAAGTGCTATGAAATATCAGCTTCTATTAGCACACTACCACATAGACACTGTCTATATGTTAGTCTATATAATTCTCATGAGACCCTCATAAGATAGGCATTAGTAGACTCATTTGAGGAATCAAGTCTTAGGGAAGTTAATCTTGCCTCAGATGACATATTCTATGGTAAAGAGAATTTGAACTATGACTTCTTTTACTCCAATATCTATAATATTTCCACAATAGCCTCTGACAAACGAGGATTCTTCACAGAAGAAATGGTACTTTTTAAAGTATAGAACCTATTTAGCAAAATGTTATAATTTTTCTCAAAGATCAAGATCAGTATTGAATCAATTCTCTAATAATTCTGTCTATAAATTCCATTGTTAAGTTTATTGACCAACATCATCTAATCCTCTTAACTACCACTGTGGGTTTCCAGAGTTTTCTATGCAAGCAAAATTAAAAGGGGCAATATGACATGTCAATAAGGGCTTTCCTCACTCCCCTTCACAGGGGAATATATTTAGAGCATAAATTAGTTTCAGTCTAACATAAACTCTTTCATTCTCAGGATTACATTTGACATGAGTAGGCAAAACAGGACAACTAGCAGTTTTCTAAATTTGTCTTCAATAGGATGTTTACAAAATGGCTTCATGAATTGCACTGAAACAATCTGGTGAGACACAGTAAATTATAAAAATACATTTTATAGGCCAATAATCAAATGTATATTATTTACCATTTTCATTACTCATATGTCTTTGCCCATCTAGTCACCTAAAATGCCAGTAAATGAATGTATAATCACTTGCTAAATGTAAATACATATATAAACATTCAGAGACATTGGTACTTAATTGTTTTGAATAGGAATAACCTTATTAACAAAATTTTTTTCCTGTGAACTCCCACATTGTAGTTGTTGTATTTTTAGCATCATTGACTAAGAAAATATACAATTATCAAAAGGTACAATGACCCCACAAAAACTTAAGAATGAATGTGTATTAACCACAAAAATATCAACTTACTTTGACAAAAACTATCGCTCACACACATGCAAGCCCACATTGATTCAACTCACAGGCTCTGATGCTTGATGCTCAACTAAACTTTTTAATAAAATTTTGCATGCATTGGGGTTTGAGATGTTTACCTTAGAAACTATTAATTTAGACAAGCCTAGTCTATTCTAAAACATAGTTCAGAAATATATATTTTAATTTAGAATTAACACAAATTAATTGTGACAGTTACTAGATAGGTATCTAGAAGACCTAAAATATAGTTTGAAATAGCAAAATACATCTTTGGAATTCGAAAAGAATCTTTAAGACATTTTAAAGATATGTGCTTTACTGTTACAGGAAAACTAAAACATTAATTTCATTGTTTCTGATGTATTAAAAATGGTATAGATTACAAACATATTCCCTAAACTGTTCTTTAACTTGTTTACCAATCTTTAAAGTAATTTGGAATATGAGTTTGAGAGGTTGGTTCAGCTATTTCATTTCCAGCTTACTTACAAAGTTGTCAACTTAAAAAGATTCTTTAAGCAATGGAATTTTTTCATTTGAAGTAATTCTTTTGAATATGGCCCAAACATTCACACCACTCATTTGCATACAGAAAAGCATTCCAATTTGCAGTGTGTGAATCTTGATGAATTTTACACTGAAAAAATTTTTTCATCTTTAAGTCTATTCTTTACTTCAAATTAAAAAAGATACTTGCTATCTTCTTTTCTATACCTTTTTAAATATTTTCTTTGATTTAATAGATATTTTATCTTTTTTGAGTGATTAAAAATAAAAATGTAGCAAAATAATTTCCTATTAAATTTTTCTCCTCAGAGCTGAAGTAGTGAAAAAACTACAGTATTAAATTATCTTGCTTTCCTAGTAAAATTATGTAGTGTTTTTGGTCTACATATGTCTATTGAACCTCTTTTTTAAAACAAATCACAAAAGTAAATAGACTTTCTATCAATCCAATTATCAGCTATCATATTCCATTAAAAATACAGTGCATTTATGAGACCCAGGTCTGTCAGAAGAGTTTGAGACTTAAATTCTCCAATATTTCAGTTGTATTCTAACTGTACCTCATTGCATGCTAGATTTCATTTGGATACAGGTTCCCTAAGGTGGTTAGGTAGGTAGGTAGGCAATAGATAGGCAGGTAGGAGACAGAAGGTAGGGAGATAAGGGTGAAAGAGTGGAGTGGTAAAAGGAGGAAAAAGTGGATTTTAAAATGTATTTTACATTCAATATCCATATTGAAGAGAGAAAATATAATGCTAAGGCAATAAACATTTAATATAGGAGACTGTTCCCTAATTCCAGATCATTCCTAGAAAGTGTAGAAAAAGAAAAATAATAAGTATCATCTGATCCTTTTTTGTCCAGTGCCTGTCATCCTGTCTTCTAAGGAGAAATACAATAATAAGGTAAACACTATTGTGTGTTAGACTGTATCAGGGTTTGTAAGTCTGGTAACAATAGGGGTAAGATATTTGAAGGTCATACGTAGTTTGCTGTGGTCTAGCTCTAATTCCATATTATTATTATAAGCCATCTCAGCAAATTAGGCAATATGACACTTGTGTTGAGAAGCACATTATTGCCCTTGGCTTTGAAAATTTTACTTTGTCTACTTTAGCAAACTAAGAAAAGAAAAGCACTGTAATTAATGTATATTTTGCTTTACCTCTCCCCATTCATATGAGCCAATATTGCCAAAAGCTGTTCCTCCCCAAGAACAGAAAACAATAGTTCGGTCTGGTCTCCACCCTCTCTTAACTTTTGACATCAAGGCACGGATAAACGCTGTGATTATTGCAGTACTACTGGCCCATTCTTGTCCATTATAACTGTGTGCAGTGTGATGATGGCTGCCAACTATGATATACCGGTCTGAAAATAGAAAGGGACAAGAGCCATTTAAAAAAATGTAAACCTTAACAATAAATTTAATGACATTTACATAATTCTATTGCACAACTGAGCAATAATTAAGCAAAATTGCTCTAATAATTAAGACTACTTTAATTTTTTTGCTCACTGTCTTAATTCACACATCTGTGTATATCAAAGCAGAGGCAGCTGCTGAACCCAATTATGAATCCAAAGCTTAGATCCATATTACTCTCCTTTAGAACATGAATATTAATTAATGAAGCATGTAAATATGCCACAGTGAAACCCTTATCTAACATTTTTCCAGACTCAGAGTGGGAAGTGCCCTGTAAACAATGTATGCATGCTCAGTAAATATTAATAAACTATTAATACATTTAAGAAGGCGCTTTAAATATTAAAAATGTGGTAGTCATGTATGGATTCTGCAATAAATTAATTCCACAGGGAATTAATTACAGCTTCCAACTTAAAATTTTAGGCCCTCTCCTTTCTGTGAAGAAAAAAAATAAAATTCACCAATATCAAAAGTCATTCAACTGTTGTAAAAGTTGCCTTTTACATATTTTATTTAATGCAATCATTCAAAATGTATTAGATACACTACTAGGAGAGCCTTCCTAACACATGGAAGTAGCTGTTCAATGTACATTACTGAATATTTTCAATAATAAGGCTGAAAATGCCCCCAGAGAGTTTCCTCTGATTTTCTTGTCAGCGAATGTTATTGGTAATAATAACATATCTGAATTTATCTGAGCAAGTATCTTCATACATCTGTGCAAAAATTTTTCTTCATTGAATATCATTTTTTTACCAGATGTCCCACAACTGGATGGTAAATTGTTCAGACCCTGAATCCAGCCTGCTTGGGTTAGAATCCAGGCTGTGCAAGTCACTAGTTGTGTGACCTTGGAAAGCTTATTTCAACTTTCGATGCCTTAGTATTTTCATCTCTAAGGTAGGAAAACAAATAGTACATCTCCATTTAGTTGTTCTGAGTTTTAGGAGTTACTGTTTGTAAGCCACTTTGAACAATGCTCAACACAAAGTAGGTCTTACACATGGGTGGAATAAATGAATCACCCTTTGACTTATAACACCAGAAAGCTACCTTACAAGAAATGCCACAGTATGAAGATATTTTAGTTTTCCACACAGGAATTGGCAATGGATTTGATCTGCCAACATTTTATTAAGGTTTAATTAATGGGCGGTGGCTCACGCCTGTAATCCCGGTATTTTGGGAGGCCGAGACAGGTGGATCACGAGGTCAGGAGTTCAAGACCAGCCTGGCCAAGATGGTGAAACCTCGTCTCTACTAAAAATACAAAAATTAGCTGGGCTTGGTGGCGGGCACCTGTAATTCCAGCTATTCGGGAGGCTGAGGCAGGGAATTGCTTGAACCTCAGAGGCGGAGGATGCAATGAGCGAAGATCGTGTCACTACATTCCAGCCCCGTGATAGAGCAAGACTCCATCTCAAAAAAAAAAAAAAAAAAAGATTTAATTCATGGTATACATAGTGTGAGAGTGTGTCTGCAAATGTTAAAAACCCAAGAATTTATTCACTTATCTCCCATAAATGTCTCAAAAGTTTTGCTTGGAATTGTCTGCATTCTAAATAAACCATATCTAAGAAACAATGCTAATTGATTATTGTTTCTAATCTTCAAAGTTATTAAATAAAATGTTATGTAAATAGTCTTTTTTTTTTTTTTTTTTGAGATAGAGTCTCGCTCTGTCGCCCAGGCTGGAGTGCAGTGGCGTGATCTCTGCTCACTGCAAGCTCCGCCTCCCGGGTTCACGCCATTCTCCTGCCTCAGCCTCCCCAGTAGCTGGGACTACAGGCGTCTGCCACCATGCCCGGCTAATTAAATAGTCAATTTTTTGTAAAATTCAAATAAGCAAAATTTGAGAAACTCTGCATATCATATACTGAAGAATACTAATGGTAAAATCGATTTTTTCAATTCCAGGAGTTTATTTTGTACAGTGAATTTTCTTCACTCTAAAGCTAGTATAATTTGTACAACTGGGTTTTCCAATAACAACTTGCGAATGTATCAGTGATAATAAATATTCTAGTGCTTCAATTGAGAACCTTATGATGGAAATTTGTTGAAATTCAATAGTAACAATTTTCAAATTTATTTATATCTTGTATTTAAAGAACTATAATCAGAGGTTGTTCAACATTGTGACTGTAAAGAAATCGGAGAAAATAACTGGCTTTCATGAACTTTGTAAGAGTTGGCCAGCAAGAAACTGGGAGGCTGTAAAACTTGATCTTAAAATTCTGAGCTAGCAACTAGGCCAATTTTACTAAAGTCATGGAAAAGAATAATTCTCCAGGGAGAACTTGCGTAAATGTCCCAAAATCAACAGAAGTAGCAAAAGTGTAATAAAAAGAGTGTTACATGCTACACTGTATAACAGGCACATTAGACAGTAATATGTGATTCAGCCTTACGATGTGTTTGGAAGTATTGCTATTAATCTCTTAATTAGCCTACATAATATCTGAAGATTTCAATTTTTTTTTTTTTTTTTGAGATGGAGTCTCTCTCTGTTGCCCAGGCTAGAGAGCAGTGGCATAATCTCAGCTAACTGCAACCTCCGCCTCCCAGATTCAAGCGATTCTCCTGTCTCAGCCTCCTGAGTAGCTGCAGGTGACCATTTTCATAAGCACATTGAAAACCTAAAGCCATGCAGACATTTGACAAATTTGGCAATGGACCAAGGATACAGAGTGGGACATAGAATAAAACTGGACAACTAAATTTGGAGACCAAAACTTTTATTTAAAAAAAAAAATCATTAAAAACTAAAATCTTTCTTAGCCAGGCATGCTGGCTCACCCCTTTAATCCCAGCACTTTGGGAGGCCAAGGCTGGTGGATCACATGAGGATAGGAGTGCAAGACCAGCCTGGCCAACATGGTGAAACCCTGTCTCTACTAAAAATACAAAATGAAAAATTAGCCGGGCTTGGTGGTGGGTGCCTGTAGTCTCAGCTACTCAAGAGGATGAGGTACAAGAATTGCTTGAACTTGGGAGGCAGAGGCTGCAGTGAGGAAAAAGAAAATCATTCTTTAAAATGTCTTCTTGATCAAAATAAAATTTTCAGTGGTGTTATGGTGAGTATAAGAAAAAAGAAAACTTTGGCTTTTTTAGAACATGCCAGTTTACCAAATCTAAACTCTGTTTCTTGTTTCATCTCCTCCTGAGAGATCCCCACCTCTCTCTCTCTCTCTCTCTCTCTCTCTCTCTCTCCCCCGACTAAGATTTATTTTAGAAGAGATACGGTAGGAAAGAGAAGGAAGACCCACTTCTTAGTTTCAAATTTATCTACTCTAAGAGTGGGACAAATTTCTAGTTATATCTCAAGTAGGATATTTAAGTATAATATTAAATTATTACAGAGCATTTCCTTGTATAGTTTCATATAAAGTGTAGATTATAAATTTTCAACCCTACTTACCTGGAGATGTCAAGCCCATTACAAATCCAACAACATTAGTAACTGTTTTCAATTTTGTGACTGTCTGAACTTGCATGCTGACGACTCTTATTTCTGAAAAAATAAAAATTTAAAGACTTTTGCTTCTTTATATTTTATTGTATTTTTTAAACCTTAAAATTTATTTTATCCAATATCATCAGCAAAAGAATTCCACAGAATTGAATGTTCTCAGATAGCCAGTTATACTTTTTCCGACAAATATTTATTCAATACTTTGTACAGATTCTATTTTAGGTGTTTGTTACGCAGTGATGACTAAGATACAATTGCTAGCCTCTTTGAACCTCAGAGCCATAAATAGACACTTCTAAACCTTACATTGAGTTCTACAATGAGTGTTCATCATGAGAGCATTGAGAAGACCTTCAGGAGATGTGGGGAACTCATATTTTTAAAAACAGAAAAAAATAGATTAAAATATTTCCAAAGAATATTGAATGCTTTTCTATTTTCAGATAAAGAACATGTGGACAATAACCTTTCCAGTATGACTCACTATTTTATTAACACTTTAAAAATGATAAATAAAGCATTATACAACATAAAAGGATAAATATTCTTAAAGCTGTACATGTTTTCATATATTAGAGTTTTTATTTCTGAGTTTGTAGGTCCCTTACCTCTATTCTAAATCTGTACTAATCGCTCTACCTTTTTGAATTTTTCTGTTTATGTTTGATATTCAAAAATTTTGCAAATAAGGCAAAGACACCAAACAGGAAGGACTCTAGTCACAGAACTGACATAGTCTCTGGAGATGAAATGTGTTAATCCCGTATTTGATGGATCCTGAGAAGTCTGGGTTGGGAAGTGGTTCACAGGATCTTTAAAGTTTTCCTTAAAGCAGAGGTTTAAGAGTAGCCAGGTGTTAGTGTCAGGGCAGAGCATGGCACATTTGAAAGCAGGTAATGCAAAGTAGCCACATTATACTGGCAGGCCTACAAATGTCACTTCTTACTGCTAGATAGAAATTGTAATAATAAATATATTACTTCTTTCCCTCAAGGTACACTTTCAAACAAATTAAATGGAAAATCCGTATACTGAATCCATTAAAATAATAACCAAAACAAAAGTAAAGAGGCCTTTAGAAAATGCCTGAGTGCCTTATCTATCTATGAGTAAATCTACGTAGAGTCTGAGCATTGTGCTTTTAATTTAGGTACTATGCATTTTCGTTTGTTTTTCAATTAATAGACTTTGTTTCTTAGAGCATTTTAGGTTTGCAAAAATACTGAGGAGAAAGTATACAGTTCCCCAATACCCTCTGTCTCCCAAGCCTCCTATTATTAACATCTTGCATTACTGTGGAACATTTGTTACCCTGATAGACCAATAATGACACATAAAGTCCATAGTTTACATTGGTATTCACTTTTTGTGTTGTATATTCAATGGGCTTTGACAATGCATAATGGTGTATATCCATCATGATAGTATCATACGGGATAGCTTCACTACTCTAAAATCCCCTGTGCACCACCTCTTCAGCCCTCCTTCCCTCCCTCTCTCCCCAGAAACCCCTGGCAGCAACCACTGATCTTTTTATTGTCTCATAGTTCTGCCTTTTCAAGATTGTCATAGCACTGGGCTCATATGTTTGTTTGTTTTGATTGTTTGTCTAATTCCCTGCTCAAGCTTTGTTCCAAACGATCCACATAAGTGAACTTTATAGACTCTTTACCTTACACCTTTCAATGATCTTTCCTGCTTATTTTAGATACAGATATAGGTGAAGAATCTTTTCTGGTTTTCTAAAATTCAATATATTTTTGTCTAAGTTAGCAGCGAGAAAACGTCACAATATGTATACTGTACTACTTACAATATTACCTTGCATTAATATAGTGATTAAAATTTACAATAACCATTTTCACACACATGCACTAATTTTTACTGGATCACATTCTTACTGGAAGTAGCTAGAGTGGTCATTGCCCAATTCCCAACAGCTGTTGGGGTGTCGTGATTAGAGGGGGGATTGAGAGGTGAAGCCAGCTGGAATTCCTGGGTCAAGTGGGGACTTGGAGAACTTTTCTGTCTAGCTAGAGGATTGTAAATGCACCAATCAGCACTCTGTAAAAATGCACCAATCAGCACTCTGGGTCTAGACAAAGGATTGTAAATGTGCCAATCAGCACTCTGTAAAAACGCACCATCAGCTCTCTGTGTCTATCTAAAGAATTGTAAATGCACCAATCAGCACTCTGTGTCTAGCTAAAGGATTGTAAATGCACCAATCAGTACTCTGTAAAAATGCACCAATCAGCACTCTGGAAAAACGCACCAATCAGCATTCTGTGTCTAGCTAAAGGATTGTAAATGCACCAATCAGCACTCTGTAAAAATGCACCAATCAGCGCTCTGTATCTAGCTAAAGAACTGTAAACCCACCAATCAGCACTCTGCAAAATGGACCAGTCAGCACTCTGTAAAATGGACCAATCAGCACTCAGTAAAATGGACCAATCAGCAGGACGTGGGTGGGGACAGATAAGGGAATAAAAGCTGGCCACACCAGCCAGGAGCAGCAACCTGCTTGGGTCACTTTCCACACTGTGGAAGCTTTATTCTTTTGCTCTTTACAATAAATATTGCTGCTGCGCACTCTTTGGGTCTGCAACACCCTGCCTCTTTGGGAACATGATCATCTCTTTTGTCCCAGTGTGGATGCTATAGTCCCACTCTAATTTTACCAAGACCCATAACTTCTGAATATGCGGCAAACAGAGTACCAACTCTTTTGCTTACTTCTCTGATTGTTGATTCTGTCTTCAGTTTTGCTTTTGTATATTTGGTTATATTTTACTTTATTTTTTGAGAGCTGCTTTTAAATTTCCTTCAGAGATCTTAAACATTTGTATGGAAGGATTTCAAATTATTTTATTCTGCTTTCTACATCTCGAGGTCTAGAACTATTTAAAAGAAGCACAGAGGTCAAAGAAAATAAACCTAATCTTTTGCTCTGAGAAGAATGCTATATTTACATTGGATCCTTCCAACTGACAGAAGGACTTCCTTATGTATCACTAGGCAAAGACTAGGTCAAAATAATGACATATTTACATAGCAAAAAGCTACTTTTCATCTCTTTATTTACATCCTCATGCATGTGCTGATCCTGATGCATATTGTTTTATATTATTCCATACTCACATCTGAAAATAAATATGCATAGAGTCTGTTTATTTTCACTAGAGTCAGCACCATGATCACATTTTAAATTTTAATAATAAATATCAGAAAGTCTTGAATAAACTTGCTCTAAAGACACACCTGCTGCTGTTGGCATTGCTAATTTGAACAATCCGTTGGTAAGGCAATATTACTCTTCATAGCAATAACAAAAGCAATCCTGTACTTAGAAATTTATCCTACAAGAATAATTCAACTCTCTGTAGTATAATCTGTAATAGCAATAACAGAAAACAACATAAACATGTGAAACAGGGAAATGACTTAGAGAATTGTGATAAAATGTGTGGCTGTTAAAAATGTAAAAAGAATATTTAGAAACATGGATATGCTGTAAGTGAAAAGAATACAGAGAGATATACGTAATGATTAAACTTAGGTAAAAACGTGTATGATTATGAACAAACTATGAAAAAGGAGAGATTAAATAGTGGAACAGAAATTGGGTTTAGCAGGCCTTCCCATATCTACTGGAGTGAGGCACTGTTGTAAAAAGTCTTGAACAAACCTGCACTCTGGGGTATGTCTCCTCCTCCAAATCCCCAGGGATGGTGGAATTAAAACCTAGAGAGATTGTCTCCTCCTAGTGTAGCACCT
Organism: Homo sapiens; assembly: GCF_000001405.40. Taxonomy (NCBI): domain Eukaryota; kingdom Metazoa; phylum Chordata; class Mammalia; order Primates; family Hominidae; genus Homo; species Homo sapiens. The sequence continues at coordinate 175,459,659 of NC_000003.12, read as the reverse complement.
GTTAATATCGAACCCTTTTTCACTGTAGAAACTTTTAGAATTTTTCTCTTTGTGCTTTTTGAATTTAACTATAAAATATATACGTGTGGTTTTTTTTTCCTTTTTTTCTGGAAAAATTATTATTACTTTTTTGACCATTTTCTCTCTCCCATTTTTTCCTTCTTCTAATATTGTTTCTAGAACTCCATTTTAATCGACTGTATATTTTACTCGTACTTTTGTATTTCTCTATTTATCCTTTTCTACGCCTCTCTGGATCTAGAAGGTCAATCTGATCTTCTAGCTCTTGAATTTATTCTTCAGTTACATCTATCTATGGCTGTATCTATCTACCCACCCTATTACTATATTTCTTTCAGTTATCTTATTTTCCATACCTATTATTTCCTCTCATTTTTTAAAATGTTTTCTGATTTTTGTTTTATATTGCTAACATATTTTATTCTCTTTTTGAGTTTAACTTTAATCCTTATTTTAAGTTCTTATACCATGTGTTCCAATATGGTAACTTCGGGTGGTATATGTATTTGTTGTGCTAATTTTCTTTTATGGTGGTTGTGGACCTCAGGATCTAGTTATTTTGGCCTGTGGTCCAGCATGGTATATCAGGGCCCAAGGATGGTGGGGATAGTGTCTAGGTGTGTGTGTGGGCACATGTGTACCTCTGTGTGAGAAGGCCTGAATATGAGGAAGAAAGCAACTACCAGGGGAAATAGTGCAATGAGATAAGCCATTGAAGCAAAGTGAGAAGGCCATCTGCATTTAAGAGCTGAATAGCATATAGTGTTAGAGCCTGGGTGGAGTGAGGAAGTTAACCACATTGTGGTAGGGGCAGACAGAACATTTGATATAGAGTGAATAGCCTGTATGTACCAGTGCCTAGGGTTGGATCCATTGTGAAGGGAGTAATGGCATCAATGGATTACATGCAGAGGATCTAATTACCTAAGTAAATATATTCCATTTAATGAGAAGGCAATTTCTAACTGCTAGAGAAAAGATTTACAAACATGGAAAGATAAATAAAACTTGATATTGATATGTTCTCATGGTTTTATATATATATAATTTATTTTTATTATATTTATAAATTATAAAATTTAATATATTTTAATTATATATTATATATAAAACCAAGAGAACATATGAATTTATATTAATTTATATATTTATATATAAAACCATGAGAACATATCTATATATGTTGTTGATTGTATATATATCTATATATATCCATGAGAACATACATATATACAAAACCGTGTGTATGTGTGTGTATAACACCCATGCATATAGATTTAAAAGTAAATACAGATATAAATCTGAGTGTATAGATATATTTTTATATACTTACATACAAATGTAATATTAAAATATAACTATATTTTCCTAGTTTTGCTCACTGAGTAGTATGGAGAGAAACAACACTTCAATAGCAATAGATGAATCCAGATCTGGTTTTCTAGACACTATTCTCCACTCAAAGGACCTAGAGTCTGGAGAATTGGCTGATAACAGCTGGCACAGGAAAAGTACAAGATGATTTGGTACATCTTATGGTGCCAAAAACTAAAGAAATACCCGAAGAATAATGAGTACATGTCAAAGGACACAGAACCCAGCTGAAGTTGCTATTACTGCCTAACATTTGACAATTTGAGTATTAAGATACAAATAGTACTGGTTTATAACCTATTGAATCTATTATGAATATAAATCCTAATTAAGTAATGACTCAATACTGGCATGTGTAAATTAAAAAAATCATACCAAGAAATGAATAGAAAAAAGGAAAAATCTCTTCTTTACAGTGGAATTTCAACTAATAAGTGTAAAGATGATAAAATTACAGCTGGAAGTGGTGGCTCATGCCTGTAATCCTAAAGCTTTGGGAGGATCCCTTGAGGCCAAGAGTTTGAGACCAGCCTGAGCAACATAGCAAGATCTTGTCTCTACAAAAAAAAAAAAAAAAAATTAGCCAGACATGGTGGTGCATGCCTCTAGTCCTAGTTACTCAGAGACTGAAGCAAGAGGATCATTTGAGCCAAAGAGTTCAAGGCTGCACTTAGCTAAAATGGTGCCACTGCACTGCAGTGACAGAGTGAAACTGTCTTAAACACAAAATAAAAAAAGGAAGTTGGAAAGTCACCATTGGCATCATCATAGAAATGACTGGGCAACACGTATCAGTGAACACAAATACTAGTGGCTAAAGGTAGCAGTGGTTTGGGGCAGTATGCTACATGATTTCAAATGCTTACTGAGTATAAAAGAAAAAAATTATAAAGTAACTTCAATAGGGAGACCTGGCGGCCACCACCTTAATCAAGTGATCATAGGTAGTAGCAGCACCAGAGATGGGACAAACTGAAGCAGAGTGAGAAGGACATCTGCTTTTAAGAGCTGAGAAACATACCTTGTTAGAGCCTGAGTAGAGTAAGGAAGTTAACTACATCATGGTAGGGGCAGGTAGAACATTTGATGTAGGGTGAATAGCCCATATTAGACAGTGACGAACGTTGGATCCATAGTAATGGCATCAACTGATTACAAACAGGGGAAAAAATTGTTCCCTGGTACATGGTAATATCATGCACCAGCTCATAAAATGCAATAGGAAAAACATAGTCTCACTCTGTAGTATTACTGTTAAAGATTCAGAGCTTGAATATCCTCATGAGATAACATCAGATAGACCCAGATTGGAGGGACAATACTGTAGATAATTGGTATGGAATCTTCAAAGGTAGCAAAGCAAAGGAAGTCAAGAAAAGACAGAAACTCTTCCAGGTTGAAGGAAATGGAGGATTTGACAACTTGATGCAATACATGTGCCTAGTTTGGACCCTATTGTAATTTAGGATGTTACTGGGAAAAATGGAAAATGTTTAATTGAGTCTGTGGAATGCATGGTAGTAATGTATCAATGATTAATTTCTGATTGTGATGGTTGCATCATCTGTGTAGGAGTATGTCATTGTTTGTCAGATGATTCACTGACAAAGTCAGAGATATTCACTATGTTTGTAATTTGCTCTTGAGTAGTTAAGAAAAAATACTTTTACTATTGCAACTTTCTGTACATTTATTTCAAGATTTAAAAAAAATTCACCGTTGAAAGTTGTAATTAGAAACTCCTGGAGAACATTTAGGGGCAGTTAATTATTCAAAAAATTGCTGCGTGTGTGTGTGTGTATTGGTAGTTAAAAATTACATTTCCAGCTCACATTTACCAATTTCTGCCTTTCATGTAAAATTTGATGACAGCTTTAATTATGACATGTGAAGTTTAAAAGATTTCAAGATATAAAAATGTGTTCCACTCAGAGAACATTTGTATTCAAATAGGGTGAGGGGTGTCAGAGCTAAGAGACATGAAATAGCTGCCTCTCTCTATCCCTTAATTTCATCATGTGCAGAGAAAAATAACTGCTGCCAATTTTATGGTCCAGAGACAATTCTGTCTTGCATTTTTGTTGCAATTATTAAGAGCCAGATTAATTGGTTCCCAATCTTCTTCTTCCGTGATAACTAACAAAGCTTCATTTTCACCTGTATTGTGAATAATTATACCAAGTATCTAGAAAAAATTCCAATCTTATTCAAAGAGATTTGAAGAATAACACTTGCTGCTAACTCTGAGTCTCAATTCCAATAAGTAAGCATTTGTTAGTTTCCTAGGCATAGTTCTTCTAGAGTCTCTAAGTTTAATTGAATATTTGTCCCATTATATATACTTGAGTCCCTTTCTTGTCCACCTGGCTCTAGAAAATAACTTCTTCTAGGATTGGACTTCCAGATTGTTCTTTCATTTTCTTAATTTTCCTGATCCTCACTGTGACTAGAATCTGTTCTAGAGGCACAGTTTTGATGATTGAGATGCTGTGGTCTGCAGCTATCTTTCCTAAATGCCAACTGTTTGCCGGAAAATCTGAATATAAACTGCTTCTAGATTCTCTGCCATCATAACTTGTAAACTTTCAAGTACATATAGCTATCCCCTGATTGTCTAATACATGCGCACACATTTTCACATCCATATGTGCAAGTATTCATGTGAGCTTGCATACTTTTGGAAAAACAATTAACATTGAATTAAATCGTATTCTTTTTATTTAGTAAAATTATGTAACTAGGAAGACATTTTAAATAATACGAATATGAGAAAAAATAACTTTTACTCTCTTTGTATCCCTCAGAAATGTAAAAATTGACAATTTTTTCTCATCTGTCTACCAAACACTTCCACAAATCATAAATCATAAAATGAATCAGAAGACTAATCACCTGAAGCACTATCTTTGCTGCATATTTTCTATTTGTTCATTCACATCTATTTGCTACCCTCCATTAACCTTACCCCAGGAGAAGTACCTCTAAGAACTACATCTACCTGGTTCTTTTATTCTTTGGCTTCGGGTTTAGTTTACCCAATTGAAGGCATCAACAAGAGGCCAGCAGGTTGGGTTAAGGGAAAGACTGGAGTATTTATTTTCCAGTACCCTCCCTGGCTGTCCACTTTATGCAGTGACAACTCTGCTTGACTAAAAGCCACAGCTCTTCTCTTACAGCTAAAGTACTTGCCCGGTCCTACAACTGCTCTCTCTTCTTGCCCTTTCAGGTTTACAGTAGTAGCAATTACTAGACCTGGTTTAGAGGCAGTAGCAATGGTATCCCTTTTCTGTTTTGCTCTACCTGTCCACACCATGTGCATAAGCACTTGATTAAATTCTCTTAAATTGCACATTTTTTAGTGTATTCTTTTTTTCTTGATGCAAACCTGATTTATATGCCAATCAATCTACACAATTTTCCAAGTCCATATTTGCTGCCAGGAAATAAATGGATGGAAAGGAAGAGAAGATTTTGCTTACTAAAAATATGGTGGGCTAGGATATCAGATTAATCCACTCACTGATAATAACTTATAATGCCAAATAAAATACAAAACAAATCTTGTTAACAGCATCTAAGAATTAGCAAGAAATTAAGAACTTACTAGGTCAAAATTTAAGTTGTGATGGGAACCCAGGTAAATAAAACTACGAGGCTATCTTCAACCTAAGGGAATTTGGTAAACAAAGAGAACCCTTTAATACTGATGGCCTCGTGAGATGCAAAGGTCAGAAGACAAAGTCCTGGGCTTACCAAAACTGGGATGAAGAAGGTGGTTCTAAAAAAAGATTCTTCCTCTATAAAGTAGGAACCCTAAAGTTCTGAACTTCCCCCTCCCTCCCAAGAGACTGCAAAGAAAGTTACCTGACATTAAGCAGAGCAGGGGCATGGCATCTCTAAGAAGTTGTAATTTCTTAGATTAATTATAAAAGAATACAAAATGTATTTATAACTTCTAAATAGTAGAGAGAAAAATTTAATGGCAAACATCTAAATCTAAAGAAAAAATAAACCTCAAGGAAAACAATATGTGATTCAAAGAAGAAACCCTAATTAAGATGAAAACTATAAGCCTAAGTACATATTAATCACATTAAATGAAAGGGACCAAATGCTCCTATTAAAAGACTATCAGATTGCATTTAAATTGGAAATTATTTGCTATTAATGAGACATATATAAAGGGAAGATACAGGAAGGTTGAAAGCAAAAAATACGTAGCATAAAGATACCAATACAAACAGTGCTCCAAAATTAATACTCAAAACAAGAATTACTACACATAAGGAATGTCACTTCATGTGATAAGTGGTTCAGCTATTCCGGAAGGTATGATATATTTGAATGTATAAACACCGAAGAAATAATCTCAAAACATATAAAGTGAAAATTGACTAACTACAAGGGAAAATGGACAAATTTATATTCACAGTAGGAGATTTTAACATGAATAATATACAGAATATTTGAACAACCTGATTAAGGAACTTAGTCTAAGTGGCATGTATAGAATAGACAATTACACAGCGTACATTCATTTCAAATACTCATAGAACACTGATGATACCCTGAACCATAAAGAAAACCACAAATAATTCAATTATGAAGAGGAAACAACATATTCTAATGAAAATTCAGTTGCTTATGCTCTGCTTATGATATTCTCGGAAGAATATCATATCATAATGCCAAATAGCACACAAGTGCCAAATGCATGACAGAGTCATAAAGAGAGGCTACGTCCAACTTGAATGAAACTCTAAAGAGCTTTTGGTGGAGAATATAACACTTGCACTGAACCTTAAGAATTTAGAGGGTAATGGGCCTTTACAACTTAGAGACACAGACATGCAAGACATATTTGGATAATACTGAACAGAATAATAAGGAGAAATATTGGATACTTGCAAGGAATAGCAGAATATAGAAACACAAAGGCAGTGAGGAATCCGTGCAAGTTTTTGTTTAGTAAATGACAGTGTTGGTCCATAACATAAAAATATAAAGATAGGGTGTACGCTAATGGATTTTATCACACATATAAACTCCAAAGTTTAGTTGGAATTTCTATAATTTGTAAAAAGTGACAGGTATTTGAAAAATGATATGCTAAGAAAATAAGAAGCTGTAAAATCGTTGAGAAATATTGAAAAAGTAGAAAACACTTTTTAAAGTAATTTTGCTTCCAAGTGTACATCTCAGGTTGTCTTTAAGTCTTTTAGCAAACAAACAAAAACTCTAGACTGTACCCCAGCTGAATCATTTCTAAAATCAAAACTGTTGAGACAGAATCCTGGAAACTTGAGAAGTTCTGGGTGAATGTCAGATCTGCGTCACCTTTGGTAAGCCCAGCCTGCACTCCCCAGGAAACAGAGAATTGACTCTACTTTCTGTGGACTTTGGACAATAGGTTCCCCCCTACGCTCACTCCATTTAAGATCCCTGATGAACAGTCCTTCAAAGTGAATTCTGAAGCTCTTTTTCCTTTTGTCCAAGGACTTCCGACTGGCAGCTCATGAATGTTGATCTTTAGTTCTACGGAATACTCCGTTATCAGCTCCTACCTCAGACTCCTAGGTTCACTATGTAACTGACTGCTTGAAGACAGTTGATCTGGCATTTGTCTCCACACATATCAGTTCTTCGTAAAGAGTTCTAGCTCCCTGAATTATTCAGATAAAGAACAGCCATCATATCTATATGCATGCTATATGGAAGCTATCTGCACAAATTAAAATTTTCCCCATTTCTTTTGAATATTTTCCTCCATGTTGATTGGAAAAGCCTAATCAATATTATTAAAGCCCACTCTGCTCAAAAACAAGTTTTTAGTTTTCCCTTTCTTTTTTTTCTTTTAAGGCCTACTAAAAAATACTTAGTTTTGTTATGGCCAAAAAGGTTTGTCATTTGTTATGTTGGAACTTAAAGGAAGCTATGTCATATAAGATCATACTACTCCATTGTCTACCAAGATAAATTGATAGGTAGGTGGATAGAGGGAGAGAAAGACATAGCAAGAGAGAGAGAGAGAGAGAATCTGAAGACATTCTTTAATGAGAATAGCATAATGTACTGGATCTTCTCACATGGAGCAATTCTGAAGCTGCTCTGAACACATTGATTAGTTTCATATGTAAGAATACACAATGTTGCATTCAATTGTACTAACATTTCCTTTTAATAGAAATTTCTTGAAAAGCTAAAAGGCACCATTTGCCAATAAATATTTGTGTAACTACAACTTGTAGATAATATGTTCAATACATGCTTTTAAATTTGTACTCAAGAAATGCTAGTAATGCATTGTTTCAAGTAACTACTAACAGATTAGGAAGATAGATTTTCAAAATGCATTAGAAATACGTAAAAATTATAAACAAGATGATCGGTTAGACACTATGTCATTTTAATAATAAAAGTAATTTTCATAAAAATATAGAATTGTAAATAAGGAAATAATAGGAAATAAGGAAATAATAGCACTTGAATATCCATTTGAAGAGACATCACCCAAATTTATTTATGTAAAATTTTGTCATCACTGATAAGTTTTAAGCAACATGTAAACAATTATTTTTTCAAAATAAGTGAATCATCAAATATCTTAAAATGTTTATTTTTAACTTGATTCATTTATATTTTTCACGCTAAATTACATTAATGGATTTTAAAATTTCTTCTTCCCTTTTAATTATTATAGTCATGAATTTTAACCACAAGCTCAGATTGATATGTGAAAATTAAGCTTTCCATGTTTTGACTGAACTTCAAAGACAAATATTGACAATACGTTGAATGAATGGGTCAGGTCTACAAAGAAAAAGACCATTCAAAATGAAATGGAGTCAGTATCCAATTATCTAATCAATGCAAACAATCTATTTAAGGAGGAACTTTTTTCATGATTCTTTTTCCATTCCTTATACTTTTTTTTTTAGTTCTCGCAGCGATACAAATGCCCAGCTGTCCACTTCAATTTGCTGAGCCTATCTCATGCATGAAGGCATTTAATTCTTTTGTTTAGTTTAAGTGTTATGATTTGTATCAGTTAGATAGCTTTTAGTTGCAAGTAACCAAAAACCAAATATAAATAGGCTGAAACAAAGGAGTAATGTATTGACTCATATATACGAAAAGTTCAATAGATTTGGCTTCAGACAAGGCTTTATTTAGGGCTCTAATCATATAAATAAGGGTTTCTTTTTCTCTCTCTCTTTCTCCGTCTTTCCCCACACCTTCTCTCTATATCTATTTCTATCTTTCTCTCCCCTTTACTCATCTGACCCCTTCCTATGTTGACTTTATTTTCAGGTAGGATGCATTCCCATGGTCTTAAGATGGCTAGAGAAAGATCCCAGAGCTACATGGTTTCTTGTTCACTTTTAATGATGAAGCAAGTCATTACTTAAAGTTTGTAAACTGAGTCTTGGCCAGACTTGTACCATCCTTGAACTACACTTGCTTTCTCAACATCCATTTGCCAATTTCCCTTTCTGAACTGTTGCCAGCATTTCCCATCAACATTTTATGAGTAGCTTTGGCAATATCCCTAGAAATAGATTCTGGTTGACTCAAGCCTATTGACAGACTACATCAACTATATTATGATGATTGGTTCAAGGATAATCCAAGTCTGGACAAACAGGACCAAGACTCAATTTCTGAAATTTGAACAATGACTCACTTTAACACTAGAGGTGTTAAATGTAGTCCTTGATTTGGTAGTAGAAAAATTCTATTACATTTTTGCCTGGATTTTAGAGAATTTTGATTTAGTGTGCATAAAGGGTTAAATGGGTAAGATAAATAATTAGTGGATTCTCACACATATTCTTAATGTGCCCATTTCCAACTTGTTGAGTGAAGATTTTCTGACACTAAAGATCAGGGCTATACTTAGAAAATTTAACAATATGTTATAATTATAATATGTTTTAAATTATTTCTTTTATCCTTAAATAATAAGCATTGCTGTTATTGCTTAAAATTATAGTACCTCATTCAGTATCCTTTTCATGTTTCATCCTGATATACATCACTGTGAATAATTAATGCATTTTATAGTATCTATGAGGAAACTTAATTATCTCAGAAAAACTATGAGCATTATTGTCCAAAACATTAGGGTAAGGGGTTATAATCCTACATTAAATTCAGTTCAATGTAGGATTATATGTTAACATAGAATTATATATTTAGATTTTCCAATACTGATTTACCAGACTCAGTGAGACTGTTCAATCAGTATTTGGAAAATTTAAATGTATATTCTGTATTTTAAAAAATAAATAACTCATTATAACATGAAAGGTCTTCTCAATGATTTAAATATATCTTTTTGAATTTTAAAAAACATAACAATTTTTCTAAAAACATAACAATATCCATGAGAACAATTTCATATGTCATAATCCCTTAGAAAGTAGGCCTATCTTTCTTGCTTTAACATGGGTGTATATCTCAACTCTTCTTGTAGGCTTCATGCCTGTTGTTAATTTATTATGGAAATGCAGCTGGAGAGTGTCATCTTGCTTTGCAAGGACATTATTCTGCATATTAAGAAGAAAATTAAGGCTGGGCGTGGTGGCTCATGCCTGTAATCCCAGCACTTTGGGAGGCCGAGGTGGGCGGATCACGAGGTCAGGAAATCGAGACCATCCTGGTTAACATGGTGAGACCCCGTCTCTACTGAAAATACAAAAAATTAGCCGGGCTTGGTGGCGGGCACCTGTAGTCCCAGCTACTTGGGAGGCTGAGGCGAGAATGGTGTGAACCCGGGAGGCGGAGCTTGCAGTGAGCCGAGACTGTGCCACTGCACTGCAGTCTGGGAGACAGAGCGAGACTCTGTCTCAAAAAAAAAAAAAAAAAAAGAAGAAAATTAATGTTAGGCCAGGCACAATGGCTCATGCCTATAATCCCAGCACTTTAGGAGACAAGCAGGAGGATTGCTTGAGCCCAGGAATTTGAGACTAGCCCTGGCAACATAGTAAGATCCTGTCTCTACAACAAGATTTAAAAGTTAGCTGGGTGTAGTGTCATGTGCCTGTAGCCCTAGCTACTCGGAAGGCTGAAGCAAGAGGATCACTTGAGCCCAGGGGTTTGAGGCTGCAGTGAACCATGACCATGCCACTGCACTCCAGCCTGGGCAATAGAGTAAGACATGTCTGCATTTTTTTAAAAAAGTAGTTATTTGATAACAAAGATACTTCTTAATAGTTACATAACATTTTACAACATACAAAAAAATTAATCCAGTTATGGTGGCTCATACTTATAATCCTAGCACTTTGGGAGGCTGAGGCAGGAGGACCACTTGATCTAGGGAGCTCAAGACCAGCCTGGGCAACTTAGCGAGACCCTGTGGCTACAAAAATATATACTTTTTAAATTAGTCTAGTGTGGTGGCACACACCTGTAGTCCTAGCTACTTGGGAGGCTGAGGTAGGAGAATTGCTTCAGCTTAGGAGTTTGAGGCTGCAGTGAGCTATGATTAAGCCACTTGCACTCTAGCCCTGATGACAGAGCAAGACTTTGTCTCAAAAAATATATAACATAACATATAACACAAAAAAATTTTAAAAAAGAATTGATACACATATCATACTTTGATTCTCACAACTATTTAAGATGATAAAGTTGTAGCTATTTTTTGTAGCTGCAGACATAGAGGCTTCCAGTGGGAGGTGACATAGGGGAGGGCATGGAGCTAGCACAGAGACTGTCAGCTCCTTGAGGGCAGGACAGTGGCTGGAATGTATTGGGGGCTCTGTATTGAATTAATTAATTATTTAAATCTGGGCTTAAATATGGTCTTTTACAAGTCCAGTGCCTCTTACAACTACACTATTATTTTGGTTTACATATTTTACATTACATATTTTAACAAACAGAGCCCATAATCAATTTGTTGGGCTCAGAATAAATGGCAGAAACAAAACAAAACAAAACAGAAAGCTCCTCGAGTGCTTCTGCACTCCTGCTTTGAGGACATTGGCTTATTACTGTTTTCTAATTTTCCCACCTTGTTTAATTGGTAATCAGTTTAGAGGCTCTCAATCTACAGGATTTTGAAAAGCATATGTCCCTAACAGAGAAATCCTTAATGTATTCAGATTTTTTTGTACATATTTCTTCAACATATTTTCTTTTTTGTATGCTTTTGTTGTCAAGAGAAAAACAGTTGAGATAAAACATGACTATTGAACCCAGAGGTCTGGACACAAAAAAGAGCCCACAAGGTGTAGTTCCTAGCAAATAGATACAAATTTAACAAATTGTAAAGAGAGGCTTTTCTTTAGAACCCTAATGCTGAGGCTGGAGGCAGGAACAAGATGCAGCCCAAGGCTTTCATCCCTCCACAGGTAGCTTAACTACTTCAGTTTCATCCTACGTGGTCCAACAAGGCCTGACAAACGGCACTGCAGTACAAGAAGCATCTCTCGGGCGATGATGCGCATAGACAGAGGGATTTTTTAGTCAATTGCAGGAATTAGGCTTTAATGCTTTATACTAAAAGACTTCATACCCCAGATAGTTGCCTGCTATCCACTGAATCTTGGCAGGCAATGAGACTGCTGAAGCTGAAACCGGGAAGCTATGTTAAGCAGATTTTCATGAATGTACAAAAATGCTTTATTTATAAAGCTACTTTTCTTTGTAGCAGTTCAAAATGGTTTCTTTTTCTAATCTCTCATTTTGGTCAACTCTCAGTCTCTATCAAAATTACTTTCCAAACATGCTGCTAAAGAGCCACAGAAGAAAATAATGCTCACTTCATCAAAAGTCAATGTTTTTGAAAAGAATAATCCTACATACATCAATTTAGGAGATTAAAAATGATCATGGTCTTTAAAAAAACTGTAAAATACAGAGAACGACATTAAATACTTTACCATTATTTGGAAGCTCTAGAGAGCTACACGCTTCATTTTTGGTTCTAGCTTTTGGCGAAGAGATCAGTTTTGCAACGAGGGGTGCAGAGATGGGCTGCACTAATAGAGAGGTGAGGTTTGATCGGCTTTGTCTAAAACTTTCATCTGTATTCAAAAGACAAAGGAAGATAATCCTTAGTAAACAGAAATTTAAAACACTTAAGGAAAAGTTATCTGTAATAAGTATTTAAATTATGACTGGTAAGTTTATATTCATTCACTTGTTTATCTACTCCTTAGTTATACCCTGTTTACTTATTAACATTATTTGAGATACCTCATAAAAATTTAGTCCAAATATAATGACATATCCTAGTTAAAGATGGCAGATTGCACATATGCACTTACCTCCATTGTCCCATAAAACTCCACTAAAATGATGACAAAAGAATGAGAAAGCATAAAGGTACAGGGGCCAGGAGAATAGATAGTAATAAGATTCTAGTTGGAAAGCAGATATGTAAGTGTCAGTGATGTAAGACCTGAGGGGGAAACCTAAAACCTAAGTTCTTAGTAGGGAAGCTGAGAATGCTGTTTGTACCACCGAACAAAGAAAGGGTTAGAAATTGTCAACACCAGGTACCTATTAAAATAGGGCTGCAAAAGAGACCAGAAACAGGAGGATTTGATGAAATTCTGATTGTGAAATGGCTTGTTCTCTGGAATCCTCATGTACCCAGTCAGTGTGGGTGCCTGTTCCTTCCTCACTTCAGCAGAAAACTGAGAGTGAGAGAGTGAACAGGGAGACACCAAATACAGCGAGAAACATCACACTTTAAAGAGGATGGTGTCGACCTGGTGTGGTGGTTCATGGCTGTAATCCCAGTACTTTGGGAGGCCAAGGCGGGAGGATCACTTGAGGTCAGGATTTCAAGACTAGCCTGGCCAATAAGGTGAAACCCCGTGCATAATAAAAGTATAAAAATTAGCTGGGTATGGTGGTGCACGCCTGTAATCTTGGCTACTCAGGAGGCCGAGGCAGGAGAATAGCTTGAACTCGGGAGGCAGAGGTTGCAGTGAGTCAAGGCCATGCTACTTGCACTCCAGCCTGGGTGACAGAGTGAGACACAGTCCCCCCCGCCCCCCCCAAAAAAAGGTGTCATGATTGCCTGGACTCCTCAGATGTTTTCTCTTTTGGCATACAGAAACCTTCTCTCCAGGTAGGGTAATAGAAGGTTCACTCTTAGCAAATATGATGAGATCAATAGAAAATATCTAAAAATACCAAAAACAGGTCTATTAATAAAAGAAACAACTCACCCACAACATCCTCCATTGAAATTCATCAGTCAATAAATCCCAGTCATATACAGAACTTCAAATCAACTTAATTTTGTTATCCTTAAGTAAGAGATCTCAGCCAAGGGCAACCCTAGGCCGGCCCCTCGGCAGCAGACCTAGTGAGGATGATGGCAGGCGGTCAGCAGAGCTGGGGAGGGAGGTCTCTAGGAAGACCAGATTAGTGAGAATACCAGATGTGTGCTAACATATTGAGAGAATATTTACAGTAAGATCAGAGTGTAAGGGTTTGAAGAATGTCTAGCTATAAAGAAAAATAAGAAATCTATAAAGGGAGACAATTATTAGCTTAAAGGGACCAAAAGTTGTGCAAGAAGAAATTTAATCATTGAACAATATGTATAATATTTACATAGTCATAATAATATAAATAATGACTGTTGATTTAACACAAAAATGATCCTTTTTAGGAAAAAGGAGAAAAGGGAAAAAGGCAGTGATGTACATGAATACTTGTGAAAGTTAAGTCTCTATCTCTCAAAGTGGTAAGTCAATATAATGGATAAAACTGAAAAACAAACTCCAACACATAACCGAGCAGAAGGAAGGTAAATATAAAAGGTAAGTAGCTACTAAAGATGTTAAAAACAATTACATATTTGCCCTGGGGAGTTAAAAAGAGAGGAGAGAAGAGACACAGGGTAGAGGAGGAGAAGGTGACATTTTTATAAATTAAACCTGTAGAAATATTTGACTATTTACATGAACTAAATGCATCTATAACTTCAAAAAATAAAAAATAAAAATAAGATAAAACAGTTATAATAACACAAGTACAAAAAAGTACACGAATAGAATAGAGATAATGGAGAGAACAAACTATGCTTAAGGAAATAACGAATACTTATTCAGTTTATATATTTTTACTGACTCAGAAAAGGAAATACCCAACAGAATGACTCTATCAGGCAGCCTGTGATGTTTTCAAATGCAGTGCTATATTTTTCAGAACTTTTACTAGGGAAAATAAGTGCTAACGGTTTTTCTCAGAATTTAATTGACGGGACTTCAGAGGGCGCAGAGCTTGATGATACTGGTATCCAGGCTACAGGAGGAGGTAGATTATAAATAAGAAAATATGTTACACGAGTGTTTCCTTAATTTATCATCTGGGAGACCACAAGGCTAAAATATTATATTTGGTTTGGCCTATGGCAGCCGTGGAAGTCATGGCTTTGAAGAAAAAATAATAAAGATTTAAGCTTAGAATCCATTTTGTTATATAAGAGCAGTGCTGGCCTCATAATTTCATTGCTCCCTTATATAGATAACAGTGCATTCGGACCACAGCGTAGGTCATTATTTCCCAACAGTTTTCATATTCATGGAACCACAAGTGGCTATATAATTTGCAGGACCCACAGTGAAATGACAATGTGGGACCTCTTGTTTAAAAAGTATGAAGAATTTCCATATGGCAATAGGAGAGCATTAAATCAAGTGTGGGGCCCTTTGGAGAGGGGACTCTGTGAGACTGCACAGGTGGCATGCCAAGGTACCAGGCCCTGCATAATTTATGTAGAAGAATGCTAATAGTTGTACAACCTACTGAGGTAAACCAAAGGGGATTTTCAGACCATAGGAGGCTGCTCTCAGCCAAAAGTGATGAGCCTCAAGTCTCCTACTGCTCCAGGCTGCACTTGAGGACAAATTGATTCATGTTTCAAAGCATAGACAATGTCTGTACAAACGCTGGGATAGCCATCTGGTTTTCCCAGTATGTGTTTTCTCTCTCAGCCATTACCTTTGGAGCTTTTAATGTGCATGAGATAATGAAATAATATTGATGCACAATGTGCTGTCTATCATTTCGAAGTTTTCATGATTGCGGAAACTTCTTAAGATGCTGTATGATTGTATCTCTCCCCAGTTCAAACACCAAACTCTTTAGCTTGCCATTCAAAGCCCTTCATGATCCCAAACCTTATACTTCAATATTACTTCCTATCAGTTTTCTTCATACATCTTAAGCAAAATCTTAAGCTATACCCTTACATACTCCATGAGCCACGTCCCCCATGTTTTTGCTTAAGCCATTCCTCTTACTTCACTTGTTTTTCTCATGCATCACATGCATCTAAAGTACTCAGTTCCTTCAAAGCCCAACTTACAAGTCATCTTCTACGTGAAGCTTTCTCTGGCAACCTCAGCTCTGTGTGCTATATCTGCACCTTTTTTTTGCAATGCTTGCTATTTTCAGTTAACATTATCACTATGTAAAATCACTGTTTGTTCCCTCTGAACTATAAATTCTTGAAAGCAAGGACCAAGTCACTTATATCATTGTATGATACACAATGCCTGGCACCTTGTCAGGTACATAACGGGAGTTCAATAATTAATAGTAGAAAAAAGAATCAACAATTGTTTGAAAAATAATCTTAATGCCTATGTCTTAATGGTTTTCTGAGTCCTGCCAAAATTGAGCTGGTGTACAATTGAAGAATAAATTATAATTCTATGCTTGCTATATAGTTATGCTTTCACCCTGGCTAACTAATACTCTCCCCCAGCAGACATATTAAATAAACTTTCAAAACCCGTCTATCCCTATCAATTCGCTGATTATCCTTGCCCTAAAATTAAGTTTTGTAGATAAAAAGTCTTTAAATAAATAAAATCATCTTTAAGATATATTTATGTTAATAAAAAATCAATAACTGCATTCCATTTTTCTCTAGAATGCTCTATTAAGCTTATGAAGCAATGCATTTAAATGTTAAATATGAGTGAACCCTAAACCATAATTGAACATACCCAAATCTTTGATTTTTTTGTGCTGCATGACTGATAGACTTGCATTAGTTTTGAAATATCTAAAGTAAGTGCCTCATTAATTTTTTACCTTCAGCTTAATGGAAATTTGACACACAGTTCACTTCTGAGAGCAGATACTAAAAGCAGGACTTTACAAGACACTAAGATTAAATTATAGACAGAAGTTATTTTTAAAACAAACCTATGTCTATTGAAGAAGAGCTGAGAGAAGAGTTTTATCTTCTTACATTATTAAGAGGTTTTGAACAAAGCTAAACACATGTACTATTTTTATTCAGTGATATTTTAAAGCGTATTTATGAACTATAAGAATCCATTAGATATGAGATGAAAATTAAATGGATTATGTGCCTCGAAAGAAAGGATACCATACAAAAAAGACTGCGACACTACATTTTAGCACTTTAACTTTTAGCTTGCAGCATTTATATCATACTCTGTACCTTGTTTATGCTTCATAAAGACTGAGGGGGACCAACTTTTATTTTAGTAGCTAGCTAATTCTCTGTTCATGTTATGCACTCTTTGTAATCCAGATAAAGACTCAAACAGACCCATTACGTCAATAATTCAATCCCTGATTCAATGCTACATGTGCATAGTATAATGAGAAAATTGGATAAACAAAGTCCTAAGCCTGACTCCATCATTGACTCACTGTTTGAAATGTTACAAATAAATAATTTCACTACGATACTATTGTCATCTCTACCAAGGTGACACCAAAGTGTCTTCACTATTGAAATAAAAATAGTATATTAGTTCAGAGCCATAGAGCCAAAGTTACTGTGGGTGAAATTTAGAAGAAATTAGCATTAAAATAAGTAAGTTGTGTTCTAATTGTACATCCTTAATTCTATTTCACGCTTTTTCAAACTGTTGATGCCCACTTCAATCTCATCTGGTTGGCTGTGTAAAGAAAATATGCTCTGTTAGTAACCAGTATATATATATATACTTTATATGTGTGACAAGATGGGATACTTTTAAACCTAATTGAAAAGTCAGTGTTGGCCAGGCGTGGTGGCTCACACCTGTAATCCAAGCACTTTGAGAGGTCGAGGAGGGTGGATCACCTGAGGTCAGGAGATCGAGAACAGCCTGGCCAACATGGTGAAACCCCATCTCTACTGAAATTACAAAAATTAGCTGGGCATGGTGGCATGCGCCTGTAGTCCCAGCTACTCAGGAGGAGGCTGAGGCAGGACAATCGCTTGAATCTGGGAGGCGGAAGTTGCAGTGAGCTGAGATTGCACCACTGCACTCTAATCTGGGCAAAAGAGCGAGACTCCATCTCAAAAAAATAAAAATAAAAATAAAGAAAAGTCAGTGTATTCAAGTGCCAATTAGCCAAACAGCATCAGGGAAGATAAACCTTCAGAGATGAGAAATCTCACATGCTGAGATGAAAGCACTGAGAGGTTAGATAAGATAAAAATGTGCTGGTTAAATAAAAGAGGGGCCTGGTGTGTTTTAATGATGATGGTGAATGAGAAGAATAACACAACTTCAGAATTTAGGAGTATACACAACTCAACCCTGTGCACCTCGTGTGTGTGTGTGTGTGTGTGTGTGTGTGTGTGTGAACATGAGATCCTTGCTACTCACTCAATGTTGTACAGATCCTTCCTATTCAATGTGTAGTCCTCAGACAAGCAGCATCTGCATGAACTAGGACTTACTAGGAGTGCAGAATCCCAGGTCCCACCCCAGGTCTTCTGAATCAGAATCTATAGTCTATCAAGATCCCCAGGTGATTTGTATGCACATTAGATCAGCACTGGCGTAAATCATTACGTAGTCATCCCTTGGTACCTGCCAGCAATCGGTTCTGGGAGCCCTTGTGGATACCAAATTCTGCATATGCTCGAGTCCCTTAAATAAACTGGCCTAGTATTTTCATATAACCTATCCACATTTTCTTATATACTTTAAAGCATTTCTAAATTACTTATAATACCTAATACAATGCCTACATATCATTTAATTCACATGAATTCAACATAGTACTCATCACGGAGAAAATTCAAGTTTTGCTTTTTGGAACTTTGTGGGATTTTTTTTTCCCCAAATACTTTCAATCTGTAGTTAGTTGAATCCATGGATGTGAAACACCTGGATATGGAGAGCCAATGGTATATTTTTTATAGTGTAATTTATATAGTTTATAAAATGACTAATACATAAAAAGAAAAATGAAAAGAAAAAAAACTGTATTTGCTCACCCTCCCCCAAATTAACTATATCAGTAAACCACAAATCAACAGTTCTCAGTCTCCTTCAAAATGATTAACATGTCTCTTTATAAGCTATTTCTAAATAACAAATTTGAAATGGACATAGAGGAAGTCCTAGCCAGAGCAATCAGACAAGAGAAAGAAATAAAGGACATCCAAACTGTTAAAAAGGAAGCCAACTGTCGCCCTTTGCTGATGACATGATCATATAAGTAGGAGACCCTAAAGACTCATCCAAAAATCTCATAGAATGGGTAAATGAATTCAGCAAAGTTTCAGGATTAAAAAATAAATGTACACAAATCAGTAGCCCTGCTATACACCAACAGCAACCAAGCTGAGAATCGAATCAAGAACTCAACCCCCTTTACAATAGCTGCGAAACAAATTAAATACTTAGGAATATACTTAACCAAGGAAGTGAAAGACCTCTACAAGAAAATCTACAAAACACTACTGAAAGAAATCATCGATGACACAAACAAATGGAAACACATCCTATGATCATGGATGGGTAGAATCAATATTGTGAAAATGATCATACTGCCAAAAACAATTTACAAATTCAATGTAATTTCGATCAAAATACCACCATCATTCTTAACAGAACTAGAAAAAAAAATTCTAAAATTCATATGGAACCAAAAAGAGCCTGCATAGCCAAAGCAAGACTGAGCAAAAAGAACAAATCTGGAGGCATTACCTTACCTGACTTCAAACTATGCTATAAGGCCATAGTCACCAAAACAGCATGATACTGGTATTAAGACAGACATATAGATCAATGGAACAGAATAGAGAACCCAGAAATAAAGCCAAATACTTACAGTCAACTGATCTTCAACAAAGAAAACAAAAACGAAAAGTGGGGAAGGGCACCGTATTCAACAAATGGTGCTGGGGTAAGTGGCAAGCCACATGTAGAATAACAAAACTGGGTTCTCATCTCTCATCTTATACAAAAATCAACTCAAGACGAACCAAATTAAATCTAAGTCCTGAAACCATAAAAATTCTAGAAGATAACGTTGGGAAAAAACCCTTCTAGACACTGGCTTAGGCAAAGACTTCATGACCTAGAACCCAAAAGCAAATGTAACAAAAACAAAGATAAATAGATAGAACTTAATTAAACTAAAATGCTTCCGTACAGCAAAAGAAACAATCAGCAGAGTGAACAGACAACCCACCAAGTGGGAGAAAATCTTTGCAATCTATAGATCTAACAAAGTACGAATATCCAGAATCTACAAGGAACTCAAACAAATCATCAAAAAAAGAAAAAAAAGAAAAAAAAACCACAAACACAAGAAACACAAGAAAAACACAAACAATCCCATCAAAAAGTAGGCTAACAATATGAAAAAACATTTTTCACAAGAAGATATACAAACGGCCAATAAACATGAAAAAATGCTCAACATCACTAATGATAATGGAACTGCAAACCAAAACCACAATACGATGCCACCTGGCTTCTGCAAGAATGGCCATAATCAAAAAATTAAAAAAAAATAGATGTTGGCATGGATGTGGTGAAAAGGGAACCCTTGTACGCTGTTGGTGGGAATGTAAACTAGTACAACCACTATGGAAAACAGTATGGAGATTCCTTAAAGAACTAAAAATATATCTACCATTTTATCCAGCAACCCCACTCCTGAGTATCCACCCAGAGGAAAATAAGTAATTATAAAAAAAAAAATACTTGCACATGCATGTTTATAGCCACACAATTCACAACTGCAAAAATAAGGAACCAGCCCAAATGCCCATCAATCAATGAGGAAATATGGTATGTGTATACCACGGAATACTACTCAACAATGAAAGGAACACAATAATGGCATTTGCAGCAACCGGGATGGAATTGGAGATCATTATTCTAAGTTAAGTGACTTAGGAATGGAAAACCAAACATCATCTGTTCTCACTCATAAGTAGTAGCGAAGCTATGAGGACACAAAGGCATAAGGATCATACAGCGGACTTTGGGGACTTGAGGGAAAGGATGGGAGGGGGTGAGGGATAAAAGACTACACATTGGGTACAATGTACACTGCTTGGGTGATGGGTATACCAAAATCTCAGAAATCACCACTAAAGGACTTATTCATATAACCAAACACCACCCGTTCCCCCAAAACCTATCAAAATAAAAATAAATACATAAATACATAAATAAATGAATAATCAGATGGTCAGAGAGCACTTGGTTTTGTTTTTGTCTTTTACTCAAAAATAAACTTGGTGGTGCAAGGATAAAAATTGCATTTATAACACTTTATTTCAGCCATGATTAAATATTACAATAGCTAAGTGACTTGACTTACATTTTTCATTTCTTGGTTTTTAACTATTATAATTTATTATAATAAAAGACTGACAAACTAAAAGTATTAATACTGTGGACTTACCAGAGAACCAAACAATCAGAGCTGAAAAAAACTGAGATTTTAAAACACATTTTCTGCTGCACTTTTATGAAAATGACCCAAACATCAATTGAACAAACTGATACCAGTGATGTTATCCTGGAATATTTTATTTGACTTTCTCCAGAGGGCTGCCACTTTGACAGAAATCAGACCATTAAATAACTGGCACAAATGTTTTTTCATTTTTATTTTAGCTCACTAAATTTACAATTATTTTTCTGAAATGACCAGTACACTAAATTGGTTAGTCATTTTGTTGTCCTTGTGAATACAGCTGATCCTTTATTATTTCAGTATCTTACAGCCCACTGTTATAAATATTACCATTTTCTATCAAGCCTAGTCAACGTCAGCAAAGTATTGTTTAGATTATTATTTAAAATGGAAACGTACTTTAAAAATGCTTTGTGCTATGCATTATTCTCAGAATAAAAGGAAGGGGATCAGTGACAATTTTCTGATGAATTAATTACTGAAGTTTAAATGAATAGTTTTGTTTTGTCTAATTGTAAGCCTAAAATTCATGATTCACGATATAAAATTTGAAACCACGAAATTGTAAAAATAAAGACATAGATGTTCACATCTTCTCATTTCATTGGTCCACCCCTAAGCAAAAACATCTTGCTATGCTCCCTAGTAAATATCATAATGCTTTAATACTTAACTAATGTGTCATAACAACAGTTATATTTATATTTACATTAAAGGGAGTGGAAAGCAATATTCCCATTTGTAAAGCAAAATATGCATTCTGATACTAAAAGAATATATAGATTATGCAGAGTATAATTTTACTTTTTAAAAAGTACTACACATTGATCTATATCTCTGTTTTGGTACCAGTACCATGCTGTTTTGGTTACTGTAGCCTTGTAGTATAGTTTGAAGTCAGGTAGTGTGATGCCTCCAGCTTTGTTCTTTTGGCTTAGGATTGACTTGGCAATGCGGGCTCCTTTTTGGTTCCATATGAACTTTAAAGTAGTTTTTTCCAATTCTGTGAAGAAAGTCATTGGTAGCTTGATGGGGATGGCATTGAATCTGTAAATTACCTTGGGCAGTATGGCCATTTTCACGATATTGATTCTTCCTACCCATGAGCATGGAATGTTCTTCCATTTGTTTGTATCCTCTTTTATTTCCTTGAGCAGTGGTTTGTAGTTCTCCTTGAAGAGGTCCTTCACATCCCTTGTAAGTTGGATTCCTAGGTATTTTATTCTCTTGGAAGCAATTGTGAATGGGAGTTCACTCATGATTTGGCTCTCTGTTTGTCTGTTGTTGGTGTATAAGAATGCTTGTGATTTTTGTACATTGATTTTGTATCCTGAGACTTTGCTGAAGTTGCTTATCAGCTTAAGGAGATTTTGGGCTGAGACAATGGGGTTTTCTAGATATACACTCAGAAATAACGCCACATACCTACAACTATCTGATCTTTGACAAACCTGAGAAAAACAAGCAATGGGGAAAGGATTCCCTATTTAATAAATGGTGCTGGGAAAACTGGCTAGCCATATGTAGGAAGCTGAAACTGGATCCCTTCCTTACACCTTATACAAAAATCAATTCAAGATGGATTAAAGATTTAAACGTTAGACCTAAAACCATAAAAACCCTAGAAGAAAACCTAGGCATTACCATTCAGGACATAGGCATGGGCAAGGACTTCATGTCCAAAACACCAAAAGCAATGGCAACAAAAGCCAAAATTGACAAATGGGATCTAATTAAACTAAAGAGCTTCTGCACAGCAAAAGAAACTACCATCAGAGTGAACAGGCAACCTACAAAATGGGAGAAAATTTTCGCAACCTACTCATCTGACAAAGGGCTAATATCCAGAATCTACAATGAACTCAAACAAATTTACAAGAAAAAACAAACAACCCCATCAAAAAGTGGGCGAAGGACATGAACAGACACTTCTCAAAAGAAGACATTTATGCAGCCAAAACACACATGAAAAAATGCTCATCATCACTGGCCATCAGAGAAATGCAAATCAAAACCACTATAAGATACCATCTCACACCAGTTAGAATGGCAATCATTAAAAAGTCAGGAAACAACAGGTGCTGGAGAGGATGTGGAGAAATAGGAACACTTTTACACTGTTGATGGGACTGTAAACTAGTTCAACCATTGTGGAAGTCAGTGTGGCGATTCCTCAGGGATCTAGAACTAGAAATACCATTTGACCCAGCCATCCCATTAGTGGGTATATACCCAAAAGACCATAAATCATGCTGCTATAAAGACGCATGCACACGTATGTTTATTGCGGCATTATTCACAATAGCAAAGACTTGGAACCAACCCAAATGTCCAACAATGATAGACTGGATTAAGAAAATGTGGCACATATACACCATGGAATACTATGCAGCCATAAAAAATGATGAGTTCATGTCCTTTGTAGGGACATGGATGAAATTGGAAATCATCATTCTCAGTAAACTATCGCAAGATCAAAAAACCAAACACCGCATATTCTCACTCATAGGTGGGAATTGAACAATGAGATCACATGGACACAGGAAGGGGAATATCACACTCTGGGGACTGTGGTGGGGTGGGGGGAGGGGGGAGGGATAGCATTGGGAGATATACCTAATGCTAGATGACGAGTTAGTGGGTGCAGGGCACCAGCATGGCACATGTATACATATGTAACTAACCTGCACAATGTGCACATGTACCCTAAAACTTAAAGTATAAAAAAAAAAAAAAGTACTACACAGGTAAAGTCTTTGTTAATATTAATTTGGGTCTTCCTTTCCAATTAGCTTATCCATAGGTACGGATCATCAGTAGGAAACAGGCTCAAAAAAGGTTAGAAAACTTTCCCCATGATTAAAAATATTTTTCTTTTATGTTTAGACATATAAACTCAAGATTTATATTGGTTAGGTACAATTATTTGGGGACAAAGGACTATAATATATGAGTTACCATCATTCTCTTCCCTCCAACAAATATGCTTAAATATGTATAAAATTTTGGCTATGCAGTTTTGGAGTTTGTGCTAAACTTGACAGTCAATTAAAGGATAATTTTTATTATTATGTTAAAATGTTTTGATTAATGTGTAGTTAAGCAGGTGTTAAACTAGATTTTGGCCATTATACAAGACATAAGCATGGTACTTAATTATATGTTAGTTGAAATCTAGTCTGTCCTATAATTGAATTGATTATATTTACAGAATTATGAGAATATATTTTCAAACTTACTTTAAATGGTTTCTATTGCTTTAGTACATATTGATATAGTCA
The DNA here is from genome assembly GCF_000001405.40 of Homo sapiens. Taxonomy (NCBI): domain Eukaryota; kingdom Metazoa; phylum Chordata; class Mammalia; order Primates; family Hominidae; genus Homo; species Homo sapiens. The sequence goes on along the minus strand of NC_000003.12, from coordinate 175,435,306 downwards.
CATCGAAACAAAGAACAATCCTGTATTTTCAAGTGGATGATGGTCATTAACGTGTTCTTTAAAGACATTTTGTAACCTGAACTTTCTACCCAAGAAACAAGACTTTCTCTGGTAAAGGGTTTTATCTTGCTAAGTTTATATTAATAAATTTGTCATTTTCAGTGAAAATTAAGATTTATAGCAGCAGTGGTAATATTTAGATACTGATAAATATTTTTTAAATCTATTTCAGAGAAAAAATTGTATATATGATAATTAATTCCCTACTCCACATAATTCTAAACATTTCTATTCTTTGGTATTCCTCATTTGTCTACTCCAAGACTATTTTATCCCCTAAAGCATTCTAAAAACATGAACATTTGGAAACAACCATAAACTATATCATAAGAAAAACAAACTAAGAGACAGATAAAATATCTAGTTTGTTCTTTACTTTGAGGAGAGTAGTCTAGATTCATAACTGGAATAATTGGCCATCTGCACATTACATGTAATATAAGCTAAGTAAACTGCTTCAGAGGCATTCCCCTGAGAAGCTTTCCATCTCTTACTTGAAGGGTATAAACATTGGAATGATTTGCAAAATTTCTAGCCTTGAAAAAAGACTAGTTTACATTTTTAACAGATAGCAAATAAACTATGAATGTGTTTTGTTCTTGTTGTTGTTATAAAAGTATGCAACCATTAATTCTTCATACCAGATCATAAGCACACATTATTTTATGAGACTGATTAAATGAACAGACAGAAGCTCAGTACTTTATTTCCAGATCTACTTATTTTTTAGATAATAAAAATGGAAAATAATTAACCCCTGCTTCCCTGATATAGATGTTGCTAGAATAAATGAGCTAGCATATATGAAGTACTTCTCAGATCTTTGCAGTTTCCTGTTTTTGACGTGGAAATATTGACACAAGAAAAGAAGACTGGCCTGGGGTTCGGAGACCAGTATCTGGCCTTTGCTTCACCTCTAATTAGGAAGTGACTCTGGGATAGTTTTCCACATCTTCTGAGTTCTTAAACGCATCATATATACAGCATTTTCTTGACATTAATTTAATAGAAATCTTTCCATTTTCATGTTGAAAGAGGCTCTTTGTAGTTACATGCATACATCTAAATTTGAGGTGAATGTCTTACTATTATTACAGAAATGCCCCTCATGTTTGAAATGGATAGTGTAAAAGATTTCAATATATTCCCTTCCTGGTTTCTTACAATATTATTAAAATTAATTTTTGCTCTTAGTCACATGTAGAACTGTGACCTGATTACCACTCGTTTCTTGCTGTAGTGATGGTATATAGTGAGAGAAGATACACTTGGAAGAAAAAATATTGGTATTCTAAAACACTTGCCATGGGAAAAATTCCCTTGGTTAATGAGACACAGATTCATCATTTCATCATTGAAAAGTGTCTCTACAGAGAACTCCAGTCAGAAATATTCTATTAATTCTTCCTCTGAATTTATATATATGAGAATTTTCTTACATAAAAGTTCTATAATGTGGTGAATGTAATTTGGTAAGTTGTTTTGGATGTACATTTCTTCGAAGTACTTTATGAAATGGAACCCAAATTCACATCCAAAAGAGAAAAAAAAAGGCTAGGGATAAAAGTCTAAGGTAATGCTTTGCCTACTTTCTTATAAGGTAATATTTTTCAGTGTATCAAAAGGTTATTTTACTTAGTAATGAGTTTTCTTTGAAGTCACAGCGAAGGCCATAGTGGCACAGTTAGAGACATGGCTGTGCTTAGTATAGCGCTAATGGTCCTGTTAATAAGCTAGGGTGTTCTTAAGGGATAGGAATGGTATCTTTGTTAGTTCCCGTGTGCAGGACTTCAAATAGCCCTATGCACAGTCATCTTTTAAAAGCATTTCCATGATAATGGAGCTTGAACAAAAGTCTAGATTATTCACATTGCTCAAAATGTTCTTTTTCAGCTCCTTCATTTAATCTTCTTCACAACCCAATGATGTTATATTACGCCAGTGCTACATTTAAAGAATGTTTTGTGTCATTCTTAGTCAACACTGTGAATGTTTCTTAGATGAGGTAGGAAATGAGTGGGATGTTACTGGAAAAGAAAAAGAGTCCAAGAAGTTATTCCAGAGCAAGAACAGGTTCCTGTCTGGCAGCTCTATTTGATTGTATATTTGTGGCTTGGGATGGAAACAGGGAGCAAACCAGAAGAGCTGGGAGACGACTGGAAAATGCAAACATACAGCTTCATGACTGCAACTATTTAATGAATGAAAGAGATAAAGTAGCCGGAAAATCCCAGGTCTTGGACCAGGAAATGTGAAATGAACCAGCAAAGATGCTTCAGCAGGCCTGAAGAGACTGGGAACACCAGATGAAAGAGAACAGGTACCTGTAAAGAGCAGTGATACAGTCAGAGGAAACAATAAAAGTAAGTTGCTGATGAATAGCTATCAGAACACATTCCCATGAATGCTGAGTGGTCAGCATGTCAAAGTCCGGCTCCATTGAGCAAGATTTTTGTCTCTTCATGGGAAAATAAGAAGTGCTTTTAAAGTAGTGGCTAGAGCCCTAAAAAACAATTAATAGAACTCTTCTCATTAGCTACATCTGGCATAGAATGAGCCTGGCTTTGACAGGGTTTTTCCATATATGTTTCGAACTCTACAGAAAATGACTGTAGGGGAGCTGATTCCAGGCAAAAGAATCAACATGATTAAATGAGCTGTGGGAGGAAAATAAGGCTGTGAAAAGGGAATGGCAAGGAGCCAAGGTTAACCGGAGATGACTACATATGGTGTTGATTAAGACTAAAATTATAGAGTCTTTATTATGGTGGGTTTTATATATTAAATTAAGAAAACTGAGTAAGTACTGGGAGATTTTTATGGAGTTTTAAGAAGATAATTAGTACCATCAAAGGGGATTTTAGAAGTTTTGATTTGAGAATGATATGCAGAAGGAAGAGAACTGGAAAAATTCTGTTTCACAATGTATTGTATTCACAAGGAAAACAGTAAAAATAGATCCCATTTGTACCAGGTGCAGAGCTTGATACTTGGCATATATTGTCTCATTCCATTTTTACACTTTATATATGAGGGTCCAACTTTTCAAACTAGTTATTGTTATCTTCTTGTGATAGAAATAACTCTAAAGCTCAGAAATAATGTAATGCTAAGAGTCATATGGCTGGTAAGCTATGCAGGTGAGATCAGAGTCTACTTCTTTTAGCTTTCAAAATTAAAATTCTGATGTCATTACTGTTAAAAGCTATTTTTTTTTCTCAACAAGAAGTAATAGCTGCATGAATTAGGATGTCTCGACACAGAAAGGTAAAGATCCATGTGAAAAGTCTGGGAAAGGAGAATGGTCACAACTTGGCAACCCACTGAACAGAGTAGTGGCAATGAGGTAATTAAGAGAGAAGGCAATTAAGGTTTCAGTCCTGGATGAGTATAAGAATAAAAGTCCTATTAATCACACGGATTCAGTAGGAAGACTTGCCTGAAGGGAAAGAAGAGTCAGAATATTTTAAATAATTATATTTAGTATTTGGCTTCATCAGACAAGTATTACTATAAAGCCTATAAATAAAGTAAAATATCCTGACCTGTTCACACAGAACACTTCTGCATACAAAGAACTTTTGACTTTCACTGCTTGGTCATAGTCCACACGTTACTGTGAATCCCATTGGCTGTTTTTGGAACGCTTTGCAAATGCCTGCACGCCGACATTCCTTAAACTGGAGTTTCCCAGGCCATAAAGTGAGAATAAAAGCTGCCTAATACTTAGCTCATAGCAAAGCTTGAGGATGAATGAGAATGCTTATAAAGTGCCTTTAGCTCCACAGAAGAATAGGTACAATATAAATGAGTCACATTACGCCAGTGACAAATACTATCCATAAACTGTCCAATAGAACTAAACAAACAAACAAACAAACAAACAAAAAATCTCTATTGCTCCTTCTGATACTGCATATTGTCCTGCTACTGCTTTTTTAATTCTTTTGAGGTTCCCATGAGGAAAGAAAATTGACATTTCTGCAGTATGCCCAACTCGTGAAGTGTACAGAGATACACAAATCAAACAGATCATAGGACAGGCTTTGCTCACTTTCTCACAGTATGTTTGCCGTGAAATGAAACAAAAGAAGTGACACATTTGCAAGGTTGCTTCGAAGAAAATATTAATCATATGAAAGCAAGATGGCTATTTTTAGAAAGTGTGCTGTTAAAGTTGAATCCATTTTTCAGTACAAAAGACATCAACTATTTTCTGAAGGCATTCAGGACTTATTTGAACTTTTCAAAGATTTCAAAATTATCTCAAGTTTCAATAAAAATATCAATGAGATGCTAGATTTAAAAGATTCAGCATTATACCTATATCACCTATATACTGATCTAAGGCTGATATTAAAATTAAGTGGTTATCCATAAGCAACAGGAAATTATAAAACATTAACTAATGTCAAACTAATGACATAGCATTATATAAAGACTCAATAGTCTAAATCTGCATTATAGTTATCAATAAACAATGTCCAGACTTTTTAGATATAGTGTGAGAATAAACATTTATAGATAGACTTCTGTGCTACTCTCAGATATTTAGCAATTTATTGAGGCAGGAAAAACTGAGAGAAGAAATAATAACGTGTAGAGACACAAAGTTAGACTTATTCAGTGAATCTGCCTCTGGATAACAGAGATGTAAGTAAGATGTAAATATGAAGATAACATCAGCCCATCCTACTGATTTTAGCTGGAAGACAAACTAGAGTTATATAATTTAGTTAATAATATGAAAGAAAATGCCAACAAAAAGATGAAATATTCCCTTTAATAATAAGATTGGAATCCCAAAGTTGTGTACTGAATACTTACAATTAGGGTATATTTCAAAATAATGCCATAGAGAATCTTTAAATCTTCATTGCTTTCAAGTTTCCAAATTAACACACATATATAGGTTAACAATCATGTATATATGTATATGTATGTATACACATATGCGTATATAACTTAAAGAAGAACTTTATAATTTTTATAAAATATGCAGGTTAATTACTATAAAATGGTAGAATTTAGAATGGTAGTTCTCAATGCATAATTTAACGGCCAAAGAATATAAAATCAGAATATTAAAGATGAAAGGATCCACAGAATAATAATCACTGTTTCTCTTTGGAGGATGGCAGGGAATTTTATTAATTTTTAATTATCTAAGTAAAATACATAAAGCTGTTCTTATTATAAAAACAAGAACATTGAAGTTAAGCTAAAGACCATTTTGGCCATGCCCCACATTTTGTTTCCCTGTACTACCAAGAGGCACTCTCACCAATATAGTGTCTCCTAAATTTCATATTATTTTAATGCATAGAAAAATTTAAAATAATTGTATAATGTTATTATTATACTTTCTTTTACTTAAATATTTTCATACATATTACCCTGTGACATTTCTTTTTCACTCTGTAAGGAAGGCTTAAAGACCTCTTTATTTAAGTTTGCAGATGTTATTCTTTTATTATTCTTTGTGGATGTTGCATAGTATTCCATAATTCTAATAGTATTCTAATATACTTAGACGAATCTAAATTTTGCTATTGTAATAAAAACCTCCATGAATTTTGTTGCATGTACATCAACTTGCATATGTGCGAAGGTTTCCATAAGGCTGCTATGGAAAAATGGATTTGGGGTCAGAAAATATGCAAATTTTAAATTTTTATATATGCCAATGAATTGTACTCAAAAGTGGCTGCACCTGATTTTTCCTCTCGTTAGCACTATAGGATAGGACACATATTCCTATCCTCCAGAAACCTTCTAAGCAAAGGAAACTACATATGTAAAGGCCTTGAATTAAGAAACAGTATAGTGTACCAGAGGAAACAAAAGAGGTCATATGACTGGAGTGGTGCAAAAGAAAGTCAAAGAATTCATATACAGCATTTATAGCATGAAACATATCTTGTCTTTAAGAGCAAGGTAATCAGTTAGGTTTTCCTGCTCTCCCCAGGGCGTATCTGAAAAATTGAGAAATTAAAAAAATACAGAAATGCATAAAGAAGGAATATGTATATATATGTGTGTGTGTGTGTGTGTGTGTGTGTGTGTGTGTACATATATATATTACTATAGTCCAGAATTAACAGAATTTATGTTAACATTTTAATATATACTTTTATTCTAAAACAACACAATACAGATAAAGTTAGAGTCTTGTTTACTCCCTGCAGAACTACTGCCCTCCCTCCATCCCTCTCCAGAAAAAACCAATATCATTCATTTGGTTTCTTAAGCCCTTTTACTTCATACTCTGTATTTTAATATGTAACCACAAGCAATCAAAACTGTTAGGTTCTAAAACATGCTGAGTAAGGAACAAGCCAGATAAAAATAGATATACATAGTGTGCTATCATTTATATAATCTTAAAAATCAACAAGAGCAAACACTACAAGTTTTACACAGATGGCATGATCAGATTTAGGGTTTTGAAAGCTTGTTTATGATATATCAGAGAATGGATTGGAAGCTTTAAAAGAGGATGCAATGAGATGAGTTAGGAGGCAGCTATAGTTGTCCCAGTGAGAATTAAAGTTGGCTTTGCTCATGGTGGAGACAAGTGAGATAGAAAAAAATGGAAAGAATTGAGACTTAGGAGCCAGAATGAAGAAGACAGATTGAAAAGATGCAGGAATTGAGACAGAAGCAGGAGTCTAGTAAACTTCTAGATTGAGAGTGCCAGGAAAATTCTCCACACACTCCACATGCTTAGGTCACCCTGGGCTGAACTTCTCAACCTCATCCTCCAACTAGCCACTCAGATTTCTCACCTAAGCTGAAAAAATGTCCTGTCTGCTGGACAACAAACAGGAGTAGGTGATTCGGTGACTATTTTGTTATAAAGTGGAATGAAGTCTGAAATCTTTGAGAAATATATTACAGTCAGTAAACAATTCCTTCATTTCAGCATTATGTACCAAAGGAGTTTCGTTTTCTTCAAAAAAACTTATTGAGTACTTCCCATTTTCTAGCTATCTGTTAAAGGTACAGTAGTGAACACTACTGTACAGAAGTCAAGGTACAGAAGTCAAGCTGTATGCCATCAAGTACTCAGGTAGTTTTTTTATAAATATAAGATACAAAAACAAGTTTGAACATTTGGGGGTTGCTAGAAATGATCAATATCTAAATCTGGGGAATGATGACACAGCTGTAAAGATGAAACAGTGATCTTTATGATTTAGATTAGTGCCATTTATGTTCTTAATTGAGTACATGGTTTCAAAAAAAGGTGAAGATTACATTAAAAAAGAAATGTTCTGTATTAACACAGATGAACAGTTAATATGCAAAAGAAACAGGCATTATATGTCAACGTTTCTACAACTTCCAATCCACAAGAATTTAAATAATATGTTACAAGGGTATGATTCCAGCAGCATGAAGAACCTTAAGCAACATTTGGGTATGGATGAAAGTAAATTGAATTACTTTATTGTATTCCTACCTTAGAGGAGAAGTATAAAAATATGCAAATTTTAAAAATATGCCTATTGGAAAAGGCCAATGAAGTGTCAGTCATCTAGTCTAGAAAACAAGAAATGTAATATTTTTAAGAGAATGAAATTTACATTTGATGATGGCTATTCAGAGAGAAACAAAAACATTTCAAGTTATGAATTCCAACTAAATTATTAGCTGCCATTGTTGTAAAATCTTATTTGTGTTATCCAGAAAATTTGGCAAAATGTTGTATAATATTCTTAGCTAAATTTTTAACATATATGTGAAATATGCATCTGCCTTTGATCAGCAATTATTACTGTATATAACGTGAATCATTTAATAATTGTATAATTGTTTCAGAAAGAATGTAGAAAAATATATTCATTTAAATGTTTTGAACTTTTTTCATGTTCTATTTCCATAAGTGTAGGGATTTAAGCTGCTTAATTGCTGGAAGTACAAATGCCTTTGCAATATGCAATATGAGAAACTACCCCCCAAATCTACTAGAAATATTCTGATTCTTTCATCTATTCCTTTCTTCTGTTGTAAATTGTTAAAAACAGGCTTTCAGAGGGTTTTCAAGGTTGATTCAGTAGTTTGATTCTTTCTGAGTCCTAAGTCCTAAAAAGTAACTAAAGAACAGCATATATTCAAGAAATAACCTAACCGGTCACACTTTTTGTTGAGTCATAAGCCTTAGGCTACCAGAAGTGAAGTCTTTTGCTCTGAAGTATCTACCAGAGTTAAAATTAGTCTAGCAAAATCTTTCAAAAATGATTACCTACAGAAACTCATTACGTATGTGAACAGTCATCATGAGGTTGCTCAGGTTGCTTAGTCAGCACATTCTGTTTCCGGTCATCACAAAGTGAAGAATGGAATTGTGCATCCTACAAATACAGCACTCTCTCTGACACCATAATTATCAGCTACGAGCTGCATAGCTGCCGTTAGAAATAGGCAGCTGCTGATCAGCTAATCCTATATTTTTAAAATAGCAAACGAGATAAAGCTGTGAAGTTGAGTACAAAAATGCTGTTTGGCGGCAAAAATAATAAATACATGTTTATTATATTAGAATTTTTGGATACTGAACTTTGCATATGAGAAAGGATAAGGTTGGAATATGGTTTTATCATAGCAAGAGTTGGATTACTTTGCAGTGGCAACTGAGATTCAAACGTTGAATTGCCATAAATACTGTTAACACTACATACCTGTGCATACCCTTGCAGACACATTAAGTCATATTCACTTATAGTCTGGTATGTGAGTGTGTGGCATTGATTCTATATAGAAATAGAAAGGACATGAGAAAAAGGAATTCATAAACAACCTTGCCTTTAAGTGGACCTTACTTATAAATACATAACAATGATACAACGTAAGTCATTTTTGTTTTGCTTTGTTTTGTTTTGAGATAGAGTCTCACTCTGTCGCTCAGGCAGGAGTGCAGTGGCCAAATTGTGGCTCACTGCAAACTCCACCTCCTGGGTTCAAGTGATTCTCCTGCCTCGGCCTCCCAAGTAGCTGGGATTAGAGGCACCTGCCACCACGTCCAGCGAATTTTTGTATTTTTAGTAGAGACAGGTTTCAATACGCTGGCCAGACTGGTCTCGAACTCTTGACCTTAAGTGATCCGCCCGCCTTGGCCTCCCAAAGTGCTGGGATTACAGGCATGAGCCACTGCACCCGGCCATAAGTCATTGCTGATCCACAATATTTTTCACCTGGCCACTGAATATCAGAAGTAGCATTTCAGTTCTCTCTGACAGACTCCATGATTACTTGTACTCTACAAAATAAAAATCTGAGGTTGTCAACCCCCAAGTACTTTTTATCAATTATATCTTTCTCAGTATTTATCACCACCTAGAACTCTTATTTCCTCAGCTGAAAAACAAGGGGATACATTAGAGGATTACTTAAATATATTTATATTCTAACAAATATAGTACTTTGAGTATCTCCACATATTTAGCCACAACACAGATGATCCTAGGTCTTTCTTTTGTTTTCAATGTAGGATAAAATTATCTAGGAAACAGTGGAAAATGTTATTACTCTTTACAAAATAGAAGTCACACTTTGTTACATGACGTAATTTTACCAAATACTATCTAAATTCTTTTACTCTCTTATCTTATAGATACAAACAGAAATGGTAACCAGAGGCCACAGACTCCAATCCCCTTAATGACCAATGAGATTAGTGTTCATGTTTACCTCAGCTATAGTATTAAAAAAAATACATCTAAATTTATGGCAGATGTTTGTCCTGGGTAAACCTATTATTTTCCATTAATAGAAATATATTGTATTTTCATGATGAATAAAGTGTTTCATTTTTAATTGTATTTTATAACTTCAGAAAGCAATGCTGCTTGATGGTAGCAGGAGGAGTGAGGAGCCAGGATCAGTAGAAAGGGCATAAGGTTAACAAAATTTCCTATTAAAATAGAGCATCTTGAGCATATAGGATTTACAGGAGATCACTTTTACACATATACCTCTATTTGTATGTCCTACAGAACCTCACGTTACATATTTGAGCTTATTTTCCTGCTTCACTTCTCCCCATGCTTCTCCTCTACTCCTCTACTGATACCGTATTTGTGAATGGTTCCACAATGCTCTTAGCAGAAGTCTAAGGCAGAAAATTCCATATCATCATTTGATCTGTGACTTTCCCTCATACTTAATATCCCACCAATCTCCAAGTTCAATAGATTTTACTTTCTAAATATTTCTTGAATTTAAACAGTTTTCTTTATCCTCACCTCCCTACAGTAGTTGAATTCACCACCATGTATTGGCTGTATAGTACGTAAGAGTCTCCAAATTCCAGGTTGCAGAAGAATTATTTACCTCAGGTGTCTATTTAAAATTGCAAGCTTTCTCTTAAATCATAAGTGAAGGAATATGGTGTTATTATATGCCACCCAGATATTTATGTGGCAGTGCTTGGCCTTTCTACACTGTTCTGCAATTAAGACTATGAGGGCACATAAAAATTAAAAATAAGAAAAATAAATTCCCAAAAGAACAAAGCCGGAGGCATCACGCTACCTGACTTCAAACCATCCTACAAGGCTACAGTAACAAAAACACCATGGTACTGGTACCAAAACAGAGATATAGACCAATGATATAGAACAGATATAGAACAGAACAGAGCCCTCAGAAATAATGCTGCATATCTACAACTATATGAACTATATGATCTTTGACAAACCTGACAAAAACAAGAAATGGGGAAAGGATTCTCTATTTAATAAATGGTGCTGGGAAAACTGGCTAGCCATATGTAGAAAGCTGAAACTGGATCCCTTCCTTACACCTTATACAAAAATTAATTCAAGATGGATTAAAGACTTACATGTTAGACCTAAAACCATAAAAACCCTAGAAGAAAACCTAGGCAATACCATTCAGGACATAGGCACAGGCAAGGACTTCATGTCTAAAACACCAAAAACAATGACAACAAAAGCCAAAATTGACAAATGGGATCTAATTAAGCTAAAGAGCTTCTGCACAGCAAAAGAAACTACCATTAGAGTGAACAGGCAACCTACAGAATGGGACAAAATTTTTGCATCTGACAAAGGGCTAATATCCAGAATCTACAATGAACTCAAACAAATTTACAAGAAAAAAATCAAACAACCCCATCAACAAGTGGGCGAAGGATATGAACAGACACTTCTCAAAAGAAGACATTTATGCAGCCAAAAGGCACATGAAAAAATGCTCATCATCACTGGCCGTCAGAGAAATGCAAATCAAAACCACAATGAGATGCCATCTCACACCAGTTAGAAAGGCTATCATTAAAAACTCAGGAAACAACAGGTGCTGGAGAGGATGTGGACAAATAGGAACATTTTTACACTGTTGGTGGGACTGTAAACTAGTTCAACCATTGTGGAAGTCAGTGTGGTGATTCCTCAGGGATCTAGAACTAGAAATACCATTTGACCCACCAATCCCATTACTGGGTGTATACCCAAAGGATTATAAATCATGCTGCTGTAAAGACACATGCACATGCATATTTATTGTGGCACTATTCACAATAGCAAAGACTTGGAACCAACCCAAATGTCCAACAATGATAGACTGGATTAGAAAATGTGGCACATACACACCATGGAATACTATGTTGCCATAAAAAATGATGAGTTCATGTCCTTTGTAGGGACATGGATGAAGCTGGAAACCATCATTCTCAGTAAACTATCGCAAGGACAAAAAACCAAATACCGCATGTTCTCGCTCATAGGTGGGAATTGAACAATGAGAACACATGGACACAGGAAGGGGAACATCACACACCGGGGCCTGTTGTGGGATGGGGGGAGGGGGGAGGGATAGCATTAGGAGATATACCTAATGTTAAATGACGAGTTAATGGGTGCAGCACACCAACATGGCACATGAATACATATGTAACAAATCTGCACGTTGTGCACTTGTACCCTAAAACTTAGAGTATAATAACAAAAAAAAATGGACTCTGAAATTAAACGGTTTGAGCCCGAAAAAAAAAAAAGAAAAAAAAAAGAAAAATAAATTCTTCTTTGTGCAAAAAAAGAAGAGACCCCCCCCTCCCTTTCTTAGAACATTTACCTTAGAATTCTTCTCTTTCCCTTTGAAATGCATGCAAATCTTTTTAAAAGCTAAATAAACCTCTTTCCAGTTCTACAACTCAGGAAAAAAAAAAAATATATATATATATATATATATATTTTTTTTTTTCTTAAGGACCTGGGAGCCATCTCTTTGAAATGCAATCATCAAGGAAGATAGTGCCCCCTATCTTCTAATTTCTGTGACAAGCTAGGAGCCTATAGTTTAGTTGGTGCCTGGCCCCAAGCTGCAAACCTATCTCCTGTCATAAAGTTATGAGAAACGTATTTTTCCTTTGGATAAAGGCAATTAGCAAAAACAGGTGGCCAACCGAATTACCAGGTGAATTTAGAATGAACTATGTGTTCAATGGTGCTGTCAAGTCCTCTTACCTGATGACTAGTTTTTGTTTATCTTGAGAAAATGTATGCAATGTGTTGTATCTGCTCAGCTTTATAAAAAGCTAAAAGTTATTTTTTGTCTCTGCAGTCTCTTTAGCAGATTGCCTGTGATGCACATCACGTTCTGGTTTAATGCTTATTCAACAAATAAAAGATTTTTTTTTTCTCTTCTACCTTTGTGGAGAAGATTTCTAGGTTGGCGGAGGATTTTGTTTTTAATTATATTTCTCCAACAAGAGACAGCCTTTATGTAAGGTTATTTTGATACTTGAAAAAGGTAATTAACTAAAGGACAGGAATATTGTATAGAGTGGAAAGACACTGTAGTAGTTTAATCCATCTTAGATATGCTTTAAGATTATCTATTTCATGCATTTCTGGGACATGAACAAGTTTAAGGTTTGGTCCTCAATTAATAAACTTTTCCAACTCTCCTCATTCTCTTCCCTATTATATCTTAGGAAGGACTTGTTTACAAAATATGTTGAATTTTTTCTTTTGTCCAAATCACTCCATGAGGTCAACGCATGATTTGCTGCCTTTTTATTCATTCCTATTTTGCTGGCATACTCAAAATAAATTGAAGTCTTTAAATATTTTAGGGTTAGGAAGAATTTAAAAAATCATCTACACGAATACTTCAGAGTCCTAATGGGATTCAAAGACATAAAAAGTAAAATCCAGGCTCCTCAATATAGCCTATGATGGGGTGTGTCCTTCCTGCTCTGGCCTTATTTCCTACCACTGTTTCACTTTCTCCTAGCCTATTTGATATTTTGCTATTCTTCAATCACAGCAGACAAACTCCTTCACCAGGGTATTTGTATTTGCTGTCAGAGGCCTATACTTTGCTTCAAATGTCTGTGGATCACACATTCATTTCCTTCAGTTGTCTTTCTTAATGTTATCTTCTCTATCAAAGGCCTCCTAAATAATGCAACAAAAGTAGCATATATAACACCCTCCCAGGCACATCCTTTATTCCCTTACTCTGCTTTAGTTTTTTTCATAGTATTTATCATGATCCTAACTTGCATTTATTTGCAAATAAGTAAATCAATGAATGAATGAGGCTGTAACAAAAAAGTATGGCTATCCCAAAGTTACTTTGAATGTTTGCTTGCAATCTGTATTTTAATTTGTTTGCCCTTCTGTGTACTCCTCTGTAACACAACAAAATTCTTTCAAATAAAATAAAACAGGAATCCAAGGATTAATTCAGGGGACAATCAGACATTATATTCTCACATTATAGCTAAGCATAAGAAGGTAGATAGGTGAAAATGACCAGCGGTTCTTGAACTTTAGTGTGCATCACAGTGACCTTGAGGACATATTAAAATACAAATTTCCAGACACCACTGCCAGAATTACGATTCACAAGGTCTGGAGTGGAGACTGAGAAATCACATTTTGATTAAGTTCCTAGGTAATGCTGCTGGTACTGCTGCTGTGTGAACAATGCTACGAGAACCATTTGAAAGGTAGAGCATCTATAAGTTGGTATTTCATATTTATAACCACTTTATCCACCCTAGGAGATGGCTCTTATGTGGGAGTGATGCCTGTGTCTGAACTGTATATGGTCTCAAGCAGTAACAATATATATACAGAATGATTTAAGAAATCATTCTTGATATTTTATAATTTCTTTATTATGCAAAGAAAACTTAGAGAATAACTAAATGCAACAATCAAGAAAAAAAGCACGATATATTCTATATCCGTTCCAGAAATATATTATAACTTCTAATTAAATACTTCTAACCTCTAAGTATGATCAGAATATTTCTACTCAGATATTATGAGAAAAAAATTGAATCACTTTTTTATGTGGATGCAGATAGGCAAACATATATACTAGGAAAGAATGGTAATATTTGATAATTTAACAAAGGTCTTTCACTGGTTTTATTGCCAGTTAGATACAACCCCTGACCTGTTTTTAAATTCCTTCATCAAATAAATAACTGTGTAATAATAAAATCTAAAGGAATTTTAAGAGATTGTATAATCCAACCACTTAATGAGCTGTTTGAGAAACAGGAGATGTTCAACTTTATAATGCTTTTCCAATATGGTCATTAGAACTTGGATTGGTATGGAGTTACTTTTTTAAACAATTATCTTTTCAAGAAAGGCTTTTTAAATTTTTTGTTTATTAGCTTTGTTATATGCTGGGCTATTAACAGAAAAAAGTTTTCAAATTTGGAATTCACTGGCTGTATGTTCCAAAGGAAACTCCAAATTGAAATAAATGTTGACCTAAACTGTAGGTCTATCACCTTACCTTGTTTTAACGAGTATGCTCAACTCTGAAATACTGAACCATTTTATAGAAAAACAAAGTTGTAATCATTCAAAAATGTGTCATCTTATTCTGTGACCCTTCAGGTGTAGAAGAATTTAAGTTCAAATATGCAAACGATACCATCCAACCAATTCTTCTCTCAGCAGAGATAGACGATGAAAGTGCCAATCTAAACAGGACTATATAGTAATCAGGCTAAAACATGCAGAAGAGACAAGAATCATTCAAGTACTTCAGAAAAGAAACATTTCTCTCTTTTTTCATGAAAGTAAAGGTATACAAAATTTTAGAAATCATCTAACTGCGGGCATCTGTATATTTACAGATGGGTGATGCTGATGATCAGCCCTGGTTGAAAAATATTTATTGGGTTAGGTCAATGTCTATATTTTGCATCTGAGAAGACTGAGGCCAACGATGTCTGCTCCATCCCTGAACTTTCATTAAAAAAATTCAGAGTATTTTTTATTCTTCAGATAAACCTTGCCTTTGTAGTCCTTGTGTCTAATTGGGTCTGGGACCTTCTACTATAACTGCTTGTTTTATTGATTTTTCTTTTCTTAAAAAAATTGGACACTGGAAATATCACTTCTTCTATGAAGCATACTGCAATGCCACCTCATAGTCAAATAGTTCATCCCCAGCTACTGCATTCCCCAATATAACACTCTTCTCACTTTTTTTCTATATTCCAGACTCAGCAGAAATTTCTTAAATACTTATATCTAGGTCATCATGGGAAAATGGGCAGTAATAAAAGCACCCAGAGAAGGCACAGAGGAACAAAACGGAAATACGATGGCACTATTTTGTTTCCTAATCTTTATCAGGTCTCTCTGAGAACACACTTGAATTAAAATGAATGTTACCTAATGATAGTATATTTGCTAAATAATATGCAGTATACTGGAAGATAGAAATGGTTGGATAATTTTCTCCAGAAATCTTCCAATGCAGGATTTCTAGTAGACCACTTCATAATTTCATCTGTTTATAGGCTTTTGTGCTTATAATAATTTTTTGCTATAATAATTTTTTATATAATTTTTGCTATAATTTTTTGCTTATAATAATTTTTAAAATTATTTTGAGAAATATAAAACAGAGGACATACAAGTATATTATTGAAATATTTATATCATACTGACTTGTATCCAGGTTAAACCTAATTCAATTTATCTACCTGCTTCAGGACAAGAATTTCAAAAACCCTTGTCATATGCAACTGAGAAGGATACTTGAAATGACCCCTCCCCCAATACATTTTTCCCCAGAGGCAGCATGTAAAATGATTATGAGAATTCACTCTGAAGCAAAACTGCTCATGTTTGGGTCCCAGCTCTGACACTTGACAGGTCTGTGAGCTAGAGTACACTATTTAACCATTCTGTGTATCTATGACTCCAAAACATAAAAAAAAAAAAGAAAAAGAAAACAGAAAAGTGATGATCACTCAACAGGAAGGTTTATCACATCTGATACATGTGAACTGCAACAGACAAGCTGGTGGTTGCCTGCCGTTGCTCTCGACTGTTCAAAATTCAAGTGTCTTTGAGTCTCAACACAAACTTTAAAACTATAAAGATTTAATTTGAGTGCCTGAAGCAGAACTATTGTAGAATCTCTTCTTTTTCAAAGCAATATAAAACCAAGTGGAAAAATAGCCTACTGTGATATGTGCTCCTCTTGCTTTCCAATTATCTGCCCCCTCCCCTTTGACCATTATTGTCATTGACTTCACTATATTTCATCGACCAATACCAATTAGGCTATTATGTAACTATCACTTCTAAATTCACAATGAAGGCTGGCATGCCATCTTCCACGGATAATGAGAAAGTGAACCACCTAGGCTACATTACAGGTTTTATACATATTTATTTTATGTGATGCATTGCTCAGAGAAGGAAAAATTATACTTCCTATTCAATCTCATGAAGTTCCTACTTCTAGAAACATTGATCAAAGATGTGAACATTTAATATACTTTATAAATTGAATACAACCACAGATTACTCATAGGAAGCTTACATTGAATCCAACAATAATGCATTGGATGATAACCTTACAAAAGTGGAAAACTTCTTTATTTTTAAAATTTGGCTGAGTATTTGGCAGAGGCCCCAAACTAGAAAACATGTATGTGTTACCCATTAAAAAGCTTCTTGCTCCTGCCTTGAGGCCATGTACTTGAAGTCTGCTATTTAGCAGACAGAAACAAATGTAATCTTTACGAAATCCTTTCCAAAATACAAAAAGTAGATTTTAATCATAACCTCAAAAATACCTAATATCCCCTTTCTCTTTTTCTCTTTTCTGGTCTCATTCTCCTATACTTCAGCTCTCCTTTTTTGATTTCCCAAACTCTTCCCAAACCCAGCCAATGGAGAATTCCCAGCTATCTCTCCTCATCTCCTACTTTACCTGTCCTGCTTATTTTGCTTGCTTTCACCATAACTCCACACCATTCCCAATGTCAATCAAGCAAGGTTCTAAGGAGCTCAATCCATTAAACAGATCTTCATAAAAAGGCTCAGGAGCCCATAAGAAAGGAGCTACTTTTCCATAGCTGGCTTTCAATACTCAATGTATTTTTAATATTTTTGTCACGTCACAGTGTTTATAGGTTTTTATTGATAAATATCAGAATGTTGGGTAAAAGATAAAACTAAATATGTGTTACACACTAAACATTTAATTTTTTAATGTCAGACAGCTCTGAAGTGCCTTTGTAAAGAACTCATTATAATCTTATTTTACATATGTTTCCTCTTCCTTATTTCAGTATTTTAGTTAGAATTTTTAAACTACAGTGCCAATGAGATAAAGCTTATGTTGGGATGTGGAGAGCTAATTGGTTTAAGTCTAAGAGAAATTCTAAAACTGAGATAATTACTGAATTGTTTTTTTTTAAAACTCATTATCCTACTCAGTAGAAATTAATATATCCTAACAATTTAACAAAAATAGTTTTAAAAAATTATTTGAAGGCATCGTTTATTCCAGTTGACAGCATTATGATGATGAGTATTAAATGCAAAACACTTTACTACTGACTATAATATTAATTTTTCTTCCAGGATTATTATTGAATTAAATAATTTATGATGGACGATTAATGTGCTAATTATGTCCACTTTGAGAATTAGTTCAATAATTATTTACTTTCTTCTGCTTCTGAGTAATTAATTAGAGTAGATGCATTATAGTTTACATTGTCTTGTCTCATAAAAAGAAGTTAGTATTATCTATTGAATATTTTAGAAACCAGTGAATTTTGCAGTTTTGGCACCTGGCTGGACTTTTTTTTTTTTTTTTCTTTTCTCTTCCTCTGTATTTTGGCTGCTTGTTTTCTGACTAATATTTAACCCAATTGTAACCAAATTTATAAATATTTTAATTATTAAATATATCATAAACAATTGCTTAGTGCTCTATAAAGTCCATCTTAACACTGATTTATCCCTCAATATTACATTTTTTAATTATTTTAAATTTCAAAGATAATATATAGTCACTTAACAACAATTCAAGTGACTCAGCATCATATATTTATTTGTTTTCACACATTATCATCCACATACATTCACGTATCATAGAATTGCAGTTTTCACACTTTTTTTTGCAATCATCTCAGTTAATACTTTCTCACTTCTGCAAACCTCATATTATTAGAAAATTATGTAATGCAAACAATTTGAATGTAGAAAAGAGCCTTAAGGGCTAAAAGTTTACACGCTAGTGACAAAAACTTTGTTCTTGAATTTTATAGCTATCTGTGTACAATTATGAAGCCTACTTTTACAGCATTGTAGTAAATGTAACTTCTTCTCCAAAGTAAAAAAGGCCTTTTTTCTACTTAACATCAGTGATCTTGTCATTAGCACAATACTTCTTAAATCCTATAACTGTTATCATTTACTGTTATGATAAACACAATTCAAAGTTACTAAAACAAAACTGTTCTGTTTCACATAAATTTTAATTCCAGTAAGGAAGTGGTGATTCAATTAAAACAAATAGCAGTCTTCAGAATGCAAATTATCTCTAAAAATTAACTAATTTTGCTATATCCAATTAAAAAACTAGTGCTTACCTTTATAAAAATAACTCTGTACTATTTTATAATTTACTTTTAATCACAACACAACACTGTAAATATTACAATAGAGCATTAAATGTTTTTTGTTTCAATGTTCTTGCCATTTTAGAAAACTATTGGAAGAATTAATTTTAGCAACTTTTTTCATATACTGATGTGTTTCTGTGAAATATATTTCTGATTGAAATTTTATTTATTTATTTATTTATTTTAAGATGAGGTCTTGCTCTGTTGCCCAGACTGGAGTGCAGCAGCATGATTATGATTTACTGCAGCCTTGAAATCCCAGGCTCACGGGATCCTCCCATCTCAGCCTCTCGGTAACTGGAACTACAGGTATGCACCATCATGCCCTGCTAATTTTTTTTTTTTTTTTTTTAAATAGAGACAAGGTCTCGCAGTATGTTGACCAGGTTGTTCTCAAATTCCTGGGCTCAAGCAATCCTCCCATTTTGGCTTCCCAAATTGCTGGAATTACAGGTGTGAGCCACCACACCCAATCTGAATTTTTTTTTTTTTAATGTATAAAAAAGTTGTTTCTGGCTATATATTGCCTAATATCTAGCCTGCTAGAAGACTTACAGTTACTTATAATATTAATATCAATGATTTAGCACACAAAATTTAAAACAACTTTACAATAACAGTGTTGAGATTTTCTCTTTTGTATTATGTTTTGCTATTTTCATAAGTTTAGAAGATTATTTCAAGGCTGAGTATTACTGTATGAGTTTGTATCTTATGCATGTGTTTGGTATTTTTTATTTAATGTTTGTTTAGTCTTTGTATTTCTCATTGCGTTATTTATTTTCTCACATTCTATATTTTCTACATAAATTATGGTTAACCTGTTTTACCCTGTTAGCAATGTAACAGAGTAAAATAACTAATATCTAAAAGATTACCCCCATCCTGATAGCAAGCAAGAGTACCATGCAGCTTAACCGAGTTGTTCTTTAGTGAATAGCTATCCAAATAGTATTTTTCCCCTCCTGCATCATATAACATACATGGAAAATATATTACAATGAAGTCCAATTTTTTTTTAAAAGCTCATCATCCATTCATCCATTAAATGGTTGCTTATTTAGAGCCACAAAAGTAATGACAAAAACCACAATTACTTTTGCACCAACCAAATAAATTTCAACACAATTATATGAACACACACACAGTATGTGGTATGCTATTTCTTTTTATTTTACTATTAGAACTATCTGTGTATATAAATGAGGGCAATTAGGCTTATATTTACTCAGATATATAGACAGAAAAGTCAAAAGGGAAAAGTCAAGAAGAAAAGTTTATTTTACAGTGATAATCCCGTAAGACAATTTTTCTACTTAAAAGTGTTTTCTTTTGATCAGTTGTAATGTTCATCATTTATTCCAAGTTTACTCTACATAGTGTCCCAGAAGGAGAACTCATCAATATTTAATCAGCTAAATTTCTTCTCATATCTTTTTGTCTTTGCAAAGTGAGCTGTAAGCATTTTCCTGCATAACCTCACATAATTTTCTTATCTTGTAACTCTGTAGATCCTTTACCTTAACCAATTTGGACTTGGATCTACACTAAAATCAAGACCACTTTCATGTTTGCTCTTTTGATATGTCTGCACCTATTGGCTCTTAGTTACCAGAGTTGAAGGAACTTTGAAATGAAACATTTCAAAGTCACTTTTTGAATAACATACTCTTGACTGAGACTGGCACTAACATTTTAACCTTTCTTTTAGCATATAATAATAAGGAGAAGACTTTTGACTTTACGTTTTCGAAAATCATTTGCTTTTGAGAATATTCAATATTATTGAAAGAGATGAATAAGTTTGTTGTTCAGAAAAACAAAAGCAAAACATTTCAAGGTGTAAAAAGTATATAGATCAGTAGTCTATAAGTAGCCCAAATTTGTATTAAACATCAAAAAATAGAGGGACCAAAAGATACTAAATATTTAAGAGGAATTAAACACACATAAGGTACCGGTGCACTAAATATTCATATACTAAAAATACATGAGCATCTAATATTCATAAAGCCTTAATTCACTATTCATCATTGACAAAGATTCTGGCTCCCTGCGTTTTTTCTCAAAGAAACACAAATAAAATCTATGACTGGTCAGCAGGCTGATTGGCAAACTATAGCTATGAGCCAGGCATACTGTTCCCGTGTCTTTCCCACAAAGCAAACACAAGTTATTAGGCTACCGTAAATCCCCCTCTATGGGCTCCTTTGTTTGAAACCACAACTCTAGGCCTTACAGCCATTTAGCCAATGGGGAAAAATGGATATGGCAGAGAGTACACACAAACATAGTGATATGGACAGAAGACAAGGAAACACTGGGTAGAAGACGGTGGTTCCCCAGCAAAGGCCCCAACTCTCAAGCCTGAAGACCCACAGTTCTAAATGGGGACAACAACAATAGTATACTCCAGAATTCAGGTATTTTGGTCTTTTCAACATGCTTGCACCTTATTTTTTATTTTTATTTTATTTTATTAATTAAAATAAACCTTTTAACCTATCCCATCTCTCTCTCCTTTGCTTCTCCCTATGTTTTAAATCGATTTAAAAACTATGTGATCAGAGCAATTTAATTTGGTCTATGAGTCTCTCTGTTCCATGACGTCCAGGTAGTGAAACTGGAGGCTGCCTTTGTCTCAAGGTAATTTTCTAAATGACAACTTTTATTTCAGTTAGTGCTCATATCCTCAACATTACCATATAGCACATGTTTGGGATTTTTTTTTTTTTTTTTGATGGAGTCTCGCTCTGTCGCCCAGGCTGGAGTGCTTTGGCGCAATCTCAGCTCACTGCAACCTCCACCTCCTGGGTTCAAGTGATTCTCCTGCCTCAGCCTCCCGAGTAGCTGGGCCTACAGGTGACGCTACCATGCCCGGCCAATTTTTTGTACTTTTAGTAGAGATGGGGTTTCACCGTGTTAGCCAGGATGGTCTCTATCTCTTGACTTTGTGATCCGCTCTCCTCGGCCTCCCAAAAGGCTGGGATTACAGGCATGAGCCACCGCGCTCGGCCTAATTTTTGGTAGTTTTAATGGAGTCGGGCTTTCACCATGTTAGCCAGGATGTTCTCCATCTCCTGGGTTTCACTGTGTTAGCCAGGATATTCTCCATCTCCTGACCTCAAGATCTGCCCACCTCAGCCTCCCAAAGTGCTGGGAGGCCAAGGCGGGCAGATCACGAGGTCAGGAGATTGAGGCCATCCTGCCTAACACGGTGAAACCCCATCTCTACTAAAAATACAAAAAAATTAACCGGGCGTGGGAAGCTGAGGCAGGAGAATGGCATGAACCCGGGAGGCGGAGCTTGAGGTGAGCCCAGATTGCGCCACTGCACTCCAGCCTAGGCGACAGACAGAGGGAGACTCCGTCTCAAAAATAATAATAATAATAATAATAATAATAATAATAATAAATAAATTAAATAAATAATCTGATTCCTTAGTATACCAGAAATTAGTCTGACCCAAAATGTCCCAATACTTGAAATAATCAGATGGATAATTTCAGAAATGGCTGATGTTTATTGAAATTTAACACAAGATACAGAAAAATGCATATGTTTTTCAAGAATTTAGAATTTTTTTCTCTTATTTTATTTACTTATTTTTGAGATAAGACCCATTTGAGCCTTATGTACTGAAGGAACTGATTCGTTAATGAGAATGTTCAAAACACCATCTGGGTATTTTTTTCTTTTGTATTTTGATGTTTCATAATGATAATGCCAAGCAATGAGATATGTAAATCTGCTCATTTCTTGGAAAGAAAAACTAATATCTAGGAGATAACCCCCATCCTAATAATAACAGGCAAGAGTACCACTCAGCTTAACTGAATTGTTCTTTAGCAAATAGCTATCCGAATACTAATTTTTTCCCTCCTGCATCATATAACATACACTGAAAATATTTTTACAGTAAAGTTCAATTTTTGTAAAAGCCCAAACATCCATTTATCCATTAAATGCTTGCTTCTTTAGAGTGATGTAAATTCCAACACAACAAAATTATATAAACACACACAAACTATACGCGTGCACGTGCACATACATAATCTATCTTTTGTGTCATCCTTAGCATAAAAAGGGGGGAAAAGACTGTAAGAATTGGTAAAGGGTGTTCCCACACTTGTTGAGACGTCAACTTAGAATAAAAATACGTTGATTATAATTCAAATACAAGAACAATGTTGAATTCAGACTGTCAAGTGACTGCTAGCCAGAATCAGGATTCTGACTCAGACAGAAGTTCTCCCTTTGGGCAGAGCCTTGGGCATTTAGAAGCAGCCTGCTATCTTCGATCAGGGTTTACAGAATTTATCTAGTCTTTTTGAATTTCTGGCTATGTGATCTCATAATTTGACTCTAGCCCTTCCTCTGCTTGGAAGTTGTAGAATAAGCTCTGGCATCTTGCAAGCAATCTTCACAGAGCCAATGCACAGTTAAGCTCCCAGTGGCTCTGATGAGTTGATCTCCCATTGTTGAACACAAACATTGACCAATTAGTCAGTGATACAACGTAATTGTTTTTAAAATAGTTCATTACCAGACAAAATTAAAATACTTTTGTTTCTGATTTTGGACATCTTAGCTTGTGACTGACTGGATTTCAAATGGACACAGTCATATTCTGCCCCGTTCATCCATCCCTTTTCTTTGTTACAAAATGAAATTTCTTCACATGAATCACTCTCTATGATTACAAGCATTTCTCCTTCTTGTTTGCTTATTCAACTCCTCCCTTATACAATTTTATTACAAGTTGGAGGTCTCCCAATTCTGTGTCTTAAGCTCTCATTACATTTTACTTCATTTTTCCCCCATAACAATTCCTCCACACCCAGGCCTTCAATTCGCACATCAATAGAGTTGACTCAAATTTTTACCCCCAGTCCGCACTCTTCTCTGAAAATCAGACCAGTATTTCTAACATACATACTACTTAATCCCTCTTCCTGAATTTTTGCAGGTATCACACTGTGTGTCAAATGTAAATTAAGAGCATAACTCAAAGCTGCTCTACTTCCTGCAGTTCCTCTTAATGCAATGTTCTTTCAATTCACCTATTTTTGCATGCAGAAACTAGTAAATTATAGGCCACCTCCTCTGTACAGTTTAATAGAGAACACTGCTGCCCCTTCCTGATACTTATCTGTTGATTCCACTCATGTGGTTTAAATCTTTACTGCTACCTCTCTATTCTAAGACTATAATCACTCTCGTCCAGAGCTTATTGACACACTCTTTCATTGCCCTCACTAGATCTGTTCTTTTGCCCGTCTAATGGTCCTATAACACCGCATCCAAAAGGACTTTATGAAACATAAATATGATCGCTATAACATTTCAATGGCTTCTTATTGTGATGTCTATCCCATTACCTTCACCCTCAGTTCTATCTTACATCCTGCTCTCCTTTACTCTTTGCAAAAAAGAGGGCGTCTGTCCACTTTTTCACGTTTGTTCTTTCACAGCATCGTAACCTATGCCGCTCACTGTAAATCTGAACCACCTGCCGAGTTCTCTAAGCTAAGGCATACTTATGCCTCAGATAATTGTTTATTACTCTCTCAGGAGAGTCGTCCCTGACTTTGACTTCCCATAAAAGTCTAGGTTGGGCTACCAGCTATATGTGCTTACTGTATCATGTAAATATGTTAAAATTCAACATTTTTGTGAAATTATTTAAGTGGCCATTTTTTTTTCCTCTAGACTAGAAGCTCTGTAAGAGCAAGGATGTTGGGTATTTTTGCTCACGTTTCCCAGTGCTTTAACAGAATGCCTGGCATGAGTAAGTCCTCCATAAACATCTGTGGAATAAATCAGTAGGTGAGTGTAAGAGAAGATCTGTTTCCTGAATTTTTCTTTGGAGTTCTTGGTTCTACATCAATTAGTGTTCATACAGAGCTTCTCTGTGGGTTACAACTCAACCATCTGGAATCTTTTAAATGAAACTTAAGAGATCATTTCAAAAGATAAACAACTTTTAAGAAATGTTTCTATTAAAATAGTGTATGTACATAGTTTCAAAAGAAGACTACAGTTGAGCTTATGATAAAAAGTAATCAATTACACGTTCTTCCTGTTGGACCCCAAGCCCATTTCCCAAAGGCACTGTCTTTAACTATGTCCACATTTAGTGCTTTTGGTAATTACTTTTATAGCACTATTTCTAGATTTATGAATTATTTAGACAATATAAATTTATTTCCTGATATACAAAATGAGATTTTAATTTAGGCTATTCTTTCCTATCTCTTTCCAAAGCTTAATCCTTATACAATTATGTTTGGTTATTTAGTCACTTGTCTTTCTACTTTTAAATAATATCTACTTCTTTAACTTCATTAACCTTCCATATTTCAGCAATATCCCCTGATTCTTCCCTTTGAATGATGAATTTTACTTTTAAAACTTTGGACTTTGTGATTTTACTCTAATATTTTGAACTTTCCTGATAAAGGTTATATTAACAAATGCATAATCTAATTATGTCAGTGTTCTTTCTCTAAGTTTATACATCATTAAATATGTCTAAAACAAGAAAAAATTGCTCTGAAAGTAAAATAGTTAACATGCTATACATATCTACTTTTTTTAATAACTGAAAAATGTTGAACTACCTAAATTAATGAATTTACAAGTCATCTAAAATAATTTGGTAAGTTCTTGGGAGGGAGATTGGTAAAAAAAATGTTTTCCTTCTGTTTGTTTAAATAACATAAATTACACCTAGATTTCTTGTAATCTTATACTTATATATATTATTTCAAGTAATTTATAATAAGGTCTACCTGAACTTAAATTTAACATACATATAGAATTTTCACAGGCAAGGTGAGTCAACAATATGGGTAAGATCCACTCATCATAAGTTATTGATAAATATCACTCAAAATGATGACTAAAGATTTTTAGAAGTAAAAATGGAATACAATCACAAATCAATGACATCCTGGACAACTTTTGCCACAAGTAGGTAGGCACTTAGCTCAATTAACATATTTATTTTCTTTCTTTTTTTTTAAAGTAACAAGTAAAAAAGAGAATCTCTAATGACTTTTAGAAATTTCTCCATGTCTCCACAACTATAGAGTTTATGGTTTAATAAGATTATGTTTTTAAAATAAAACATATAAGGTTGATATTCAGAATACATAGAAAAGGAAACACCTAGAGTTCATGTGGAAAAGAAAAATCTCCATGTGTAAAAAAGTCATTTAAGAAAATACAATAGTGGCTATATACATTTTAAAGTAGGAAATGTAATATAAACTAGATGGAAAATTAAGTTGAGTTGGACAAAGATATGTGGGTATAGTGTAAATAACTGTAAATAAAACCCAAGAAAATGAATGAGGCTTAGTCATAGTTTATGAATAAGTGTACTAAGATTCTATTAAAAACTCAGCAATCCATTCACTTCAATTTTCTCAACTTTTTCATCTATTTGACTACCTATTCCAGCATGTGATTGTTTACTGCCAATACAAAATGTCCTTTAACAGTAATTCATTCAAATAAGAGAAAAAAAAGAATAGAAGCACATTTTAGGATTTTGATAATGACAATACAAGGTCATTAAAGAGATGATAACATGTTTATGCCCCTCAAAATAAACAAGACCAATCTATTTTACCATAACACAGTCTTTATGATTATTCAAAACACATCATCGCAGTATTCATTCTGAAACATTATATACAATCTCAGTTTCTTTATTCTTTTGAAATTTTATCAGGTGCTCCAAGTGTAAACTGGATTCTTTATTATTTCAAAGGCAAGTGTCAAAGAAAATGGTCATTCCAAAGCAGTAAGAATGCTATCCTGGTTATGAGATATTAAATATTTGTTAGTTTTTATATATGTTTAAATTTTTAAATTTCTGTTTAATACACTAATAATAATTGTATATATTTATGGGATACAAAATAATGTTTTGATTTTTGTTGTGCATTGTAGAAGAATTAAATCAAGCTAATTAACATATTCATCACCTCACTAACTTTTTTTGTCCAGTGAGAACATTAAAAATCTACTCTTTTATCAATTTTGAAATATACAATGCATTGCTATTAACTGAAGTCATCATGCAGAGCAATAGATCACCAAAACTGAGTTCTCTCCTATAAATAAAATTTTGTTCTCTTTGATCAACATGTTCCCTCTTCTCATTCCTTCCCCTTTCCCCTGTTTCTGCTAACCACTTCTTACTCTGTTTCTATGAGATCGACTTTTTAAGATTCCATAATGAACTCATAAAGTATTCGTCTTTGTGAGAAAAAGTTACAAATTAGATTTTATTAAAACAATGTTCAATGACCAAATCACCACCAAGTAAATTAAAACTATTGGCAGACCATTACAAAAATATCATCTTATAATAAGAAGTTTCTAATATACCTTTTTAAGATTCCCATTAGAGTACTAAAAACTAGGTTAGACAACCTGTTACTAAGCTGTAACGACAAGACTGATGGAACTTAATCGTGAAATCAATTAGAGGTTCACTATAGCTTATTGGCAGAAAATAAAACAAACCGATTTACCCAGTTTCATGCATCCTGATTTAGAAATATAATCTATAGCATCCAGAAACCATTCCTCAATTGCATGTCTGTGACTACTGCAGTCCGAAGCCAGTGGACTGCCTTTCTCACTTTCTCCCTCTAGTGCTAAGTATCTCTTTTTCTATATTTATTTGCAGAAAATATTTCCTAGAAAATGAGTGAATGAAAGGAAGGGTAAATCACATTGCATTATAGAAATGTATTTTTCCCTGGGTAGTAGTAGGGAAACATCATGAAGGTAATACACATTGAGGTTTGTAATGTAGAAGTATATATAAAACATATAGAGTGCTTTGCTTTCCTTGAGATCAGATTATGTTAAAACTAAGTACATGGAATATAAGCAGATTCTTCTTTAAAATGAACTCAGCCACATTCTGTGAATGTCTGATACGTGCTAAGAATGTGAATGTCAACTGGGCATCAACCACCTATCAACCATATAATATAGCTTTGTTTCAGAATAAGCAAATAAGAGAAAAAATGATTTATCATGGAAATCAGAAGAAAATTTCAGATAACTAGCTGACACTTTTATTATTTTATTTTTTTCAGATGGAGTCTCGTTCTGTCTCCCAGGTTGGAGTGCAGTGGTGTGATCTTGGCTCACTGCAACCTCTGCCTCCTGGGTTCAAGCGATTCTCCTGCCTCAGCCTCACAAGTAGTTGGGATTACATGTGCATGCCACTACACCTGGCTAATTTTTTTTCTATTTTTAGTAGAGACGGGGTTTCACCATGTTAGCCAGGCTGGTCTTGAAATCCTGATCTCTGATGATCCGCCCACCTCAGCCTCCCAAAGTGCTGGGATTACAGGCGTGAGCCACAGCGCCCGGCCGACACTTTTAATAAAATGCAAAAATCTATGATTTTTATTTGAATAAAACTGAACCAGGAAGCCATAACAAAAGAATGAAAAAAAAATGCACAAAATGTGAAGGAAGTGGGTGGGATAACAAGTGGAAAATAGTCTCAAAAGGCAATAGGAAATAAACTTCAAAAATAAAAGACAAAGAGGCACACAAGGAAAGGTTTGATGGTATATATACAGGATAGAAAATGGAGTACAGTCCCACCATTTATGTAATAAGTAGTATTATGTAACCACTATTATGTCTTTATGTAACCATATCATTTTCAAAAAGGGTAATAAAGACATATTTATAATAATGATATTAACACTGACATACTTTGCTGAAATAAACAGTAATGAGAAATTTTACCTTATTCAAACCTACTGCAAGACTAAAGTTATTTAAGCAGCCACTTAGGCAGTCCCACCTTTTTAATGGATAGAAGGAAAATTCATTTCACATTATCAGTTTCCCCCAAATTAATCTCTAACTTCACAGAGTTCTAAAAATGTTGTGTCTTAGTCAGGAGTGACAGTACTCAAATAAGGATACTCTACCCAATGGTTACGTAGCTGTATTTAAACCCAAGTTTGGATAATTGTCTTTAACAAATTAAATCCAAAGTTTAAAGCTAAAAATTACAAATTGCTGAATAATTTTCTTCCTGCCCAACTCTCTGACCTAATTTCACATCACCGTCTTTCTCATTCACTCCATTGTCATTTTGCAGCTATTACCTTGGTTTACTTTCTTCCTAGTAGTAATCATGACCGGAAATTATGATATTATTTGTTTAAGTGTTAGTATCTGTACTGCAACACCGGCTATAAACTCCATGAGGGTAAGCGCCTTGTCTGTCCTATTTATTACCAAATCATCAGCACTTACTATGTTCCCCGCACTTCTAGCACTGCCTGGACCTTAGCCGGTGCTCCATACATAAATAAATGTGAATAAAAAAAGAAATATGCAAGTAATCTCTAGAATCAAGAATAAAAAATGAAATAATTTTTACCACAGTATTCATGTTTAAAATCACTAAGAAAATATTAAAACGAAGTTAATTACAGCATAGTACTTAACCTCATAGGATTATTGGCAGATTAAATGAGACAATGCACACAAACAATGTAACACAAGGCCTGACAGCCAGGAACATAGGTGTTCAAGAAACGTTCTTTTCATTCATTGTTCATTGTTATTTCTCCAGCAAAATGTGTGTAAAGAAATTATTAAGTCACCAGGATTGATAAATTTTAATGTGTGCCAAATATATTGAAAGAAAATATATTAGAAAGAAAATATTAACACATTTAATTATGCATAAGAAATTATCAAAAGAAAGTCTGCAAAGTTTTTAAATAACATTAATAATTTATGGAAAATTTCATATTTGAAAAAAAATTATCGTATATAAACCTTAAGTTCATCTCAGTAACATTAAAAGTTTGTGCATATTTACTAATGTTCAAAAGAGTTAAATTATTGTTACATATCCTCCTCAAAATGAGCTTACTAAAGTATACATGGCACTTTCTTTGGCAATTTAGAATCATGTATCTACCTGAACACCACCACAATAATTATTTATTATGTTGAATTATAAGAGGGTCTTATAAAAATAACTTACAGAGATAAAATTATAAATTAAATGCAGGTAATTATCAAAGCAAAATCTTCAAATTAACTTTATGTTTAAAAGATGTTTAAAGTTGCATTTTAAATCTTGAAGAACACTACTTCTATTGCTAATATAGACATGTGCAGCTTAAAATGAATCAAAATCTATATATTCATGAGTTACAATGAATTAAGCCCCACAGGATAAAGTTGGATATAGGTGATTGTATAGATTGTACTATTAAGTAATAAGTTTTTGTGAAAATCCATTTCTATTTCAAGTCATCTAATTTGCCTAGTGAAATTATAAGAAAGATAATAAAATTAAAATATTTTCCTGGAAACATATTTCATTCAAATACAACTGCAAGTGATTAATTGCTAGCCTCAGTAAATATAATGTTCCCAGAAATGTGTGTTGCCAAAGTAATTTATCTCACCACATGGATAGTAGTAAAGTGCTGATGGTCCTTGATATATGAGGTCAACTTGTACATGGTTCAGATGCAGCTTTAATGAAATTCCATTTAGAACTGTAACCATAGATATTCTCAGCAGTTTACAAAAGCAGGGAAAAAGGACTTTACATTTTTCTATGTGTCATAGCTACTGCTAGTATTTCCATATTAAAGGTTTCATGCGACTTAGTAAGAATTTAAATCTAGTTATTGTGTTACATGTACAGTTACCAGTAGATCATGTGTAATGTCAGTCAACATATACCTTCTCTGACTCTCTACATTGCATTGCTTTGGATATGTATGTTCTTGTTTGGAGGACACTTAGACTCACACGGCTTTTGCAACTGATCTTCCTTCAGAAGTTGTGGCTATTCGACGTTCAGGAATACAGATGGGTAACAGTTATTTGGTGATTATAGGGCACTTTCATTAGCAAATTATTATATTCTGTAGGCAGAAAATCATAGGTAGAAGCACATTTAAAGAAAATCTAATGTTATTTCCTGAAGACCTGGGAGGTCATGCTATTTATCTAGGATTGCACAATGAGTTTCTGGCAGAACTGATGAGGATCAGAATCCAGGCATTCTGGCTCCAAAGCAAGTACTTGCTGTTTCCACTACATTGTGTTACTTCAGATATTGCCAGAAAGTGGATCATAGATAACTGTGAGAAATTGTGGCTTTATATAATTCAGCTTGGGGCTCAGAAACTAAACCAAGATGTTTTAATATATGCCATCTATGTCCCCCAAATGTTTTGAGTATGTATAATAAAATGCATACAAACAAGCTGGAGAGAGCCTGTATTTTGTAAAACTATAGGCTCTTTTCTCATACTACTATTCCCAAGACCTGGAAGAAAGCTGTGAACATGTTTAACACTTTATAAATATTTGTTTTATAAACAAATACATAAAGTTTATATATTAATGAACTCATAGGATGTGGCATCTAATGCTGATTCAGTTCTAATGCCGTGCGAGTTTAGAAATTCTGCACAACCAAATCTTTGTGGCAGCCAATGTTTCTTAAGTAATGTCAATGATGTCTAATGAGTTCCTTAAAAATTATTCTTCTCTACCAAACTTAATGAAAGATAAGGCAAAAATAAATATATCAAAGTTTGTGATTTGAGTAGACATTTCTTACTTTATTATTGTCAAAATAACTCAAATTTGTCATTATTTTCCTTTTAACTATATGAATGACTCTGGAATTTTAGACAATGCCTATTGACTAGTAAAATAAAGTGGGCGGAAAACAGAAAAAAAATATACGATATTCCTTTACTGAGCTATCTATTTTAGTACCAAGGCTTTAATGCTGTTATTTGGCTTTATGTTGGCATATCCACCTGGTACCCATTCAAAGGACTAAATGAATATCCACACCATATTGATCTGACATTTTGTAGCAACCAAATAAAAGCATCTCTTAGACATCTACAAAACAAATGGTTAATCTACTTCCAAGGGACAATTCACTTCTGTATACCTCTACTGCACAGCTTCAAAAAATAAAAAAAGACTCTGAAATTGTGAAAGGTCTAATAAAGTTCAGACAGGAGGGAGAGCTGGGGAATAGACACAAAAATAAGAGTGAAAACAAAGCAAAAAAGAAAAGGAAGGTGAAAAATATCTCACAGGAAGCCCTCTGAGGGAAGTAACTCACACCAAACCTCTGCTTATCCTTCTCGCATTCAGCATTCTGAGGACACACACACATCCCCAAACAAAATAAAACAAACAAAAAAATAAAGCTCAAACCAGAAACTGGCATGCGCGGTAACTCCAGAAGCATGAGTTCATTCGTTTTGTTCATTTCAAAAATATTTATGAAGAATTTAAAAGTGTCAAAGTAGAATTTAAAAATGCAAGAGGTGTGAATATGACCTTGCCCTTCTCTCAGAGAGCTCACAGACAAGTAGAATCAACCAATCATTTACAGCATAGTGCTAAGTCTGGTCAAAGAAGGAATGCATAGGCTGTTGTGGTGGGCACAGAGAGGGAGCCAATTTTTTCAGAGCTGGAGGAGGAGAGGGAGTGTATTACAAAGGGTTTCCCAGAAGATACTAAAATCCAGTTCTGAAGGAATGACCATTAGCTGGTATAAACTTCATAGATAGTGGGAATGGCACGTTGGAAAGGCTCTGAAGAGAGAAACAGGATGACATCTATGGAGACTACAAATACTTAGTATAGTATAGCTGGAAAAATTATATACACCTGTTTATATAATTATAGATTATATTAAAATAGATGAGGCTGGAGGTAAGCAAGACTCAGATAAAAAGGATTCTGTTCACTAACTTATATTTGTGTATTATAGTAAGCAGTAGGGAGCCATTGAAAGAACTGAATCATTTGCAATGATCACTCTAAAAGCAATTTTAGAAAGGATTGAAGGAGACCCAGTTATGAGGCAAGAAGAAGCATCAGTCTGCTTGGCCCAAAGAATTGCTCTGGGGTAATCAGCTCATATTTGTGATGTTAAATGTGATTGCTTTCTATTAAAAGTAATCATCTGTCACATTAAATTAACTGTCAATTTGCTTTTTATTGACTTTATAGTTTTGTTTGTATTGAATGTGTAAATTACAATTTGTTTTATGTTTTCAAACTGGTTCCCATTCAGTGCCCCATAATACACATACCTGGTCATTAAAGATTAATTGTACCTGAAAAATTTAAATTTATTAAGAAATATTTTCCATCAACCTATTAATTCATATCAATCTAGTACCATGATTATAAGTGTCTAGAGAGATGAAAGTTAGATAGATTTGAATGAGAAAGAGAAGATATAAGTGCCTTAGGAAGTCACTCCATGAAGTTAATCTCAACTAGGCTTTAACATCTCCTGCCACCAAAATAACCTACATTATCAAATAATGCTCCTTAAATACTCATGATCGTCTACTGGACTTTTATGCTTACATGGAAGGAGCTTCACCGAAAAATAGCGATGTATTTCACTCCAGGTAAAATCAGTTGTGTCTCAGACTGAAAAATAGGTATACATATAATAAATACAGTCATGCACTGCATAAAAACGTTTTGGTCAATGGCAGACCACATATATGATGGTGGTCTCATATTGCACATTTTCTGTGTTTAGCTGTTTAGACACACAAATACTTCCCACTGTGTTACAATTTCCTGTAATGTTCAGTACAGTAACATGTCTTACAGGTACAGGTTTGTAGCCTAGGAGCAATAGGCTATACCTATAGCCCTGGTGTGTGTTAGGCTATATAATCTGGGTTTGTGTAAGTACACTCTCTGATAGGTACACAATGACTAAATTGCCTAAGGATTACCTCAGAACATATCCCTGCCTTTAAGTGACACTTGATTGTATGTACATAAATATACACACATTCCATTCAAAATATAAATCCTTTGACTTTTTTTTATTGTGATGATTTTGAAAAATTCTAACATTTTGAGTAAGAGTTAAAAGAAACCACCCATGTACTAGTAAATGTCTCTGACTAGGGCAGGATTGTTCCACAATTCAAAGCAAAACTTTCCATCTTTTTCATAATATGTATAGAAAACAATAATATCTGCACACTGGAGTACACAGATGTGGCTGTTTATGGCTGTAAATAACAGCCCAGGATTTCTGGTATCTTCAACCCCACCTGGCCTTCTCAAGGCTGAGGAATCAATAACTTCTATGTACCTGTACCTGTTTTGACCTACTGGTGTGTATTCCAGTTGGAAAGCTCTGGCTTAAAGAAGATTCAAGAGCTGAGAAAGAAGCCTTTGCTAGAAAGCCGCTAACTTTAGAGAAAGAATTAACTTGCTGCATAAAGGCTGATTGGCTTTTCTATCTTTAAATTAATAAAACTGTACATACCTTCAGCAGATGAGTCCAGCATTGAAATGGTAATACGTGCTAATTCAAATACCAACTTCCTGATTGATAATAGCTGCTTGGAGAGTTCTGTTGGGAGACATTCTAAGGCTTTGTCTAGGCCCAGTTGAAAATAATGCTGGATTGATGAATGACATTTATGATAGTTACAGTAGGGAAGAGTGGCATTATTAACTGACCCAGACCATAAGGTTGATTGTACAACATAAAATATATACTCTGCAACCCTTTCTTTAAACCTATTTTAAGAATTGAACTTTAAGCTTTATATCCTAGGTTTGTTTTATTGTTTTGGGTTATAAATAATCCAGCTGACAAACCCACCTTAATGCTTTGTTGTAGTTCATTTTGCTTGACTCAGTGCTTTCAATGTAGGTGCTTATTTTTATTGTTTTGTCTCTTTTTACTGATCTTGTAATATGTAGCTTATTTTATTCCCATTTATCTTTCACTTTTCAGTAGAGATTAAGAAATGGCCTCAAAGAAGGACACAGACAAACATGGTCCTGGTTCTAGAGGAAGCTAAATGTGTTCACTTTTCCTGTGAGCTTTACACAGGAGTTTCTGCAACATAAAAGAGATCACAAGGCCAGTACCGATGAAGCCCTTGATCCTGTGCTTGTTACCTGGGAAAGACTGACAGTAATACCTTAAAAATCATTGTCTCTGTGACTTAGGAGAAACAGGACAAATTATCCTAGCATGAAATATAGCCCAAGAATATTGTGGGAATAACGCAGATTGATTTTTTTTCTCTTTTCTGAATTCACATCTGTATCCCTCTTTCAGATATTTATTGACTGCTCAGTTCAGTCCCTTTTCATATAGAGAATGAGGGTATATTTCATTTGTTCAAAACTACAAAAATAATCATACCTCTTATCTTTCAAATAAAAATCAACTTTGCTCTCAACATGTTTGATGTCTGGAACATATCAATTAATATCTTCACTTCAGAGATTCATTACATAAAATGTTGGAATCTATGCTATAGCATTACCATAAAGAGTTGGATTAAATAGGAAAATGAACAGATACACCAAAAGGAAAGTGGGCAAGACATAAACGTCAGAGGTGTTTGAACTGGAGCAACTGCATCTTCAACAGGAGCCGGGTAAAATAAGGCTGAGACCTTCTGGGCTGCATTCCCAGACTTAGAATTCCTAAAACATTCTAAGTCACAGGGTGAGAGAGGAGGTCGGCAAAAGATACAGGTCATAAAGACCTTGCTGACAAAACAGGTTGCAGTAAAGTAGCCGGCCAAAACCCACCAAAACCAAGATGGTGATGAGAGTGATCTCTGGTCATCCTCACTGCTACGCTCCTGCCAGCACCATGACAGTTTACAAATGCCATGGCAACATCAGGAAGTTACACTTTATGGTCTAAAAAGGGAGGCATGAATAATCCACCCCTTGTTTAGCATATCATCAAGAAATAACCATAAAAATGGTCAACCAGCAGCCCACAGGGCTGATCTGTCTATGGAGTAGCTATACTTTCATTCCTTTATTTTCCTAATAAACTGGCACAAATGAGGCTGGGACTTGCTGGGCTGCATTCCCGGAAAGTTAGGTATTCCTAGCCTCTACATGCTTCAGGTTAAGGGAACAGATGGATGATGTTTACTAAACAGACCCAGACTTGGGAGTGTCCTGATATCCCAATAACTTGAGAACAAAGGCATTCCTAATTTTGCTTTAAAGTCAGTAATATTAATTCTTGCAAAATATAGTAATTAAGAAAATTAATCCTTTATCACAAACCCTTGTAGCAGAGCACATCTCCTCATGATCTTTTTCTTTTTAACTTAGGTAAAAGAAAGTACCTAGGTTAAAAAAAAGTATTCTCTTTTTTTTATTTTTTATTTTTTTAACTAGGTTAAAAAAAATTGTACCTAGGGTGGACACATTCCTCCTCTTACTTTCGAGAATGCTCTACTCTGTTTATGGAGTAGCTGTTCTTTCATCATTTTACTTTCTTAATAAACTTGTTTTTGCTTTGCACTGTTGACTCACCCTTAATTCTTTCTTGCGCAAGATCCAAGAACCCTCTCTTGGGGTCTGGATCGGGACCCCTATCCTGTAACATAAATAGTGTATTCATACAATAATAAATAAAATGACTAATAAACTTAAATGTTCTATTTGCTAGTCATCAAAGAAATGTAAATTAAAATGAAACCCATGTGGAAATGTTTAAAATAAAACAACGATGTAATTCCAGGAAACAGGCACTCTCCTCCAGGGGTATAATCTTCCTGGAGGCTAGTTTGACAATATTTATCAATACCTTTAAGTGTCATTTACAGTAGTTCAACTCAGCAGTTCCTTTTCTGAAAAGATATCCTAAGAAAAATTTCTGCAAAAACTTCCTTATAGTTGTTTTTAGTGGTCTCTCTAAGAGTAACTTAGCCCTAAAGCACATAACAGAGTTTGAAAACAATACAATGAGAACCATACAGTGCTTTCATCATGTGGATACAGATTAGCAGAGGAGGGGAATTAGAAGATTTTAAAGGACCGGGGCAATCCGTGCTTGCAAAGGATGGAAAAAAAAAAAAAAAAAAAAAAGTAGCAGAAGCATCACTAATTAAGAATGAAAGTTTCCTGGATGTCAGCTTCAAATCCTGCTGAGGGTCAAGTCTGGGGCTGTCTTTTTACTTCCTTCTGTGTCTCTAATTAATTAGTGTCTTTCTCTTGTTCTTTCACCAGGAAATCTAACTTGCATGCACAAAAAAATCATCCTTGGCTTTGTCAATGTCCCTGCTAAACAAGCATGATGGGTTACACACTTCCCTTCACTCCAAATGAACAGAAACTTTCTCACTGAAATATTTAACAAGAAAAGTCATAGTTTTGTTTGTTCATTAGTTTTTTTTGTTTGTTTTGGGGGCACAATACCTTAAAGAACATCCAATTCAACACTTCAATTTTGTAAATCAAGAGATAAGACTAAAACAATAAACTGGCTTTACTGTGTTAATAACATGGCAGGGATTACAACCTGGGTGGTTAGGGAAACTCTTAGCCCAATTCCCCTATAAAGCAAAAAGGCCCCTAATCTTCACCAGAAAATTAATGCATCACTTCTCTCAAGGGCTATGAAACTGTAAACAGTAAGTTGTAAACTGTTTTCCAAGATACTTACATAAGCCACATGAAGCTATGTGTGCATTTGACCCAGAAACTTGAAGTGCATATATTACAACAAATAAAACACGGTGTACCCACAGAATTCTCAGGAGAATCTTTCTATCCAGAAATCACACTCGCTTCATGTTTTAATGTTGCTGTTAGAGAATAAGAAGGGACTTGTCCAGCTCACTGAACCTGCTTTCAACAAGATAACAGAATTATAACTGGATGTCACTGCTGCTCAGCCTTCCTGTCCCTAGGGGAATTCAGTGGGCTCAGAAATAAATATTCACCCCATGAAGCTGTGACCTTATTGTGCCCTCTATGTTTGGCTATGGATTGTGGGCAAATCCCTCTGTTATACCTGTGCCCCACTTCACTCCCTTGCGTACCTCAAAAAAAAAATTTAGAACTGTTTAGAAATGGTGGGAATTGCTTGCTTTGGTAGCACATGTACTATAATTGGAATGATACAGAGAAGATTAGCATGGCCTCTGTGAAAGGATGACATGCAAATTTGTGAAGCATATTTTTTTAAAAATGTATAAAATAATAACAACTAAAAAAATTGTGGCAATAAAAGCATCTCATTAACAGGAGGTTGAAACTAAATTCTCAAGTGGGCAATATAGACAAATAGGTGTTGTTGTTGTTGTTGTTGTTGTTTCCATGGAACGGCAATCACACTGTTAATGACTCCATAATACGAAAATGCCACTAAGTATCAAGGCACTATAATATATATTTTTAAATGTAAAATAGGTCTCAAATTCAGTAAGCAAGTGTATTCGTCTGTCCTCACACTGCTAAAAAAGACATCCAAGACTGGGTAATTTATAAAGAAAAGAGGTTTAATTGACTCACAGTTCTGCAGGGTTGGGGAGGCCTCAGGAAACTTATAATAATGGCAGAAGGGGAAGCAAACATGTCCTTCTTCACATGGCAGCAGCAAGGAGAAGCACAGAGTGAAGGTGGTGGGGGAAGCTCCTTATAAAACCATTAGATCTTGTGAGGACTCACTCAGTCACAAGAACAGCATGGACATAACCATCCCCATGATTGAATTACCTCCCACCATGTCCCTCCCACAACACGTGGGTTTATGGGAACTACAATTCAAGATGAGATTTGGTTGGGGACACAGCCAAACCATGTCAGTAAGTATAACCAAAGACCTAGATTTCTGGCGTCTCTAGTGCATGATGACAGTTGCTTTGGGACTTAATGCAAGGAAAAAAAAAATCCATTTGGTTATGTGTGCTTCAATCTACTTGATCTAATAACTGTAGGTCCCAGTGGAAATTCACACCGTGGATGTATTATCCAGAAGGAAAGAAGTTAATAAAATATTAGTGATGTACCTCTCAATAACAAATGTATTCAACATTACTTATCAAATATTGATCATATTAAAAATCTTGGCATTTTTAATATGGTTTTAATTTTTAATCTGGTTTTTAAATTAAAATCAGTACTGAAAGATGGCCTCCTACTCTTGGGAGTATTTTCTAACACTTTACTCAGAATGAACTACTTTGTATGAAGCTCATGACTTACAACATCATTGTATTTTGTCCTGTACGCATAAGGTCATAAGAAAATTCATCTTTCATACTATATATGGTTACCTAGGAAGACGGTCATGGACTGAAAGATATTTGTCACATATATGGGTTTTATTTTATGATTTAACGGCAGGATTCCATTGCTATTCATCAACTAATAAAATTTACCCATCTATGCACAGTGAGTTGTTTATTGAATACAGCAAGATTGATTTTAGCAGTTTTGGCAGGTGAAAATTAAAACCATGCTTGCTTTGTTCCAATGCTTGGTAATATGCAAAGTAACAAAGGAACTAGAAGAGAAGCAGTTCATATATTTCTTGAAGTCAGAGGTCAAGGATTGGTTCATACTGCCATTTCATTGCTCATAAAATATAAAATAATACAGCAAACTTCCTCATGAGAGGGGCAGCTGTTATTATTGTAGCAAGTTATATTTGAAAACAGCGGCCTTTTTCAGAGATGGATAGCTATCATTATTATCATGAGTATGCAAAGATTATACAGAAATCAGCAATTAATACTTCACAAAATTACATGAAAATGGCAAATGAAGTTCCGCCTTGATCTTTGCTGAATTAACATTCCAGGCATGTGGTCATATTGAAATTTTAACTCACAATGATGGGTCAGTTTCCTATAGATTCAGGGCTGTTGTTGGGATCTTGGAATTCCTAAAGGAATGCATACTTAGCACATCACCTTGCCAATCCATTAGTCTATTTCAATTTGTTAATGGATAGCTACTGAGAAACTGGCTGCCCTTCTCAAGAGTATGACATTTTTGGGGAATGAATAAATCTTCAAGGCATGATAGAAAAGATGAATAACAGTGGGCTCCCCTTATCCATAGTTTAGTTTTCCTCAGATTCAGTTACCCATGATCAACTGCAATCTGAAAATATTAAATGAAAATTTCAAAAAATAAACAAATCATAAGTTT
Source organism: Homo sapiens (assembly GCF_000001405.40). Taxonomy (NCBI): domain Eukaryota; kingdom Metazoa; phylum Chordata; class Mammalia; order Primates; family Hominidae; genus Homo; species Homo sapiens. The sequence goes on along the minus strand of NC_000003.12, from coordinate 175,395,272 downwards.
TTAATTGTACACTCTTCTGAGTGGTGTAATGAGTAGTGTAATGAAATCTTGCACTGTCCCCCACCATCCTGCCTGGGATGTGAATGATCTCCCTGTCCAGCATTATACATATAATGCTGTATGCATTATGGACCTGCCCATTAGTCACTTAGTAGCCATCTCAGTCATCAGGTCAACTGTCTTGGTATCCCAACGCTTGTGTTCAAATCATCCTTATTTTACTTAGTAATAGGTCCAAAGCATGAAAGTAGTGATGTTGGCAATTGTGACATGCCAAAGATAAGCAGTGTTTTTCTTGAATAAAAAGGTGAAAGTTCTCAACTTAATAAAGAAAAAAAAAATCACATGCTGAGATTGCTAAAATCGGAGGTAAGAATGAATTGTCTGTCAAATTGTGAGAAGGGAAAAAAATTGTGCTAGTTTTGCTGTTGCACCTCAGACTTGGAAAGTTACTGTCACAGTATATGATTAGTGCTTAGTAAATATGGAAAAGGCATTAGCATGAACAGAAACGTGCTGATTGACTGTAATGGCGTTCAGTAATATCTGTGGTTTCAGGCATCCACTTGGGGTCTTGGAGCATATCCCCTGCAGATAAGGGGAGACTACTGTAGTACAATCTATGTCTGGAGGTTATCAAAAACATAAAAAACACAACTGTCAGTTTACAGATTTGTGTCTAAATCTAGTTTCTGTTTCTCAATATGTTGTGTAAAACACAATGAATCTCAAGGTGATATGTATCTTTTTTAAAAAATATCGGTAGTGTTTTTTAAATTGACACATGATATTTGTACATATTCATGAGGCATATGTGATATTTTGTTACAGGAATAAAATGCAAAATTATCATGTCAGGATATTTAAGTTATCCATCACCTCCAGAATATGATCGCCTAAAGTAGAAGTCCTCCCTTCAAATTATTTTAAAATATACAATGCATTGTTAACTATAGTCCTCCAACTCTGCTACCAAGGGTTAAAACTTACTCCTTCTATCTAACTGTATATTTGTGCCCATTAACCGACTTTTTTTTCATCTTCTCAACCATCATTGATTTCATTTGGTCTGTTTTTGCTTTTGTAAAAAATATTAACAGCTTTCAATGATAACCAAAGTAAAATTTATTTGTTGGAAATCCAAAGGATTTTCTTTTTCCTCAGGAATAGCAAAGAGTATATTGGCTATCTGCTTCTTGGACTTCTTCAAAAATGCCTTAGAAATTCTATCCTAATGCATTTTTCTGCAAATATGTAAATTAAGGTACAGTGTATATGAGACAAATGAGGGAAATTCTACAGAAAAAAATAGCTTGTGTACTTAAAAAGGTGTCAAGATCATGAAAGATTAAAAGCATTTTTAAAAGGCTTAAATTCATCTCCAAAAAGGGGGACTGGTTGGGTTGAAGACATAGCTACCAAAGACATTTTTAGGACAATTTTCAAAATTTGGGTATGGATAGTGTGTTGGACAAGAGCGTTATATCAATACTAAGTTTTCTGATTTTGATTATTTAACTGTGGTTACGTAAATAACAGCTTTTCTCTTAGCAAATACACTCTGAAGTATTTAGGATAAAAAACTGATGTCTCTGATTTATCCTCAGGTTATTGAGATAATTTACTCTCAAATAATCCAGAGAGAAAGTATGCCTGAGAGAGTGCATAGGGTGAGCACAAAATGATCTAGTAAAATAGATTCACCGCATGTTAACAACTGATGAATCTTAGAAAAGGATATGCATTTTTGCACTATACTTGTAGTTCTTCATAAACTGAGAATTATAACCTAAAAAATTATAAAAAGACAAATTTGCATAGTAGTAAAATTAAAAAAATATGATTTCAAAGATAATCATAATAATTAGGGTAATACTTTGCATTTGTATATTAACTATTATATTAATAAAGCTTCCAAATACATGATTTGACTTTATTCCTGAAACAACTCTACAATTTTTTTTTTTTTTTTTTTTTTTTTTTTTTTTTTTTGAGACGGAGTCTCGCTCTGTCGCCCAGGCCGGACTGCGGACTGCAGTGGTGCAATCTCGGCTCACTGCAAGCTCCGCTTCCCGGGTTCACGCCATTCTCCTGCCTCAGCCTCCCGAGTAGCTGGGACTACAGGCGCCCGCCACCGCGCCCGGCTAATTTTTTGTATTTTTAGTAGAGACGGGGTTTCACCTTGTTAGCCAGGATGGTCTCGATCTCCTGACCTCATGATCCACCCGCCTCGGCCTCCCAAAGTGCTGACAACTCTACAATTTTAAATGTCTTTATTCCCATTTTAAAGATGAAAAAACTTGGAAACAGAACTATTCCAGTTCCTTAGTTCAAAAGATTTTGATTTGTAGTCTTTTCTGTGATAACTACACCACAAACTGTGCAAATTGCCCTCATTTAGGTCATGAGGCAAGCCTGTGGTTTGTCCTGTGCTCACTAACCAGCTGTCAAGCTGTAAGAATTTGGGTGGTTGCAGATCAGGAAGCAGCTCTGTAATTCAGAATCAATCTTCTAAGCTGTCTTGTCTCTATTTTCATAGCATGTTATTGGTTTTCATTCCAAAGTTGTGCTAGCTCTTCCTGGCATAATCGATGGTGCAGGTGCACCGTTTTAGGAAAGAAACAATGGGAAATCCTATTGGGTTGTGCTGCATTACAAATAGAAAAAGTCAATGTTAGACAAGTAGAATTGAGAAAATCATGAGGGAAATAAATTTTATTTTCATGCTTTCAAGAATTACATCTAAAAGTAGGTATTTTATTGGAAAGGTATAGGTGTTCTTTAGGGAGAGAGAGGAAGAAAGGGAGGAAGAGCTATGATTTCATATTTCCAGAATTCTTATTTCACTAGAATGTAAGATTTGTCTTCTGAATTTAGACAGATTTTTCTTTATTTTAAAATTACCTATTTCTGATTCTTCATGTGTAGTCAAATATTTGTAAGCAAATAGTGTGTTTACAAAAAAAATTTGTAGACCACAGCTTTAACGTTTCTAAGTAGTGTTCATTACACATCCAGGAAAAATAAAAGACACAACTTAAGTGCTAAATATGTAAGTTTCAGTGTTATAAATGATTAGGTGATTCATTCTTTCATTGAGCAAGTATTCATCAATTCACAGAGAAGCAGAAAAGCATGAAGGCTGAAATCATGTCATTTGGAGCCAGACTATTTGGGTTCAAATATAGGACGCTGTTTCTTAGAAACTGTGATCTTGAGAACATTTCTTAATATCTCCAAACTTCAATTTCTTCATTCGTAAAATGGAGAGAATGACTGAACCTACCTCATAGGGAGGTTGCGATGATTCAAAGTATAAATATATGTGAAACACTTAGAACAATGCTTGACACATTGTTAGCATTTAATAGATTTTGATATTATTCAAAGTGTAATCTGAGAAATATTCATTGAGCATCTAGTATAATCCAGGTAATCCACAGTAAAGCATGGGATTATGCAGTTATTTGGGGAATAAAGAAATGATTCAGAAAAAGATCCTGCCTTAGTATGTGCATTAGTTATCTATTGCCATATAACAAGTCTCCACCCTCATTTGCAAACTCAGCAGCTTAATAATAAATTCTTATTATTTTACAGTTTCTTTAGGTCAAGAATTCAATGACTTAACCTCTACCTCAGCTGAGATCTCCTCTGAAGGCTTAATTCAAGAGTATTCACTTCCAAGCTCACTCATGGTTTGCTGTCAATGTTCAGTTTCTCACAAACTATCAGACTGACGGCCTTACTTCCCCCACTGGGTGTTTGGCTTGAGGCCTCTCTCAGTTCCTTGCTACATGAGCTTCTCCAAAGGGAAGTTTGCAATATGGCAGCTGGCTTCTCTCAGAGTGAGACAGCGAGAGATCAAGGGAGGGCCCACAGAAGGAAGCTATGGTCTCTTTGTAATCTAATATTGAAAGTGACATCCTACAATTTTTATGTATTCTAATTAGAAAGGAATCTCCAGTCCAGCCCACAATCAAGGGTGGCAAGTACATTAGTGGCCTTCTAGTATAGAAGAAAAGATATAGCTAAATAATCCCAACATGAGGTATGTGGTTATAGAGAAGAGAAAGGGTTTCTCAATGAGGGAATCTCGACATGCTAAACAGAGAACCTGAGAGCATACCACTGTATTCTTTTAGGTTTGTCTACATTGGTGAGGAAAATTACTGAACATACTCTAATAATCCTTATGACTCTACTACACACTGTAAGTCTCATGCACCAGATGCTCCATAAAGGTTCATATAAATCAAAACACACCCTGACAGAAATAGGCCTCATTGGGACATAATTGTGGGAAGAGTAACAATTATCTGGTGTTGCCTACTCAGAACAGTAGAATGTTGCTGATAAAGGTGCTACTTAGTACAGGTGCAGATTGAAGTGTACCACAATATACCACTTCAAAATATTTCTGCTTGGCATACAGATTATTTTGACTAAAGGCAATTGATGACCAGTAATATAGAAAAAGCTCTTTAGCACCCGCTAACTGCCTGAACTAGAGTATACATTTCCTCTTTTGCAAAAGAAATTTATGTTTATAAAGGGAGTTTCTATTTATAAAAATGTCTTTTTACCAGAAAAAAAGCTACTCTTGGAGACCACTCTTACCACCCAACTGATAGCTGCATAACCACAACAACAAAAAACCCTTATTTACCACACATTTCCTCTCCTTCACTTCTTACAACTTGCTTCTCTCATCCCGAAGCTCAAAACCATTTTCCCCTTGTTTAGCCTAAAGATGGTATATAAGCTTCAAGCATCTGGCCGCATCCTAGTGTTTTCATTTCTTTGTGAATTATGTACACGGTAGTTTCACCAGAATAGTTTCCTGAATTTACCAATTTCCTTGCTTTAAAAATTTAAACGTTTGGCTTGCTGGTTATATTGAATATCTACTACCACTTCTTTCTCAATGGACTGATTTTCTATAGAATGGCCAGAGGTAATTTTGAAGAAATCTTTATATCTAATGTGCCAAATATAAAACAGTAAAATGATCATGGAATTTGAGCCCTATTTTTTGTTTTAGAGTTGTCCCCTTGCGAGGGAGTGGGGGAGTGGAAGGCACAGTATAATTTTTTTCAGCATTACCTGAACACTTTTAAATCTTGAATTAAAAGTTCTATTTTTTTTTTACAGTGGAAGTGAATTTTTATTACCTTGGCTCTTAAAGTTCTATTTTTTTCCATGTGTATATATTGGCACAAATAATTCTGGTGACAATAAATCTTATTCCTTATTCCCTGCTAACTTGAGAATTACTTAAGAATTAATATAACCACCTCTGTTCTGCTTTTTGCATATAGTACCAAGTTTACCATGGAATCTTAAGGGTTTCATTCTGCTTTAGAATTCAATTAGTCTTTGACTTCTTGAGCTTCAGACAAATATTCTTCTAGTGTTTGTAAGAAACATTGTTCTCTCCCCTGGAGCCACTGTGTGAAGTCACAGAGTGTGATCCTGACAAGCAAAGCCTCCTCTTTGACCTGACTTCTGGAGCCAGGATTGCCCCTCTTCTAGCCTCTGCTTTTCCAAAGGGTTGACTTTACTTGTCTCAGTCCTTTCAGTTTCCAGCTTAAGGCTTAATAAATTCTAGAATTGCATTTTCAAGGTAAAATAGGAAAGATTTATTCACAGTTATCTTGTTTACGCAAATGCAAAGACAGGATAAATCATTCATTTACTAATGTTTCTCCTCACTGTGGGCATTAACAATGACCTCTCCATCATAAAACACAGTAGATTAATTCAAGCAGGAAGAAAAAATCTCCACTTGAATTATTTAAGTGAAGGTTTGAACTGTGCTTATATTGATAAGATAATATTTCAATTTAACACTTAACTTATAAAGCCAGAACAATAAATAAATAAACAAATAGAATGTGGATGAAGGTAGAGTACAGTGTTTATTCCTTCTTGGATCTAAATGTAAATTCTGCCAGGTGGCGTCGTTGCCAGTAATTAGAGAATTTAAAAATAATAAAATTTCACTGGAAAAAATCCAACCCTATATTATTTTTACTTCAATGTAAAAATGCTTTATGTAGCCTTATAAAATTCCAACTGTACACTGTCTTTAATTTTAGTAATTTATAACTTTATAATTTCTGTACCATGCTTAAAATGTTGCTTACTCTAATTAGCTTATGGTCAACAGTATCTTTAATTAGAAATATTGGTAATCTGTCCCCTGAAGCATTTTATTGAGTGTGTTTATGGTTCCAGGATGATTATCTTAATGAACAGAATGATAAAAAGTACCATTAAACAGAAACAAAATAGAATACTCATCAGGGCAGAATAATTTTTTTTCTATAAAAGAACAATTTGTGCTTAAAATACAGTATTTAGAATACAGTATTAAAACTTTAGATAAGTTGATGAATGTATTTTTGAAATTCTATTAATAGTGAGTAACTGATATTATGATTTGGTTCTGACAGTTAGAGGTGGAGTCTAGGATGAAGGACACAGAGTTATAAAAAATGACCAATCCACTAAGAAATAGTTCAGATGGCATCAATAATATTGCTGAAACCAAAATTTATATGAGTAATATAGAAAAGGTATGTGAAAAAAGGACTGGCAGTCTGTGTTTAAAAAGGAATTCACTGTTGGGGATGGGGGAGAAATCAGCCTGAATTTCCCTCTCAGTACTCTTATCAAGTGCGTACATTAAAATGGGTGGTGGTTATTTACAATCTTTAGATTTTATTTAGATGGTTGTGTTTTCATTAGCAATCTTTATCCTCTGAAATATTTGTAAGCATTTCCTATATAATTTCACTCAACATCGATTTTTGTATTTTATGGCATTGAGAAATGTATACTTACTGAAATTTTAAAGCTAGCATACATAATGTCTAGCAATGTCTACACTAAGTTTCACATGGCACCAGAAAACATTTAAACTAAGACAGGAGATATATTTGAGACTCTATATAAGTTTTTAGATAGAAAATCATGTATATTGAAAAATGTATACATCCAAAGTAAGGTGGCTAGCTAGCGCCTCTACTATCAGATAGATCTTCATAATGTTTGTGCAAATAAAAAATGACCAGACTCTTCTGAATTCTCAATGTCTTCATCATACACTTACTAATCAACTCAGATATTGCACTGATTCTTGACTTTCTGGGAGGATAGGAGATCATAGTTTCCTTTCAAAATTTGGTTACAGCTATGGAAAGTCTCTCTAGAAAAATGTACATGCACATTGATAGTTACCGAGAATGGTGGATCTCCTGGAGCCATTCATAAATCCCCTAAGGAATTTAGGAAGGTTAAACAGGGAATAGCTACAATATTAACTGTCAATCAGCTTTCTAAGAAGATTAGATATCTTCAAATGTAAAATGGTAATAATAATACTTTCTTCATAGAGTTGAGAATATTCTTTATGATTAGTTGTAGTGTTTGGAATAGATCCTGCATATAATAAATAGACAACACATTGTAGATTTTAGGAAAGAAATGTATTAGTGGAATTTTATTGTTCTATTTTATTTACTATCAATTTGTTAGTACTATTAGCATTCCAAAAACTGAGGAAATTCTGTTTTTAAACACAAATCATTCTTTTAGTATATTCAACAAATCTTTCTCTAGTGTTTTGTTTTATTCTTTTACATTACTTTTCAACTGTACACATGGTTTTGGTTTAACATTTTGAATCACCTTAGCATCACTAAATTTGAATGATTTCTTACATATTCAAAAGTAAAACAGTTCCTAAATTTATAATGATACTAAACATAAATCCATTGGGTACCTTTGGAGGTTGCTAGAGAAGTAATGTATCAATCTGAAAATGGATACAAGAGAAGTAATCAAGCACTTAACCTTGACTATCCTAGACCAATTGTACCACAGGAGAATTTTCTCTTTATAGAAGTATTCTAGCTAATACATGAAGAAGGAATGATAAAAATAAAACACTTTAATTTTGTAATACTCTTATGAAATACTGTCATCTCTCTTTATCCATAGGGAATGCATTCCAAGGCCCCTAGTGGATGCCTGAAACCGCAGATAGTATTGAACACTACTGCAGTCAATTTTAACACATTTCTTGTCATGTCTTCCAACCATAAATCTAAAGTCTTTCCCACTTTTAGTGCTTATCTCATATTGTGGCTGTTACTTTTGCAGTTTGAAGTACAAAGCAAAAGTAGTAAAAAAAAATTTTCCCACTTCACAGTTTGACAGATATAACACTCATTGCTTCCATAGATCTTAACAACTTTAGAATAAGTTTTTTTCTTTCTTTATTAATTGGAGAATTTTCACCTTTTCACTTTAAGGAAGCACTTTATGGCTTCTCTTTGGCATATCCAAATTGTCAGCATCATTTATCTTGCACTTTGGGACTATTACTAAGCAAAGTAAGGGTGGCCTGAACACGAGCACTGGGATACCGCAACAGTTGATCTGATAACAAGATGGCTACAGAGTGACTAACATACAAGTAGCATAAGACGTGCTAGACAAAGGAATGACTCACATCTCAGGCAGAACAGAGCTGGAAGGCACAGACAACACAACACTTCATTATTCTAACCAGAATGGTGGGCAATTTGAAATTTATGAAGTTTATTTCCAGAATTTTTTATTTAATATTTTTTGGACTGCCATTGATCTGTTCTGAAATTGCAGAAAGCAATACTGGGGATAAGGGTGGACTACTGTAATGAATCCAGGCAATTCCCAAAATCAACTCTAATAAGATAAATAGAGAGGGAGAGGGGAAAAAAAAAAAAGATGATACATGCCTCTTGACAGAAATACACAATTACACCTATGAAATATTCTTGTCAAAAATTTGAATCTAAACAGATCAGGACTCTGGATTTAAGAATTATTTTATAGAGGACACAGAGGTCAGGTAAAGATTTTAAATAATACCATTAGGATGGATGCAGCAACAACTGTACTGTGAAAAACTCTACAAAACAAATGAACAGCTTCTTTGAAAATAAATCTCAGAGGAGGACAAAGTGGGAGGGGGGCCTACAGAATAAAAAAAAAAAGATGATCTATCAACCAAATTCAATGTGTAAACCTACCTTGTTTGTATGATTCTATCAAACCAACAATCAAGCAAAGAAATATTTGATGATATTAAGAGATTGTCTAGAGTTTTAGCCTCAGTTGTCAAGAATCGCCTCCCAGATAATCCCATCAACCAAGAAAGAGTAACTTTATAACAGGAGAGGAGATGGGAGGTCATACGATGCTCACACAGACTTCATCACAGGCTATCGACTATTTATCTGAGGGGCCATTGGTCTTTTCAAAAAATCTTTTATTCTCCCCTAAGTTGCCTAAATCTCCCCTCCCCTCTTCCTTGGGCATATAGAAGCTTCTAGATGTCACTGGGTTTTGGGGTAGTCACTTCTCTTGTATGTGATGCCCCCATGCATGTAATAACTTTATATAACTTTTCTTCTGTTCATCTGTTTTTGGATTTTTTAAATCTTTATTTGTTTGTTTTTCATTGATACATATTAGATGTACATATTTTTGAGGTAGATGTGATAATTTGATACATTCATATACTCAAATCAAGGTAATTGGGAGACCCGTCACCTGAAATATTTATCTTTTCTTTATGCTAGAGATATTTGAATTATTCTCTTCTAGCTATTTTGACATGTACAATTGATTAATGTTAACTATATTCGCTTTGCTAATCTATTGAACACCAAGTCTTCTTTCTTGTAAGTGTATAATTGTACCCATTAGTCTACCTTTTTTCTTTCAATTTAATTGGTAGCCTAGCCAAAGAACCTAGAAGGGTGGAGGGAAGCTATCTTTCACTTGCCGACAGCACATAAATATGTATACAATTACATATTATTGCAAACGAGACAAACTAAAAGTAAGGTAAGACAAAAATAACAATTTCACAATGGAATCTATTATTGAAGGCTTCCTTTAAATTTCAGGGTAGATTAGACAAGAATCAAACTTACCAGGAAAATTGGGGTAAATTGGGAGACATTCATGAAAATAGGTTTTATCATTTTTCTGTTTATAATTTTCTTGTCCTTATGCTTTGAATGGAAATTGATGCATTGGGCCTTCATTTAGACAAATGTGGTCTATTTATGTATGAGTTAGATGATGAAATAAGTGCCTGAAGCTTGAATGTTCAGGTTAATCAGAATACTAAATGGTCATTAAATAATAACTACACTCAAAGTTTCTTAATTATGTATAGATGTTGAGTTGGTGGGAGGTCCCAGTTGACATAGGACTCTGTCCTTGGCCGAAGTCTGTTCAACATGACCTAAATAAGGCCCAAGAGTAGCAGCTCATTATTTTACTTTTTTCTGCATGGTGAAAAAAACACTGCATTCTCTACTTTCATACTTATTCTTAATTTCTGGAAATAAAATTGGTAATAACAATGAAGTGATTTCTGGAAATAAAACTGGTAATAAAATAAAATAAATTAAAAATAAATTAAGTAAAATAAAATAAAAATAAATAAATAAATAAAACAAAAATTGGTAATAAAATTGGTAATAAATAAATATATTGGTAATAATTTCTGGAAATAAAATTGGTAATAATGCAATATTATTGCACAAACAAATTTAAGAGAAATTATAATTTAGCAATGGGTGTGTGGATAATTCTTATTTGAAAGGAGGTGCATGCATTTAAAAGTTTATTTTTACACAAAATATAAGCCTAAAGTGTATGACTACTTTTTCTTGTTATCCAATGAGTCAAAGAAACTAAAACCTAATTTATAATGATAAAGTTAAATCAATCAAAGAACCGAAAGTATTATTTGTCAAGACAATTCTGAGGATATAATGATAAAGCATCTTTCCAAATTGTGTGCACTGTTCAAATTTTCCAATATAACATTCCAAGAAAAGTCCTCAAATGAATACAAAATCTGTGTCATCAGTGAAATCTAGGAGAGTTTAGGATACCAGCAAAAGCCTTTTGCCAACTCAGATTCAAAACAAGAAATTATCATTATAGTCAATAAGATAATGCAGACAATAGGAATATTTACCATTATACTAAAAAGAATTATGCAGCTCGTAAACCCAAATAGAAAATTTCTTCACTAGAGGCAAGTTCTCAGAGAGAGGATAAATATAGAAATAGAGCAATAAGGCAGGGGAGAAAAGAGAGATTCAACATTACTCAGCTATTACAAAAATAAATAGGCAAATGATAAGAATATCTAATTTATTGTAAGAGCCTTGAGGCAAGAAGTAAGCATCCTAATGAAAACAGGGTTGCATGAAACAAGAATTATATGAACCACACGGTAAAAATCTGACAGAATCAGAATTATTGTCTTAGTCACAGTGGTAAAAATTATTACCAGTTGATTACTGAGAAAGAACTAGAGAATAGTAGAGCCCACTACGTATCTTTTCTAGTTTGCTGCATATAAACACATAGTAAACTATATTTCTCTCTGTTCATTAAAGAGTAAGGGTTTGATAATTCTCAACAAATGCTACAACCACCTTCATAATACCTTAAGTAAAAGAACTTCTCTGGTTTAATTGTAGTGTAGGAGAGGAAGAACATTTTTTTTCCCTTATACTCTGTTAGGTTTACCAGCTGGGCCCTTGAATCAAATTGGCAAGAAACACATTAAAAAGATGAAAAACAAAACAAAACAAAACAGATTTATATATCTCTAGGGGATATGCTGGTTAAAGAATTCAAAGTTTTATTTAGACAGGAGGAATAAGTATCAGTGGTCTATTGCACCACATGGTAACTGTAGTTAATAATAATGCATTGCATATTTCAAAATTGCTTAAGGAGTAGGCTTTGAATGTTCTCATCACAAAAAACTGATATGGACGTGAAGTGAGGGATATATTAATTAGCTTGATTTAATCATTCCATAACGTATAGATATATCAAAACATCATATTGTGCCCCATAGTTACATAAAATTATTTGTTACTTAATAAAATATAATAAAAGGAATAAGATCTAATGTTTGGTAGCACAATAGGGATGACTATAGTTAACAACAACAACAACATGTATTTCAAAACAACTAAGAGACTGTAACTGAAAGCCTCCTAACACAAAGGAATGATAAACGCTTGAGGTAATGATATCCCAATTACTCTTATGTGATCATTACACATTGTATGCTTGTATCAAAATATCACATATACCCTGTAAATATATAGTGATTATGTATCCATAATTAAAAACTTAAAAAGAAAAAATATGATCCAAAACGTATGAAATATTAACTTAAATGGGATCTTTTGAATAAATTAATAAAAGTATAATTTTTAATTCTAAGATGATTTACTTGTATTAGTGATTCCTTAACTCAAGTGTGTAAATCTTTGGATAGCTACAAATATTGAAAGGCTATTGTCAAATGTACATTCCTCTTATTTTTTTAAAAAAGTATATCTTCTTCGAGTTCCCCCCAGGTAAGGAGAATACGTATATAATTAACCATAACTTCTTAAATTATCTCTCCCTAGAGGGCTATAATACAAAGGACAGATAATAACAGGTAAATGTCAAGCAAGTGGAGAAGTCGGAACCTTCATATATTGCTGGTGGCAATATATAATTGTGCAGCCACTTTGAAAAACATTTGGAATGTTCTTCAAAAGTTTAAATGTAAAATTGTTACCATATGATCCGACAATCTATCAGTCTCATTGCAATTCACTTGGCTCAAAGAGTGATACTTTCTTATAACCATGGGTCATTTGTATTGTGGATATTCATCTTTTCTGAATTCAATAAAGAACAGATGGCAAATTACTATTTTAAATGTTAATATATTCTAAATTTTATGTGCAGTGTTTAAGAGTTTCCATTATTTTCTCAAAACATATTTAAAAAAACAAATAAACAGAAAGATTCCTGTCTACAAATATTTATTTCACAAGCATGAGGACTTTTGCCTCAGACCACCAGGCATGTGTTTACCCTTCAAAATCTTCAATTTTTAAGGAAGTGTAAAATAATGTCATACTGTTTCATGAACCATTTGAAAAATTTCTTCATGTTTGACTTCATTTATTTTTCTATTTTTAGCTAGGACTCTTTCCTTGAACCATTTTCAGTGCTTATCCAAACAGTATGCTTTTATCCTGGAAGGTGAAAAAATACAAGAGTACTTCAATTCTCTAAGGCGCTCCCCTCCCGTGGTACCAATATCCTAAATTAAGAGCTTCCACTGAGTGTTTAAGATTCTATTTCAAAGACAGGACAAGACACAGCAGTTAGTCCCAGAGAAGGGAAAGTGAGCAGTATGGTAGTAAGTGGGTTAATAGGAAAACTAGGGCACCAAAAACCATCCTTCAAAAGAGCAATCTCATCACACTGACAGGTGGCATCAAAATCCCAGCATGCAGGCCCGCTGCTGCCACTACCTATGGCTGTTCTCACTGTCCCAAACCCGCCAGTCACTTGTTGCTCCACAATGAGACACACGTCACACAAAAACTTACACTCAGCTATTCTTTGAATTTACTCACATGAAATTGTACCTATCAATTACCTTCTAAGACAAAAACAAAAAATTTAACCATATAAGCCAAATCATTAATTTTTTTGTGAGTTCTTATTTAAAGGAACTGAAAAACTGTCTAAACTCATTATCGCTCTATAATATTATCATGACAGAAATTCAGTAAATAAATGTGCTAAGAAATTAAAATATGCATTAGTAAAAAGAGCACTTAAAACATATTAAATGAGATATTTAAAATATGTAAATAATTTAAGAAGATTATTATGAATCATTACTAATAAATATGATTTTTTGAGGCTTAAAACAAATATTAAAATACACATACTTCAGGAATTATTAAATAGAGAAAATATTTTTAGACAATAAAAAATGCAAAATTGATCTGTAACTAATCTTTTTTACATGGGAGAAATATATACTGCATTTATTTGCTTTCCCCTCTACAACTAAAGTTTAAATTGTCAGATAGAACTAAAATAATTATTTTGCATAGAAAACAAGTAAAACATTAATGTTTTTGAATTTAATAACCAAAATACTTTAAGAATGCATAAGAAACATTTATTCAGCCATAATAACTGTAGAAAGTTTGTACAAATGGATACTAAATTATATTTTATTAATCTGATCTGAACTATAAGATGCTTACAAAGTATTTCTATTATGCAATAAAATATATTTTCAGGTTGTTCATTATAAAACCTTTCTTTTAGTGTTTTATGTAATGTTAAAAAAGAGACATATTCTCATAACAAATGTCTTATACAGTAAAGGGTAATTTTTATTAATTCCTTAGCACCTCTTGTCTCATAAGTTGGAAATATCTCCATAGATAAAAGATGTTGAAAATTTAAAAAAAAACAATATTTAAAGCTTTATAATTGAGTAATACTCAGATTTCATCATATTCAGTTTTCAGACACAGAGTTCGTATACTCTGTAAAATGGAAAGTGTCATAGGCAAAGACATGTAGTTAAATGGCATCTGTAATATATACTTTCAGACAGTATATTTTTTGCAGTTTCTCAAAACATAAAAAGCTTTATTTAAAATTCTACAGTATATTACTAAATATATGATTTCTGCATTTCTGCCTATCTAGAAAAAAGGGATTGTTTTCTAAAATACAGCATGGTATGGGCTTACCTATGAAAAAGTTTGTATTATTTTCTTTATTTTCATAAGGATACTTAATTGAGAGCTTGAAAGGATGTTGTAGGTATTTTATACAGAAATTTCAGCAATAATTTTGACTTTATTTTTGTCTGTAATTCTTTGCGGAAAAAAATGGAAAAATGAGACCTAAATGGTAAAATTTATGTATTATTGAATGCTGACACTGAAAAGTGTCAAGCTGGAGAAATGCATTTGTTGCTATATTTCTCACATTGTGGATAGAGAGAAAAATACATATAACAAACACACAGACATTCTTTCAAAATGCACATTCTAGGGCAACCTTGTGGGGTAGATGGTAAGAATGATGGTGGAGGAAGAAAAGGGGACATGGATGTCAGTATTTTTTTAATTAATTTATTTTTTTAATTATTATTATTATACTTTAAGTTTTAGGATACATGTGCACAACATGCAGGTTTGTTACATATGCATACATGTGCCATGTTGGTGTGCTGCACCCATTAACTCGTCATTTAGCATTAGGTATATCTCCTAATGCTATCTCTCCCCTCTGCCCACACCCCACAACAGTCCCTGGTGTGTGATGTTCCCCTTCCTGTGTCCATGTGTTCTCATTGTTCAATTCCCACCTATGAGTGAGAACATGCAGTGTTTGGTTTTTTGTCCTTGTGATAGTTTGCTGAGAATGATGTCAGTATTTTAATATGCTTCTCTGAGTAAACATACACAACCTTCCACCAATCCCTCTGTGGCATTCTACAAAATTTAATTCTTGGTACTCTTTAATCAGAAATTTGGATGGGAAATATAAAGCTATCTGGATCACAGCCTTGATAATAAGCCATATTCAATCAGACAAACCTTTGAGGAATATTTACAAAAATGAGGGAATTAAGATGTGGACTGTGGGCCAGGTGTGGTGGCTCACACCTGTAATCTCAGCACTTTAGAAGGCCGAGGCAGAGGCAAGAGAATCGCTTGAACCCAGGAGGCAGACGTTGCAGTGAGCCAAGACTGTACCACTGCACTCCAGTCTGGGTGACAGAGTGAGACTCCATCTTAAAAAAAGGAAAAAAAAAAAACAAAAAGATGTGGATTGTGGACAACTGTTACCAGAAACCATACGAGACGTAAAAACAGACTAAGTCAAAATGTGAAGTCCTGCATTTGTAAGTGCCTAAAGCTTTCCACCCAGAAACACTTTCCAGTTGTGTTGAGCTGAAAAGACAGGTAGATAAGAAGTGAGAATATGGATAGTTTGTAGTTTGGGTCAGAATTAATAATAATAGTTTTAACTGTATGTAGCAGATGCTGTCCTATGTGCTTTGCATATATTTTAACTCCTTTATTTTTCACAACATGCCTATGAGCTAACTGAAAATAATGAAAGAAGACTATTCTACAGGAAAAAAAAAAAAAAAGAGAGAGGAAGAAACAGGTTAAGTAACTTGCCCAAGGATGCAATCTCTTAACCAGTGGGTCCAAAATTTGGGGACAGGCAATCTGTCCACAAAATTCACACTTAATCACAAAGAGTCATGGAGCTTACTTTTGTACTCAGCACCCATGGGCCTATTCTCCAGTGGTAGAAACAAGCTGGGCACTTGAAAATATGCAACCAATAAAAATCTTGGAGTGTTAGGTAAGAGCCAAATAATGTGGACATGTTGAAAAGGTGGATTTCAACCTACAAGTTACAAATTACTAAGACTAACTGTGATGTCCTGCATTTATAAGTGCCTAAAGTTTATCTACTCTTAGCCATGATGAACTAACAGGTGCAGGATTATCTCTCCCAGTGTAAACAATTAGAAACCGGGACACTATTGTTTTCAGACAGTAACATGTTTTGAATCCTGAAATGAGGCAACAAGGTGAGTCTTATGATTGTCCAAGTTTTCCACCCAGAAACACTTTCCAGTTGTGTTGAGCTAAAAAGACAATATCAGAGTTTGAAAAGGCTATGACTGCTGGTATTTGCAGGACAGGGTACAAGGAAGTGGGAGCTTCACATAGAAAGTACTCCAGAAATTTGCATAAGGGTGCCCTTGAGACTTCAGATGCAATCTAAGCTGTGCATGCACTGAGTGAGACTCAACAAGGCCAAGTGAACAATCACTATCAAGGAACACAAAGTGAAAGACTACTGAGGTTCACGACTAAATGAACCACCATGCAATACAAAGCACAACATAATGAAGCAGGATATTTACTTGACCCCTTTGCAGGACCTGCGAAGAGGGTGCCTAGTTTACTCAGCCCACAGCTCTCAACTCCCTGCAGGAGGGAGTGTGTGAGTGAATGAGGCGGGAACTGGAGTGCAGGAGCAGAGGTGAACTCCATTAACTCCCACCTGCTTTGCTCCACCCCTTGTGGGAGTGAGCGCACAGGTAAGCAGGTGCAGGAGCCAGGGTGAGTGCTTTTGGGTGTCGGCAAGAGCAAACTCTGTGTAGGCCCCATGGCAGTGTCTGGACTTGGGGGTGCCTGTGACCCCTGAAGCCCCAGAGGGAGTGTTACAGTGCTCCTTTAGCTCTGCCATCTGTGGACGGCTTAAGTGTTAACAGCTCAGAGGGCCCTCTTTTATCTGCACTCATGGATCCCAAGCTCTTGCCCAGCATCCAGAAGAATGAGGTCACAGGAATGATTTGAATGATGGTAAATGCAGGGGGCGGGGTTTATTGCCAATGAAAGTGGCTCTCAGTAGGAAGAGGAGCTGAAAAGGGGATGGGGTGGGAAGGTAATCTTCCCCTGAAGTCCGGAAGTCTCCAGCTGGATTCTTCTCTGAAGTTACACCATCAAGCTGTCCCTCTGAAGTCAAGCTGCTTCTTTCTAATGTCCAGACATAGTCTCTGATGTCCAGCTGCTCCTTGTCTGTCAGCTGATTCTGGGGCTTTTATAGACACAGGATGGGGTGCAGTACAGGCCATGGGTGGTTTAGGAAAAGGACACATTTCAGCAGGAAAACAGGGATATAAGTTCTCACTGTGGGCCATGGTCACAGGTTTTTATGCTTGAGAGTGGGGCTTTGCCAGGGACTGGCCCCTGTCTGCCTAGAATTTCTCTGCCCCCGTCCCCATCAATAACATTAAAGGAATGAGACAAAATCTGTATGTGCAGCCATGTAACATTCACAAAGTTCAGTATCTAAGCAAAAATAGTAGAGATGTGAAGAAGCAAAAACAAGTAACAATCCTAAGAAAAAAGTAAGAACAACAATTAAAAAAAACTGATAATATCAGAGATGATGAATTAACCCCAAACTATTATAAACAAATTTGATGATTTTTTTGTTTTTGTTTTTGAAACAGAGTGTCACTCTGTCACCCAGGCTGGAGTTCAGTGGCACGATCTTAGCTCACTGCATCCTCTGCCTCCTGGGTTCATTCGATTCTCGAGCCTTAGCCTCCCAAGTAGCTGGGATTACAGGTGTGCACCACCGGCCCAACTAATTTTTGTATTATTAGTAGAGATGGGGTTTTACCATGTTGGCCAGGGAGGGTTTGAACTCCTGGCCTCAAGCAATCTGCCTGCTTGGGTCTCCCAAAGTACTGGAATTACAGGTGTGAGCCACTGCATCTGGCCTAAATTCAATAATTTTTTTTTTTTAAAAGAAGGCCAGGTAAGCAAATAAATACAAACTATTAACAATATCAAATGAACCTCCTAAAATCAAAAAAGCAGAATACCCGAAATGAAAAATTTACTGGGAGGGATTAACAGTAGATTAGAAACTGCAGAAGAGTTCAGTAAATGTAAAGTCATAGTAACAGAAACAACCCCAGCTGAAGCATGGTAAAATAAAAAGAAAGGCTGATATAAAAGAGCAAAGCCTCAGTAAACTGTGGGATAATAGCAAGCTATCCAATATATGTAAACTTAGTACCAGACTTTCAAATGGGGGAAGGAGAAAAATATTTGAGTATAAAAATGGCTAGAAAAAATACCCAACTCTGATGAAACATAACAGTCCACAAACCCCAAAAGTGTAAAGAACATGAAGTTAGATAAACACACAGAACACCAAGCTATATCATAACCAAATGGCTTAAGGTCAATAATAAATAAAAACTCTTAAAAGCTCCCTGAATAAAACAGTTGCTTTCCACATACAGGAAAACAAAGATAGAGACAAATTACCAGAAACAATGTAATCCACAAGTCTATAGAACAACATCATTAAAGCAATGAAAGAAAAAATAAGGAAAAAGGCCTTCTATATTATAAATATCCTTTAAAATTGAAGTAAATATCCTTTAAAATGAAATTCAAGTAAAAATTGAAGTAAAATAAAACAATTTTTAGCAGAAAAAAAGAATTAGTCACTGATACCACAAGACATGTTAAAATAAGTTCTTTAGGGTGAAGAAAAAGGTTACCAGATGGAAATTCAGAGATACGAAAAGAAATGAAGAAATTGATAACTAGGAGGGTATAAAAATACTTTTTTTCTTTCAGTTTCTTTAAAAGATAGTTGGCTGTATAAAATGAGAATAATAACAATATATAATCTGGTCTATAGCAATTGCTGAATTAAGCATTCTAAAATGCAACAAAATATGGGAGAGAAAAATGAAAGTATACAGTCATGAAGTTTTTACATTATATATGAAATAGAAAAACAACTTATTTGTAGACTGAAATAATTTTAAAATGCATATTGTAAACCACAGAGCAACCACTGAGGGTAGGGCAGAAAAAGGATGCATAGCTAAAATGTCAATAGAGGAGGTAAAATGAACACTAAAATATAATACTCAATTAACAAATAATACAAAGGAAGGAAAAGAAAACAAAGAACAAATGGGAAAAATAGAAAATAGGAATACGGTAAATGTGAGGCAAACATATTAATATTTAGGTTAAATGTCAATGAGAACAACATACAAATTAATTGTCAAAGTAGATAAAGCAGCGGAATTCACTATATATTATCTACACAAAACTCCCTTCAATATAAAGACAGATTGGTTAAAAGGATGGAAAAGGCTAGAGTGACTGTACTAATATCAGACAAAGCTTCAAGATAAGAAATACTAATAGAGATTTAAACTGGACATTTTAGAATAATAAAGAGTTCAATTATCAAGAATATATAACAAACTTAAATAGGTACACACATAATAATAGAGCTCCAAATCACAATGCTGAAAAACAAATTAAAGAATACCTAAATAAATTAGGAGATTTTTCAGGTTGATAAGTTGGCAGACACAACACTGCTAATGCTGTATTTCAGTCATCTCCAAATAGCTCTGTACATTCAACACAATCCCAGTAAAAATTCTAATGGGCTATGTTATAGATATTGACACGTTTATTTTAAAATTTATATTGAAATTCAAGGAGCATTTAAGAACTAACATTATTTTGAAAGAGAAAAAAATTAAGAATACTAGCACTTTTTAAAAAAATGTCAAGACTAACTACAAAACTAGTGTGATCAATTTGGTTATATTGCTATAAGAATAAACAAACAGCTCACTGGAACAGAATAGAGAGTCCAGTAGTAGACTGAACCTTATATGAGCAATTGATTTCAACAATAGTGCCAAGGTAAATCAATAAGAAAAGTAAGATTTTTTCAGTAAATACTGTTGGCTAACTTTCTAACTATATGGGAAAAAATGTATTTTCAAGCACACCTTACACAAATGTGCATTCTAAAGGTAAAAGGTAAAACTACACAACTTGACTTATTTATTTATTTATTTATTTATTTATTTATTTATTTATTTATTTGCGACAGGGTCTCATTGTGTCACCCAGGCTGGAGTGCAGTAGTGTCATTACAGCTCACTGCAGCTTCTCCCTCCCCAGGCTCAGGTAATCCTCCCACCCCAGACTCCTGAATAGCTGGCATTGCAGGCATGCACCACCATGCCCAGCTGATTTTTCCATTTTCTGCAGAGATGAGTTTTCTCCATGTTGCCCAGGCTGGTCTCAAACTCCTGGGCTCAAGTGATCCACCTGCCTCAGCCTCCCAAAGTGCTGGGATTACAGCCACCACACCTGGCCTATATAACTTTCTTTTTTTTTTTTTTTTTTTTTTTTTTTTTTTTCTGGAGATGCAGTGGTACTCAGCACTCTGTCAACCAGACTGGAATGATCTCAGTTCACTGCAACCTCTGCCTCCTAGGTTCAAGCAATTCTTCTACCTCAGCCTCCTGAGTAGCTGGGATTACAAGCACCCGCCACCAAGCCCAGCTAATTTTTGTATTTTTAGAAGAGACAAGGTCTCACCATGTGGGCCAAGCTGGTCTTGAACTCCTGATCTCAAATGACCCTCCCACCTCGGCCTCCCAAAGTGCTGAGATTGCAAGAATGAGCCACCGTGCCCAGCCAAGCATATAAAACTTTTAAAAGAAAAAATAAGAAAACGTATTTATGATAGGGAAAGGAGAAGGATTTGTAAGCCACAATATTAAAAATATGAGCAATAAAATAAAAATAAATAAATTTATCTTTTATCGAAACTCTAAACTGGTTTTTAAAAAGTAATTATAAAGAAAATGAAATTCAGGCCACTAATTGGTAGAAAATATATGCAATATGTATATCTGACAAATGGCTTGCATCTGAAATATATAAAAAAATTCAATAGTAAGAAAAAGTATGTACACATATATACAGAGAAATATGCATAGACAGATTCTTCCATAAAAAGATATACTAAGTCCATCAGCATAAAAAACATGCTCAAAATCATTTGTTATCAGAGAAATGAAAATTAAAACTATAATCAGAGTCAAATACACACATATTAGATTGTTAAAATAAAGACTGACAATATGCGTGTTTCAAGGATGTAGAGCAAGGAGACTCTCATATACTACTGGTGGGAGTGTAATACAGTACCACCACTTTAGAAAATAGATTTGCATGTTCTTATAAAGTTAAAATACACTTACTATGTGACCTAGCAATTTCACTCCTGCATATTTGCTAACAGAAAAGAAAATCTATGTTTACAAAAAGGCTTGTACGTGAACATTCATATTACCTTGATTCATAATAGCTTCAAACTGGAAACAGTCCAAATGACAATTAGCAAAAGAATGGATTAGCAAACTGATATGAGCATAAAATAGAATATACTCAGCAATAATCACGAACAAATTAATGATAAACACAACATGGATGAATTTTAAAAACATGCTGAGCAAAAAATGCCAGGCATATTACTACAGGACATATTACTACATATGTCCATAGATAAGAAGTTCTAGAATAGACAAAATAAATCTTTATTAATGCAAATTAGATCAGCGGTTAGACTAGATTAGGTGGCAGTGGATTGACAGAAAAGGAACATAAGATAAATTTTTGGTGTTAAAAACGTTCCTTGTATCTTGTTTGTGGTCATGATTATACAACTGTTTACACTGGCCAAACTCAACAAATTTTACATTTAATTGGGTGCTTTTTTTTATATTTAAGTTACTTCTCAATATGTTTCACAAAAAATTAATATGGAACAGGGAAATCTGAGCTTCAATTCATTCCATGTAAAACAATTTCATATGGCTTTGATTGGTTGCATGTTCAATTGCAGCCAAGTAGTTACCAAAATTATTCCTCATTCTGAGGCTGCCTGAACAAAAACACACTAAGTACAGATCAGGAGACAGTATGACCACTGTCTGGCCACAAACGTAATACTATGTCCTGTTCTTTCTAACATATTTTAAGAAAGCACTTCACTTTGGGAAGATGATGATGCTCATAATGAGAGATGGCAAAAAGAATGCTCAAGGTAACTGGAATTGCTTTTAGCCAGAGAAAGGGAAAACTTAGTTGGGATCTTACAGCCATCCTAAAATACTGCAAGGTTAGTGTGGCAGAAACTGCTGGATACTACCCCAATTTTTCCTTACTTCTTCATTAATAGAATTACAATTCTATTGAGTATGGCAACGTGCCCAGGTATAAAATGTATTTCATCAAATCCCATTTTAGTTAAGGCCAATGAGGCATATGTTGGTCAGGACTTTAAGAACAGACCCTTTAAAAGATCAGTTAGCCTTAGTGGGCATGTGCCTTTCTTCTTTCTCCAAGTGGAATATTACAATGATGACTATAGCTTCAGCCTTTATCAGCAACCATGAGGAAAAGACAGAGAGCTTGGGTCTAATATCTTCAAGACACTGAATTAACACCAACGCTTCATTCGATTTCTCATTTTGTGAGAAAAATATTTAGAGAAGTATTTGGAGAAGTCCACTGTTAATGAGTTTTCTGTTACATGAAGGAAAACACGAAACTCTAACTGATACTAGGTAGATATAGAGAATGCACAGACATGCATGTTTTCGCTCCAGAAGGCAGAGCGTGAGCAAGCTAAATATAGCTAGGTATTAGGTCAGTATGATGAAAAATGTAATGATGGAGCTTTACAAAAACTGAATGGGCTAGCTAAAAACATAGCGACTCCTGTACTAGCAGTTCAGTAAAGTCTGCAGGGCAACACGCCAGCTACACTAAATGAGGTCTGCCTAGGAAGCAGTGGAAAAAAAATTTTGTGAACTCCTAAGGGTTATTCCTTTAAACTCTAAGATGCTATGGCTGGACTTTTTTTAGAGTAATTATATTTGTCTATTTCATGTTATGGTAGGAATTTGCCCTAAGGAAGTAGAACTAGTTTAGCTCAGAATGGCAATATTTCTTCTAAAACTTATTAGGAAACTAGAAGGAACGCTTTGTGGATGTAGTTTTCCTAAAGGTCATGCAGAACTTCCAGGTATTACAGATTTTGAAAGATGAATAATAGCCATTTTAGTGGTTATCTTTTTTTTTTTTTAATAGATGGAGTTGTCCAGGCTGGAGGGCAGTGGCATGATCTTGGCTTACTGCAACCTCCGCCTCCTGGGTTCAAGTGATTCTCCTGCTTCAGCCTCCTGAGTAGCTGGGATTACAGGCCCCTGCACCACACCCAGCTAATTTTTGTATTTTTAGTAGAGACGGGATTTCGCCATCTTGGCCAGGCTACTCTTGATCTCCTGACCTCAGGTGATCCACCCGCCTTGGCCTCCCAAAGAGCTGGGATTACAAGCATGAGCCGTCGTGCCCAGCTCATATCATTCTCAAAGGACTTTTGTAGCACACAGAATGGTTTCTAAATAATATTATCCATATCTTGACTAACACGGTGAAACCCCATCTCTACTAAAAATCCAAAAAATTAGCCGGGCGCGGTGGCGGGCGCCTGTAATCCCAGCTACTCAGGAGGCTGAGGCAGGAGAACGGCGAGAACCCGGGGGGCGGAGCTTGCAGTGAGCCGAGATAGCGCCACTGCAGTCCGGCCTGGGCGAAAGAGCGAGTACTCCGTCTCAAAAAATAATAATAATAATAATATCATCCATAATATTAGTTGATAGTCTCTTCATAATTCTAAATCCAGCATTTTTCAAAGCATTACCAATGAAGGAGAACTTTTAAGATGAAGCTAAATATAAAAAAAAAGTGAATTACTGCAAATTACTATACATAGTATAATTTGAAATTTTGGTAATATTGTCTAAGACAAATCATCCTTTTGGGATAGTTTTTTTCCATACTGTTCAAACTACCCTTCATCCTATAACGGCAGACATGGCCTAATGATTCTCATTTTTAATCAACAGTGTTGTCAGACATTTCAATGATTCTGAACATAATGTTATGACATTCAGGGCCAGAGAGCAAGCATTCTCTACTTGCTCTCAGCTGAAAGCAAAGAGGTTCTCAAGAGCTGCCAGCCTTTCTCCTTTATGCTCTGAAAGCCTCCTAAACTTGTCAGTTTACTTCCATTACCCTTTTATTGAAAACAATGAAAGAAAAAAAGTTACTACGGTGTTTATACTTTTAAAGTGAATGTCTTTTGTAATAAGGTAGAAATATCACAGAACCATCGAATGTTGGAATCAGAAGCATGTTTGGCATATCATCAAGTACAATAGCCACATCCTGCCTATGTGGAAAGCTGGAGGGGCTAAAGGACCTCTCAAAGCTACACATGTAGAGTCAGCAGCAGAGCAGAGCTTAAAGCAGCAAGTGACTCTTACGGCCATCAGTAATCACACTCTTGCTTAACATGCAAATGAATAAAGCTATTTTTATAAAATCCCTCCCCCCCCCATATATTGGCAGTAACTCTAAATTCTAGTCATTTTTTAACCATTACAGAATAAGATTAGAAGCATCAGTAGTTAATGGTGATAATAATTTCCATTTTATATGGGGTTTTATGGTTCACAAATATATTTTATAAAATAAGTTTCTAACATTTCATTTTCTTATATTGAGGGCTTTTAAAAGAAATAACCAAAACCTATTTTATTAAAATTTGATATTTAAAATTATAGTTGAGAATAGTGGAAGATTTTTCCCATTATCTTTGCTCTCCTGGATAGCAACCAGATAAATGACTTCCCAGAGAAATGCATAGAGTCATATAAGATAAAACGTCTTTTTTTCTCCATTTTACTCAGAGTTTGATGATGAACTATGACTGGATATTGAAATAATCATTCTTTTATCCTTTGTAGTAAGGCTTACTTTGTCCAGTGGCAACATGATCAGACAAGCAGCTCTCAGATGACATGTGACAATATTAAATTCAATCTTAGCAAGCAGCTTCTCAATTTCACACTTGTGGTAGCTGGATTAACCCAATTATTTTTTGGAGGTTAAGGGAAACTTTCACATTTGCAGAATACCATCCTTCAGAAACCGGAATGTAGGATTTTGTTATCTCAAAGAATTTTATGGAGATGGAAAGATCAGTTAGTATTAAATTTTAGCACACAATCAGATGAAGGGTTTAGGAAGAAGTAGATATGATTACCTAATAATTCACTTTGAGTTCTTCACTTTGAGCCTCAAAAATGTGTGAAACTTGGGACTTTTACTAAGCATATCTTTCAGGCAAAATATTTTCATTGTACCAGTTCCAAGCTCTTGGTTCTAACACAAAACCCCTGCTACACATACACACACATGCACTCACACACACACAGGCTACCTATATATACACCTGCTATGTGTGTGGATATGTATTTACACATACACATATCAGGTGTATACATACGTAGCATGTATATATACACATACACACACACGCACACAGGCACACACATACTTGTTACCTATATATGTATACATGCACATATCAGGTGTATGTAAATGTAACATGTATATGTACACACACGCACACAGGCACACACATACTTGTTACCTATATATGTATACATGCACATATCAGGTGTATGTAAATGTAACATGTATATGTACACACACGCACACAGGCACACACATACTTGTTACATATATAATTACACATGCACATATCAGGTGTATGTAAATGTAACATTTATATATACACACGCGCACACAGGCACACACATACTTGCTACATATATATACAGTCAGGTGCTGCATGATGACATTTTGCTCAAGAACAAATCACATACATGAGGGTGGTTCCATAGATTATAGTGGAGCTGAAAAACTCTAGTGGCATTGTTCTCATTGTGACATTAGTGCAATTACTTAATTTTTAAAACAAATTTAGTGTAACCTAAGTGTACAGTGTTTATAAAGCCTACAGTAATGCATAGTAACGTCTTAGGCCTTCACATTTGCTCACTGCTCATTCACAGATCCACCCAGAGCAACTTCTACTCCCACAAGTTCCATGAAAAGTGCCCTATACAGGGGTGGCAATTTTTTTTAATCTTTTATATCATATTTCGCTGTACCTTTTCTGTGTTTAGATATGTTTAGATATACAAATACCACTGCATTGTAATTGCCTACAGTGTTCAGTACAATAACATGCTATGCAGGTTTGTAGCTTAGAAGTAATAAGCTATACGACATAACCTAGTTGTTTAGGAGGCTACACAATGTGTTTGTGTTATGTGCACTCTATGATGTTCTCTCAACAATGAAGTCACCTAATGATGCATTTCTCAGAAAGCATCTCCATTATTAAATGGCACATGAACGTATTTGCTACATATATACATACTGGCTATAAACACACACACACACACACACACACTCACACACACCTGCTACAGTCCTTTCAAAGTATAAAAAAAGATACCAAAATGTGTTAGAGATTCGTTTGTAAAATGTAACTATTTTCGGACCAGATGGATTCACAGCCGAATTCTACCAGAGGTACAAGGAGGAACTGGTACCATTCCTTCTGAAACTATTCCAATCAATAGAAAAAGAGGGAAACCTCCCTAACTCATTTTATGAGGCCAGCATCATCCTGATACCAAAGCCAGGCAGAGACACAACCAAAAAAGAGAATTTTAGACCAATATCCTTGATGAACATTGATGCAAAAATCCTCAATAAAATACTGGCAACCCGAATCCAGCAGCACATCAAAAAGCTTATCCACCATGATCAAGTGGGCTTCATCCCTGGGATGCAAGGCTGGTTCAATATACGCAAATCAATAAATGTAATCCAGCGTATAAACAGAACCAAAGACAAAAACCACATGATTATCTCAATAGATGCAGAAAAGGCCTTTGACAAAATTCAACAACGCTTCATGCTAAAAACTCTCAATAAATTAGGTATTGATGGGATGTATCTCAAAATAATAAGAGCTATCTATGACAAACCCACAGCCAATATCATAATGAATGGGCAAAAACTGGAAGCATTCCCTTTGAAAACTGGCACAAGACAGGGATGCCCTCTCTCACCTCTCCTATTCAACATAGTGTTGGAAGTTCTGGCCAGGGCAATCAGGCAGGAGAAGGAAATAAAGGGTATTCAGTTAGGAAAAGAGGAAGTCAAACTGTCCCTGTTTGCAGACAACATGATTGTACATCTAGAAAACCCCATTGTCTCAGCCCAAAATCTCCTTAAGCTGATAAGCAACTTCAGCAAAGTTTCAGGATACAAAATCCATGTACAAAAATCACAAGCATTCTTATACACCAATAACAGACAGAGAGCCAAATCATGAGTGAACTCCCATTCACAATTGCTTCAAAGAGAATAAAATACTTAGGAATCCAACTTACAAGGGACGTGGAGGACCTCTTCAAGGAGAACTACAAACCACTGCTCAAGGAAATAAAAGAGGACACAAACAAATGGAAGAACATTCCATGCTCATGGGTAGGAAGAATCAGTATCGTGAAAATGGCCGTATTGCCCCAGGTAATTTATAGATTCAATGCCATCCCCATCAAGCTACCAATGACTTTCTTCACAGAATCGGAAACAACTCTTTAAAGTTCATATGGAAGCAAAAAAGAGCCCGCATCGCCAAGTCAATCCTAAGCCAAAAGAACAAAGCTGGAGGCATCATGCTACCTGACTTCAAACTATACTACAAGGCTACAGTAACCAAAACAGCATGGAACTGGTACCAAAATAGAGATATAGATCAATGGAACAGAATAGAGCCCTCAGAAATAACGCCGCATATCTACAACTATCTGATCTTTGACAAACCTGAGAAAAACAAGCAATGGGGAAAGGATTCCCTATTTAATAAATGGTGCTGGGAAAACTGGCTAGCCATATGTAGAAAGCTGAAACTGGATCCCTTCCTTACACCTTATACAAAAATTAATTCAAGATGGATTAAAGATTTAAACGTTAGACCTAAAACCATAAAAACCCTAGAAGAAAACCTAGGCATTACCATTCAGGACATAGGCATGGGCAAGGACTTCAAGTCTAAAACACCAAAAGCAATGGCAACAAAAGACAAAATTGACAAATGGGATCTAATTATACTAAAGAGCTTCTGCACAGCAAAAGAAACTACCAACAGAGTGAACAGGCAACCTACAAAATGGGAGAAAATTTTCGCAACCTACTCATCTGACAAAGGGCTAATATCCAGAATCTACAATGAACTCAAACAAATTTACAAGAAAAAAACAAACAACCCCATCAAAAAGTGGGCGAAGGATATGAACAGACACTTCTCAAAAGAAGACATTTATGCAGCCAACAGACACATGAAAAAATGCTCATCATCACTGGCCATCAGAGAAATGCAAATCAAAACCACAATGGGATACCATCTCACACCAGTTAGAATGACAACCATTAAAAAGTCAGGAAACAACAGGTGCTGGAGAGGATGTGGAGAAATAGGAACACTTTTACACTGTTGGTGGGACTGTAAACTAGTTCAACCGTTGTGGAAGTCAGTGTGGCGATTTCTCAGGGATCTAGAACTAGAAATACCATTTGACCCACCAATCCCATTACTGGGTATATACCCAAAGGACTATAAATCATGCTGTTATAAAGACACATGCACACGTATGTTTATTGAGGCACTATTCACAATAGCAAAGACTTGGAACCAACCCAAATGTCCAACAATGATAGACTGGATTAAGAAAATGTGGCACATATACACCATGGAATACTATGCAGCCATAAATAATGATGAGTTCATATGCTTTGTAGGGACATGGATGAAATTGGAAATCATCATTCTCAGTAAACTATCGCAAGGACAAAAAACCAAACACTGCATGTTCTCACTCACAGATGGGAATTGAACAATGAGAACACATGGACACAGGAAGGGGAACATCACACTCTGGGGTGGGGGGAGGGGGGAGGGTTAGCATTAGGAGATATACCTAATGCTAAATGACGAGTTAATGGGTGCGGCACACTAGCATGGCACATGTATACATATGTAACTAACCTGCACATTGTGCACATGTACCCTAAAACTTAAAGTATAATAATAATTAAAAAAAGATAATAAAGTTCAGATGCTTAAAAAAAATGTAACTATTTTCATTACAGTTGCTTTCAAATTTATCAGACAATATTTTGCAAAATTATAAATTCCATTGAAAATACATCAAAGCCTCATAATTAATGTTAAGCATGTCTTGGATCCTATGTATCTCAGATTTTTTTAGGTCATACAATTTCAAATGTTCCATCTCATCACACTCAAAAGTACACACAATTTCAGACCTGGTATTTTGATTTCTGTACTGAGAAGGATGACCACCAAACATGTTATTTTGCCTTCGTGGAATCAGAAAAATCCACAAAATCTAATTTTACATAAATTTATCAAAGTATACAATGGGTCATAATGATTTAACCTTTGTCAAAATAAAATATGATTTGGAACCAAGCGACTTCTATTCCATTTACTAGTAGTGCAGTTTAAGAAAATTTACTAATAGTCTGTGAATTCGGATCAGTTTTCTCTGCTGTAAAATGAGGATAATAATATTATCTAAATAGATTTTTGCAAAAATTCACCAAAATAATGAAATAATGTAATATGTAAGAATATCATGTCAATATTTATTTTATATTAATATGTAAAAACAAATTATTGCTGTAACTCATTACTGTAGCCCACACACTCATCTTTCTCCATATGCTCTAGACTAAAATTTAGAGACTTATTGAAAATGTTTACAGTATAATTATCTGATATACTCACTTTGTTTTTCTCCTTCAAAGTAGTGTTAATAATATGGAATCAAATATATCATCCACCCAATTGGCATAGAATAAATTTCCAAATAGTGACTTAAATAAGTTATATGGAAAGCTGTGCTATATGATGCATAATTCTCCTTTGACAATTTAAGAGAAAGATTATTTTCATACACTAACAGTATCAGATTTTCCAACAGAAATGTACTTTCCCCAAGTTACTAGATAGTCATAGAGAATATAAGTAAAACATATTTGTCAAAAAATGTCAGTTTGACTCTTCTTCCAAGATATGTCTCCTTTCCTCCACTGACTAACTTGTGATCTGTCTTTTGAGTATGTATTTTATTCTCATAAATACCTTAATTATACTGACACAAACACAAATTTATAATCTGTTCCTCATGTAAGGCAATACATTTATCTGCCATTTTATACTTGACTCAAAAAAAAGGGTCTCTTTGTCTTCAAAAATGGAGATTAGAACTCCATTAATTTAGGCAAGAAGGAACTGGTGGGAGTAGATGTGTTTTGGGAACATCAAGCTTGGGTCTCAGCTGCTGCATTCCAAAAATAATTTCCCTCACTGTAGGTTATGTATTATTTGACTCAGAGGGAATATTAAAACGTTTGAGTAATTTAAACAAGAATTTAAAAAACAGCGGATAACTGGTAATATCACTCCCGAATGTACAACCCAAGGGAATTCTAGCACTATTAAGACTTCAAATCAATTCCTCAGAACCTGAAATTTGCTACATTTCTCCTGCCATCTTTTCTCTTGCCTTCTTTTCACCCATCATCATATTCTCTTCCTTTGATTTTCAGTATTCACCACTGATGGTCTTAAAGTGGAACTGTTCTTTTGGTTTTGTTTTACGCAGAGGAAAAAGACATATTTTCTGATCTTAAGATAAAAGAAATGAGTTAGGACCCTTTATATATTTCCAAGAAAAGGGAATGAGAGAGGAGAGATGGTGGGCACGCAAGCACACAAGTTTGTGAGTGTGCACACACAGAAATTTATCACTCTTTTCTTTATTTGAATCAGTAAATCTAATTACATGGGTTGGTCAGGGGTAAGTCTTCACTAACACAGCCACTTTACTCTGAAATACAGCTACCAGAAATCACAACTATAACTGCTTCAAATCCTAATGAAATGATGATGAAAATGCATTTGTGTTAATTCCCAAAGGACTCAAATCGAATGTCAAATCTGTTTTCAAAGCAGCTTCTGAACTAGGAAACTAATTTCTAATACACAGGATAGTTCAATATGCATTATTTCCCAATATCAGTTTTATTTTGTGAATATATTTGAGAGATTACAAAACCCAGAAGAATGTCTTGAGTTAAAGTCAAAGCAATATTCTAGTTACAGACTGAGATACTTGTTACAGATTTTCCAGTTCATTAATGCTGTTATAGATATTTTAAAGAATAGTGGCAAATATTTATTTTAATTACATGAGAAAATAGAGTAAAATGAGAGTGATATAAAAATAATGTAAAAGAGAATGATTTCATATTAAGGTACATGCATGTTTATGTGTATGCGTGTGTTTAGTTGAACCAAGGGAAATTACCAACATTTGACACTGGAAAATGACAGAAGCAAAGACACAGAGAGACAGAGTCAGAGACAGAGAGACACAAGGAAGATTCTATCTCATAAAAGGAAACAAAATCCACAGACAAGCATCTCTTCCCCATGGCCATGCGAAGTCTCCAGTTATATTTTTGGTATTTTATGTTTAAATAGAAAGTCTAGCATAGAATCAATAATATTGGAAGAAAAGCCATAATACGAAATAAACAAAGCAAACAAATGGAAAAAAATGCACCAAAAAAAGACATTGTACATAAAGAAAACAACTTGAAAGAACACATCCTTATAATTAATATTGTGAAAAATTTTATATCCATTAAGCAAGACAGTGTTATTTTAAAATTAAACATCAGAGTTCAAGAAAGAGATCCTGGAAATCAAAGATATGACAGCAGATATCACAACTAAATAGAAAGCTGAAAGACAAAATCAAGGTACATTCCAGGGACAGAAACAAACAAACAAGATAAGAGAATACAACAAGATAATACAATAAGATAATACAAGATAAGATACACAGAAAAGATAACAGAAGAGAAAAGTAAAGAAACTGAGATGTCAATACAGGTAGTCAAATACTCAAAGGTTGCATCAGAAAACAGGAGAAAACAACATCACTAATGATCAGGGAAATGAAAATCAAAACCACAAGGTGATACCACCTTACTCCTTCAAGAATGGCCATGATCAAAAAGTCAAAAAACAACAGATGTTGGCATGGATGCAGTGAACAGGAAACAGTTCTACACTGCTGGCGGGAATGCAAACTAGTACAACCACTATGGAAAACAGTGTGGCGATTCCTTAAAGAACCAAAAGGAGAACTATCATTTGATCCAACAATCCCACCACTGGGTATCTACCCATAGGAAAAGAAGCCATTATATGAAATAGATTCTTCAACATGCATGTTTATAGCAGTAAAATTTGCAATTGCAAAAATATGGAACCAGCCCAAATGCCCATAAATCAATGAATGGATAAAGATATTGTGATATATAGTGCTTAACGAAATAAAAGAGGATACAAACAAATAGAAGAACATTCCATGCTCATGGATAGGAACAATCAATACCATGAAAATGGCCATAACTGCCCAAGGTAATTTATAGATTCAATGCCATCCCCACCAAGCTACCAATGACTTTCTTCACAGAATGGAAAAAACTACTTTAAAGTTCATATGGAACCAAAAAAGAGCCCGCATTGCCAAGACAATCCTAAGCCAAAAGAACAAAGCTGGAGGCATCACGCTACCTGACTTCAAACTATACAACAAGGCTACAGTAACCAAAACAGCATGGTACTGGTACCAAAACAGAGATATAGACCAATGGAACAGAACAGAGCCCTCAGAAATAATACCACACATCTACAACCATCTGATCTTTGACAAACCTGACAAAAACAATAAATGGGAAAAGGATTCCTCATTTAATAAATGGCGCTGGAAAATTGGCTAGCCATATGTAGAAAGCTGAAACTGGATCCCTTCCTTACACCTTATACAAAAATTAATTCAAGATGGATTAAAGACTTAAACGTTAGACCTAAAACCATAAAAACCCTAGAAGAAAACCTAGGCAATACCATTCAGGACATAGGCATGGGCAAGGACTTCATGACTAAAACACCAAAAGCAATGGCAACAAAAGCCAAAATTGACAAATGGGATCTAATTAAACTGAAGAGTTTCTGCACAGCAAAAGAAACTACCACCAGAGTGAGCAGGCAACCTACAGAATGGGAGAACATTTTTACAATCTACCCATCTGACAAAGGGCTAATATCCGGAATCTACAAAGAACTCAAACAAATTTACAAGAAAAAATCAAACAACCCCATCAAAAAGTGGGCGAAGGATATGAACAGACACTTCTCAAAAGAAGACATTTATGCAACCAAAAGACACATGAAAAAATGCTCATCATCACTGGCCATCAGAGAAATGCAAATCAAAACTACAATGAGATACCATCTCACACCAGTTGGAATGGTAATCATTAATAAGTCAGGAAACAACAGGTGCTGGAGAGGATGTGGAGAAATAGGAACACTTTTACACTGTTGGTGGGACTGTAAACTAGTTCAACCATTGTGGAAGTCAGTGTGGCGATTCCTCAAGGATCTAGAACTAGAAATACCATTTGACCCACCAATCCCATTACTGGGTATATACCCAAAGGATTATACATCATGCTTCTATAAAGACACATGCACATGTATGTTTATTACAGCACTATTCACAATAGCAAAGACTTGGAACCAACCCAAATGTCCATCAGTGATAGACTGGATTAAGAAAATGTGGCACATATACACCATGGAATACTATGCAGCCATAAAAAGGATGAGTTCATGTCCTTCGTAGGGACATGGATGAACTGGAAAACATCATTCTGAGCAAACTACCAGAAGGACAGAAAACCAAACACCACATGTTCTCACTCATAGGTGGGAATTGAACAATGAGAACACTTGGACACAGGATGGGGAACATCACACACTGGGGCCTGTTGTGGGGTGGGGGGAGTGGGGAGGGATAGCATTAGGAGATACACCTGATGTAAATGATGAGTTAATGGGTGCAGCACACCAACATGGCACATGTATACATATTTAACAAACCTGCACGTTGTACACATGTACCCTAGAACTTAAAGGATAATAAAAAAAATTAAAAAAAAAGAAATTGTGAGATACACACACACACACACACACACATACACACACACACACAGTGGAATATTACTCAGCCATAAAAAAGAATGAATTAACATACCCTGAGAGCTATAGGAAAATAAATGAAGAAAGAGTTATACCAATGAGTGTCATATATAGAAAAAAGATTGAATCTGTAACACTGCAAACTAAAAAACCTTAGAAAATTATGAGGGAAAATTGGTTTTACCCCAGTATTTCATACCTAGCCAAATAACAAGCCAAGTATAGGCTAAATAATTTCCAAATTTGCTGTATCTCAACACTTATATCTCCTGTCCACTCTTTCTGAGAAGTTACTGGAGAATGTTTTCCTCCAAAATGAAGACACCAACATGAAGGGGAATACATAGGATTTAGGAAAAGAAGCAAGAGGGAGGGGCAAAGGGAATTATTAGGCTGTTTACAAAAAGAAGAGAAAGAAAGAGGGAAACATGCTTCAATATCTTCAGCTTAAAAGAATGGAATGGAAAGAACATCTGATATATTTGTAGGCATTTAGAGATTTTTCAGTAAGTTTGTGTAACTTGGGAAATAATTCATGAAAGATACCTTGAAAACTAAACAAGTAGAGAAACAAATAGGAACTTTTAGAAAATTGAAATTTCATGCAGGAAATTAATGGAAATAAATAATACCACATGGCTAATCTGTGAACAATGCTTTACATAGTCATACAAGCAATAACACTAAATACTGATTTGTTTAAAACATAGGAGATATATAAGATAGGGAGATAGGGAGTAGAGATGAAGTGCATTGAGTATTGGATGTAAGGATACTCAATAATCTCCTTTCTTAAGAAGACATCAATTTAACATTCACAAAATAGCATTATAAAATGGTAATTGAAAACACAGCTAAATGAGAAAAGATACAGTTAAAAAAACTTAAAGTGGCCCCTTTTAGGGGACTGGCTGGAGAGTTCAGAAAAGGTGGGGCAACAAATTGCTTGCTCTTCCTCCCTCCTTTCTTCATTTCTGGTCCTAGGTTTTATAGTAATAATTCATTTCTTAACTATGTACATCTATTAATTCAAAGAAGAAAAATAAAAGATAAACCCATAGCACTTTTAATGTCATGATATATCTCTATTCCATATAATTTAATGTTTAATTCTTTGAGGAGTGTAGTGCTTTATCATTGTATTATAATCATAAAAAGGAAAAAGTAATTGTTACTACTCATAAATAAAAAGTTGGTAATTTTTTTCAGTATCAAGCTATTAAATTAAAGGCACATAGTTTGTACAAACAAACAGTTCATGACTTGATAAAATTGAATTAAAAATGTCATTATTTCTCTCTGTTTCCATTAAATAATTAGATATATCCTTCCTACACAGAAGGCAGAAATGAATTTTAGTTATTACCACTCAGTATTTTCTCCCAGTTGCACTTAACACAAAGGAGTGGCTTGTTGTTGTTATTGCCATTGTTGTTCTAATTAAAATGGATAATCACACCATATTTCTCTAATATGATCTTGGAAAAATCATTAATTCAAGTGGTATTTGTCCTTTGCAAAAAAAGTGTAATGCTCCCTCAAGGTGATTAGTTTTCTGGGAGGTCATTTTAGTATTCTAGATAATTGTTAACTAATTATTTTAAATGATGATTGTATATTGGCAAGAATAGAATATTTCAGGGTAATGAGTTTAACTGATAGTAAGAGATTGCTACTTTGGAGATTGTGCAATAACTGCTGGTCTCCATTTTCTGCTTGCAATGAGCATTGGTGGATAGGAATTAAATCTACATTTTTAATATGTTAAAAAAATAATTGGTTACTTCAATAATAAGTGTTGAGCCAGCATTTAGAACCCTAGAGCAGTCCCTAAGTATTTTTGTTTTACAGTTCCATGGCTTGTCATTTTCACAGTCCTTTCCATTCTTCCTATCACTTGACAGCTGTGGGGCTAATTCTCTCCCAGGACCAGTTTCCCAGAGGCATGGCCCTAAACCTTTTAACCTATTGACTTATTGTGCCAAATTTGGAAGGATAAGCATGTTTTGCATTGTGCTCAAATCTTCATTTATCTTTTAAAGATATGCTATTTAGAATGGTGGCAATCAGCAATAAAATGTGTGGCTGCCAGATTACCATGTTGTCTTGTCATGAACTATTACCTCACTGTGCTGGGAGCACATGAGAGTAAGATAACACAGTATAGTACAGAGAAAAATTGAGTTTATTTCCTACCTTTGGAAAAACATTAAAACATTTCTATATCTTAATTATTATATTCTGTCACTTTCATAGGTTAAAAGACAATAGCTCAAGCTCTGAGCCTCATTAAACTTGTTTGAGACTGTCTTCCTTAGCTTTTTTTTTTTAAACTACTCCCGTGACAGATTATTCTTTAGCTTTCTTAGAGCATTTTAGCTTGTTGATTTCACAATAAAATAAAAAAATAGAATGGCTTCTTAATCCAGTAATTGAATCAGACTCCTAAGGCAGTAATCATTTCTGTAAAAAAGAATGAAAAATCCAAAATACTATCATAATTACATAAAAAGATGAATTTTATATTATAAGCTAATGTAACAAAGTTATAAGGATAAATAAGAAGAAAATGATTGCATGTCAAAATTAGGAAAAAAAACCTGTATGTATGTGTATGTATCTAGAAAGGGACAGTAAGCCCACAAGTGGGAAACTTAGACAAAATCAATAACCCATTTCTTCTATTGCTTAGCTCTATGAACTTTATGAAAACCAATTATTTAAAAATTTATGTCACTTGCGATTTTATGGTTTTCATCATCAATGGCATGCATTTCAGTTCTTAGAGCTTTTCTACATTTGATAATTCCATAAACTAAGCTATCTGCTGCCCCCCAGGGCCAGTTTGAACTTAGGTAACCTCCCCACCTTTGCCAGTGTCTGCTCCATGTTGTCAGCTGGTTTCTGGCATTAATGACTTCCTGATGTTGCTAACTTATGTTTCCTCACCATTTCCTACACTGGCCTCTATAAACCCAATTCCCTTTATTCTAATCCATTCATTTATAATACTTAAGGTATAAAGTAGAACCTCCCTAGGCACACCTACCATTACTTTGACTGATATAGCCACAAAGTTATCAATTTTTTACGCAAAGAAGACAGAAAATGCATAATTCTCCATATTTCTTTGCCTCTGACATATCTTGTTAGGTTCAGAACTATGAGCCATTTGATATTTGTGTGTTTGTTGCATATATTGTATTAGAAATTTGTCAACATGAGTGATGGAATATTTGTAGGGTGGTTGCTGATTACTAGAATTAGAATTCACATCAAAATATGATACCAAATAAAGAAAAGGAAAAATCTATGGGACAGTTGTTTCTTACAGATAAGAAGACATTTTCTTTTTAATTATAATTTTCAAATGATCTCTGAATGATCCTTATCTTTAATACAGAAAAGGAAAATAATGTACTAAGAATGTTGGCAGAAGTATAAGTCTGATTTTCCTATGAATAAAACTCCTTTCTCCAATACATTTCTTACTTTTTGTGATACATGTAACCAACTTAAGATGAGTCAAGCCTAAATAATACAGCAGCATAGCCTGTCACTTTTCCTCCACTGATCTTTGTGACCTATTCCTTAGTGTAGGTTACTTTTCTTATTTTTCAAAGAGCAAGAAGAAAATGGATCCCATGTGGATGGAAGATGTCTATGAAAGCAAGCCAAGTGGAATAAAAAATAGTGAGGAGAGGATATAAAAATGTTTAAAGGATGATTTTGCACTTTAAAAAGAAAAGGTTCCATGACTCACTGAGAGTTAAGATAAATGATTGACTAGGAAAACAGCTCGGTTTGAAAATAACGTAAGCAAAGAGACTCCAAAATAAACAAGAAGGAACTGAGCTATTGAGACCATCCAGTCTCCCGAGACCTCACACTTTCACATTCAGCACTGAGAAGGGAAAAATAACAATAGTAATTATACGAACATGTTCAGACCTCTTTCACATGTCAACATACAAAAACATGCTTGGCCAAGAACTTACACCTGTTACAGGTCTTCATCATGCATCCTCAAAGTCACTTTTTCCATTGTGGCTTCAAATTCTTTCTCATGTCTACTGTCTTGTCTTCCTTTCGTCTTGCACTCTGGTGCCTAGCTTTTCTTCTATAACATCAATTAGAACTCTCAAGAACTTCTTCATGGCTCCTTATGTTTCTCTCTTCAATATGAATACAATGGTATTTTCTTTTATTTCTTTATTATTATTATTATTATTATTATTATTATTATTTTGACACAGGGTCTTGCTCTGTCATCCAGGCTGGAGTAGAGTGGTGTGATCATGGCTCAGTGTAGCCTCAACCTCTTGGGCTCAAACAATCCTCCCACCTCAACCTCTCAAGTAGCTGGGACCACAGGCAGGCATCACCATGCTAGCTAATTTATTTTTAGTTTTTGTAGAAATGAGGTCTCACTATGTTGGTCTTGAACTCTTGGGCTCAAGCAATCCTCCCACCTTGGCCTCCCAAAGTGTTTGAATTACAGGTATGAGCCACCTTGCCCGGTGGATATTATTTTTTTCTTTGGGGCTGAAGGCAATTGACATTCCTTAAAATTCTACTATCTATCATTCTAAAGAGTTCTGTTGAACTATACCTCAAGGGACTTAAAGACTTTCTTTTTCCTCTGCATTTTACCACCTACTCCTCTTACCCCCGGCTTGGTGCAGTGATGAGAAGGCATTTAGTAAACACTGTTTCAGTTCTTCTTCCTCGGTTTCCAAGGTCCTCTTTCAAAGTGATCTTAAATCCCTATTGAAACTGTTTGTTTTTATCCAAGATATGGAGTTTTCACTCCAAGCTGGTTGTTCTCAGTACCCTCAAAAATCTCATGTTCTCCCTACTTGTGCTTATAATTCTTAACTTAGGAAGAATATTTTAGTTATCTGCCTACCCATTTGTCAAGGTCTTGTTCAAGTTCAAGCTTCACTTGCCACATTGGGTAACACTTCTAGTAACTACTACACCCACCAAAAGTAAACTGTTAATTAATCTCTACTTCATTTCTGGTGATGACAACAATAACAGCTACCATTTACTACACTCACATTGGAAGCAAGGCAGTATGTTAAAATTTTGTTTACATGAAGTATTCCCAGGCATCTTCTGAAGTAGGTATTGTTATTGTTATTATTATCATTACCTTACAGATGAGAAAGAGCAGGATTTCTGTGTTTAAATAAAGTTCCTAATTTCAAAGTAAGTAGCAAAACTAGATTATAAACCTAAGTTTCTGATGTCCAAGCTGAGACTCAAGAATTTTGATACATAGCCTCAGTTGACACTTCAGCCAGCCTGAGCGCAATCAGTAAAGGTAGTTTAATGTAATTATATTTCCTCTTTGTCTTCCACAGTGCCTACAATATCAGGTCTCATGCACTTGCTGGTTGATTGCTTGAACAGACATCTCATTTCATAGTCAAAATTTTATTGTGCTGTGGCTGGGCGCGGTGTCTAACACCTGTAATCACAGCACTTTGGGAGGAGGCTGAGGTGGTTGGATCACTTGATGTCAGGAGTTCGAGACCAGCCTGGGCAACATGGTGAAACCCTGACTCTACTAAAATACAAAAATAAGCAAGTGTGGTGATGCACACCTGTAGTCCCAGCTGCTTGGGAGGTTGAGGCAGGAGAATCGCTTGAACCCAGGAGGCAGGAGCTGCAGTGAGCCAAGATCATGCAACTGCACTCCAGCCTGGGCGACAGGGCAAGACTCTGCCTCAAAGAAAAAAAGAAAAAATATATGTATACACACACACACACACACACACACACACACACACACATATATATATAGCAATTATATATATAAATAAAATTGGAAAAATTATATATTTAAAAATTATATATACACATACACAAATTATATATATACACATATACACACATATATATGTGTGTATATGTGTGTGTGTGTGTGTGTGTGTATATATATGTATGTATGTATGTATAGTGCCCTATAAGTCAATTGCAAACAAGAGTAATATATGCAACTGGGCATAGTGGCACACATTGTAATTCCAGCTACTCAGGAGGCTGAGGCAGGAGGATCACTTGAGACCCAGAGTTAGAGGCTACAGTGAGTTATGATTGTGTCTGTGAATCGGCACTGCACTCTAGCCTGGAAACATAGCAAGATTCCATCTCTAAAAACAAAAATAATAGTATATGTTAAGTTTAAATAATTCAAATCTAATGAAAAAAGGTAAATCAATTTTCGATTTTTAAAAACTCACCTTTTTATAGAACATGGAAAAAATGTATATGTGATAGAATCATCCCTGAACAGGAAGTCAACATTTTTTAGAGTGTAATAACATGCGAATATGACAAGATTCTGAAAAAATATTTTCTTCTGTCTTTATTTCTTGAGTATTACTAATAGTATTAAGATTTTATTAAATATTATCTTCATGCTATCAGTTGTAAGTTTATAAATTGATCCTGTTTCAAATATTTAATGTTTCACTTGATTTTTGAATCTATAATACATTTCA
Source organism: Homo sapiens (assembly GCF_000001405.40). NCBI lineage: Eukaryota > Metazoa > Chordata > Mammalia > Primates > Hominidae > Homo > Homo sapiens. Next base: position 175,354,311 of record NC_000003.12, on the reverse strand, counting down.
GAATATCCTTTAGTCTGTTCAAGAGTAATGGTTTCTACATAATTTATATTTAAAGTTAGGTTGGACCATACTAATTCTTTCTTACCCTGAAGTGTCAATCATGATCAAGGTGTCATCGATAAGGTACATTACTACTGCTCTTCTTGTTTGATAACTTTCTTTAAAATTAAATAATGATTTATTAAGCTTTTAACAAAACAATGGAAATAAGGGCTGGGAGCAAAGGCTGAGAAGGCTGAGAGTGAAGATGGGACACAGGTATAGAAAAAGCTGCAGTGGTACACAAGTTTATAAGAGAAAAATAGCTCCATAATTCTCATTCTGAAAACAATTTATAAGTATACAAACAACAAATGTGTTACATATATGATGTCAATCTTCCAGCTGTTGGGTAATTTCAAGTGACAGAATTCCACTAAATTCTTGGTTATCATGAAGGCACACCTTTGGTAGTTTTAGTTTTCATTTGACTCTTTCTCTCATAGACACTGAAAGTATTTTTATCCACTAAACAGTGTGACAAAATATGATGAGTGAAAAATTTGCTGTATTTGGAAACTAGGTTTGAGGGAATTAGATAAAATATTTGAAAATCAGTGGTTGTTAGATTTCAAATCTTTTCCTTTCAAGCTAGCTTGCCTATCAACAAATCCTACATTTTCTTTGAAGAGTCTTTGAAACTCAAAATGATAGTAGAACAACAATGCACTGAAAAGCAAGAAACCAGCTATATTATTTGGTCTCCTTGTGATCTTGAGTAAATCACCTAAGTTTGACATGTCTTAGTCTTCTCACCTTTGAAATTGTTTAATGCAGTAGCAATTCATAATCATTATTTATATAGAAACTATGCCCTTTTATCTTTAGGTTTTAAGGATTTTGAATAATTTTGGGATGAGAGAATACATTAAATATTAAGTAAATATGTGCTGAACGAATACTAATATTATATGTTTTATTTGTATTTTTAGAGGCAAGGGTCTTGCTACGTTGCCCAGGCTGAACACAAATTCCTGGGCTCAAGAGATCCTCCGACCTCAACCTCTCAAGTAGATGGGACTACTGGTGCATGCCATCACACTCAACAATACTGATATTCTAATTCAAAGTTTCTTAAATCACAAACTAAAAGCAGTATCAGACTGTGCAAATTAATAACAATACAGAGCCAAACACACACACACACACACACACACACACACATTTTATTAAATGGATATTTGAATAAATGAGTAAATAAAACAGAGGGAAGTTTAAAAAAATAACAGAAATTCCATATCATCCTTTTGAATTAGTGAGAATGCCCTGTCTTTCAGGGTTCGTTGATTTCAAGAAAACAATAGCTGAAGAAATAATGAATACCTGCTGGAGTCCAGGCAGGCTAGGTATAAGTGGCAGGTTTAACACTCAGTTACCTGTGAGAGCTCACGTTGGACGAAAGATTCTTCTTGTCTTTTCCTTTTCTACCACCCACACACCCACACCCACACCCATACCCATACCCATAAATGTAATTCAGCACAATTTTGACATAAAACATTATTTTCTTTTAAATCTATTATGTCATTGTGCCCATTGCTTCAAGCTGCTGTTCAATTCTCTCTGCTCCCTCTTAGTCCAGAAACAAACACTGAGCTTCACACCTTTGTTAAATTGCTTACTATTAAGGCATCGTTTATTGAAATATCTGAGTATTTCCTTCTCTTGAGACTTTGAGGCACTAGGAATAGTTCTTGAATGGCAGCACCTTATATCCTATGATTGGCAGAAAGGAAAATATTTGAAGATTTGATAGGCCTCACCTAACAAGGTAAGAAACTTGAAGGAATGCTTTAAACCCACCTTAACTCTGGACAAAATTATCTGTAATTGTAATTTTGGGATAGTGAATTTGACAGATGAGGTCTCAGTACACAGTACATTCGGATCCCTTTGTGTAAATAAAGAGTCCAACTCCATTTTTTGTTGTTTGACTGCTGACAGCTTTTAAGCCTCACCCTTCCTTCTTCTCCTCAGCCTCACCTATGGGCAAGCTGTGAAGAAAGCCCAGGTGATATCTCCTTTGCCAATGAAAGTTTAAACCACAAAGAGGAAGCCACAGCTTGGTCCCATGTCCTAGCCCCCATTAAAAAAAAAAAAAAAATCCAAGCCAGTCTCCTTTCCTTCTGTCTCTCACCAATATAGAGCATGTTTGAGAGCCACCTGAAATCCACAGAGAGCCTCATTCTATGCAGGAGAAACCTCTTCATACCCTCTCGATGCATGCGTGTCACTGTGAGCATCAACATCCAAATCAAATTCTGTGTGTGGGTCCATCCTGTTATTGCAGAGGGTTAATCCTATTACTGCAGTGTGCATCACACAACTTGCTGGTTTGGATAAAATGACTGGAGGTTTAGTGGAGTGTCTCCTTTATTTCTATGATGTAATTGCTTTAAGATCAGATAAACACATTCGCCACCCCCAAATGGATGACTAGGAACTTCCTGGAAAACCCCCATTGTTATTTCCTCTCCATTTTCCCCTCCCTTCCTCTCCAACTAGTTCATTGCCATCTTTCCTCAAATTTGATTGTTTAGATAAGTTGTACCAGATTCATTAATACCCTGAAGATATCGCAATTCGCTGGTTGTGACCTACTGATTGCCACACGTACGCAAATTCACCAGCTTTCCTGCCAGTCCAATATGGGGAAAACCTACTGCAGTCAGTGTTGTCTATACGTTCCTTCCTCATACCTTACATTCAACTGTCTATCTTCTATTGTCCAAAATAAATGATAAAACTACTGATTTATTCAACATTTTGAATCTATGGTAGTAGTTGTATGTGAGCAAAAAAAAATTATTTGGAAAATACTTGTTTGGACGTGGATTGTGTGTGCATATACATACATATAATGTTATCATATATGTATATATATCATATATAAAGTATTTCATGTATGAAACTAAAATTACACATATATATGCACATCAGATTTTTATCATATACACATGAACATATATATAGTGTCAATTTACTTGATCATGAGTATTTATTTTATTGAGAAATGCACAGCTATTTTTTTAAAAATCAAAAAATATATCATAGATAACATTATTAAAGTGAGTAGAGTTTTGCTGTGTTGAAGCCAATAATTATTACATTTCACCTAAGTGACCTTGAAAAGTGAGACTCATTGAAGTTATTCTATGATGCATACTGTACAATTTACAAGTTTGCAGCACATTTACTGAACATATTAAAGTCACACTCCAAAGTATATGCAATTGATAATTTTAATGTTTCAAAGCTACTTTTTTTCCTTTAGGAAAACTATCTGCTGTTGGTAATTATAAAATCATCTATTTCTGTTTTTAATGAAAAAAAGTACCAGGATAATTTGTATGTATGTGAAAGTATCCATTTGAGAAAAAAAAAGATTGAATTCTTAGCAGAGATAATTTTATTTACAATTCAGTAAGTTAATTTAATTTTAATTGTCCCCAAACACACAAACACATTTCCCCAGAGGCCATTGAGTTAACTAGAGGAATAAAAGGGAGGAGAGACAGTTTACTTTAATACTTCTTGGCTCTTCCACACACATGTCTTAAAGTGAGAGACTTCTCCCTACAAAAAATTCATGATTTCTTTGTCTTCCCACTCCTCTCCTTTCCCATTTATCAGCCATAACTCTCACCTGAATCTTTAGCAGGAGAAAAAGAGACGCCTAATGTGGGTACAATACACAAAGGTAGATATGGCTGCATCAGTGTTCTGATTCTAGACTCTCCCACCCCTACCCTTCTGGAATTGCCTCTCTGACTGCTGTTGAGTCCTTTGAAACATGTTTGCCCATCAGAGTTTCAGAGGCCCATGTGCATTCTGAACACACCATCCAAATTAGCAGTATGAACGGAAGAAAAACCTTTCTCTACCTACACTTCTCATTTTCCCTCAGAGACAGATATCTGCTTCTCACTGCTTCTCTACCTCAACATAGGACTTAAGTTGGAATTTATTTTTAATCAGTTTATCAGAATAAATTGTTTGCAACAGGAGTATATTTTTACTGCCTTTATTGCTTTATCTTGTCTAATATTTTAATAAATGAGTAAATATAACAGAGAGCAAGGAGTATCAAAACCAAAAGGAAAAGGATAAAAGCCAGCCTACTAAAACAAGGGAAAAACACATTGCCAAGAATATTCTTTTCTGATTGAAAGAAAGACTTAATTAAGGACTATTAAGTTTATCCTTTTTTTTTTTTTCAATCAAGCCTTGTGTTTGTAACTGGAAAGCATGAAAAACTGTAAGTGTGCCTGAAGTGCCTTCGGAGGAGTCACAAACATAGAAGAAGACCCATGGGATTAATGACAGTCATGTCTTTCTGAGAGTAGAATAAACAGTCATCCAACTTTCCATCCAATAAGTCCACTGCACATGCTAGCCAGGCTCTCTCTAATGTGAGGGAAAGAAACAAGCAGGTAGACAGTTTCCAGTCATCGGCCTTGATTTCAGCACTCATCAGGTTCTTGACATAGTTTTTAAAAACGGGGGTATATGGCTACTATGGTGCAAATAGAGTGGGGTTTAGGCTTTCTATCCTTTCTCTCCCAAACAGAGAAATACTGAGTATCAGTCTCCTCAAACTTTCTGTAGTTCACATTTTCTCACCTTCTACAAACACAGTTAAAGATAAGGAGCAAGAGAAGAAAAGGTTGAAGCAAGGGTCTGTTTTCTTAAAAAAAAGAGTCATATTTAAAAAGGAAAACTCCGCATAGGAGAGTTCAGTGACTTCCCCAAGCTTTTGGGATGAAGACAGAATTTCTTTCTTAACATGGCCTATGGGCCTTTTCCAGTTACCTCTTGAATTAAAGCTTTATGCCTCATTTCCCCCTCCGCACACTCTAGTCTCTGTGGTTTTTTGTGAATTTCTTCTTTGGCCTGCTACTTCCTGCCACCTGGCCTTGGTACATGCACCTCCCCTGTTTAGTAGGTCTCACTCTTTCTTATCCACATAGTTGTTGCTTAACATACTTCAGATCTGGGTTCAACTGCTTTCCTCAGTCTCTGGAACAAGCTAGGATTACACTGGACATCTTTTTTTTTTTTTTTTAATAGCAGTTGTCCAGTGGAATTATGTGTTTATTTGTGTGATTAGGATTCTCTCTCTCTCTTTCATTCTTATTCTCTGATGGTGGGGGCCATGTTTTCAGTCACCCCTATATATCCATAGTACAACAACATGTCCCCCACAAAAGACTAATTAAAAGAAAAAGAAACTCAACTATGTATGTGTGTTCCTCTACGTATATGCATAGGGAAAATGTAAAAACTAGAATAAGTATCCATTTGGTAAGATTAACAGGGATGCTTTATTTTCTTCTTTTTGCTTCTGGGTTTTCAAAACTTTATAAACGGTTATTCTGTAATCATGCAAAAATTCAATTAAAAATAGATACACGTTATAACGGATTGAATTGTGTTCCCCAAAACGGTGTGTCGAAGTCCTACCTCCAGTAACCTGTGAATGTGGCCCTCTTAAGAAAAAGAGTCTTTGCAGATGTAATTAAGATGTAAGTTATACAGATTAGGGTGGCCCTAAATCCAATCACTAGTATCCTTAAAGAAAAACCATAGAGACCGTCACACACAGAAGGAACACAGCCATGGGGAGATGGAGGCAGAAATTAGAGTGAGGCAGCAAGTCAAGGAACACCACGGAGTGTTGACAACTGCAGGAGTCTGGGAAGATGCAAGGGAGGATCCTACCCTAGAACCTTCAGGGGGAACATGGCCCTGCCAACACCTTGATTTTGGACATGTAACCTCCAGAACTGTGAGAGAACACTTTTCCAGTATTGAATACTATTTTGTTTGTGATAATTTATTATGGCAACCCTAGAAAACTAATACACAAGTCTATGGTAATCCTCTACAAGTATTCTTTAAATTAGGAACATTACTAAGTAAGAAAATGTATTTTATGTATAGAACTAACCTTTTGCACTTTGGGAGGCCGAGGCGGGCAGATCACCTGAGGTTGGGAGTTCAGGACCAGCCTGTCCAACATGGAGAAACCCCGACTCTACTAAAAATACAAAATTAGCTGGGCGTGGTGGCACATGACTGTAATCCCAGCTACTCAGGAGGCTGAGGCAGGAGAATCGCTTGAACCTGGGAGGTGGAGGTTGCAGTGAGCCAAGATCACACTGTTGCACTCCAGCCTGGGCAACAAGAGCAAAATTCCGTCTCAAACAAAACAAAACAAAAGAAACCTAACCTTTTTTTTTGAAGCCATCATTCTCAGCAAACTAACACAGGAAACCTAAACCAAACACTGCATGTTCTCACTTGTAAGTGGGAGTTGAACAATGAGAACACATGGACACAGGGAGGGGAACATCACATACTGGGGCCTGTTGGAGGTTGCACGGCTAGAGGAGGGATAGCATTAGGAGAAATACCTAATGTAGATAACAGGTTCATGGGGGCAGCAAACCACCATGGCACGTGTATACCTGTGTAACAAATCTGCAAGGTCTGCACATGTACCCCAGAACTTAAAGTATAATAACAATAAAAAAAGAAATCGGTATTGTCTAAGTCATCAATTCTTGCTGTGTTTGTTCTGTGTGTTACCTAAACTTATTTCACTTTCTAAAGGAAATCTTGACATAAAGCCATGACCAAGAAATCACATGGATCATATCATCATCACTGTCATCATTTATTGTTATTTTGGGGGGTGGTGACGGGGTTATTTATCTAGATGACAGTGCCTGCTTGCTTTCTTTCCTTTCCCACCTTAGCTTAGCTGTGTGATTGTGTAGTATATTCCTTTCAAATCTAAAAGTAGCTGATTCAATCACTATTTTATCCCTCTGTGCTCTGAGTCTAATATGAAGGCTTATGGGGTAGACCCAGTATATTTAGTTTTAAATACCCTATGTAAGTGCATAGTCAATAGTCAATTTACATCACATCAATTCTGTTTATAAAATACAAAGCATAAAATTGCTTTACCAGCTACTGGATCCTGGGCTAGCCAATTGGAAAGAGATTAGACAATTCAAGGCCTATTTGGCTGAATTCACCACTTGACGAAAGGGAGAGATGTCAGCAGTATCAGTTGAAAACTGAAAATTAATGCTGAGGGTAGCTTAACAAGCTCTGAGTCACCAGTGTGCCGGTTCCGGGTGCTGCTAGTGTTGGAAGGCAGCCCAATGTAATAGCAGCAGCACAGGCTTGAGAGTCATGAGCTGCTTAACATGAGCAAATGACTTGCCTCTGTGCACCTTATCTTCCTCATCCATAAAATGTTAACAGTAATACTTGTCTCGCAAGACTAAATTTGTATAAAGGCCCAACACAGTTTCTAACATTTCTTAGATGCTCAATAAATGATTACTGTTATTGTAGTTATTATTTTTATTTTGTTTTGTAAAGTAGTTGGTCAACTCACAACATGCATCTAGTTTCTTGAATAGAGCCAAAGAAGCAAAATCCATACAAGGAACACAGTTTCTGCTTCTAAGCCATTTAAGCTCCAGCAAGTCGTTTAACCCTCTCGACCTCAGTTTCTTTATCTGTGAAATGAGAGGGTTGAAGTCGTTTCACATTGTGTGATTTTAAGCGTAGCACACAGAAACTGAAAAAATGTCAGTTTTCTTTTTGTCATTCTATCTTGGGGTCATTGAACCAATTTGACCATTTTTTTAACTGCCTGTGTATATAATAAACATAATGTTGACCCCACTAGAAAGGTTAATTAACAAAAGTCAAACCCTAATTTTCACTGGGCATCTTTTGTTAGGTAAAAACACATTTAGATAGAAATAAAAGAAAGAAAATTTCACTGTCTATGGTGGGGTAAGGATGAAGTTTTTTGGTGCGCTCATTGAGGAAGATGGGCACAGCATATGGAATGTATATATTCCATTTAGGTAAAATCATACATTACACACATGCATATTTGTACATGCATTTGTGTTTATAATTTATATTCATATGTGTGTGTGTTTGTGTGTATGCATGTGTGTATAAAAATACAGAAAAGAGTGGCTAAAAAAAATCAGTGAAGTTTATCTCTGTGTGGCAGAATTTCAGAAGGCTTCTTTTATTCATATTTTTGTATACTGTTTGAATTTTTATAATGAATATATTTCATTTATATATTCAGAAAAATATAATACAATTACACTGAGATAAGAAAAATATATAAATGTTACAGTCAAATATGCACAAAAAGGCAGCTTGAATTTTTAACATTATTGCAGCTGATATACACTTTCTCATGAATTTCCTTTGTCCCTGAACAATTGGAAGAACAAATTTGCCAATTAAATAAATCACAGTCTGTTTCTTGTAAATACTATTCTGGGTAGGGTAAATTTTCAAAGACAGTATTTGGTTCAATGAGAAGCTTTTTATTGCCCCTGCAGGAAAGTGGGTCTGGTATCCACATGAAGATCATGTTGCTGTCTTCTATCATTTTGCAAGCCTCAACAGCAATTTCCCTTGTGTCATCTGGTTATTAAACATCCTATTGACAATCACTATGGAATTGCGGGCTCCATTCCATGCTACATAAATGCCATGGGTGACTTCTTAATGTCACTCTGGTACTTCTCTTTGCCCAAATAGACCATGCTACCATTTCTCCTCCACTGTGATCACTGTGTGGGATCAAGTTGGAGTGGTGCCTGCCAGGTGATCTCTTTCCAGAATCTGGAACACCAACAGTGCCATTTTAGAAACCACTCTTACTTTTACTCTCTCTTTGCCCTACAACAGAAAGCTCCTTTCCTCTGAAAGAAATTTCCTTTGCATCACACGCTCATTCTCTAAGAAGTGGTATTTGATGCCTTCATTCCCTGGTCCAATATTGTATGGATGATATTAGGAAAAAAACTGATGTCAAAAAGAAGATTCATCAGACGGTACTAAAATATTATCCCTTCCTTACTTCTTTTTAATATTATTTAACAAACATTCACTGAGTACTTCTTAATGGTTGGCTATAGTATTAATCATGATTCCATGGAATCATGGAATAAAACGTATGAAGTATTAGTACCTTAGGAAGGTTACTCAATTTATCTGATATTTATTTAATTTTTATTTATTTTCAAAATGGTGACAATAATATATAACTGACTAGCTTACTTATATTTATTTAATTTTTATTTTTTTCAAAATGGTGGTAATAATGTATGACTGACTAGCCTACTTTGATTGTACAATAAGATGAATAACAGCATAGGCTTTGGACTCAAAACACTTGAATTCAATCTAAATTTTTCTACCTATTATCATCTGTATGATTTGGGGTACTAATATGTTAACATACCTACTTAACATGTTTTTGTTCTAGTTTCCTCATCTGTAAAGTGGGGATTAATAACAGCGATAATAATAAAAATATGTACATCATTTATTGTTATGAAGTTGTAAGAGTAAATACTTGTACAACATTTATAAAAGTATTTTATTTCTAATGTAGTTAATAAATTATTGTTTTTCAGAATTGACATCAAATGATAAAAAATTAATATGAAAGTTGTAATCTTGAAACGTTTTACAAATCTAGTTTGTTACCAGCATTAATAATGTACCATCCATAACTACTTCTCCAACATTTCTGGATAAGGCAGGGAACAGTGCTTTCATTTATTTTCACGATAATCTTACGTGTCAATAGTCCATAGTTAGCAGGTAAATAATATATACCAAGATAAAAGATAAAAACACTTAAACATGAAAATTTTAAAGTTATGTCAAATTATTTCCAAAATTCCAATTAACCCATAAAAGGCAAAGGGAAAGAGGTTGGCAGAAGGCAGGTTTCTTGCATCCCCATCTATGGAGTTACTCTGGGCACTAGGCATACTTGATCAGCAGACATCCCACTGTGTAAATGTAGAAACCAGAAGGAGAAGTAGTGGTAGTGGTAGTCTACTTCTACCATATTGTGTAAAAGTAGAAAACCAGAGCATGACTTCCTGTCCTTTGCACTACTGAATTCCAGGCGTGCTGAAAAGGTGGATGTAAGTCAACTTCCAAAGTAGAAACCAAAGAAGTACTGTTGAAAGAAATGCTGATTTTTATGCAGCTGGTAAAGAAACTGCCAAATACAATGGGCTCTACCTGGATGCCAACACATAAACACTTTGACCTCTTACTTCACCGCTAGTAGAATTCTTCTGGATTTTATAAAAGCAGTCCATGATCATGGGTGATTCTGGCAGAAAAAATAACAGATTGCTTGTCGGTATTAAACCAGTATTTTTTCAGAACTGGGTTTAGGAGACAGAAATGGACTTACTTCAGAATGAAATAAGCTACAGCATCTTGCTGCATAGAAGGAAGAATTTTTTTTTTAAAGAAGACTGGTTTAGTTGCTTTCTCTTTCCTCTTTACAGACAAAAACATAGGTCACTCTAACACAGTTTCCATTCATTGATTTGCTCATTCAACTTGTAATTCTGTTTTTTGCCTTTCTACTGCCCTCTTTCACTTTTAATATGTTTTAGCAGAAATTTTATTTTTTAACTTTGCCCTGCATACATGGCATATTTTCATTGTCAATTCTTCTTTATCAATCTTTTCCCAACCCCAGTTTCCTAGTTTGATCAGTGGGAAGGGAAAAAAAAAAAAAAAAAAAAACATGATCAAGACACACAGGAACTCCAGGCAGACCCGTAGAAGACTTACACATAATGCATGAAAGACCAGGTGGCGCAGTGAACTAGAAATCACCAAAGAAATGCAGATTGTAGAAGGATCTGTCTAAGTGTCCTTGCTTAATTTCCATAATTTAATCTTTTCTTGGTTTCTTGGCTGTCAAGGTGAACATCAACACAATTCAGAAAGTTTTTTAAGGTATTGTAATTTCTATAGCAAAGCACTTTAATTACTACATATAATTTGTTAAGAAAAATAACAAGGAAATGCATTACAGGTGGAGAGGAAAAGTGTTCTAAATCATCCAACTTCATTTTTTTTCATGTGTGCAATGGAGAAACTCTATATATGCCAAAGCATTTACTGCTGTAGCAAAGGGTTTTAATAACTATATATAGTTTGTTAAGAAAAATTACCAGGCAATGTATTGTAGGTAGAGGGGAAAGGTATTATAATTCATCTAATTTCATTTTTTTAATGTGCACAATAGAAAAATTCTATACTTCCCAAAGCATATACTGCTTTGAAAGTTATTTGGCATGAGACTATTGAGAGAAAGAATAGTGGCTGCTATTTCTTATTAACACAATTCTACTACTCAGAATTTTTTATGCATACTACAGAAAATGTGTTTTTAAACTTTTAAAACTATTGTTCAATCTGGGGTATCTAAAAGAAATATTATGCTAAATTTCACTACACTAAAGCGACACATGTAACTGATTGGTACCATATTGTATTAGACTTTTCCAAAAGGATTAAAGTATAAGTCACAGCTTCCCTCACCCTGGGTGATCAAACATTGGACATGATGAAAAGCTGTATCTGAGGACAATACCAGTTGTGAAGTTTTGATTAGGCAGCAAAACAGAAACAAAGAAACATAAAAGGAAGTTGGAAGGTAGTAATAAAAATAATGGAAAGCATTTTTCTTTTGATTTATTGCTATTTTTTAGTCATTGCCATAATTTAAGAAAGTCAGAGTCACTATTACAGTTTGTTTGAACATCTACATTAGAAAATTAACTATAAAATATCCAGAGCACCTCCGGAGACTTGATTCACTTTGTATAAATGTAGCTCTGTATTATTTGAGATAGTGATACACACACACACACACACACACACACACGCAATATTTGGCAAATGCCAGGAGGGAGTAATCAGCTTAACACTGAAACAACAAGGATTGTCATCAACTTTAATAATGCTCACTACCTATCGGTTAAAATGCTGCCTAAGGATCAGATGCTTTGTGGTCTGACTCAGCTTATTATTTTATCCTTATCTCACATAACTCCCCATCCTACTTTCCACCCACAAGTAATCACAAAGTACCTGCTCCTTTTATCTCAGTGCTTGTGATTGTGTAGCTTCTTATCTGAAACCTATCACATGTATAGACTTCATATATATTTTTTTCTGACACTTCTTTTTAAAAGCATTTCATCAAAGACTTTTAAAACAGTAGATGCTTCATATGCAAATGTAAGAGACCAAGAATTATCAAAACAAGAACAAAGTTGTAGAACTCATTCTTAGCAATTTTAAAACTTACTACAAAATTATAGTAACCTAGACAGTGTATTACTGGTATAAGGACAGACATATAGATCAATATGAATAGAAATAATACATAAATTAACCCATACATCTATGCTTAATTGGCATAATTTTCAACAAAATGCCAAGAGAGTCAATGGGAAAAGAATAATCTTTCAACAAACAGTACTGAGACAACTTGCTATCCACATGCAAAAGAATAAAGTTGGACTCCTACATCATACCATATACAAAAATTAATTCAAAATGACCTAAATGTGAGAGCTAAAACTACAAAACTCTTAGAAGGAAACATAGGTGTAAATGTCTATGATGTTGGCATAGGCAACAAAATAAAAATCACAATGGGTCATACTGGGATTATTATAATTTTAAAAAATAACAAACCACAACAGAAAAATAACAAGTGACAGAAAGGATATAGAAAACTTGGACATCTCATATATATTGCTGGTGGGAATTTTAAACAGTGCATCCTCTATAGAAAACAGTTTGTCAGTTCTTCAAACAACTAAATACAAAGTTACCACATGACCCAGCAATTCTACTCTTAGGTACATGCCCAAGAGAATCAGAAGCATAATATGTTCACACAAAAACGTATATGTGAATATTTGTAATAAGATTATTTGTAACAGCCAAAAAGTGAAAAAAGACCAAATGTCCATCAGCTGATAAATGGATAAACAATACGTGGTGTATCAACACAATGGGATAGTATTCAGCCATGCAAAGAAATAAAGTACTGATACCTGCTACAACATGAATGAATCTTAAAAGTATTATGCTACATAAAATATGTTAGTCATGAAAAACCACACATTGTATGATTCCATTTATAGAAAACATCCAGAGTATGGGAATTTATAGAAAGCAGTGATTAGTAGTTGCCAGGGGCTGGAGGGAGGAGAGAATGGGGAACAACTGCTAATGCGTACAGAGTTTCTTTTGGGAGTGATGAAAATAGGTTGAATTAGTGATGATTTTTGCAGAACTCTGTGAATACGCTACAAAAAACAGTATTTAAAATGGTGAATTTTATGGTATGTGAATCATATCTCATTAAAAAAAAAAACCTTAGTTGAAGTCACACTTTCTTGGAAATGGATTTTCTAGGCTAAGGAAGATGTCCACCTCAGCCGAATCTCATTCCTGTAACATCTTATTCTTCTATTCTGAACTCACTGTTAACACTATGTATCTCTGTCCTTCTGGATCTTTGGCTTCTCCAATAGAGGGACTCTTTGTTTTGTCTCCTTGTGCTTCTCTTATGGTCATTTGAGAAATGCTTATTGATCAAACAAAGGAAGTCATTCTTAAGGAGCAGATACACATCATGAGGAAAGAAAGAAGCCATGATCATGTTAATTGCATCTGTATCCTTACCAAATAATTGATGATGAGCATCTTAACTGTGGCAGGGGCTTGCTTTCATAACTCTAGGGCCAGTTGAAGAAGCCATGCTGCCACAAAGCTACTCCCAACACTCCCTGCTGAGAACTGCCTTCTCTTTGTAGAACTGAGAAGGGGACAAGGAGCTGTCCAACTTGATCTAGGTCCCATAGACATTCCTCTAGTAGAGAAGTGTCAGGAGGTACCAGTGGGCATTATCCCAGCAATCGAGGGCTCCTATCCCATCTGTCAGCTGTAAATAGAGTGCAAATTTAGAGATATCATACATCTCACTTATCTCTGTCCTTGTTTTCCATCCTGATATGAATCATCTGGTCATCCTGGGCACTAAAAAGTATGATCTAGGAAAAGACAGCCATATTTCACCAATATCCCATTATATTCAGATGTGATTTTATAGCCATCCTAATTATATCATAGTTATCGAACATTTATAAATTTGTAGCATTCCTTATACTTAACAAGAGAAAATTTGTAACATTTCTTCTATGACTTATACAACCTGCTAAGTGAAAATATAAATTTTTGAGCTAAATTTACCAAAATGGTTCCTATCCTGTTTAGTTCTTGGCTCAGGGAAGAGAAAATAAACTGATTAGAGAGTTAGTAGTAACAGTGAATATCATATGCCACACCCATGAAACTCTCAAAATCCTAAAAATAATTATCAATGTAACTAAATTACAGACTTTTAAATAATGATGTGTTGAGGTTATATCTCTTTTAGAAAATGGTACAACTCTTTCCTGAAATATCATCTCAGTGTGCAGATTTTAACACATTTCCTTATTAGTTTTGAGCCTTTTTACACAAGAGAAATTCATCCCCAGAATTATATTTTACTTCTTTTATCTCTGAACATAGTGTCTATCCAGATAGGTAATGGATAAGGTCTGAAAGGGGTATATCAAAAGATATTTTGTCTAGGGTATCCATGAGTCCTCTGAAATTATAGGCAATTTTAAAAGTATGTTACATGTAGTTTTCTGGGAAGAGGGCACATTTCTCAAAGCCGTCAGCACTTTATGTAATGAACACCACTTATATTCTGTGCCCATTCTCATATTCATTCTTTTGCTCAGGACTAGTATGTCCTCATTATCAAGCTAGATGCACAAAGAATTAAAGACAAATATAAGACATCATTCATGAACTCAGGTATTTCATTGTGGAATTAAAGAGATGAGACTTGTATTTCTTTATTTTTATACAGAACAGATTGTATTTATAACCTCTAAGATCCCTTCCAGTGATAGAAATCTCAAATTGTGAATCATTATTGGCACACAGCAGTGGAGTTAAAAAGAGAGGAAAAACAAACAACGTAGGACCTTTGAAACTTTTCACATGGCACTCAGCCGATGGAACCTAACAATTCCAAGCTAGAAGATACCTAAAGCAGGATCCTCCTGTCCAACCTACTTATTTCACACAGGCTCTCTATCTTTCGATTAGTGATTCTAGACAATGTTTGATGTGACTGTCACTATTTGCAATATTAAATCCAAGATTTAACTTTATCCTCCTCAAGTCTGCTGAAGAATGGCTTTGAACTGCGTGCCAGCACAGTGTGCCTGCCGCAGTTGTTCCCCACTCCTTCAGGGTTCTGCTGTATTGCCAGAGGCTGCACTGGAGGCTTTGTTTCAGTGACGCTTTCAAACTCCTCCTGCCCTGTTTCTAATTGCTGCTCTTCAACTCTGTACAACACCAATGCTGTTACTTTGCTGCCTTCCCTCCCTTCTGTGCAGCATTGCTAGTCCTGCAGCTCAAGTGATGAGTCACTCACTTTCTTGAACTCGCCTCCTTCTTCACCTCACTTGACTTGAGAGGTGCCCAAGAGGCTCAGCCCCAGCCAAAGGATAGTACCAATCCTAACTTTATTTCAGGGAAACTCAAGGAACTCTTGCACTCCTGCTCACACTTTAGTGGGTGGTTTTGCCAGAGTTCCTAAACTCTTCACATCAGTTCTGGAACTCAGTTCCTGGTGTTTTGTTTGTTTGTGTGTGTGTGTGTGTGTGTGTGTGTGTGTGTGTGTGTGTTTGTGGTGTTTTTTTTTTTTTTTTTTTTGGTTTTTGTATTTTTATAATTCTCTGCTGCTCCTAAATTGACAACCTTCCTGGTGCCTCTGTTGCTATAAAACTGGGGTCCTGATAAATGTTTAATAATTTCCTCACAGGGACGGGGACCTACGCAGAACCAATGGCAAAGTTGTCCCCAACTCCTATCTCCTTATTCTCATGCAAATCTTGGCCTTTTTATACCGCCCTGCAGCATCTTAATATAGACCCATTGTCTTCAGTAGGCTTTTAAAAAAAGGTTTGGGATCACTCACAAAAGAGGTAACAATTTAAAATCGAATATGAACCATCACAATGCTTAAAATGGATCAGATTCTTCCCATCGCATGGATTTTCATTTAGGCCATATCCTCTCTTAGGGTCAGCTAAACACCAGCGATTTCACTCCCAGCTCTCTCTTTTTAAAATAAATCTCTTCCTCCTGTACCTTCACTCTCAGATTCCCACGACTTCCTAAAGCATGACAATTTAGTCTTCCATACCAGAACCACACTCCTGACATAGCTTGGTGTATCTAAAAACTCATTAATTGCTTTACTAGTGTAAAAGCTGTGAAAGTTCAGTTTGTTCTGTGAAGGAGAAGAACAGAACTGAATTATTAGGCAGGGTTTCCATACACCACTCTCATCGTAGTTTGCTAGGCTCTTACTCGTTATACTAACTTGTCCAAATGAATATCAAAGCATTAACCAAAACAGGTTACTTACACCTAATCAGGAACAGAGACTAGTGAAACATCTAATAGTTGCTACAGTCAGCATTTCTTTGTTTTTCTTCTAGAAGATGGTGAAAATAGGAGCATGCTGAAAAATTGTAAATCTTTCTTCTGTACTTTATATGATAAAGTCAAAGAAGCTGTTTGTTTGTTTGTTTTTGTATTAGTTTGCTAGGGTTGCCATAACAGAACAATACTGAGTGAGATGCTTAAAACAATAGAAATTTATGTCTTCAAAATTCTGGAGGCTATAAGTTCAAGATGAAGGTATTGGCAGGGGTGGTTTCTTTCTGGGGCTCTCTCCTGGCCTTGTAGATAACCATATTTTGTTCGTGCTTCACATGGCCCCCCCAAGTCTGTCTGTATCCTAATCTCTTTTTATTAGAACACCAGTCATGGTTGATTGGGAAATGCCCCAATGCCTTCATTTCAACTTCATTGGCTTTTAAAAGACTATCTCCAAATACAATCCTATTCTGAGGGGCTAGAGTTTACTGAACATATTAATTTTGAAAAGATAACTCAGCCAAGAACACCTCTTGACTGAATATCACATGGATTCCATGGTCAAATATATCAAGAAATCTTAGTCTGACTCTAAATAGGACCACCATACCACCTAGACCTAATACCACCTTACCACCTAATACACAGACCAACCAAGACTCTTTTGAGAGTAAAAGGGGTTGCTATCAGTAATTACATAAGACAATATGTAATTGTCTTATGTAATTCCAATTACATAAGAATTGTAATTCCAATTTCTTGGAATATTGAAATGACAGAGACTTTCAAAGAGATACCATGGTAACAACTTAAGTGTGTTTGTGGAGCAGGTGAAAAATTTCAATGAGATGTATTCTAGAAATAATTGCCTAAAGCACATTATCTTTTCAGCCTATTGCTTGAAAATGTGCGTATCTGTATTATCATAAAAACTGTCACTTTATCATTTTTTTCCAAGATAAAATTGCATTTTCTATTCTGTCACTGAAATGGAAAAATCACCCAAGGGACTGGTTAGAGAAGGCTGTTTAAGAGGTTTGTTCAAATTTGTGTTTAAAAAACACAGACTTTTGAACATGGTTAGCAATGAACTGGAACAGATCATGCTGAGGAAAAGATTAGTTGGGATACACTGATTTTCCAGACTCTAGACTATACCAAAAATTCAATTATAAATCTAATTACAACTTCAATTGTTAAACAATCAACCAGATTATTTTTTGTTGCTGGCTGTTTTGTTTCCTGCTGACTCATAAGCAGGTGCACCTGCAGGTGTATACTTTGCCATCACCATGTGATCTAATCAGCCCTGCCCTTTCCTACTTTCTGTATTACTTTTTACACATCTTAAGCTACAAAATCTGCAAAAGCTGAGGTACAAACCATACATTTCTATGTTGGGGCATAAAACTGGAGAAGGATTCGTAGCAGGAAGGCCAGATATTTCATGCCAGCAATCCCACAGTAGGTTTGACTGTGTAGTAGTAATTCCAGATATTCCTCAAAAATGACTCCGTGGTTAGATACATTTGGGAGATTTTACAGACTGTAGTGCTTTTAGAGACTTGAAAACACATTACAATAATAATAAGTCTAATAGTTTTGTAGTAAAGAAATCTGTAGTGTAGCTTAGTTGGATTCTCCATTTCCTTAACAAATTTACTGCAGATACTTTTGTAAATGTTAGCAAATAATGGCCTGAGGAATTAAAGAGAACGGAAGGTGGAAAAAAAAAGAAGCTTCAGAAAGGCTTTCGGGAGGCCCTGTACCCAAAAGGAAGCAGCGAGGGTATTCAATAATCATATGGAGGGGTATGCACGTATATAAGTCACAATCTTTGTAAATATATAGGTGGTGTCACTGCTCATTACTCAATGAGCAGTGTCAGGGAAAGAAAGTTAATTACCTGACACGTTTCCAGCAGACAGAGCTATTTTCACATTTAAAAGAGCGACCAAAGCCTCACTTTTAATTTACTTAAAAATAGTCCACATTTATACTCTTCAACTCTAACACTTAGATGATTTGCTCTCAAAAAAACATAATATTCCAGAGATTCAATTTTTTTAATTCTCACTGAAAAATTTAGGAACTGAGTGGCTGTTGATAGGCAAATAAAAGTGCAACACAATTTTTCATACAAGACACATCTCTCAAATGAAATTGTATGGTACTGAAATTTACAATGCTAGCAGTTTGAAGTAAATGCAATAACACTTTAAAGTGGCATTACAAGATTTATTTTTACATACTTAAAATTCAAAAACTCTTCAGAGAATTCTAAAAATAGAAAATATTTACTTTAGGAGCACTCATCTATGTTTTGGTTCAACACTAAACCATAAAAGAATTCATGAAGCATACCTAACATGTGGTTCTTAGAGTCTGCTTTGTAAATACAACTTTCAAATGGTAAAAAATGCAAACAATCCTCAGTTATCAAGATTAGGTGCAGATACTATCTCATGGATGATCTATAACCACCGAATTTTTTCAAACATCACACTGTTTTAGACATCTATTTATTCTGCAGCACTCATTCCAACGGAATTTTGCTTGATGACAGAAATTCTCTGTAAAGCCATATTGGCTATTAAACACTTCAAATATGACTGGTATGGCTGCCTTTTAAATTTTATTTCATTTAAATTAATTTAAAGTTAAATAGCCATATATGGCTAGTGGCTATCATATTGGACAGCACAGCTCTAGCCCTTCTAACTCAGTAGACGCGGTAGACGTGGTGAGGTTTTGTCCAGATGTTCCACTGTGATGCCCCATCCTGTCAAGAGAGAGCCTGTTGTCTCAGCTGCTGTGAGTTCTGTCAGCAGATAGCTTCCCACTGTTAAGATTTTCAGGGTTTGCCTCAGTCATCCAGTCTTCACACAACGGCACAACGTTCTGGGGGAGGCACACTTCCAATGACTGATTGCAGAAACGGCATACAGACCGGGCCATTTGGACTACCAGTGAACAAGTCTGATAGGTCGTATCTTCAGGTGTGGTTTGACGGTCCCAATAACACAAAGTGGAACACAAAGGGAGTTCCATTTCTCCCTTTATCCAATCCTGCTGTGCTCCCTGTTTTCCACAGGTATTGATCATTAATAAAACCCTTGCAAACCAAACTTGCTCTCAGTACCTGCTTCTGGACAATCTGACCATTGTCAGTCTCTAAGAACTGATGTGGAGTGATTTGTAGAATAACTTTCAAGTGGGGAAAAAAACTCCAACAAAGTACAAATGCATATTTATAGTATGCTGCATTTTATGTAAAATCAAAGGATAAATAAGAAGAATATGTGTATATGCTTATTTCCTACCAAAAGAAACACAGAATAGACAAACCATAAATAAATAAGATAGATTTCTTATAGGGGGTAGGTGAAGTGAGGTGGTCGATTGAGGGGGAAAGATAAACAAATGAATAGATACATTGATCATCATGAGAGCCATGTCTCTCACTGTTGGTGAGGGGAGTTACAAATAGGGAAGAGGGAAAAAGCAGAATAAACCTTATACAAGCTGGGTTGGAATTGAAGCTATCAGTATCTATAAATATGGATTGCTACCTCTACTATCTGTCTGTCTGTCTATCTATCTATCTATCTGTCTATCTAATCTACCTAATCTAGCTTTGTCCATCGAGAGGACTTAAAACACGCAACAATAGTCAATAAGTCTAGCACCCAGATATTGATTCTAAATATCTTTTTCTACGAAAAGGATCTAGAGATTTTTGGAGAAATGGCTGACTCTAGGTATGAGTGGAGAAAATACAAGATAAGCCTAAAACATTGTACTGTGTCAGAAAGTAAGCGTGCATTCAAAAGATGATGCAAACATACAAAGATGTCAAAATATTGGACAATTTTTATTGTTATTTCTTAATGATACATGATATTTATACATATATATGGTGATGCATGTGATATTTTGTTACATGCATGGAATGTATAATGATCCAGTCAGGGTATTTAGGGTATCTATTACCTTGAGTATTTACTATTTCTGTACATTGGGAACATTTCAAGTCCTCTTTTCCAGCTATTTTGAAATATGAAATACATTGTTGTTAACTATAATCACCCAACACTGATACTGAATGTTAGAAATTATTCCTTCTATCTAGCTATGTATTTGTACCAACTGACCAACCTCTCTTCATCCCCCCGGCGCCCACCACACCTCTACCCACAGCCTCTGATATCTATCATTCTACTCTCTATCTCCATGATATAAACTAATTTTTTAGCTCCTACATATGAGTAAGAACACGCATATTTATATTTCTATGCCTTGTTTATTTCACATGACATATTGACCTCCAGTTCCACCCCTGTTGCTGTAAATGACATGATTTCATTTCTTTGATGGCTAAATAGTATTCCATTGTGCATATATACCACATTTTATTTATCCAAGCACCTTGAGGATAAGCTATCTTGCTTACAGCCACCACCTGGGGCTGAAGCACATGCTCCCTAGCCACCTACCTACAGCTACTATTACTAAAAGAAGCCCCACATTCACCAGAAATAGGGCTGCAACACAGCTGCTGCTGCCCCATCCACCTTTGATGGTATCTGAGCACTCCTCTTGGGGACCTGAGATCGGATTCACCCAACCTGCCACCACCACCACAGCTGACATCTACCTGTACACAACATCTGCAGGCCAGAGGACTGGCCCATTGAAGCTACCACTAGTACCAGCACAAAGAGAGGTTTATCCTGCCACTGCTACTGCCATTGTCCACACCATGCCCACTGCCTGGGGGCTACATGTCCAACCCACCAATGCTACTGCTAGCACCCAAGCAAGCCTGAAAACCCAAGAATTGACATGTAAAGACACATATAGAATGAAAGTAAAGGGATATATTATTACATATTGATAAATGGGTCAATTCACCAAGAAAATGTAACAATTGTAAACATATATGCACCCAATACCAGAGTGCCCAGCTATATAAAGCATGCATTATTAGATCTAAACGGAGAAATAGACTCCAGTACAATAATAGTTGGGGACTTCAACACCTCACTCTCAAAAAACAGATAATCTAGACAGAAAATGAACAAACATTGGAGTTAAATTGCTCTTTGCAACAAGCCGACCTAACAGACATTGACAGAACATTTCATCCGACAGCTACAGAAAACACATTCTTCTCATCAGCATGTAGAAAATTTTCCATGAAAGACTATATGTTAAGGCACAACACACGTCTCAACAAATTTAGAAAAAAATCAAAATCACAGCCAGGTGTGGTGACTCACAACTACAATCTCAGCATTTTGGGAGGCGAAGGCAGGAGGACTGCTAGAGCCCAGGAAGTTGAGACTAGACTGGGCAACATAGTGAGACCTTGTCTCTACAAATAATAAAAATATTAGCCAGGCATGGTGGCACATCCCTTTGGTCCCAGCTACTTGGAGGCTGAGGTGGGAGGATCACTTGTGCCTTGAAGGTTGAACTGTAGTGTTTCTGTTTTTATACCAATACCGTATTGTTTCGTTTACTATATGCTTGTAATATACTTTGAAGTCAGGTGCTGTAATGTCTCCAGGTTTCTTCTTTTTGTTCAGGATTGGATTGGCTGTTTGGGCTCTTTTATGGTTCCCTTCAAATATTATAATTGTTTTTTCTAATTCTGTAGAAACAATGACATTGATAGGGATTGCATTGAATCTGTAGATTCATTTAGGCAGTTTGGTCATTTTAAGAATATTAATTATTCCAGTCCATGAGCACAAGATGTCTTTCCATTTGTTTGTGTCCTCTTCAGTTTATTTCATCAGTATTTTGGAGTTTTCTTTGTTGAGGTCTTTAATTTCCTTGTTTAAATTTATTCCTAGGTATTTTTCAAAGCTACTGTGAATGGGATTGCGTTTTTTATTTCTATCACAGCTCATTTGTTATTGGTTTACAGGAAGGCTGCTGATTTTGTATGTTGATTTTGTATCCTGCAACTCTACTGAATTTATCAGATCTAAGATTTTTGAGTTTTATTAGCTATGAGACCATGTCATCTGCATAGAGGGACAATTTGACTTCTTCTTTTCCAATGTGGATGTCTTTTTATTTCTTTCTTTTGCCTGACTGCTCTGGCTAGGACTTCCAGTACTATGTTGAATAGGAATGGTGAAAGTGGACATCCATGTCTTTTTCCAGTTCTCACAAGAAAGGCTTTTCCCCATTTAGTATGGTATTAAGTATGGGTTTTTCATATATAGCCTTTATTACATTGAGGTATATTCCTTTTCATCCTACTTTGTTCAGAATTTTTATCACAATGGAGTGTTGAATTTACCAAATGCTTTCTGTATCTATTGAGGTGACCATATGTTTTTGTCTTTCGTTTTATCAGTGTTTATCATGTATATCATGTTTATTGATTTGCATATGTTGTATCATCTTTCTGATGTACTGTTGAATTTGGTTTGCTAGTATTTGGTTGATGATTTTTTGTGTCTATGTTCATCAGGGATATTGATCTGTAGTTTATTCTTGTTGTTGCATTCTTGCCTGGTTTTGGTATCAAAGTAATGCTGGCATGATAGAATGAGATATGAAGAATTTCTTCCTCTTCAATTTTTTGCACTAGTTTGAGGAGAATTGGTGTTAATTCTTCTTTGAAAGGTCAGTAGAATTCAACATTGAAGCCATCCCACCCTAGGTTTTTTTGTTGTTGTTGGAAGACTTTTTATTACTGACTCAATTTTATTACTTGTTATTGGTATGTCCAGGTTTTCTATTTCTTCCTGATTCAATCTTTGTAGATTGTATGTGACCAAAATTTATCCATTTTCTCTCAGGTTTCCAGATTGTTAGTGTATAGTTGTTCATAATAGTCCCCCTGATCTTTTGTATTTATGTGGTTTCAGTTGTAATGTCTTTTTTCATTTCTGATTTTGTTTATTTGGGCCTTAACTCCTTTTTATTTGTTAATCTAATCAGTGGTTTATCTATTTTATCTTTTCAAACAGCCAACTTTCTGTTTATTGCTGTTTTGTATTTTTTCAAGACTCTAGTTCCTTTAGTTCTACTCTGATATTTTATTATTTGTTTCATTCTACTAAGTATGGGTTTGGCTTATTCTTGCTTTTCTAGTTCATTGAGATGGATCATTAGATTTCTTACTTGAAATCTTTGTATTTTTTTGATATAGGTGTTTTTGCTATGAAATTCCCTCTTAGCACTGCTTTTGCTATATCTCATAGGTTTTGGTATGTTGTGTTTCAATTTTCATTTGTTTCAATATTTTTTCCCTCCTTAACCTGATGGTCATTTAGGAGCATGTTGTTCATTTCCATGTATTTTTATAGCTTCCAAAATTCCTCTTGTTATTGATTTCTAGGTTTATTCCATTGCGGTCTGAGGAGATATTTGATATGATTTCAATTTTTTTTTTTTTAAGACAGAGTCTAGCTCTGTAACCAAGGCTTGCGTGAAGTACTGTGATCATGACTCACTACAGTTCAACCTTCAAGGCTCAAGTGATCCTCCCACCTCAGCCTCCCAAGTAGCTGGGACCAAAGGCATCTGCAAAATGTAGCCAGTTACTGCTGTCTTGTTGAAGCAACCATACAAGGTAAAAAATAAGAAGTGCTACAAAATTTTTAAACTAATCATATCGTTGTTTCAATAGCTTCTATATTCTTTAAGATAGAAACATTAGTAAATCTTTTTTTTTAGCAGTGGATTTTATCATCCTCAGAATTCATCATGGATTTTTGTGGAAACTTTAGTTCTTAAACTAAACAAACTGATTGTCTCTATTGATCAAGCACACATTTAATTTAAAGTAGAGTGCTTCCAATACAAGTACACAACATTCTAAATGATAAATGTAGTATATGGTACACTGATTTTTTATGAACAATAACCACTCAAAAATGTTCTCTGTAGGCTATAATCCTAGACATTCAAACAATCAACTGCAAATTTCCCTCTGTGGGGCCAAGAGAACTTACGTCGCCAAAATTATTTTTCAAAACAAAATTTAGATTTTTGAAAGGAGCAGTTTGAATTTAAACAATCAATCTTTTCAAGATGTTATGAATAAACTTTCAGAAAAATTTTGCCGCTTAACAATGAGCCACACCATAAGTGGTTCTAAGAATCAAGTTGAATAATATGACATGTAAATCTGAAGCCTGCAGAGCACATATAAGAACCACCAGACACTTACAATGAAATAGTAAGAATTCAGACACTTTATTTTCCCCAACCAAGTGACAGATATTCATACTGTGAATATCTAACATTTTGCTTTGACAACTAGGCACATATTTATATTTTCTGCCATTCTAGTCAGGGAATGGTTCAACATTGTCTTAGTTGATTTAGTGCCAACTCAAGTCAGTCTTTCGATATTTGTCCAAGTAACTGGACCAGGAATACCTGGTAATGACTTGTCACAAATTACAGTGATATTCTTTATTCTTTGAATAGTTTTGTTTGGCAGGAGTGATGTTCAACAGACAGTAGATAAACAACACAGAGATCCACTGAATTGTAACACTGGGAATATTAAATAAACTGTGTCATTTGATACATTTCCCTAGAATAGAGCCACTGAAAAGACTTTTCTCTCCAGAATTTAAAACAAATAAAAAGGAAAAAAAGGATTGTAGCAGAAAGACAGAGAGAGGGACATAGATACGAAGCTTTAAATCAGGATGGATTTCTGAAAATGGTACATAAGGAAATTCAAGTCTAAGTCAAGACAAACAATTAACTGGTAGTAAATAGATTACCAGTTACCTGGAGGTGTTACTAAAATTAAAATCAACACTGTAGTCAACACAGAATTCAGAAGAGAAATTATTAAAGAAAGTAGATGGAAGAAAAGGATTTGTTATTCCTAATACTATTTTCAGTTCTTCAGATTTCAGACAATCTTACTGCTGAGAAATTTGGAAAGGGTTTTCTTTTCCATGTTTCAACACAGACCAAATGGAATACTACTTAAAGATACATATTTTTTACTTTCTTATTTTTTATGCTTACCTCATATCTTTCTGATTTTCTGTTTGTTTTGGGTCTTACCCTATGTAGCTGATTTATGATTTTAGGCCAAATATAACTCCAACTACAACCTATCACTGGTATTATAATTATGACTAGATATGTAAATATCAGTTTGGATGCCCAATTTACCTCAGTCTTTGGCTAAAATGCAGGGTTCTTGTGCTTCAAGATTGAGAATTGATTTTTTGCTATATAAGCACTAAAGTCTCTTAGAATTCCAGAAATATATGGTCCTGGGAAATCAGATTTATTCGGATCACAGTTTAGTGCAGTTGAAATACTTATAGCAAGATTACTTTGAGCTGAAGATAATTGAGAAACAGAAGATGCTCCCCGTGCCCTACGAAACACTCTCTGCCTCCCCCGCAATTTACAAAAAGTCAGGGTTAGACTTTTTTTTTTTTTTACAGTAGAACTTACATTCAATTTAATCTTTAGTTTCAAAGATAAACCTATACAGGTTCAATCTAATGAGGATAATACAAATAAATGAACAAGAAGTACTCAACTAAATATTGATTCAAAGTACCATAAGGAACTCAAAGTGTTTCAGACCCTAACTGTATCAGATTCTATCCCATTAGCATTCCCACACATGGGTGTGTATGTGGTATGATGGAGATCAAAAGTTCCACCTACTTCTTCAGGACTGGTGCCATGATCCTAGTGTGATATACTGAAAACATCCTCCTTCACAAGTTTGCACTGTCTAGCTAGGTGTAAACTGACTAAGCTAATACAATAATGTATACCCCCAAATACTTCAAATCCTCCTTGAAGTAAAAGACCTTGACATTCCCTGCTTTTCTCACAAAACTGCAGGTGTGTAATAATTCCGCAAAGATTCCTAATCCATCCTTTTGATTTAGACCATCAATTTTCAGCAGCTTCAGCCATCACCATCTATTATGCATCACTTCATACAGATCTTTTGTTATAAATATCTATTCTTTGATTCATGGCATTGACACAACTTTTAACTCTTAAAATTGGATTCACATAGACTTTTAATGAAGACTCTTACTAACCCAGAGGGGCAGAGGAAAAGGAACTACATAACAAACCTTACTCAAACAAAACTTTTATCTTTCATTAACTTCCCCCCATTTATTTATCTTCCCATAGTTTGCTACCCCTGAAAGGCTAAATCTCTTTTCTTTTGTCTTGTTACTTCTCTACACGTTTCTTGTTCTTTCTTAAGATATTATATAAAAGCTAAGTACTAACAACCCTGAGTTACCCATCACTGAATTTCTCCTATACGTATGTGTGCTGGATTTTAATTTATGTAAATTTTACCTTGAAAAATACTGGTGTTGTGGGAACGTACATATAAAAAAACAAAAATGGTAGAAATGCAGACAGTTGAGGCAGGGTGCGGTGGCTCACGCCTGTAATCCCAGCACTTTGGGAGGCCGAGGTGGGCGGATCACGAGGTCAAGAGATCGAGACTATTATGGCTAACATGGTGAAACCCCGTCTCTACTAAAAATACAAAAAATTAGCCGGGCATGGTGGCAGGCGCCTGTAGTCCCAGCTACTCGGGAGGCTGAGGCAGGAGAATGGCATGAACCCGGGAGGCGGAGCTTGCAGTGAGCCCAGATTGTGCCGCTGCACTCCAGCCTGGGCGACAGAGCGAGACTCCATCTCAGAAAAAAAAAAAAAAAAAAAAAAAGAAATGTAGACAGTTGATAAAGCTGGGTGAGGCGTATGGAATGTTCATTATTTGACTGTGTTTACTTTGTTTATATTAAAAACCAAACAAAAACTACCTCCTTGTATTTTGGGTTGTTCTAAATTACTTCTTTACAGCTTATCACCCTTAAATTGGTAAATAAAACAAAGTTCTTAAATTGAAAAAAGGTAGTTTTAGATTAGTCCCTCTAATAATCATTTCCTATGATTTGGATGTGTACCCCACAGCTCATGTGTTGGAAACTTGATCCCCAAAGTAACCATGTTGAAAGGTGCCACCTTTAAGAGGCGATTGGATCATGAAGTATTCTCACACATGGATTAATGCTGTTATCATGAGAGCAGGCGCGTTATTTTGAGGGGCATGTTATAAAAGTGAGTTTGGCCCTTTCTTGCTCTCATGGATGCTCTCTTACCATTATGCCTTCCACCACTGGATGAAATGATTAAAGCCCTTGCCAGATGTGAGCCCCTTGACCTTGGACTGACCAGCCTCCTGAACTGTAAGAAACAAATCTCCGCTCTTTATAAATTACTCAGTTTCAAGCACTCCATTATAGCAACACAAAATGGAGTAAGAAAATTGAAACCAGAAGTGCGGTTCTTGCTATAACAAATTCCTAGAAATGTAGAAGCAGCTTTGGAAGTGGATAATGGGTAAAGGCTGGAAGAACTTAAAGGAACAGGCTAGAAAAAGCCTAAATTGTTGTGAGCAAATCTAGGATTATTAACAGCAATTCTGGTGAGGTATTTAAAAAAAGACAAGA
This sequence comes from Homo sapiens, assembly GCF_000001405.40. Taxonomy (NCBI): domain Eukaryota; kingdom Metazoa; phylum Chordata; class Mammalia; order Primates; family Hominidae; genus Homo; species Homo sapiens. The sequence continues at coordinate 175,326,361 of NC_000003.12, read as the reverse complement.
GCTGTAGGGAAGGCTGTATCTTCATAGAGATTACTTAAATGGTCATGATCAGAATGTTAACAGAAATACCGACAGTAAAGGCCATTCTGATAAGGTCTCAGGCAGAAATGAGGAACAATGTACTGAAAACTGAAGTAAAGGACATCGTTGTTACAAAGTGGCAACGAATTTGACTGAATTGTGTCCATGCCGTAGGGCTTTATGGAAGGTAGAATTTAAAAACAATAAATGAAGTTATGTGGCAGAAGAATATATCTAAGCAGCAAAGTGTTCAAGGTGCTACATGGCTTCTTTTGACTGTTTACAGTAAAATGAAAGAAGTGAAAAATGTTTTAAAATGGAATTTTTAATTAAAAGAGAAGTAGAACAGAAAAATTTGGAAAATTGCAACCTTGTAATGTAAAAAATGAAAAATTATTTCTAGGAGAAGAAAGAAAGGGTGCCACTATTTGATAAGAACATTAGTATGGATGAAAAGAAGCCAGACACTATTCGTCAAGGTGATGGCAGAATAAAGCCATTTCAGAGATTCTATATATGCTAAACTTGCAACTATTTTAGGAAGTTTAGATTATTTTAGAACAAAAGTAGAAAAAAAGGATGTTGAAACTCCTTACAACTCTGGCCAACACTTGCTAGCTATGACTGAATTCTGTATTTATGAAATGACCTGGGGCAAGAAAATGTTGAGTAATGGTGCCAACCAACTTACCAACTTACCAACTTAGGTTAGAGCACTCTTACAGAGTCTGTTTTTGGTAGCACTGTAGCCCATTGACTTGCCACAGTGAGTTCACTGCCAAACGCAGCTTCCTGAAGCTGAGCAATTACAATGCAGGACAGTGAGTGTATTTGCAAATGAGAGAGCTGACTGGTCTTTTAGGTGATGTCTAGAAATTGTAGATAGATGCCTACTAATTCTAACTTAAAATTGTAACGATAAGACATGGGACTGTACAAAGTACAGATCTGTGAGATCCCAGAGAAAATTTACATGGATTATTAAAGGAATACTTTTGTAGCATATAGAAGAAAAAGCAATAATCAGTAGATGCAACAAAATTCATAAGTTATAATTCATATGTGATTCAATTTGCTTCCTTCTTGGAGAAAGTTGCTAATTAATTGGTAAAGTTAACATAGAATAGGCAGCTGGATTTGAGTAAGATAACCAGTAAATTCTTTTGCGATTTTTTGGGGAAAAAAAAACAAAAAAAATTTGGCAGAACACATAAATAATTACATAATTTTTTGGGTTAGTTTAATTACTGACTGAACTGTCACGGTTAATGGGTCAGTATCACCCTGCAAGAAGATTCAAAGAGCTTTTTCCTCAGCCAGGTTGAATGAACAGAATATCCGCCAATGACACATCGGACAGAAATTCAATGATGCGGTGAGCATCTGCCAAAATCACCATTGTTTTCTCTCTCCCACATGATCCCTACTATCATGAACAGAGCTATCTAGGAAAAAGAAAGATATTTGCTGCAAAGTAGCCATCTCTATACTTCCAGTGATTGGCCAAAACAATGAGGTCCCTTCTCTTAAGACAGCCAGAAAATCATATTAAATCCATTCTTCTACAGCATCTTTTCTTACTACTTTACTCACCTAACTTGATCATATGTACCTCTAAACCCTGGACTTAAAGTTATTACAGCTGCCCCAAAGCAGCAGACATTTCATGCTCCTGGGTATCTGTACATGCTATTGGCTTACCTGGAGTACCTGTCACACCTGGTGTTAATTTGTCTTATCAGTCAATCAACAATAACACATAAAATACATTTCTGTCTGTTCATCACACTGTAATTTGTTGAGATAAAAATACATTACAGTCTAAATCCAATTTATACCAACAAATTGGTAGTCTATAATTATGAGAAGATAAAAAATAAATTGCTTTTTAAAATAATAAGATGGGATGCTAAGAATTATTTGACATCACTATTCCTGATAGATAGCATTTATTTATAAATTGCAACCTTGTAATGCTTACTTACAAGTATAATAATGATGACCAACAAACTTACCGACACTTGGGTAACCAGGCGTAGAAGGGTCTCCTCCTGGATTCAGTGACACCATGAAGGTATCATGGCTAGGATTCACAGTCTTTGGCAAATCACAAGGATCGATATACAGAAGAACACCTCCAAATCCAGCCTTTTCCAATGAGGAAAGCTAAAAGAGGGAAGCAAGCTATTAAAAATATTATCATGCACATTAAAAGTTCATATAGTGCCATTTTGCCAATGTGGCTATGATAAGATGACTCTTTTTCCAGTTTTTTTTTCTTTTTCTTTTTCTTTTTCTTTTTTTTTTTTTTTGTTTGTTTTTTGAGATGGAGTCTCGCTCTGTCGCCCAGGCTGGAGTGCAGTAGCGTGATCTCAGCTCACTGCAACCTCCACCTCCCGGGTTCACGCCATTCTCCTGCCTCAGCCTCCCGAGTAGCTGGGACCACAGGCGCCTGCCACCACACCCGGCTAATTTTTTTGTATTTTTAGTAGAGACAGGGTTTCACCGTGTCAGCCAGGATGGTCTCGATCGCCTGACCTCGTGATCCGCCCACCTCGGCCTCCCAAACTGCTGGGATTACAGGCGTGAGCCACTGCACCCGGCCTTTTCTTTTAAAATAAGCAGAGATTTTAGATTTCTATCAAGCCCAGAAGCTTTTTCTACTGGCCTTTTTTTTTTTCCTCCGGTTTTTCTCTATCTCTACCAGCATTGCTATAATGTCTATATTTTATTTCAATTGTCTATTCATGGAATTCCTCACTCTCTGATTTTTAACTAAGTGGATTTTAACTTTCTACTTTTTTTGGATTAATAGAGGATCTACCATACATAAGGTTCTTTTTTTTATTATTATTATACTTTAAGATTTAGGGTACATGTGCACATTGTGCAGGTTAGTTACATATGTATACATGTGCCATGCTGCTGCGCTGCACCCACTAACTCGTCATCTAGCATTAGATATATCTCCCAATGCTATCCCTCCCCCCTCCCCCCACCCCACCACAGTCCCCAGAGTGTGATATTCCCCTTCCTGTGTCCATGTGATCTCATTGTTCAATTCCCACCTATGAGTGAGAATATGCGGTGTTTGGTTTTTTGTTCTTGCGATAGTTTACTGAGAATGATGGTTTCCAGCTTCATCCATGTCCCTACAAAGGACATGAACTCATCATTTTTTATGGCTGCATAGTATTCCATGGTGTATATGTGCCACATTTTCTTAATCCAGTCTATCATTGTTGGACATTTGGGTTGGTTCCAAGTCTTTGCTATTGTGAATAGTGCCGCAATAAACATACGTGTGCATGTGTCTTTATAGCAGCATGATTTATAGTCTTTTGGGTATATACCCAGTAATGGGATGGCTGGGTCAAATGGTATTTCTAGTTCTAGATCCCCGAGGAATCGCCACACTGACTTCCACAATGGTTGAACTAGTTTACAGTCCCACCAACACTGTAAAAGTGTTCCTATTTCTCCACATCCTCTCCAGCACCTGTTGTTTCCTGACTTTTTAATGATTGCCATTCTAACTGGTGTGAGATGGTATCTCATAGTGGTTTTGATTTGCATTTCTCTGATGGCTAGTGATGATGAGCATTTTTTCATGTGTTTTTTGGCTGCATAAATGTCTTCTTTTGAGAAGTGTCTGTTCATGTCCTTCGCCCACTTTTTGATGGGGTTGTTTGTTTTTTCTTGTAAATTTGTTTGAGTTCATTGTAGATTCTGGATATTAGCCCTTTGTCAGATGAGTGGGTTGCGAAAATTTTCTCCCATTTTGTAGGTTGCCTGTTCACTCTGATGGTAGTTTCTTTTGCTGTGCAGAAGCTCTTTAGTTTAATTAGATCCCATTTGTCAATTTTGTCTTTTGTTGCCATTGCTTTTGGTGTTTTGGACATGAAGTCCTTGCCCATGCCTATGTCCTGAATGGTAATGCCTAGGTTTTCTTCTAGGGTTTTTATGGTTTTAGGTCTAACGTTTAAATCTTTAATCCATCTTGAATTGATTTTTGTATAAGGTGTAAGGAAGGGATCCAGTTTCAGCTTTCTACATATGGCTAGCCAGTTTTCCCAGCACCATTTATTAAATAGGGAATCCTTTCCCCATTGCTTGCTTTTCTCAGGTTTGTCAAAGATCAGATAGTTGTAGGTATGCGGCATTATTTCTGAGGGCTCTGTTCTGTTCCATTGATCTGTATCTCTGTTTTGGTACCAGTACCATGCTGTTTTGGTTACTGTAGCCTTGTAGTATAGTTTGAGGTCAGGTAGCGTGATGCCTCCAGCTTTGTTCTTTTGGCTTCGGATTGACTTGGTGATGCGGGCTCTTTTTTGGTTCCATAAGAACTTTAAAGTAGTTTTTTCCAGTTCTGTGAAGAAAGTCATTGGTAGCTTGATGGGGATGGCATTGAATCTGTAAATTACCTTGGGCAGTATGGCCATTTTCACGATATTGATTCTTCCTACCCATGAGCATGGAATGTTCTTCCATTTGTTTGTATCCTCTTTTATTTCCTTGAGCAGTGGTTTGTAGTTCTCCTTGAAGAGGTCCTTCACATCCCTTGTAAGTTGGATTCCTAGGTATTTTATTCTCTTGGAAGCAATTGTGAATGGGAGTTCACTCATGATTTGGCTCTCTGTTTGTCTGTTATTGGTGTATAAGAATGCTTGTGATTTTTGTACATTGATTTTGTATCCTGAGACTTTGCTGAAGTTGCTTATCAGCTTAAGGAGATTTTGGGCTGAGACAATGGGGTTTTCTAGATATACAATCATGTCGTCTGCAAACAGGGACAATTTGACTTCCTCTTTTCCTAATTGAATACCCTTTATTTCCTTCTCCTGCCTAATTGCCCTGGCCAGAACTTCCAACACTATGTTGAATAGGAGTGGTGAGAGAGGGCATCCCTGTCTTGTGCAAGTTTTCAAAGGGAATGCTTCCAGTTTTTGCCCATTCAGTATGATATTGGCTGTGGGTTTGTCATAGATAGCTCTTATTATTTTGAGATACGTCCCATCAATACCTAATTTATTGAGAGTTTTTAGCATGAAGGGTTGTTGAATTTTGTCAAAGGCTTTTTCTGCATCTATTGAGATAATCATGTGGTTTTTGTCTTTGGCACTGTTTATATGCTGGATTACATTTATTGATTTGCGTATATTGAACCAGCCTTGCATCCCAGGGATGAAGCCCACTTGATCATGGTGGATAAGCTTTTTGATGTGCTGCTGGATTCGGGTTGCCAGTATTTTATTGAGGATTTTTGCATCAATGTTCATCAAGGATATTGGTCTAAAATTCTCTTTTTTGGTTGTGTCTCTGCCCGGCTTTGGTATTAGAATGATGCTGGCCTCATAAAATGAGTTAGGGAGGATTCCCTCTTTTTCTATTGATTGGAATAGTTTCAGAAGGAATGGTACCAGTTCCTCCTTGTACCTCTGGTAGAATTCGGCTGTGAATCCATCTGGTCCTGGACTCTTTTTGGTTGGTAAACTATTGATTATTGCCACAATTTCAGCTCCTGTTATTGGTCTATTCAGAGATTCAACTTCTTCCTGGTTTAGTCTTGGGAGAGTGCATGTGTCGAGGAATTTATCCATTTCTTCTAGATTTTCTAGTTTATTTGCGTAGAGGTGTTTGCTTATTTTAAAAGGAGAGTTGTTGTGACCATTATGTCTTTCCCTAAAGCAGAAATCACCTGCAGTATTGTAACATATTTTTTCCAGGGCTGAGCCTGTCACACCAGTCATTAAAATGTTGAAATACTGTCACACTGTTTAGAAAATAGCCACTGTCCTGAACCTCCTGACAGACCCCAGTATACTAGTCATCTTGGTCTCTGCCTGGAGGTACCAGCCAGACCTCCCAGATATAGCAACTGAGGAATTTACACGTAACCTTATGGGGGTCTCCTTCTGAAAGATCAACCCTTGTTCTGCCCCCGTCGTTAAATGTTTTGAGAATAGACCCTGTCATTTGAGACATATTTAACGTAAAGATTCCTCTCTGTTCCTTGGTAAGCACACAATACATAAGTATGATGGAACAGAAGAACTTGACAATATACTAAGTTTCTTTTTATTTTAACTCTTTAAATTGATTTTTTTTTGTAAAAAGCTTATTCATTTTAGTCATCTTAGTATGACTTATCTCATATGAAAAACAATAATCATGATTTGCTAATTCTATTAGTTTTTCAAGAGAGAGGAAAAGTAATTAGAGAACATAAAGATAATAAAGGAGAACATGACTGAAGGTCATATTCAATATAGGCAGTCACTGCTCGTTGTGTGACTTTAGTTAACAACCATACTTCACTCCCCAATTACTGCTTATGTTGCGTATTAACTTTTGCAGTGGAGTAAGCAAGGCAGCACCATTCGCTGAGGACAGGGATTGTGCTTACCTTCTCTATCATTGTACACCTTGCACTTAGCAGGCTTTCAAGAGTATTGCTAAATGAGAGAATGAATGAGACAGATGCAGCCTAGGCACAACAGCTATTTTTATTTTTATTTTTTGAAACACAGTCTCGCTCTGTCGCCCAGGCTGGATTGCAGTGGTGCAATCTCGACTCACCACAACCTCCACCTCCCAGGTTCAAGCCATTCTCCTGCCTCAGTCTCCCAAGTAGCTGGGATTACAGGCGCGCACCACCATGCATGGCTAATTTTTGTATTTTTAGTAGATACGTGCTTTCACCTTGTTGGCCAAGCTGGTCTCAAATTCCTGACCCCAAATGATATTGCCGACTCGGCCTCCCGAAGGGCTGGGATTATAGGTGTGAGCCACCGCGCCCTGCCCAGCAATTCTTAAAGAAAGGAGAGCCCTGAGAAAATATTTGGGAAGCCCTCCTATTAGGAAAAATAAAACACAATTGCATATATAGCATGATTTTAAAACAATGTGCCAAAAATAGAAACAGATATAGAATTTAAGTATGCCACAATAATGGCATTTTTTCTAGTCCTTTAAAAATGCTCTTCCAATTTTTGGTGTAATGAACAGCATGTATTATTTTTATGATTAAATAAACTAACATTGAGAACCTAAGTAAAACACAAATGACTAATTTCTCTTCTATAACAACCATGCATATCAGACTTTTGTCATTATTTTCCCTTCAGTGTTTTAGTAGAAAGGAGGGAAGAATTTAAGGAGAAATGGGGAATGAGAAAAGGAAAAAGAGCAAAGAATGTGTGAATGAGAGAGCTGCATTTAAGACTTACTCTTCAAATCCTCACCCCCACCCATGTGGGGGAGGGAGAGTCTAATGTTTACATGCAGAAATAGCTATTCTTAAAAAGAATAATCAATTGAATGATTTTGAATGTTTGCTTACTATAGAAGAATATATAAAAATATAATAGAATATAACTCTGCAATTAAAAGGGAAACATGGATGAATCTCAAAAGCATCATGCTAAATGAAAGAAGGCAGACTAAAAAAGCTGCTTCCTGTATAATTCCATGTACATGACATTCTCAAAAAGTTGAAACCCTGGGACCAGAAATCAGATCAGTGATTGCTAGAGAGCGGTTGGGGAGAGTAGTTTAATTACAAAGGTGAGGAGGGGATTTTGAGGGAGATGGAAATATTCTGTATCTTGATTGTAGTGGTTGTTACATTCATCATATATCATACACACATCACCTTAAAATGGTTAATTTTACTGTATGCAAAATATGCCTCAATAGACAACAAAAATATCTGTTTGTAAATAAATGAATGTACATACTGCAAAATGTTAAGAGTGGCATTCTGTAGGTGGGAGTATTGTTCATTTTTATATCTTCTTTCAGTATTCTGTATTACTTTTTAAATAAATAAAAACTAACAAAAGTTTTTTGAGGAAAAAAATAAAAACTTCGCTGGACAGCAAGTTTCTAAATATTAAAAAATTACCTTTTATTACTAAAGTAATTCATGATCATCACAGAGAAAAAGGTGTAGGCAAAGGAAAAAAAAGTTCCATCATTTTTTCTGTCAAGAAATAGTTAATGTTAACTTGATGGGGTGTCTAGACCCTTTTACTAGGGTTTATGAACATACATACGTACACTAAAACAAAGTAAAACCACATCATAAATGCTACTCTGCATTTTCATTTGCTTATCAGTACAAAATAAACATTTGTCTGTTGATAAATACAATTTTATATAATTTAAATTGCCATAAACTGTTACATTTACATATATATAATATAAATACTACTATAAAGAGAGGCATACATGTTATTTAACGAATCCCTGACTGTTAGTCATATAACAGTTGTTAATTTTTAATTTGTTAATTAAAATAATTTTAAACTCTTTATAATTTTTCAATATTATATGCAATAAACATGCTTGTAGCAAAATCTCTGCAACAATATCTATTTTCATGAAATATATTTCCACAGGTGGAATTTCCGGGTCAAATCATTCATTTTTTGATGATTTTTGATAAGCTATTTTCCCTTCAGAGGAGCTAAGTTAGAGTCTTACTAGCTATATATGTTTTTGCTTCTCTTCATTCTCACCAACAATTAACATTATTTCTTTTTAAGCAATATTTACCAATGTACCCAAAAATAATTTGTCAAAAACATATATTTTAATTACAAGTCAAGTTAAACCTATTTCTGTATGATTTGGGCTATTTACATATTTTTTTGAGAATTACTTGTTGTGAAAAACTATTTTTAAGATTTCTGGGCCACTTATCCATCTATAACCACATATTGGGTGTCACTTTTTTGAAAGTAAAACACTGGAATTGGGATATGGAGAGAAGTAGGACAAGGTCTGTGAACATCTAAGGAAGTTCAGTTTACCAGCGGGATGGCCAAATATTTCTATCTTGAGAGCTAACTCCAATTAACTGGGAAAGAATAGCTGTCTAGGGAGGGATTGTGAGGTCAGGTTCAGGGTCATTGCAAAAGTGGTTCTATGAGTGATGTCTTCCACAAGCAGAGGAAAGGGATATGGGAATCCACATTTTTTTTTTAATGTGCTAACCCTGCTTTGGTGGGATAGTCAAAATATCCTCAAGAACTCCTTCTGTAAAGGTAAGTACAATAACTATTTGACTGTTCAATGTTCATGAAACCTAGTGTTTTAGAGCTAAGTCAAAAGTATCAAGCTAGAATTGCCAGTTGTGTCTCTTCTGAGTATATTTGGTAACATGTTGTGACCCCTTTTATAATCAATACAGAACGTGAATTTTTCTATAGCTGATGGCCTATAATTAAGCAATAGGGTGTAATCATATACTATTTTTGGCTAGAGATTACTCACCCACAGCCCTGAAGGGATACAGCCCAATATGTGATTTAGCTCCCTCTTCCACTGTCTGCCTGCAATGGTTTGACCTGAGATGAACACCTGTTCAATGCTGTCAAATTTGGCTCCTGGTGGCATCTGTCACTGGCCATCATAGTGCTCTTAATTTAGAAATAAAGACACTTAATTTCAGAAATTATCTATTTTTGGATTTCCAGTGAAGTTGGCAATAAAAGACACTGCTTATACCAAACCAAATGAGAAGTGTTCCTCTGTATTGTTAACTACATTTTGAACATGCTGAGGTTGGGGTTGTCTAAAATGTTCAGAAAAAATATGCTACTCTGGAAGGACTATATTTTTTAAAATGCATTCAAAGACAAAGCTACATAAAAGGGGTGAAATCTGCTGTCTCTGGGCTATCTGCTTCAGCTGGTGGCAGATTGTCCCTTGGCAAAAGTATTTAGTCCTGCTCAGTACCTCTTAGGGTTTGAGATAGCTTAAGATATAGAACGATGACTACATGGGGGTCTAATTCCTGAAAAACGGGGTCAAGTCTTACGCCAAGATTTCCTGACACTGAACTTCAACTATTCCTGACTTATCTCTCTCAAATAACTATATGTGATAGGCTGGGAGGTCCTTTGCCATGCTCAACGACATAACCACCTTGCTCAGGGTACAGAAACTATGAGCCTTTTGATGGAAACTGTTGACAAAAAAGGAGCAGACAGTCAGAGAAAATGTAGATGAGGGTGGGCAAAAGAGGGAATACCGTGCACAGACTCCAGGTCCTGCTGTACTCCTTTTACTTGAACTGGGTAATATTTTCCTCCCTTTCTTTGACAAGGCTTCTGTTACTTGAAAATACATCATAACCAAGAGAGGTAAAAAATCATTAGTAGGGGAAACAATTCAGAAATTTGGTACCAACCTTGATACTAAATAGCTATGTGACAACTTACATAATTTTTCTATGCCTTGGTTTCATCATCCAAAGAATGCAAAGACTGAATTATATTGTTCCCAAAGATCCTTTCTGCTCTAAATGAAAAACCATGTAGTCTAACTCAATGATTTTGTTAAATGTTTACAAAGACACATTAATTGCATTTTTAAATATAGGGTCATATATGAAATTTGCTTCTAAACTATTGGTGAGGAATATATTCTCCCCCCAAAACATCAAAATTTCTATTGTTAAAAAAGCCTTAAAATAGTGTTATGATGTGGTTTATGGGAATATATAGTAAGAACATTTTAATTTTGTATTAAACTTCTTTTAGCCACAATATAAAGAAAACTGAAATATTTAGAATCTACCCATTAAAATTCTTCTGAGTAAATAAACTATTCCTTTCTTCCTTTTCAGCTCTAATTTTATACTAGAAAATGCTAATTTTATTTTTCAAAACTATTTCACAGTATTTATAGCCTAAAATATGCTGCTGCATGTATATGACAATTGCATAATCATACAGGGTTAAATGAACACTGTTAACACAGCTTTCAATATTCTGTTTATATTGGGAATATTTCTACCCTAAAAGTTCTTCAAAAAGTGTTTTATTCCCAGGAGAGAAGTTAAATATTACATAAATTTATTAACATGTTTATACAAAATGTCCATTACTGATAATTCCTAATCCTTCCATAGTTAATGATTCTCCCTCAAAAATATATAAATATTTCACATTACATTTTCAATGAATACAGGGATCGTTAAACAAACCTCCTTTACATATGCCTCCCACCCTCTATTATTTAGCTCAAAGAATCACTAAGTGCTTAACTCAATGTAATCCTTGTCCAAGTTTTCATGGGTGCTAACATCCCAACATGAGCAAGGTAGGTGCCTGATACAGGGTGCTAGACTAGCAACTGAGAAATAGTCCTTAGTCATGCTGCGACACTTTTCAGTTTTTACACCCAAGGTCAGTCAACTCCCATCAAGCTACATTATAGCTCCATCAACAACAATAACAAAGAATGCATCATTGGAAGTATTTGTATGCCCACAGTAAACCAAGTGACATTGTATTTTGTCTTTCTTCCCAGCAATTAAAAAGGACTTGGTAGGTAACTGCAGTGGCACTAGATTGTGACTGGCTTGAAGCAGGAACCTTATAGCTTCATCTTTTCTACCCAATGCCTCATAGAGTGCCTAGCAGAAAATAATATTTCTATTGTTGTCGAGTTGATGAATAAATTATGATATGTATCCAGTAATGAATGAATGAAAAACATACTGTATATGGTACAAGTGTATTACATGGATGCTATTTTGCTTGACCATTAACACCTACTGGCAAGAAAACTTATACAATACATTTTGTTGCGGTACCTTATCTAACTATATATATATATATATATATATATATATATATATATATATATATATATATATATAGTTAGAACTATATATACTAGAAAACGCTAATTTTACTTTTCAAAACTATTTTACAGTATGTATAGCCTATATATATATATATATATATATATATATATATATAGTTAGAATGTGAAGGTAAGTATTAATCAGCTTGCTCTTGAAATTTGAGACACAATACATTTAATTAAATGTGTTATGTTCTCTCTTTATCCTTCTGTAAAAATACATAATTAAAAATAGGTTTATTTTATTTTGATTTTTGTTTTGTTATCTAAGAGTAGAGATGAAGAGTGTGGTGGAGACTAGCCCAACGAAGTTTGAATGTGTAATTTTATCTTGCTGACATATTTTTATAAATAAAATATTTTTGGCCAACTGCAAGGTGGCTGATTCCATATTTCTTGCAGGGCACCATACTAAGACATTCTTTTGATGTATAGTACATAAACCTATAGGTCCTATCAATTGCCAAATAATCAGCTCTGAAATACATGGTACTAGCAATATATGGGCAGGACACGGCAGTAACATTTTATTATTCAAGGAAAATTAATGCCAGAGAAGGTAAGAGAGAAAGGACACTTTTCACTTTTCTTTTTTTTTTTTTTTTTTGAGATGGAGTCTCACTCTGTTGCCCAGGCTGGAGTGCAGTGGCACAATATTAGCACAATATTGACTCACTGCAGCCTCCGCCTCCCGGGTTCAAGCAATTCTCCTGCCTCAGCCTCCTGAGTAGCTGGGACTACAGGCGCGCACCACCACTCCCAGCTAGTTTTTTATTTTTAGTAGAGACATGGTTTTACCATGTTGGCCAAGATGGTCTTGATCTCCTGACCTCGTGATCCACCTGCCTAGGCCTCCCAAAGTGCTGGGATTACAGGTGTGAGCCACCATGCCCGGACCACTTTTCTGATTCCTGCTATCCAACTTCTCTTCTTATTAACTTCTATTGTTACTTTTAACCAAAACATATTTTCTCGCTCGGAAGGAGGATGCTGTTATTGCCATTTGGGCAGTCTACTTATTCACAGTGTCTAGCAAGGGAATAGTAGTTGAATTCCACAGGTAGGATTTCGTCCATTCACAGATGCTCCTAAATTGCCTTCTCACCCTTTTGAGCCAGTAAAATGTAATCCCGATCTTTTTACTTTTGCTGGTCAGAATATATGGCATCCTGAACTACCACTTGGATATCAAGAACCAAACGGAAAAGCTTGTATTATTTCCATCATTTAGCTCCTTCAAAACATTGGTCCAGCACAAGGAATGTCCACCTGGCCTCTATAGCTAGAAAAGCTTTCTGAATCTTCATGTAGATAAGAAGAGTAACAAAAATAAGACCTTAGTTTTACAGAAAAATTTAAGTCTCACTGTTATGGACTGAATTGTGTTCCCTCAAAATGCATATGTTGAAGTCCTGACATCTAGTATACTTCAGAATGTGACTATATTTGGAAATAGGACCTTTAAAGAAGTAATTAAGGTTAAATGAGGTCGAATGGGTGGGCCCTAATGCAATATGACTCAGGTACTCAGAAGCAAAAGAAGAGATACCAGAAATGCATGTGCACAGAATAAAAAGGCCATATGAGGACACACTGAGCCTAGGAGAAAGGCCTTAGGAGAAACCAAACCTATCAGCCTTTGATCTTGGACTTCTTGACTCCAAACTGTGAGAAAATAATTTTTCGTAGTTTAAGCCGCCCAGTCTATGGTATTTTACTATGGCAGCCCTAGCAAACTAATAAATCCACATAAGGCAAATATGTGCCAAACTATACAAAGACTTAGGAACATTATTGTGATTACGATCTGGATCTTTGAGTCAACTTTAGGTCAAATTATCAAGTACTTAACTGTATATTTCCCATGTGCCAGGCACTATCTCTTATTTGTTGATTTTTACTCAGATCATTTGATATAAGTTACTATAATTCTCTTTATCCAGTCACTGAAATTGTGCTTCATGAAGGTTAAGGGAATGGCCCAGGGTCAGAGCTAGTAAGTGGTAATGGCAGGAATCAAACTTGAGTTTTCTGAATTCAAGTCTCGTAATCTTTTCACTGAAGTATGCCTTTCCTCTCAATTATACGTCCATCCTTTACAAACAGACTGGCTAAAGGGTGAATTTATAAAACACATCAAATGCTTCTTACAGTGATCTGCTTTCTAAGAAGACACTGAAATCAATACTATGAGAGTTATATGCCTGTTTATTTAGATGGTTAAAAAAAAAAAAGAACTGGATTTTTGCAAAGCCCTGTCATGGGGATTAATGTACATAGAAACAATAGATTGGGACATTTTAGATTAAAATTTCATACGTATAGTAACATAAAAAATAAACTTAAAAAAACATGAACCTGACATCTCATAGTACATTCTTATTTATTCAAATTAAATAGGTCTAGCATATGTGAAAAATAAAAATACTGGACACGTAATATATAATCACTTCTTAGGCAGATATTTTTACTTCCGAAGCTCAAATATTACGTTATCCTTTCTTTTTCAGATGGTTTTTCTATTAATAGGTTTGCCATCTGGCCCCTTACTTATGTATTGTGTTGTAAGAATGCCACTAAAAATTCTTGTAAGATTCCAGTGTCTCTGTTATATTTCAGAAATATACTCATTTTTCTTTGTTAGTTTTAAAAAAAGACTATTATGATTAGGAAAATTCACTGTAATCAGACTGAGTATATCCAAGGCATAATCACATCATTCTTCTTCAAATTCACTGAACACCTTTAATTAGGATTTCAAATTGCTTTACTTGATGTATCTGAAGTTATTTAAATAATTCTAGCAAGATTAATAAGAAGCAATGACCTCCTGCTTTTGTAAAGGAAAAAAATACTTGAAGTTATTTAGAAAGTTAGGGCTGCTGCAGAGTTCTGAATATAATCTTCAGCTTTTATCATAATTCAGGAAGGAAGAAGGGAGGGAGGAAAGAAGGAAGGAAGGAAGGAGGGAGGGAGAGAGGAAGGAAGGAAGGAAGGAAGCAGGAAAGGAAGGAAAGAAGGGAGGGAGGGAGAGAGGAAGGGATAAAGGGAGGGAGGGAAGAAGGAAGGAAAGAGGGTGGGTAAGGGAGGAGGGAAGGGAGCATTTCCTGTTTCATAAGATATACTGATTCCACCTTAAACTAATTTCCCATTGTGGCCTCAAAATAAAACTGTGGAATTATTCTTATTTTACAAATAAAGCAACCATGATGTCAGGATCACAAGATCAAGACCACACAGTTAATATATTTCGGACTGGAAATGAATAGACAGAAATGTGTCTTCATAAGGTATTTTCCTGTACTTTTCTCCCAGTAAGCCACATTGCTTCCAAGTAATGGAAAATAATAATGTGACTTTATAGATTTCTTTTTTAAATTCATATAATGTTATTTGACAATTTTTGCAATGGTTGTGGCATGGAAGAAGCCCAGCCTTAAAAAAAAAAAAAAAATCCATGTTCTAGATTGAGTATATAGTTCCAGAGTGGGGACCAGAAAGTATTTTCCTCATTTCTTTTATTTTCAGAAAGAAGTATCCGAGGAACTGAAAACACAGTGGCACAGTTAAGGTGCTTATAAACTCCTGTTACGGTGGTTTATGAAGTGAAAAGAATAAAGAGCATTCATCTTTAATAAGTTTTCTAAGGTGATTCCACTCCTCACAGCCAATATTGCGGGGGAAACATACAAACCTTATTAGTAAATATATTGTTAATATTATCAACTGCATGCACTTTTTTTTTTCATCTGTAGACATGCTGCTTCTTTTGAACCAAACAGATTATATTCAAAAGGAACAGAAAATAATATTAGTACTATATGTTTGATATTAAATCATAAAGACAGTAGGCTTCTGATTTACCAACTTACTATTTATTTTTAGTGCTTATATATGTAATCGTATGAGACAGAGAGGAAGAGATGGGGGTGAGGAGATAAAAAATGACCATAGTGACATGCATGAACCTCTGGGATTATAGATTTTTTTTTCATTGAGTAAGCAAGCTCAAATAAAAAGTATAGAGCTCTTCATCATTTAGTCTGTGAAAATTTACTATATTTAAATTTTTTATTAAGCTACCAATATTCTTAACTAAGAGTATATATAATAAAGCCATAATAAATGGGGAGAAACTTACAGATAATAACTAATAAGTATAAAATATCTCTAAAGGTAATAAAATATCAGAGATTAGCTATTGGTTAGGTTTAGTGACATACATCATTTTCTGATACGTCAATGTGTATAAGAATCAACATTCTTCTATTTCTACTGCCTTCAAAATTGTCTTTATAACTGAAATACTAAATGGAGCTTCCAATTTTCTTATATATAAAAGAAAAAAAAATGGTGACTAAATGTATATTTGATGTTCAATGACTTTGTAATTTATAGCATTATGAATCATCCTATGAAGATAAAGAAAACAATAAAGTCATTTATTTTGGCATTATTTGCTTTAAATAAATGTTTATATGTAATTCTCCTCCAAGGCTGGTGGGTATAAAAAGAATGTATTTGGAAAAAAAGCAAATGAGTATTATCATTAAAGGTATATGTCAAATCACTTTGGAAATTTTATCATAAAAACTTCAAATCTTACACTGCTTGCAAGTTCCGTATGATATTATAAGCTACTAGTAGTACATTTGAATTTGTCTACTTGTTTTTCTGTTGTTTGGCCTGCCAGCAACATTAGCAGATGAAAAAACACTGGACTGAGAGTAAGGGTCTTGTCCTGAACCAGCAATTAAGAGAGACATGCTGGGCATGACACTGAAAAGCTCTGAAGTTCATTCATAAAAAGGGATGACATCTGCCCTGCCAAATACAGAAAATGACTAGCAGATTCAAAGGAGGTAATATATCTGAAGGATTTTCAGAAACGTAAAATGCTACGTAATATGCAAATTATTTTTTCCTCCTTATTTTATTATTAATCAATTTATTTATTTTGGTGGTTATGATAAAGAAGAGAAAGAGGGAAACCAGATTGAGAATTTAGGTTATGTGATTTCTTTGCATTTGTCTAGGGTGGGGAGTAGTGTCAGGGAAGCTGAAAAAAAAAACAGTTATCCTGAAAAACAAAAGTTTCTTTAAGGTCTTCTAGTTCTTCTATAATTTTTTTAAACCACGTTTTTTTTTCTACAATTTTATAATTTATTGCTTGTCTTTTAAAAATAGGATAATGGGCTGGGCACAGTGGCTCATGCCTGTAATCCCAGAACTTTGGTAGGCCAAGGCAGGCGGATCACCTGAGGTCAGGAGTTTGAGACCAGCCTGGCCAACATGGTGAAACCCTGTCTCTACTAAAAATACAAAAATTAGCTGGGCATGGTGGTGGGTGCCTGTAATCCCAGTTACTCAGGAGGCTGAGGGAGGAGAATCACTTGAACCCGGGAGGTAGAGGTTACAGTGAGTTGAGATCGTGCCATTCCACACCGGCCTGGATGACAAGAGTGAAACTCCGTCTCAAAAAAAGAAAAAAAAAGATACATGATTTATTACATTTTCCTTACCAATCAGGGAAATAAATTTGTTACTTTATTATTCATTTTTCTTCATTAAAAAGAAGGGATCTATTTCACAGAGATGTAATTTCTCAACCCCTCTTGAAATTAATGTATTTAATTGTATAATTATACAGGATGAGTACAGATACAAACAGCTAAGGGATATTTTCACTCCTGGGCATGCTCAAGGATTCATATACATGACCATGAATTATTGCTAGCTTCTTTTATAGGGGAGCAAATTGGATGCCTAGTTCATGTACAGAATTCAATTAAGAACAGAAAGAATTTCACTAATTAGAAAGATTTATAGTTGGCAAAGAAGGGTCAGAGTGCATGTCACTTGTCTGTATAGTTTATAGATTACCAGTTGCCTTTGCAATCCTGTCTGGTAGAAATTGATAAACTCTTTTAACAGTACAAACCCATCAGAGGTCAAAGTTAGAGATTCCACTTCCCTAGTCCAGAAAGGCATCCCTATTCCATCTGGGGTGAATAAATAAATTGCCCACATGTATATTGTCATTCAAATCCTAGATATTATTTAAAGAGATGAGATAACAAAAGCCCATCCTGGCTCTAATTTACCTTTTGAACAAGACATTCACTGTTAAACCAACATGCTACATTTTTCATCACAGACATCTAAGGGTTTCTAGTTCCGAGTATTATTTCAGTGGACTATATCCCAGGTGACTTAGGCATCTACCGCCAGTCCCCTGCCACGCAACCCCCTACCTCCTTTCCATTGCTTTGGTACTGTATTAAGACAGGATGCTAGGAAGAGAACATACGCAGTTTAACGTCTGAGTGCAAAGAAATGATGAAAACAGATACTTAGACGTACAGCTCTCAAGTATCCCCAATGTGATGAACAACATTAGAGAGATATTGAGCAAACAAGACACAAAACAGAAACAGGTGTGAAAAGCTGAAAGATAAAAAGTCAGCACAACTGATCTTACGGTTCACAGCTTCTTTCCATGTGGGTTTATCACAATGGAAATTATGTCTCTCTTCTTTCATAAAAAAAATGGTTTTCTCTGTAAAAATGTCTATCCCACATGAATACATCTAAACTTGATTAAAACAATAATATTTAAGCAAAAATGATGTTTAAGCCAGCATATCTACCTCTCATAGGCATTTGTAGAATCTTTACAAGTTACTGTGCACATCAAGTGGGAGTAAATAATTACTTTACTTTGTTTTCTGCTTTAATTGAATAAGTTTTGCTCATGTTGTGATAACAGGTTTATTTGAAAGTGAAAGTAATTTGTTACAGGACAGCAGCTTTTATAAATGGAAACTTCTACAACAGAACATTGTGAGGTGTTTAAATATTAACCAGACATATTACTCACTCTTTACACTAAATTTCAGAAACTTAATACAAATTAAGTACATACTTTGTTGCTAGATCTTGCTTACCAGTGCTAAGAAATCCACAATGTTCAATTCTAATTAAAAATGAAATTGAACTGCAATTCCCTGGAAACAAGGGCTGATCAGACTCAATAAGCTTTACTTAATTTATTTCAGAAAGAAAATAATTGAATTGCTCATAGACAAAGACAAAAAATGCTTACAGTGTTAAAGAAATATATGCTTCTGAATCTTTGGTAATTTGATTCTATTTTCAAATGTTCACAGCTGATTGCATGTTTCATATTTATGTCTCCAAATGTTCAAGGGTACAAGAATATTCCAGACACCTTTATTTTTATTACTCTCAATTTCTATACGTATACTTACTAGGACTGCCCCATACATAACATACGTTAACATTTAAAAATTTAAACAGGTATAGAAATACTATTATATTTCACTATAATTTATTTTTCTAATTGAACTAGTACTTTCAAAAAGGACTTTTCCAAAGTCCTTTTTTATTCCAAAGTCCTTGACTTATTTAATTGTCACAACTACTCCAGGGGATTTTTAAGATTACTCATTATTTTTCTTATTTGTATATTTTTTTAATTTAATAAATTGTCACCCTGGGAGGGGCTGTGATTTTTCTATGGTTACAGATCTCTTCATAGTGACAATAGAATACTGGTTTTAAACAAATTTTAAAATGGAAAAATAACCTTAACAGGAATTAAGAGTATACTATTGGGCAAAGAGCGAGCAAATCTTCCTGTCTTTGCATTTCCAATTCTTGTACATGAGGATTCAGATTGAGATCACAGTGGGCCTACCACAAGTCTGAGAAATCTGTAGGTTCCATATGCAATGGCTTCATTTTCAGTAAGAATGTTCCATGGATACAAACTTGGATTAAGGAGTAATGATTCTAGAATAGTCCTATAGAGTATCTCTAAGAAGTTCTGGACTTCCAGGTTGGAGTGCAGTGGCATGACCTTGGCTCACTGCAACCTCCTCCTCCAGGGTTCAAGCGATCCTCCTGCCTCAGCCTCCCTAGTAGCTAGGACTACAGGCATGCACCACCACGCCTGGCTAATTTTTATTTGTTTGTTTGTTTGTTTGTATTTTAAGCAAAGATGGGGTTTCACCATGCTGGCCAAGATGGTCTGGATCTCCTGAACTCGTGATCCGCCTACCTCATGATCTGCCCGCCTCAGCCTCCCAAAGTGCTGGGATTACAGGCACGAGCCACCGCGTCTGGCCGCTTTGGATTTTTATATAAGAACAGAGACTCAGATCATTGGAGGTGTCTGGAGACAAAATGAGTATGGATTCTTTTTCAGAAGATAAGAGTTTGTGTAGGAGGAATGTCCACCTGTGAAGGAATTCATAAGTCACCCTGGCACTCGGTAGTAGTTTTATCTAAGTACATTTTTCTAATGGTATTTGCCTTATATAGGTAAAATAAATAAGATAAATGAGATAATATAAAATAATACTTTGAAAAAGGAATATGTAAAATAGCATCATTTTCATCATTAATGTAGCAATGTACTTTTTACCAAAGGATCTCAAAATGTTTAAGAAAATAAAAAAGTGTGTGTAATAATGTTGGATGGGCACATAAAATCAGAAAATAGAAGAAAACCCCAAAATCATGAGGTAAATATTTTAATGAACATTGAGTAAGCTGGAAGAAAAATAAAACATATACATTTTTACACTAAAAGAAAATAGATAAATTATTGTATTGAAATCAAAGATGTTTGAATTGGATATAAAGAGAATGAAATCCTAGCAATATGTTTTTTATCAAAAAAATCTTAAAAAAATTAAGGATTTGTGAAAATAAGCAAATAGACGCCAGCAAATTAAAGGCAGAGAAACAAATTCATATAAAAATGTTAAACTAGAAGCAATAAAGATGGAAGGTATATATTATGTAATGAATAAACATTAAAGAAATAAATACGCCAGGTGCGGTGGCTCACGCCTGTAATCCCAGCACTTTGGGAGGCCGAGGCAGGTGGATCACCTGAGGTCAGGAGTTTGATACCAGCCTGACCAACATGGAGAAACCCTGTCTCTACTAAAAATACAAAATTAGCCGGGCGTGGTGGTGCATGCCTGTAATCCCAGCTACTCGGGAGGCTGAGGCAGGAGAATCACTTGAACCGAGGAGGTGGAGGTTGCGGTGAGCCGAGATTGTGCCATTGCACTCCAGCCTGGACAACAAGAGCAAAACTCTGTCTCAAAACAAAAAAAAAGAAAAAGAAAAAGATAAAGAATGTGCCATAAACCTGAAAGCACTAAACAAACCTAAAGGCAAAGTAAACATGTATTTGACATTCATGATAGAATTCATAAATAGCATTACACAAGAGATGTACATCTTTCAGAATTGGACAAATTCTGAAAGTCAAAAATTGTAAGAACATACAGGAATTTAACAGTTTAATAATAAAGTTCAGTTAGAGAGAGAATTACGTTCCTTGGAGAACACATACACACACATACACATACACACACACACACACACACATACACAAACACACACACACACACCATGTAAGCATTTTACAAAATATTCTATACATGTGGCCACAAGGGGAACCTTGTAAAAAGTATAACTAGATTCTTATTGACCATATTATTTATCTATTTAACATATCCAATTAGAAATTAATAATAAAATAATGAACAAAATTAACTGATTCTCAAATAACTTTGTATCACAGAGCAAATCAACAGCATCTAGAATGCAATGAAAAGTAAAATATGTAACAATGAAACTTTTGGAACACAGTGGAACCTATGTTTATAGTTTAGTTCACGTATAGTTTACATAGGAACTTAATTCTCATTTTAAGAAATTAGAAAAACCAGTTCAAAATTAAGTATGATAAAGGAATTATTTAATATAAAAGCAGAAAATAAAGTAGAAAATAAAGGAGAAAAGCATAAAATTTCAAAATTTATGAGTCTGAAAAGTATTTGCACATTATAGTATCTGCAGCATTAAGAATGGAACAAATTTGTCACAACTGACAGCTAGCTGAAGGTTGCAGCATCTGGATAAACTAAATATTTCCAGAGTAGTTTGACCATGTCCCTAGACTCAAATCAGACAAAATATCCAGCAGTGGAGCATCTGGTCTGGCAGCTGCTGAGCACACCCTGCGAGTTGAAATGAGCACCGGCTTCATGGGGAAACAAAAGAGGAGACTGCCACAGGAAAGGCCTTTAATAAAGCCAACAACAGGCAGAAACAATGCCAAACTAATATAGAAATGAGTACAGGCATGTGTCATTTTGTCTCAATTATAAAAGCCAAATCTGCAAAGAAGAGAGTCATGCCAGACTTGCATACAGGGTTTCAATTATTGAATATTTAGGTCATAAGCATGTGGACATACATACATAGCTGTAACTTCTCCAGAGAGAAGATAATGGAAAAGAAAGAAGGGTCAGTATGTTCCATATCTGGAGAGTTGAAAAGAAGGAGAGTATCCACTAATAAATTCATTTCCGCATATCCAAAAGCTTATGACTCCTGATTATGACAGACACTGATGTGAAAGAAACCAGACAGATAATTTGCATGGAGTGGTATTTCTCTTCCCTTTCTCTTTTCTCTTGTCTGGAGCAAATAACGATACTTTTTCATTCTTGAATTCATAATGATTACTTTGTCTTGAAATTGTTAATAAGAAAATCAACATTTGGATTTGGTTGTATAGGTCTTTTACCTTTCTCTCATTTTCATATGTAAAAAAAAAAAAATCCTAATGGTATGAAACTATCCACCCCCTTCACACTGCTAACATAATTTTACAAAGATTTCGGGCACAG
Organism: Homo sapiens; assembly: GCF_000001405.40. Taxonomy (NCBI): domain Eukaryota; kingdom Metazoa; phylum Chordata; class Mammalia; order Primates; family Hominidae; genus Homo; species Homo sapiens. The sequence goes on along the minus strand of NC_000003.12, from coordinate 175,303,940 downwards.
AAGGAAAAGCCCCATGTTAAGCCACAGCCTGCTGTCCACTGCTGTCCTATTGGCTTCATATAACTTCTAGAAAGGACTCTAGTAATGTAAGGCAATTGGTAAATTGTGAAATCAAGTGGATGAAAAGTCACATCATTTCAGACTTGTAAATTTTTTTCACAGAAACTGCTGTAATATTTATTTCTAACCTGTGAAAAATATGAGAATCATGGTTATTATTTAGTTTCTCTGGTAGTATGCTCCCTAAGGGGAATGGAAATGGGAATGCAGGCCAAACCAAAAATTCTGCAAGTAACGCTATGTGCGGTAGTTTAAGGGAAATATGATAACTGAATTTTTATACAAAATCTTAAAAAGAAACTAATATATAACCATGAGGTTATCTAATATGGAGACTCATGTCAGATGTAGCTATACATTTTAGGAGTAAGAAAGTAGAAAAATCAGATTAAGATCAGAAATATGGGAAATTTTTTTTTGGTGGCATACTCCTTGTTAAAACTATGCAAAACTCAAAAACTTCTTAAAGTATGAAGCTACTAGTTTCAGTAGTCTTAAAAATCATATGATTTTTATACAACTTAATTACTTAAATACAAGGTTTTATCCTTGGAAATGACCACCATTTATTGAATATCTGTCTATATCCTTATATATTCTTTGCAGTTGAATCTACACAACAATGCTAAAAGATAGGTGTTATTAATCCCCTTTTGCCAATGATTTCTGGGGCCAAAAATTTAAGTAACTTGTCTAATCAATCAGCATAAAGTAGTGGGGCTGAAAAAACACAAACAAAACTACGTCTGTTTTCAAATCTCATGTCTTTTCAGTCATGCCATGTGTATGTTATGTGTATGTTAAATGTATTCCCCCAAAATGATTTTCACCTAAAACCATATCTACAAATTATTCATTGTACCTGTCAATGTCTTTTATTATCAATGTTTATTGCTTCAAATATTTCCTTTCAAGTAATCTTTGAAACATAATTTTTCTCTTCCTCTTGATCTCCTTTAATTTTCATATATCCTCTCAATCCTTTACTCACAAATATTTATGAAAAAATATACACACACACACACACACACATACACACACATATATACACACACGTTTCGACAGGTCAATAAACACACACATGCAGATACATTTATATTTGTGACTGCATTTAAATTGAGTAAGTACCACACCTATTGCCCCAGTACTTATAAAATATCTCTCTACTACGTACTATTTTTAACATACTGTACTATACTAGAAAATAGTATTTTCTAACATACATTATTATTTTAGAAAATCTCATGTTAAAGTAGAAGGTATTTTTAGTAATACAGCATATTTAATATATTTTAAAATCTATCTTTACCTTTCCAGAATGTCTGTTCTATCAATTTAGCCTATATGTGGAGATGAATGAATGTACTATTTGCATTTCCTCGAAGAAAGCATATATTAACTACTCCATATTTCAAATGGTATGAAAAGTTTATTGAAAAAGTTTACTAGAGTGCCAGATGAATCATAATTATTATTGTAAAATCCCTTAAGCCCCAACTGGACTATCATCAATTAGGATGGACAAATAATAACGATCTAAAAGTGAATCCATTGAAATACATATGTCAGTGAGACAAATGTTTGCCGTGGATTTATTCTTACCCATCATTCACCCTAAAAATTCATTAATTGTCTTCCTCTTTCTGTATTACTTAATTCCTATGGAATTATACAGTCCAAACTATAATGCTTTGAAGATTGTAATAACTTAGGCTCAGCAGAAAGACTCTTAATAGAGAATTATAGATCGGATAACTCAGAGTACTTAAATAATTACCCACATTTAAACATGAGAAATTATTTCTTTCCCTTCTTACCTTAGGATTGATTACTGCTTTCTGCATCACCATGATCAAATTCATTCTACGCTTTATCTTCTTAAAGTAAATTAAACCATCCCTCATGCCTCTGGCTAGCAGCTGGCCAGTTACAAGAGCAGAGTTAATTAGTTAACGGTGTCCCCAACTGGAAGGGCAACAGAGTTTATCATATATGCATATCTTTCTTGTGTTTTGTTTCCCTCCAGGTTCCAAGCAAACAGCTTCATATCCTCAGACTGTGGAAGCATCAAAATTATTGAGTAATCCACAATGAATATCCACTGTTACTGGTGTTACTTTAGAGATATATTCCATTCTTCACTTAAGAAAACGAGAGGATTATTTTGGTCCAGTAGAATTTCATCTTTCACTTTCTTTCTGGTATACATCAGTTGTTATCAATCCTGCCAAAATTCTGTATTTCAGTAATTATTTTCTTCCTATTTCTCTTCTGCACCCATTCTCATTACATCAATGGGCTAAATCACAGCCAATTGACTATGCTTTAGTATGAGTTTTCATATTCAGTGAATCAGAAATGTATAATACAGAAATTGGAATTAACAATGTTTTAAGAATGCAAAACAGAAAAGACAGCTACATGCGTTTTTGCAGTATTTATGTATTTATTTATTTATTATACTTTAAGTTCTGGGATAAATGTGCAGAAAGTGCAGGTTTGTTACATAGGTATATATGTGCCATGGTGGTTTGCTGCACCTATCAACCCGCCATCTACGTTAGGTATTTCTCCTAATGCTATCCCTGTCGGGGGGTTTGGGAACAAGGGGAGGGATAGCAGAATCTCTGGGACACAGCTAAAGCAGTGTTCAGAGGGAGATTTATAGCACTAAATGCCCACAGGAGAAAGCAGGAAAGATATAAAGAACTAGAGAAGCAAGAGCAAACAAATTCAAAAGCTAGCAGAGGACAAGACATAACTAAGATCAGAGCAAAACTGAAAGAGACAGAGACACGAAAAACCCTTCAAAAAAGCAAAGAATCAGACCTGGTGTGGTGGCTCACGCCTGTAATCCCAGCACTTTGGGAGTCTGAGGCAGGCGGATCACCTGAGGTCAGGACCACCTCACCTGAGGTTGAGACCAGCATGACCAACATGGAGAAACTCCATCTCTACTAGAAATATAAAATTAGCTGGGCATGGTGGCACATGCCTGTAATCCCAGCTACTCAGGAGGCTTTGGCAGAGGAATCTCTTGAACCTGGGAGGCGGAGGTTGCAGTGAGCTCAAAATAAATAAAATAAAATAAAATAAATAAATAAATAAATAAATAAATAAATAAAAATAAATAAATAAATCCAGGAGATGGTTTTTTGAAAATATTAACAAAATAGACTGCTAGCCAGACTATAAAGAAGAAAAGAGAGAACAATCAAATAGACACAATAAAATATGATAAAGGGGGGATCACCACTGATCCCACAGAAATACAAACTACCATCAGAGAATACAATAAACACCTGTACGCAAATAAACTAGAAAATCTAGAAGAAATGGGTAAATTCCTCGACACATACACCCTCCCAAGACTAAACCAGGAAGAAGTTGAATCACTGAATAGACCAATAACAAGTTCTGAAATTGAGGCAGTAATTATCCTACAAACCAAAAAAAAGCCCAAGACCAGATGGATTCACAGCTGAATTCTACCAGAGGTACAAAGAGGAGCTGGTACCATTCCTTCTGAAACTATTCCAAACAATAGAAAAAGAGGGAATCCTCCCTAACTCGTTTTATGAGGCCAGCATCATCCTGATACGAAAACCTAGCAGAGACACAACAACAAAAAAGAAAATTCCAGGCCAATATTCTTGACGAACATCAATGCGGAAATCCTCAATAAAATACTGGCAAACTGAATCCAGCAGCACATTAAAAAGCTTATCCACCACGATCAAGTCAGCTTCATACCAGGGATGCAAGGCTGGTTCAGCATATGCAAATCAATAAACATAATCCATCACATAAACAGAATCAATGACAAAAACCACATGATTATCTCAAAAGATGCAGAAAAGGCCTTCAATAAAATTCAACACCCCTTCATCCTAAAAAGTCTCATTAAACTATGTATTGATGGACCATATCTCAAAATAATAAAAGCTATTTATGACAAACCCACAGCCAATATCATAATGAATGGGCAAAAGCTGAAAGCATTTCCTTTGAAAATCAGCACAAGTTCAGGAAGCCCTTTCTCACCACTCCTATTCAACATAGTATTGGAAGTTCTGGACAGGGCAATCAGGCAAGAGAGAGAAATAAAGCATATTCAAATAGGAAGAGAGGAAGTCAAATTATCTCTGTTTGGAGACAACATATTTAGAAAACCCCATGGTCTCAGCCCAAAAACTCCTTAAGCTGATAAGCAACTTCACTAAAGTCTCAGGATACAAAATCAATGTGCAAAAATCACAAGCATTCCTATACACCAACAGTAGACAAACAGAGAGCCAAATCATGAGCAAACTCCCATTCACAATTGCTACAAAGACAATAAAATAACTAGGAATACAACTTACAAGGGATGTGAAGGACCTCTTCAAGGAGAACTACAAACCACTGCTCTAGGAAATAAGAGAGGACACAAACAAATGAAAAAAAAAGATTCCATGCTCATGGATAAGAAGAATCAATATCATGAAAATGGCCATACTGGCCAAAGTAATTTACAGATTGAATGCTATCCCCATCAAGCTACCACTGACTTTCTTCACAGAATTAAAAAAAACAAAAACAAAAACAAAAAAAACTACTTTATATTTCATATGGAACCAAAATAAGAGCCCATATAGCCAAGACAATCCTAAGCAAAAAGAACAAAGCTGGAGGCATCACGCTACCTGACTTCAAACTATACTACAAGGCTACAGTAACCAAAACCGCATGGTACTGGTACCAAAACAGATATATAGACCAATGGTACAGAACAGAGGCCTCAGAAATAACACCACATCTACAACCATTTGATCTTTGACAAACCTGTAGTATTTAAGTTGTTCCGCATTTTCTGTTAATGCTTACACTGGTGTCATTACTTTGAAAGAATCTGCTTAAAACTTAGTTTCAAAATTAATGATGTATTTCATTTTACTTGCACTTAAAAATGTTCCAATATATAGCCCCAAATGTAGTTTAAGGGAAATAGAAAGATTTAACCAAAGGATAAAAATAAACAACAATTTGCACCTCATGAAGGTATAACGTATTTCACAGAAGTACATTTTCCATATACATGAAAGTTCTTATAAGCCTCAAAACTGTTTTCTTGGTTAAGTTCAGACAAGATAGCTTAATTCTGATTTAAATGAACCCAATATAGAAATGCACAGAATACAACTGAAAGAAAGGGAGTATTTTCCTGAAGGCAAGGCCACTGGAAAGAAAATAACAATTTTGGGCTGAGACAGAGTGTTCCAGCAGAACTGGGAGTGAGGGTTTGAGCAAGCAGAGAGATTTGAAAATTTGATGGATTTTTAGATGTATAGTTGGATAATATTAACCCAAGAAATATGAAGTTCAAATGGAACAATAATAAATTTTTATTCTCTCTTTTATGAGATTCTCATTTCAAAGTTTAAAGAAAGTTATTATTACTTTTTAGAAGTCTGTTGATTTTTATCAGATTCCTGAAAAGTGATCTTCATTCTCCAAGAAGTCACAACTAAGATGTAAAATCTGGCATCAAAAGCAATGAAATGAAAGTGTTTGGTCAGGAATATTATGTCTGATAATTTATACTAACAAAATAATTAAACAAGTTTCCGCATCCCTCCAGTTCATTGCTCCTCAAGGTCACCATGCAGAGTTGCTTTACCACAGGTTGATTTTGAATGGGCAACAGTTTCACTAAAGACCTAAATAAAGCCCAAGAAGAGAATATGAAAAATTCATTCATTAAATATGAGTATTTAGCCACTTTGTTTCCCTGTCTTATTTGAAAAAGTTATAAAATGAAAATGCATAGTTTTTTAATTCAACTATCATTCAACATGTATTTATATGGGATCCCTATATGCCAAGCATTGTTGTAGCATCTGGAATACAACAATTAGCAAATATGAATATGCAACTCCTTTCAGCCACTTTTCAATGGGAGACAATGTATTCATAGTTATTAAATCTTCAGAATTCATCATATGTGCCAATACCAGATTTTTACATAGGAGAAATTTAAATATTCATTATGTAAAATGAAAAGCATGCCCATTGCTTCTCTGAAAGTTAACTTATTCCAACCTACATTGTTATGGGTATGTGCACAGACAATAATATAACCAAATGAAGTCTACATGTGGGTATGTTAGTATCACTATTAGGACTCAATAACTGGCCTGCAGTATGGGCTGTAATGGCAGTCCATAAGCAACACAGAGCAATTTAAAAATGTGAATTACCAATGGTTAGTGGGTAATACCACAATAATAAGGTTGTCTGAAAATGTAGCAAAACATGACTGAAAATTGGAGAGAATGTGATAAAGACATACTAACCAACTTACACAAATAGGGAAAGGCAATTTTGTCACATAAATAATTATTGCTTAGGAATTAATGGCTGGTTCATAAATGCTTTTCTACAAAATAAATCATAAAGTATTCCCAGAAGATGAGGACATTTTTGGCAGTCCATGGTGAAAATTGCAGTTTGAGGTTACAACACTCATGGAAAAAACTATCCCATGTTTTGGAATTTTATTCTGGTGATGGTAGCTGATAATTCATTTTAATGTACTAACACGGCTAAATAAAACATAGGAGTGCTATGTTGAACACTTAGTTACCTATTGGCTTTTGGCCGAAAACTATTGTTTAGGAGCAGGAGTTGGCAAACCTTTTCTTTCAAGGGCCAGATAGTAAATATTTTAGGCCTTGCAGGCTATAAGGTCTCTGTTGTAACGACTTGACTTCTGCTGTAGCACAAAAGGAGCCATAGATAGTACCTACAGGCCAGTAAGTATATTCCAATAAAACTTTATTTACAAAAACAAGCTGTGTGTGAGTCAGATTTGGCTCATCCTCCAGTTATTCAACTCCTGCTACAGGACCCCTCTGTGGCCTCTTCTGTAAGCCTAATAGGGGAAATATCCAAAAGTTCTAATGGCCATTCTGAGTCTTCTGCTCCTGCTGCTCTTCCATTGCCTCTGCCTACCTCTCAGTCAGAAAATGAAGCAGTTCATCCCCTGAAATGCTCAAAATCAAATCACTTCATTTCTGTTAGTAAACCTCTGAGAAGCAATAGTGGGCCCAATGAATATCCTCACTCAATTTCTTAATAAAATTAATTGTACTTAATGTTATTACTTAGCAATTTTACCGTGAGCATATTCAAAATACAGTGTTGACACAGAATAAACATTAAGGTTTGGATATGGCCGTTAGAAGGCTGTCTATAGATTTCTCTTCATAAATCTATATGGGACTTGAAGAATAAATATATCTCCCAAAAGGAGGGTGGAGATACTGGTCCTCTTGGAAACTAAGTCTGAGCTTCCTGTCAGCCAGGGTAAAGGGAAAAACAAAGGGCTATAATGGTGGCTTTTAAGCAGAAATGAATATCAAAGTTACGGGGAACCTGTTTAAACATATGCATGCCTAAGATCATCTTATTTGAGATCCAGCGTGGCAAGTCTATGGTGAAACCCAGTTACTTCTGAGCCCTTGAGATAGATTGTCTTCATGATGTGAATAATGCAGAATTTCATACGGGAAGTATTATTGGCAGTTTGAGCAGGACAGCTCTTCCATTTGTGGGATTATCGCAACCAATGCAAGATGTAGGATCCCCTCCCCTGGCCATTTACTTTAACACATGTAGCACCTCCTAGTCATTATGGCAACTGAAAATCCTCCTACATTTTTCCAATGGGATATGGTGGTGGGCCGTTGATTTAAGGAATACAGAGAAGTTAGTTATGGACTATATCTTCAGAGAGCTTGTAGCAGAGACTCACTAATCAGGCAGATAGTTAAGGAAAGCTTCCCCTGATAGGAGAATGTAAACTAAGTTGGAAATTATCAAAACCCACTTGGCTGACTTTTTTGGCCACCAAGAACCTGCATTCCAAACAGAAGATACAACATCAGCAAACACAAAAGTGAGACTAGCCTGGGTTGGCATGAGGATTCAAGTCAGTTAGATTCCAACTCATGATGAAGTATGAGGCAAGGAACGATAAATGATAAGGCTGGACAGGTCAGAGTCAGATTATAAAAGTCATTGTATGATTGTTTTAGGGCTTTAGGAAATTGTCTGAAAGGTGTGTGAGAGTGCTGAGAGAGAGAGAGAGGGAGTGTGTGTGTGTGTGTGTGTGTGTGTGTTTGTGTGCATGTGTATCAAAAGATTTTAAGTAGGGAAGTATGATTGTCAGATTGTGTTTTCAGATAACACTTTGGCAGCAACACAGAAGACATGTGTGAATGAAAGAAGACTAGAGCCAGGGAAAGCTGGACTTGTGAAACAGAAGCACAGTTGGAAAGGAAAGGAAGGATTAAAGACATGCAGTAAAAGTTGAAAGCCTTAGTAATTTTTTTGTACGAGGGCATGCAGGAAGTCTGAGAAATCAAGGGTGACTTACTGATTTATAACTTGTGTAAGGAGGTATATTGCTGTACCAGTCAGTGAGGAAAAAAACACAGAAGTAGAAAGGGCACAGGAAAAGAAACGAATTCAGGTTTGGCCAGGTTGAGCTAAGGTGTTTCTGAAATGTCTAAATGAGTCTGTCCAGCACTCAGTGGGTTGAACTATAATGGATAATCCCACTTGGCCAACTTTGGTATAAGGTCAACGCTAGTCCTCTGTAGGATGAAGAACTGGAAACTCTCTTTGAACATACAGGGCCTGCACATAATCAGGTAATATTTTCTTCATTGGATATTATCTCATTTCTGAATTTCTGGAAATATATACTCAGGTTAACATTTACTAGACACATTCTGTGCCATACACTCTTTTACCTGACTGCATGTATTGACACATGCAATTCTCACAGTAACCCTATGAGAAAGGTTATTTTAGTATCTATTCACATCTTAAACATGAGAAAACAGAAGCATAGAGGAACTAAGTACCTTCTCACTTCTACTCAGTCACACAGCTATTAAGAAGCAATCATGCTTTGACCCAGGTAGACTGCAGAGGGTGGACTGCACTATAGCGACTCACATGCATGGCAGATCCTCTACTGATCCTAATAATTAACTCTCCCGAATAATTTTTCTGTCAGATGAAAATAAAACAGCACTGAACGTTTTTGATACTCTTGACACAGCGGTCCTTGTTTGTGCTCCTTTGGATATGGCCATTAGAAGGTTGTCTATAAATTTATCTTCATAAATTATCTTACTTCTAATTCCAAAAAGTGAAACTTATTTTTTTTGAAACTACAGATAATTTTAAACTTTAGAGTTAAACAGTCTTAGACTTGAACCTTGGCTCTGCAACCTCCAAGCTACGTGATCTTGGGCAAGTTGCAAAACTTCTCAAAGCAATAGGTCATATCTTTAGGTGACTGCTAATGTCTCCCATTTAGGATAATTGTGAGAATGACAAGGGGAAGTGCATATTTAGGACACTGTAAATTCTCAATATACCAAAGTGTTTACCAGAAAAGCTTTATTATAAGGTTGTTTTCCAGAACACCAGCGAACTTCAGCCTTATTTATCCTTTTTTTTTTCTATACACAGTGGTGAATATTAAAAATGTAAGTAAGTATCATACACCATAGCTGGCCAGGCAAGCTTGAGAGCAAATAAGTAGGTATTAAATCTTCAAGGAATAGAAGAACAACAAACTTGAAAAGTATATGTAGTAAACAAATAATTCACTATGTTTTTCTTTTTGTCTAGGCTGGCTTGGTGCCTTTAGCAGCTTCTGCTTTACTGGCTATATTCTAGGCTTTCAGAGAACTTCTGCAGAATCCTCGTCAAATTCCCTGGTTAGAATTTTATGTCCCTGGATCTTACTCCTCTTGCCTATTACCTGTTGTAACCCGCCTGCTCGGTGTACCTGGACTAAGCTGTTAGAGGCACTGTGCTTGGCACTGTGTGGCTTTGCACTAGGATGTCTTCTTTACAACTTCCTTTGGCTTCATGGTATGAATACTAAAGGCCAAGTAAGTCTAACTCTGTATTCACTTTGATCTATCAAACCTCAGTCTGCATATTAATTATTTAGTTTCTTATGGTATATAAAAAATGCCATAAACTGGGCAGTTTATAAACAATAACAATCTATATCTTATATTTCCAGAGCCTGGGAAACCTGAAATCAAAGCAATGGCAAATTTGTGTCTGATGAGGGTTCACTTTCAGGTTCATAGATGTCATCTTCTAGCTGTGTCCTCACATAGCAGAAAGAGTGAAAGAGGTCTCTGGGGTATCTTTAATAAGGGCATTGATCCCGTTTATGAGGACTTAACCCTCTAACTGACTCACCTCCCAAAGGCCTTACCTTTAAGACTATCATCTTGAGAGTTAGCATTTCAATGTTGGAATTTGGAGGGGGGCAGACACAAATATTCAAACCATAGCAGTTGTTGCTCAAAAAAATGTACTGTTTGGAAAATATTTATATATGCTCAGAAGAAAAAACAGTTTGCCCATCTTTTTTTTCCATATCGATAGTGCTAACAATAGCTACTATTAGCTGCTTTCTATATGTTATTTAAACATGAAAATAAATTTGTAACAATATATATTACACACACCATTCAGAAGATGTGACTAAAGCTCAGAGCTGTGGCTACTCTAAAGCCTTGTAGTTATTCAGTGTCAAAGTCAGAGTTTAACTCCATGTCTATCTGGTAACTACCCTGTAGCTCTGCTTCTGCAAAGCCTGTCTACTTACATAAATAAGTTCCACGCCAAGATAATTAGTTGGAGTTAGGATCTTGAAAGGGCTATATCTTCCCCTACTAGACTTAACACAGCCAAAATTACACTAAATCTTTTCAGAACAATAACCGAGTTCCCCCTTTTTTTTTTTTTTTTTTTTTTTTTTTGAGACGGAGTCTCGCTCTGTCACCCAGGCTGGAGTGCAGTGGCGCTATCTCGGCTCATTGCAAGCTCCGCCTCCCGGGTTCACGCCATTCTCCTGCCTCAGCCTCCCGAGTAGCTGGGACTACAGGCACCTGCCACCAAGCCCGGCTTATTTTTTGTATTTTTAGTAGAGACGGGGTTTCACCGTGTTAGCCAGGATGGTCTCGATCTCCTGACCTCGAGATCCACCCACCTCGGCCTCCCAAAGTGCTGGGATTACAGGCGTGAGCCACCCGCGCCCGGACGTTTTCTTCATTTTTATGTCCCTAGACCTTTGTACACAGCCTACCTCATGGTGATCAATAAAAAATTGTTGAATGGGTGACTGAATTATCAGAACTCCAGAATGAATATGGTAAACCTAGAATCCCCTCAGGTGTGTGTGTGTGTGTGTGTGTGTGTGTGTATCCCAACTCACAATCAGACTGCATTTATTGAGTCTCCATTTTAAATGTATCACTGACAAATAGTGACAATAGGTGGAAATATTATCAATGGGCCAAACCAAAGTGTTAAGCATTTTGCAGCTAGAATATACCAAGATAAAAAATGGCAGCCCACAAAATCACTTTCTACACAAACATACCAAGTTTCTATCATTCAAAGTGCAGTTATATTTTAAAGCTGCCACAAAGATAAATACTGGCTCATATTCCCATGATCTAAAACTATAAATCAAAGTAGTCCTCGAAGACTTTAGGCAAGTGGGCAGAATCCTTCCTCAGGCTTAAAAGTTATTTGCTGGGTTTTGCTTTTCATTTTTGTTCATGTTCATTTAAATTCATGTAAGAATTTGTGCTGGTGGCAAACTGTGCATATACAGTCAACAGACTGATGCCTGGTGCATTTACTCAAATGACAAACGCACCAAAAGAAGGGCATCAGATGGGGAAGAGAGAGAGCACGTTTCAAAATGTGTGAAAAAAGTCAATGCAAATTCTGTTTTTCAAATGGCATTCTCTGAATTATTTTTTAAAAATACCTGTAAAGCTAACATATAAACTATTTTGGAGACTAATATGAGACTGAAAATAATTTAGAAATTGTATTTGCTTTGTGTATATGGCTAAATGAACCATTATTAGTATATATTCTTAAAACATGTATAAATAATAATTATCCTCAGCCTCTTATTCACTCAAGGCATACTTACTATACTGGGTAATTGCAGCTTTGAAACTCCATTGTATGTTTTCATGGTGATTATTTTCAGCAGTCTTGGTTTGTGGAAACTCTCCTCTCTTCACTACATCATTGCATTGATGTAATTGCATTAGTGGATATTCTATCTCATAAAACCCAAGGAATATTCAGGAGTCTTCATTCCTTGGGGTAAAGCTCTTATATGTTACATTTCCAAAGCTGCTTAATATTATCATCATATTTCTCTGGTATTTCATAGTTGACACATTATTTTGTAAAACACTGAAACTTTGTTGTTTTAATTATTTCTAGCTTGAATAACATATATAACCCCAGGTATGGCTAGGTATATATGAGTTGGAATAAGTTAATCAGTTAATTAATATTTTATATTCACTTAAAAAACTAGACATGCAATGTCTAATTACTTGGTAAAGCTTATCTTTCAGTAAATCAAACCACAAGATAAACCTATTTATCATTCTTCTTAAAAACATGCAAATATATAATAAGCATAGCAAATTGGAAAAGTCTAATTTAGATCGAAAGAACTGTTGCTAGAATATTATTAGAATGAAATTACAAGAAACATTCAGTGAACTCTTAAACATTCAGGAGATCACATATCTTGGGATTCACAGCAAGTTAGTAGATTTTTTGGCTTTAGAAGAAACATATGTGAATTTATTTTTTACTCCAATATTGATCCATTGACATACATATTGGCGAACCAAATAGACACATTTACACATCTAATTTCAGTTTAAAGGGAAGCAGCAGAGAAGAAATGGTAAAATAGTTAATTACAATGCTTTTACATACATACATATATAATGAAATAAATGTATACATAAAATAAATCACCTTAGCACCATTGCCCAAGGAAATTTATATTGTTACTTCTCTAGTAAAGTTATTGTCTTGAGGAAATACTCAAAGAAGTAGAAAAAAAACACGCACACACATTATCTTTCTCTATTCAAACTGAAGATACACATTTCCATTCACCAAGAAGACAAACAGATATGGAGATCTGGGAAGAGCCTATTCATGATATAACATTGTCTCCTGTGGTTATAGTGAGGTTTGCAATACTTCATTTCATATTTTAAATAAACTTTATGCCTAGCGTTCCATTATTGGAACACTAAGCATGTGGAAGTTATATCCTATTGCTCAAGGTCATCGCCAAGGTCTGATTGCAAAAATTCAAAAAATTGCAACCTCAGACACAAATGGGTTAAGATATAATTTTCATATTATAAAATCCACTAGTTTCAAGGCATAAATTTCAAGGAGTTTCGAAAACATATATATGCCCATGTAACCACCACCAAAGTCAAAGTATAGAACATTTCCATCATCCCCCAACTCCCAAATTTTTTTATGTCCATTTCTGTCAATACCCCAACTGCCAATTGTAGGAAACCACTGATCTACTTTCTCTCTCCCTAGATTAGATTTGCTTTTTCTAAATTTTCATATAAATGGAATCATAAAGTATGTACTCTTTTGGATTTGTCTCATTTTCATTCACATTCCATTGTATGAATATCTACAAATTGTTTATTCATTCACTTGTTGATGGATATTTAGATTGTCTCCAGTATGGGGCTTTTATGAATAAGCTGCTATGTTTTCATTTTTCTTGGATAAAAACCCAGGACTAGAAATTATAGGTTATACAGTAGGTTTACTTTTAAAATTGCCAAACTGTTTTACAAAGAAATTGTATTATTTTACATTCAGCAGCAATGTTTTAGAGTTCCAGTTGCTTGCATTCTTATCACACAGCCTTTTAATGCTAGTCATTTGATAGATTTATAGTGATGTCTGATTATGCTTTTTATTTCTATCTCCCTGACAATTAATAATATTAAGTATTCCTTCATAGACTTATTTGTCATCTGTATAATTTGTTTGTTTAAATAGTCTTTTCACTGGCTTTTTCTCTTCTTACAGTTGTATTCTGGATATAAGTCCTTTGTTAGAGTTATATATTGAGAATATTTTCTCCCAGTCTGTGGCTTCTCATTTTATTTTGTTCTTTTGTTTGTTTTTTGAGACAAGATCTCTCTATGTTGCCCAGGCAGGATTCAAACTCCTGGGCTCAAGTGATCCTCCTGCCTTAGCCTTCTGAGTAGCTGGGACTACAGGCGCAGCAATCACATCCCAACTTCTTTTTACTCTCTTAATGTTGTCATTTTAAGAGCAGAAATTTTAAATTCTTATAAAATTTTATTTTTATTTTTTTGGGGGGAGGGAGGCTATATGTGTTCTAAGAAAATCTTCTAAAGGTTATAAAGGTTTTTTCACGTGTTTTCTGCTAGAATATTTTTAATTTTAGTATTTCCTTTTAAGTCTAAGATCTGTTTTGTTAATTTTTGAATATAATATTATTTCAGGGTCAAGGTTCTCTCTTTTTGGCACCTTTCGAAAATAAAGCATATGAGTGCATACCAGTTTCTGGACTCTATCCATTGACATCTATTATTGTACTTATACTAGTACTACACTGCAGCTCTATAGAAGTCTTAAAATCAGATGGCGGTGATGCTCCAAATTTAAGTTTATTTTTAATGTAATACATACTCACGTAAACCTTAATAGAATGTCTGCTTGATCCTTAAAATCTAAAATTTCACAGAGCTATTTAAATTTTTAAAATAGTAATTGATACTTACGAAGAAAGACATGCCAAAAATGTTAATTTTTTTCTAATTATTGCATCATAAAAATTACAAATTTAATATTTAAGATAACAGCTCAAATTCTTACATAAACCATACAAAAGAGTTATTTAAATCACAATTTTGAAAAAGTAACAAATATATTAATCCCTAAAGAGATCAAGTTTTACCAGGTTTTTCAGCTCTCCTTATTTTATCACTTTCGGAAGACCCATAAATCAGCAGTTTTGTCTCTTTTGACCTCCTAAGTAGCCTGTTTTACCAAAATGAAATAGTAGAAAAAAGCTTCTTGGAAGACATCCAGAGTTCAAATGTTTGATGAGAACAGCATAAGTAGCTGATATAGTTTGGCAAGCATAGAGCTCAGCATTCCACTCAACATCCCACAATAATGCAAGTATGCTACCAGACTATTATCTAGGTTATATTCAGGGGTAATATTAATGTATTTAACTACCGCATCCCATGGAACGGACAAGTCAGAATGGATTCTAAGCAACTGGCTCAGGAAGACTGAGGTATGTTGGCTGAGAAACCACTTGGACGTAAGTCTACAGAAACACCCTTGACTAAGGAGCAGCAAGAAAAGCAATGGATGAAAGGATGGTTAGATAATTGGACTAATGATAAATAGACAAGATTTTTGATAGATTACTTGAAGAATCATGCATATTTTCCTTAAATGCTTAATTTGAGGTGTTATGATGGATACTTTGTGTTGGCTTGACTGGGCTATGGGGTACCTAGATATTTCATTAAACATCAATCTGGGTATGTCTGTGAGGCTGCTTTCCCATGAGATTAACATTTATATTGGGAAACTGAGTAAAGCATATTGTTCTCATTAATGTGTGTGGGCCTTTTCCAATCAATTGAAGGCCTGAATAGAACAAAAATGTTACCATCCCTGAGTAAGAGAGGATTCTTCCTGCTTGACTACTTTTAAACTGGGACATCAAATTTTTCCTGAGGGAGGAGAATTGCTTGAACCCGGGAGGCAGAGGTTGCAGTGAGCTGAGATTGCGCCATTACACTCCAGCCTGGGAGACGGAGTGAGACTCTGGTCTCAAGAAAAACAAAAAAACATGTAGACATGTCTGAATCCTGACGAATTAAACATTAACATTGGTTAATTCTGTCTGATGTATCATAAGATGTTATATGATCATATAAACATGCAATGTTAGTAGTGAAATAAACAAATAATTAGAGAGTTAACTGTATAATAATATCAATAGATATCGGTAGCATTTTTGGGGAAAATTTTAGGAAAATAGAGCAAGTTACTCCTTTTTGAAAAAATTCACTTGCAATGATGTAGAAAGGGTGATTCAACACATATTTTCTAAGAATGTACTCTGTTCTACACAGTGTTCTAGACACTGGAGATTCAAAGGCAAATGTATCCATTCCATTTCTCATGAATCTGTCATTTCCTCCCTCTCCAACTCACAAGACGGAGACTTGCAATACCAGATATTGTAGGGCTTTCTGGATAAACTTTTAGCTCTATCTGTAACAATAAACTTGGAAAAAGCATAGCATCGTGGGTAAGAGCACACACTCTGGAGTCAGACAGCATGGGCTTGAATTCAAACTCCCACAGTCATCATCTGTGTAACCTGGGCAAGTTATGTAACCTCTCTGTGTTTCAGTTCCCTTTAAAGTAAAGCTCACTGTACCTCCTTCAATGGGTTGTTATGAGGGTTACTGAGTTAATGTATTAAAAAGTATTTATAAAGTGCATGGTGTATGCACTTTTAAAATGTTTACAATTTTCATTGTTTGGGGGTAGCTAAATGTTTCCTGTTGCTGGGTAAATGGATGTTAATTATATTATTTTTGCACATTGCTGGATATGTGAAATGTTTATTCATAATTTTTTAAAATAAAAATTCAAGAGAACATTAAGTACTGTTTATAACAAACCATTAAGCTTCTTTGAATTAATTTTAAAATAATTTATAGCACTTTCATGGGG
Source organism: Homo sapiens (assembly GCF_000001405.40). Classification (NCBI taxonomy): domain Eukaryota; kingdom Metazoa; phylum Chordata; class Mammalia; order Primates; family Hominidae; genus Homo; species Homo sapiens. The sequence continues at coordinate 175,287,185 of NC_000003.12, read as the reverse complement.
AAATAGTTAACACTACTAAAAGAAATGAAGAAACATAAGGATACTATACGGAACGAGATAATAATGTTGTTGTTTTATTTTGTTTTGTTTGAAACTAGGTCTCAGTCTGTTGCCCAGGCTGTAGTGCAATCTCACTGCAGCCTCAGCCTGCTGGCCTCAAGGGATCCTCCTACTCCACCTCCGCCCCATCCCCACACCCCTCCACCCCCACCATACCCTCCGACTAGGGGCACAGACCACCCTGCCTTGCTGATTTGTTTTTGTAGAGATAGAGTCTCACTATGTTGCCCGGGCTGGTCTCAAGCTCCTCGAGCCATTCTCCCACTGTGGCCTCCCAAAGGGCTGCAATTACAGGCATGAGTTACCGCATCCAGCCTAGATAACATTGTTAATATGGTAATTTTACATGCAATAAATGTTAAAATTAATCTTCAAATGTTTCTAAAAGTATAGACAAACAATTTGGAGAAATAAGAAGACTGGCATTATCAAATATAAAACAGATATTAAAAAGCCATAAAAATAAAAGGTATGGCCTTATTACAGAAACAATCAAACAAGAGAATAAAATAGACCCTCCAGAAGTCGATCCATAGGTATTATAGAGGTAGTTCTACAAATACTGTGGAAATAACGAATCTAGTAAACGTTGTTGGAAAGCATTATTTTGGATCTTGGAAATTTGAAAGTTTTTAAAGCTCCAGGTCTGCTGAGTCTCTGTTGTAAAATCCTTTCTCACTTTCTGGGTAAATGCCAAGGCCTTAAACAGGTGCCTATGCTAATACCCTGGTTCACACTATAACCTTGAAGTTACAGCTTTCTGCCCATCGTGGCCCATCAAGGCTCAGGAAGAGGATGCACAGTAAATCTCCTTGCCAGCCTCCTCCTCCTCCTTTTTCCACTGGTAATCAGAGAAAGGAGACACAAGGCTTGATTTTTCCCTCTGGTCTGAATAAATCTGCCTTACTGCCATAGCATTTTCCACCATTCAAGAGTAATATTTACACCACTTAATATGGCAACCTGTATAACTAAAATGTGCATAATAAAATTATTTTCTTCTAATGTCAACAGATAAGTGCATTTTGCAATTATCTTTCATAAACATACTTGTTTTCCTGTAACCTCAGCTTGTATTCTCTTTCTGAATAAAAATTCAACACTCTTTTGAACAAGTTTTTACAACGTATTTTGAAAAATGTAAAATTACAAATAAAATGTGCACTTTTAAACTTCACTTTGACATAGTATATTCTGGATAATATATTTTATGAATACATAGCACTTATTTTCTTAATCAAATTTACTATCTTTGAGGGTAGAAATAACTGGAGTGGTTAATATATATTAGTGATTTAATACATTAAATAGGTATTTTTCCTAATGTGATACACATAATAACATGTTAATGCTTTGCATTTTAAATACATAAACAATGAATGACATTTAAAATATAGATATAGATAGCACGGTTTATAAAATATGATACTGAAATGTAACTGCTTTAAATGTAATGCTTTACAGTTGATATGCCAATCTTAAAAATAAAAGAAAAACTTGAGGACAAAGCACAAGTAGCTAAATGAAAATTACATTATTATTTCTTTTCTTAGCTAATTTCCTATCAACAAACTACCACATGAATGAGTCACACTATCAGGTCAAATAGGAATGAATGTATACTACTTCTTCATCTTGGAAGAGCTCAAAGTATTCCTTATAAATAGCCACTTAAAGGTTTCTTATTTAAAAATGAGAAAATAATCAACAATATCACAGTATTGTTTTACTTTAACAAAATTTGGAAGTACTGATGATGACATTTCAAAATAGACTAAGAAGATGAGATTTTTCTATTATGAAGTATTCTGTGCAATGTACCTATTGTAACATGTGGTACAGCAGGTGCCATACCTTTTTAAAAAACAAGTAACCAATATTTCTGGGGAAAATTCTCCTATTGACTAGTGAGTAACTAAAAAGTTTTATAGGATTTTAAAATATTACCTTTGCCCTCTCTCAGAACCTGTGCTAATGCACTTTTTCTTATTTTCTATAAAAAATTAAGAATAAAAAATCTAGAAAACAAATATTTCTAATAATGAAGAGACTGTTTTGGCATCTTTAATTTATGCCATCCATAAAGGTGCACATAATATGGGAGGCAAAGTATCCCATAGAAGCTGGAGTTAATGGAGTTACCTTTACACCATGGTTTTAAGGATATACTTTGTCTTTTGATGCACTGTCTCCAACAACACTGGGCACTTTATGTTACAATCTTGGAGTTAGACTGGCAGCCAGGAATGAAGATGCTGCATCTTCAGCCTGGCCTTTTTTAGATTATTCAATCATCTAAGACCAGAGACCACATGTAGGAGGATACCTTTGTTCTCAAATACAAGGACAACTGAGTTAGTCCCCAGTCATACATTACAAAAACAGGTGCCGTTATTATTTTAATTTAGTTATGTAATTTAATTATTATTTTAATTTCTTTTCCTATCTGTTAAGAAACACTATTAATTCTGTAAGATGGAATAATCTGATTCTTCACACCTTACAAGAATAGTCACTGCCAAATGAATGTGAATTCTGTAGAAATTTTAAGAGACAAAGAAAACAAATTGTTGGATTGATAAGCTAACTAAGAGCTCATTTTTTTTTTTAAATCAGGCCTCCATACAAATAATCCTGGCTTCTTCTAAGCCATACATTAAGTCTTGCATTTAAGAAATATGAGACTTATTTTCCTTTTCCAAATGGAAGACATAATATAATCAGAATATAATAGTATAAGAAAATGAAATATTTCAAGATACCCCAAAAATTCAGTTTCCTGGTGATGAATGTTTTATTATAGCATCTTTTGTCAGTATCAACTTCTAGAAGGAGGACCAAGAAAGGCAGCCTAAGCCATCCTTATACCTATATTCTGTAACACACATATGCACACCAGCACAAAAGCACATTTAAAGCAAGACAGAAAAAAAAAAAAACACAGTGTAAAGGAAAAAAATTATCCTTTGCCATTTTCTTTTCCATTTCCAGGGCATTCCAGTTCCATTTACTTATAACTGTGTTTCTTCTTCAAACTACACTAATATTGTTGGGAAGAAACCCAATCGATTTCAGCAAAGACACGAGTTTTTTGATAATGGGACCGGTGAAGTTTTGAGGGTGCAAGGATAAATTTAAATTATTTTTTTTCCTGTTTATAAAAAGCAAATAGAACATTTTTGTCCTCCCTTCTTTCTTTAATGGGTTTCCTTGAGACATAGTGAATCTGAGGCCTTCCTTGAGGAAGATTAGAACGTTTGGTATAGAGATAAATCTCTCTAGTGATTAAGCTCATGTCCAGATTTTATGATGTAGAACTATTTTCAATGTGGTGGCCAAATAACCACTGGATATATAAAAAACACACTTCTGGAATTAGTTCAGGGGTCTCTCACAAGCCGCACAGGAACCTGATATCAGGTGCAGACCCTCATCCCTTGAGCACATAAGAAAAGCTACTGTTATTTCTGCTTTGTTGTATGGAATGTGAGGCTTTACCATAACTTTATGTTGAATTCATGCTACCTTAACTGCAAATAATGATGTTAATGTGTACAGAATGATAAATTATTTTTTTCTTTTCATAACATTGCTACGGAGGGCTCTTTATGTTGGTAGGATTGTTTAGTTTCCCCAACAGAAGGAAGAAAACTGCCATAAAATGAGTGCCAAATGCATGTCAGACCTGGCTAACAGAACAAAAACATTTTGTAAAGAACATTGAAAAAACTGTTAATTTCACAAATTCTATTATTTTAGGTAGTCTAAAGGGTAACAGCAAATACAATGGTATCCTGAAGGTAGAAAATGCAAACTGCAGTCAATCACATTTGATTTGAGATCCATGCTTCTTTGTGCTTCCTGCCTACCTGGTCACTCGGTAAACGGAAGAAGATGGAAAGAGGTGACCGTGCAGTCTTTAGTATATTGTAAACTTAATCTTAAAATATTAATGCACATAGATATTGAGTATATCTGAATACTTAGAAGAGTGTTATCAAGTTTTAGAAACAATTTGAGACCATTTCCCTTAGATAATTATCAATGCTGGAACAAACATTGTGTCTATAATACTATATGGTCCTGATTTTTTCAAAGTTAAAAGTCTTGTTGTTACTGATCATTGTCATTGCTGTTAATAATACTTCCAACAAGGAGCATTTCTGCTAGTGAACAAATCCCAAATAATTTGAGGATTTAAAAAAAAAAAAAAAGAAGACAGAAAGGTAGTTACCAAACCAGATGTAGTATCTGTATACTTCATTCTTGAAAGTAGATAAAAATAAAATAAAAATTAAAAGTTGACTCGTAAAACCCAAGGACATGGAGACAGAAGCTTAAAGGAAACAAGATTGCAGAACTGCATAATGATCCCTGCCCCCTCCAACTACTGAAGGTTCTCCTTCATTAAGTGCTGCTGAGTTGTTGAATAAATGTAATAAATATTACTCAAACTTTCCTTATAAAAACTTTTCATGCATCTGGTGATCCTTAAGGTAGCTAGGCCTTCCAGTAGAGTTTGGTGGGGGTTGGAGGGCAGGTGACAGGTAGATAGGTGAGAATTTGAAGAAGTTCTTTCATTTTTTTCAAAGTTAGTTTACTTTTATTCAGATGATATTCTTTTTACTCCCTCCCTCTTCCTCTTTCTCCTTAAGGCATTTAAGGAAATTTAAAGGCTGTTACTGTGGTTTTAAAATTGTAAAAGCAGCTGATGTCACAGGATTTTCCAGTGATACAGAACACCTATATAGCTGTAGTCTGTTAAGTGTTCTTTAAAGCAGACAAAGAATTGAAAATTTTCTCTGACCAGCTTTATCAAGTAACAGAACAGTAAAGGATAATTGTCTAGTAACCCCACTCATGCTATAATCATCACATATTGATTTGGGTTAATTGTAGATACATAAGTCAGGTTTTAGGGCTTTCTAATTAGTGAAGTATAGAAAAAACTGTTTCAGTCTTTTCATTTATTTATTCATTTGTAAAACATTAAATTTTTACTATCTGGTAGTATTTATTATAAAATAATTCAATCATAAAATATTTTAAGGAGAATTTTAGGTAACTAATCATTCCTTAATTTTGGTGAAGTATAAAACATGATCCCTATATTAATTCATCATGTAGAGATGCAAATAATATGTGTGAAATAATAACAAAACATGAGAACAGTTGAATTTTAAATAAAAGATCCAAGTCAGCTTAAATAGGGAAGTCTTAAGAAGTGAATCTTAAAATAACTCATAAAGTATTTTGTTAAGTGACAGAGAAGAAGTTGAGCATTCCAGATGGGAAATGAAATAGAAAATATTTGGGAAACAAGAGTAGAAAAATATTCTTTGTATAAACAAAATTGAAATATTCATAAGATACTTGTATAAACAATATTGAAATATTCACAAGTATAAATGAAGCCTTCTTGAAGGAATCTGAAAACTCAAATTCTAGAAAAAAATTTAATCGCATACATTATGTAATGTATTCATGTGAAGTCTGATAATGTTGGAGGCTTCTAAAGCATATAGGTGTTCAACTTGAAAATAACTCACTGGTACAGATACACAAAAGAGTTTGAGCATGTATATATACTGTCTTACTGAAAATCGGTTTTAATATTTTTTAAAATGTGAGGTTTATCAAATTGATCAATAAATTTGGATAAAGTGATAAACATAAAAATACACACATTGCAAAGGTGTTTTAGCCTATTATCTAAACGAATGATATGAAAAAGTGAGAGAGTTAATGGCTTACTTTAAGAATCTTATACATGGAAAATATTACTATAAGAGGCAATTAAACCTTAACTGGCAATAAAAAGTTTTAAGAATTTTCTAAGGAAAGTAACACAAAAATATATACCATGTAAAATTATTTAAAATTGGTTTATAAAGCCAGGATTATGGACGGAAGATAGTCTTAGAAAAGAAGTTCTAAAAAATAACTAAATGTATTGAGTTAATTTAAATAAGTGACAATTACCAATCCATTTATATATATATATATTTTTTTTAAGTTTTAATTATTTTAGTATTATATAAATTCAAAAGAAAAACAAAACTGAGATTCACTGCACCTCAAATGTTAATGTACACATCAATGACCTGGGGAACTTATTAAAATGCAGATTCTAATGGAAGAGGGTTGGTGTGGGCCCAGAGCTCCCAGAGCTAATGGAGAGACATTTTTCTTCATCAATGTAAAGAAAACAGATTAAAATTGCTTATTTTCATTTAAACTTATACGCTGATGTAGCATCAGGATAAAAAGATTAAAAATGGTCAAACAAGTCAACAAAAATGATTCAAAACTCCCTGTTTGGAGGGGAACAGACATCTATTCATTGTTTCAGCCAACATTTCTGAAGGGCCTCCTGTGTACTTTGCTAAGCTTTGATTATACACTGTTTGTTCATGTGGCAGAATGTGTTTAAGCCTATCAGGAACAGGAAAGAAAAATTTGAGTCTCTTAAACACAGGTTATTTTTCCATCTCATAGGAAGATTCCGAAGCAAGTGATCATAATTATTCAGTGGTAACAATATGTACTTCAAGCAGCATCTCCAATAGCTTTTGCTGAGATGCAACAACCTGCCTAATCTTATTCTCTCATTATGTCCTAGCAGGGTGCAATAGGATTTCTTCCCAACACAGTTTACTACGAATGTATAATGTAGTTGAGGAGGTTAATCACAAACTAACAACATTAAACCTTTTTTATGAGTATATTAATTTCTTGATAAAATCTTTAATGGTTTTAAGGATTTTGGTAAGGGAAGGAGGGGCAGTAAACTGCCTTCTCCTTGGTCTTTTCAAAATAGACTTTATTTTAAAAAACTAGGAAACATTTAAATCAAAGGTGTAAATGGAGGAAATGATTACATTGAGAAAAAGGAAATCGATATAAAATTGAAGAACTAGAAAGAATAGAAACTTGGCTAGCTAGTGGAATGGCAAGAAGAAACAGAAATTCCTTATCTTTTCAGTTCCAGGAAGATCAGATGCCTACCAAGAAATAAACAGATGAATGTGGGTGCTGTTTCCCAGGATCTTCTCTAAATCCAAGGGTATATTTAAAACTGTTTTTTTTTTTAAAGTGGAGTGAAAGGAAAAGACAACTTTCCAGTTTATTTATTCCATCAAGAAAGAAAAGAGAAAATCCTATTCACACAATTTCTTAACATAAATTTGCATGGCATTTTTGCTTCTAAAATTCTAGGGAAGTGCTTATCTATTCAGTGAATAATTCCCATACCCATATATTTTTCTTCAGTGCAGCCTGCAGTTTACATCTTTATTAATAATACACACACACACACACACACACACACACACACACTCACACACTATGCAGAGGATCTTATTCAGCGATTGTTGGAAAATTCAGAACCAATTTTTAAAAATCATGCTGGCCTTCCTGACATTATCACTCTAGATCATTCTTCCTGCTTCAAATTTCAGGAAGAAATAAAATAGTATGTAATATCTACTGCCATAAAAAAAGCCCAGATGGTTTGAACTAGGAATTAAAGTATGTGGTTTTAAAGAGACATAACATATGATTTTATGCCTAGAATAAAATTCAAGCTACAGATTTACTATGTGTTTTAGACCAAATGGAGATTTTTTTAAAAAAAAAACCTCATGTTTTTAATTAAAGGTATATTTTCAACCAAAAGCATCAGCACTCTACATGTGAATCCAAAATGAAAACTGTCATTAAAATCCACATTAAGGTGGTTTATCTTTCAGGCAGAATCATGAGCAGTAAATCCTTTCAGATGGTAGGACAGGTTTTCTTTTCCTAGAGCCGTTGCTAGAATATTTTAGTAATTTCAATAAGTACCTTGGCAACGATAAGGATAAATGTCTTCAGTTAGTCCAGATTAAATACCCACTTGCCCTAGGGTCCCATATAAAATGAATCCAAGATTGAGAGTTCCTTTTGCATCTGACTTGTCACTGTCAGGCGCATTACTTGTAGGGAGTAAGTCTGGTGATCCATCTACTTCTTTGAACAAAATACAGCTCTAATTGCTCTGGTAGATTTGCACATGCTTGAAAATAAACTCTTCTGAAATGAAGGATACACAAAGTGAACTTTTGCAAGAGAAAAAACCGTATGCTCACTTCATCTAGAATGTAGACCTATTACACCAAATAGCACAACAAAAATATAATCTAACTTTTAGGGAAGTTGCATTGTAAGATGATAGTCCTACAGACAAATATTTCATAAGTTTCCCTGGATACATAGATGGAATCACTACAACTTGGAATAAGAAAAAGCATGCATTTTCAAGTCCTGGATTCCAACTCTCTAAGTTCTGCCACTTATTAAACAGTGCGTTTGCAATATAATTAACCACTGAGGCCCTCCCTCAGTTTATCGACCTGCACAGTGAACATAATGCTACCTACCTTAAAAATAGGTTTGTGGAAAGGAATGCATTTAAATCATATCACATAAGTATGCCAACTGGTAGAGTCCAAAGTCACTTTCTCACCAGAAAAGAACTTTTTATAAGGAACACTTTAAAAGCAAAAAAGGAAAAATAAAGGGCTGCAAATCATCCAAAAAGTTGACACACCATGGAAAAATTTCTAATTTTAAAATCACTATGGTGAGTGTTTGCCTAATCATACACTGGCTAAGATTCCTCTTGTTCTTTTGAACTTCAAATAACATGGTTAGACGCAGGTACTCAGTGAACAAATAGGAAGCAGTTTTAGAGTGGAAAATAGAAGTTAGGTTTGGTAGTTCTCTCTGGTATATTAACTAGATGCAACTAGATGCATCCATTGTTATTAACTCATTTAACATATAATTTTTGAGACACTCCTACTGTGTATCAAGGACTGCATGGTGCTAAGAGCTGAAGATATAATAGTGGAGAACAATGAACAACACCTCTTCCTTTATGAATTTATCATGTAGTAGGGAATTCATATACCAAATAATATCACACAAATGCACTAAATTATTATTATTATTATTATTGAGACGGAGTCTCGCTTTGTCGCCCAGGCTGGAGTGCGGTGGCGCGATCTCGGCTCACTGCAAGCTCCGCCTCCCAGGTTCACGCCATTCTCCTGCCTCAGCCTCCCGAGTAGCTGAGACTACACAAATGCATTAAATTATAAACTGAGATATTTATTAAGGAAAAGGGGACTATGCAGCATTTATGCAGGAGGCTTGAAATATTCTGTGGGATCAGGGAAGCATTGTCTAAGAAAGTAACAGTAAGTGATCTGTAGTTAGCACAGAATTTGAGTAGTAAAAGAAGAGAAGAAAGATACAAGTAAACTAGAATGATAAATGTCCTGAGATAGGAGGGTAAATGGTATCTTTTAGCAGCTAAGAAGTGAAGTTATACAAGATGAATTATGCAATCTCAGATTATTTAAGGATTCATAAATAATTCTAAGCATTTTGGTCTTTATGATCAGTAAAGACCAAATGGTCTACTGATGAAAAAAATCCATTGAAGAGTTTTAAGTATGGGTTGACACAATAAGGTTTATGTTAAGAAAAGATAAATTTGGTTGTTGGATGAAGGTTATACTGGAAAATAAAAGACTACTAGATGAAGACACTGGTATCTCTGGATGTTTGGCCATTGAACTACATTAATAGATTGGTCACAGTCCTTCACTGTCCCGTATTGGTTTTTAGATCCACAGCATTACCATTACCTTACAGCTTTCAGGAAGACAAAAATGAATAAATTAGGAACTAAGTATTGATGATAATCTCATGATACAGTTTATTGCTCGTTATCAGATACGTTAGTCAAAACATGAGCACTTGTTGACACAACAGAGCTAAAATCTTAACAAACAAAAATTTTAGTATGTGGTACCCGTATATGGGTAGTAAAGATATGTTGGCACTGTAGAAGTTTTTCTAGTATCATAACATAGCCAGAGTGCAATGGGGCTAGAAATAAAATGTGAAAATCAAAGGCCAATTCCAATTTTATTTAAACATATATTTGTCTATTAAAGACATACAAAAAGTAAACCCTGACAATTTAATAAATATATTAAAATATATTGGCGTCAACATGTCTATACTCTTGGCCTCTGAGTGAGCATATTGTAAGTTTTATTTTGTTCAATTATCAGTGTTTTTTGCTAGGAGTTGCCATAAGGACGTTGACAACATCTCTTGACTAGAATTAAGTCCAGCTGTTAATAGTTAGCATATTTTTGTGCCTCTGGAATTGAGAATGGGATTAGGTGGTGAGGTGAAGTGAGTTGGGGAATAATGGGATTAGTCAAATTAGTTTGATTGCACTATTAAGATTGAAAAATGAAAGAAATGGATCTCATCTTGAAGAAAATTTAAAAAATAAATAAGAATGTATATATTTACCATTCTATTTCTATGTACTACAATTATAAAGGTAGTAGTATAATTTGAAAGGTTTTCACTTCTGCTTAGTGATTTTCACATGACTTGTGAAAATTACTTTCTTGCCATAAGCTGCTGAAAGCTATGGGGTTAGAAATACATTTGCAGGCTGGGTGTGGTGGCTCACGCCTGTAATCCCAGCACTTTGGGAGGCCGAGGTGGGCAGATCATAAGGTCAGGAAATCGAGACCATCCTGGTTAATATGGTGAAACCCAGTCTCTAGTAAAAATACAAAAAACTAGCCAGGCGTGGTGGCACATGCCTGTAGTCCCAGCTACTTGGGAGGCTGAGGCAGGCAAGAGAATCGTTTGAACCTGGGAGGTGGAGGTTGCAGTGAGCTGAGATCACGCTGCTGCACTCCAGTCTAGCAGCAGAGCGAGGCTTCGTCTCAAAAAAAAAAAAAAAAAAAAATTTGCAAAGCGACAAAAACCTTTTTAGGGCAAGAATTATTTTTTAATTGTACCACAAAGAGAAATGGCGACCTTCAGAGTTGAATAAACTTGGAAATGGATTGATTAATTCTGTTTAAATAATAGATGAAAAGTACTTTATCATAATTTTTTTTTTACTTCATGATGTTCTTATGTATACTTAGCTTATAGAAATTTTTTAATAAATGTTAATATTTTCATTAGGGTATAATTTTTATTAAAAATAAGGCCATTTTTTCATGTGGCTATAGTTTTGTAGAAATTTATTGTTTATGACTGAAGAAAAAACATTAAAATGATTTATATGATGAAAGTGCCATGGTGGTGTAACTTCTGGTGGTTAATAAGGTTACGGTCATGAATTTTAGAAAAGGAAATAGTTTTAGGAGTTTTCTTACTATCATTATTATAAAGCTTAAACTTATTATAATTATTATATTAATAATAATAAAATGAGTACTAATTTTTTGTTGGATGCCTGGGTATAGATAGTACTTAGAGTTTTCATGCATTACCCTATTTGTTCTTTGCATTTTAGGGTTAGAAAATGTCAACATTTTATATTGGTTAAATTTTGAGCTCTTACTAATATGCATAAAGACACCATATGGGCAAGAGGTACATATAAGACAAGTGTCCTCAAGACACTTGACTTCCATCTGGCTAAAATTTGTCATAATACAGTCATTTTGTTACAAGGAGACAGTTTACTGCCATCTGCCTGTAAATGGTTGTTAAAAATACACAAATTTCTGATGTCTATGTTGTGAATGTTGCCCCATAAGATACAAACTGCATGGCCCGCCCAACTACATAAAATGGTCCAGATGTGTATAAATGAAAAGGCCATGTGAGATTTTAGTTTTCTGAAAATATGTAAGAAAAAAAAGTCTTGATTAATTTTTAAGAATCTTAAGATCATCCTAAAAACATTAAGAAATCCTAAAAACATTAAGAAAGTCACTTATTCTATATGAATATATATTCTTTATCAAGCTATTAGGATGGACATTCTTAGAAATTGTCTGGGTTTACTTTTTGTATGTCTTTAATGGGCAAATATCTATTTAAATAAAATTGGAATGGGCCTTTGATTTTCACATTTTATTTCTACCCCCCATTGTACTCTGGCTATCTCATGATACTAGAAAAACTTCTACAGTGCCAACATATCTTTACTACCACCAAAATTCAGAGTTAACTTTAGTCAGTAAAAAGTACCTGAGCACTGAAGAACAATTCAGATAATAAGGTGAAATAATGAGTCAGAAATAGCTGGTGTTTCACATTATACCTCTTAGAATTCATGAGTGTTTACTTTGTAGTATTTGTCTTCCTGACAAGTTTTTTTCTCAATTAAGGGAATAACGCCTTTTTGTGAAATATCTTCAAGAGCAGGAAAAGAATAACTATGTCAATAAAATGAAAATATAACTCTAAATATGTAAAAAATATGGGCCCAGTTCACCTACCCTTGCTTGAGACAAAGGGCTTCTGTTATCTTGAAGAGGTAGCTCACCTTCAATTCACTAACTGAACACTTTGTGGAAAATATTATTATATTAATTTTACAAAGGAATAAATGAACTTGTAGGTGAAGTAATTTTCTTAAGGTCATAGGTTGAGCAATGATTAAAGACCCAAAATGACTGACTCCAGAGCCCAAGCCATTGAGCACTAGGTTCCCTTTTCTCACTGGTTAATTCTGATAGGCTGAGCATTCTGAAAGGAAGAAGCAAACTGGGGCATGTTAAAACAAAATAAAGAAGTGCACATAGCTCACTAATGTTTTGAAATTTGACTATTTAGCTGCTGAATAGTTGACTGACATTAAAGTTTGAAATGTAAAAGACTGTCTATGTAATATGTATTTATTTTACTGTCAGGTAGTTTTTTGTTGTAATGTGATATGGTTTGTTCAAATCTCACCTTGAATTGTAATAATCCCCACGTGTCGTGGGAGGAAGCCCTTGGGAGGTAACTGTATCATGGACGTGGGATTTTCCCATGCTGTTCTCATGATAATGAATAAGTCTCATGAGATCTGACTGTTCTATAAAAGGGCAGTTCCCCTGCACACACCTTCTTGCCTGCTGCCACAAAGACGTGTCTTGCTTCCCCTTCGCCATCTGCCTTGATTGTGAGGCCTCCCCAGCCACGTGGAACAGTGAGTCAATTAAACCCCTTTTATAAATAAATTACCCAGCCTATTCTTTATTAGCAGTATGAGAACAGATTAATACAAAATTATATGCTATTATTCATATTTTGTGAAACATTTCTACTTAACTGCATTAATCAAAAAACAGTTTACTTAAAACATTGAAAAAAAACAAAGAAATGTCTCTTATTTAAGAAACTTAACGATTTTAATTTGTTAAAAAATTTAAAAACTGTAACAGCAATGCATGTTCTTTTGTAAGTTACTTTGAATAAACCAAAATGCAAAAAGGAGAAAATAATAAAAACCACCTATTTATCCATAATAGATGTATATCTAAAACAAAATGTGGTTAAAATATAATTTAACACACACACACACACGCACACACACACACATGCACACACATATTCTTTATGAAATACTCTTACGTTAGGGTTAAAAGAGAATAAATTGTCATTTTTTTTCTATTTCCTTAAACAACAATTTGATTTTTGCAAGTTTTACCTTTTTATTATCTTAAAATCGAAGAATTAAAGTATTTAAGTATTTAATTTCTAGTATTAAATTTAAGAACGTATAATACATAAACTCTGTTGGTAATCTTTACTAAATGAATGAAGAATGGAAGATACTAACATGGAAGGTAACCTAGAGTAGCAATTGAAAAATCCTTGGTATTGGTTCAGAATAAGATATTTTCATTATAATAGAACACTTTAAAATGAAATACTTGTAGAAAGATAAATTGCCTTGGTTACTTGCAAATATGCTACCAAATTAATATCTGGTGAATAAGGAAGGTCAATTTGTCATGTCTGTAGGCATATGTGTGGAGATAAATTGTAAGAGAACATAAATACACAAACAACTGCAGCATTCTATGAAACACTTATATTGCAACCTACAATAAGCATTCATGTTCATATATATTCATAAACCTAGAGGCAAATTATAAATAATGTTGCTTCCATGAAACCTAATGTTTTGCAATTAGAAATGAAACATATATTAAAATAATTAAATAGGACTCTAAAATTACATAAACTTGATTTTAAATGGACTAAATATTTAGTACATCAATGAAAAATACTCAAGATTAAATATAAATCGGATTTTGTTCCTTTTATCTTGATTTGTAGTTTATCTGCATGTTATTATTGCCATTAATATGTTATTGCTATATTGCCATAATTATATTTATTTTTGCTACAACTATTTTAATCTTTGATTTTCCCTTCTATTAGAAAAGGTTATACTTAAAAGTAAAATATCAGGTTCCTTACCTTAAGTCAGATAAATAACCCAAGATAACAGATTAAATAACCTACAGCTTCAGGTTTTTGTAGACCCAGAATTATCTCATTTGATATGAGAAATGGGAAGTATATTATATGATTTTCAAATCTTTTCAAATTTATTGTCTACATTAAAAAATAATAATTTAAACTATTTTGTGGGATAGAGAGGGCTGTACCTGGGGTGACATATTATAGCATAAGTGAGCCTCTCAAACCTCAATATTTATCTGATGTCAAATGTAGCCGGTTCAATGCATCATACATTTGTGTGATTGAATAAATTGCTTAAAGCAAATTTCACATTAAGATGATAAACATGGCTATTAACAGAAATCAGGGTCTATGGTAATCAGTTCCACTAAACCAATTAATCTTAACTCTGTCACAAAGATTCCTTGAGACCTACACAGTCCTCATTTTTAAAATAAAGAATAATACTCACTTCACATAATTTTCTTGGGAGTTTAATATGATAAACTCATTTTCTTAACAAAATACCAACAAAATTTTCTTTGTTTCTTTTAAATAAAGATGCTTGTTAGACAGATGCATTTCTGGAGCAGATTTTTTAAAAAGTATAGAATTTGCCATAAGTTAAATGAAAATGTCTAACATCTTCTCTCTTACTGGAATGAATTGAATTAGTCCATCGATGTCTAAAAATGACAAACTCCTTAGTCTCTTAGGTCACAAAACCATCACTAATATGTGGTAACGTTCTGGGCTTCTTACTTTTTGTTTGGAAGTTTTCTTCTTACCAGGGGCTAACGTGATCTAAAGAGAAGGGTGGATGGCTAGTATGCAACATATACTAAATATACCTAATTAATTTTAAAAGGAATCAGGAAATATTATATAATTCATTAGATATTCTAGAATTTCTAAAAACAGACAGGGACAGCCATCTTTGGAAGTTTTTCCAGTATTTAATCAGTCTTATTTTATAAGATTATTTATGGGTAATCTTAATATACTTTGCACAATTTAAGTGGCGGCTTTTTAATTTAATTTAATTTACTTTGAGACGAAGTCTCACTCTGTCACCCAGGCAGGAGTGCAGTGGCACGACCTCGGCTCACTGCAACCTCTGCCTCCCCCCTTGTTCAAATGATTGCCCTGTCTCAGCCTCCTGAGTAGCTGGGATTACAGGCGTGCGCCACCACACCCGGCGAATTTTTGTATTTTTAGTAGAAATGGGGTTTCACCATCTTGGCCAGGCTGGTCTCGAGCTCCTGACCTCAGGTGATCCACCCACCTCGGCCTGCCAAAGTGCTGGGATTACAGATGTGAGCCACCACACCGGCCTAAGTGCCTATTTTATAGCTTTAACTTTTGCAAAAATTGGAAAAGGTCCTAATTTTATAACCCACAAATACTCTTTCATGTGCATGAAGACTGTGCTTGACTTTCTTCTCAGGCTTTTTTTGTAACAGATTTAAAAACTCTCAATTAAATAATTCACGTTTTCCTAATCCATCAATTTTTTTTAAATCTATTTCTAAATTTATTCTATCATTTTAAAATAGAGCAAACCAAACCAAACTTGATAATCTACCAATAAACAATGCTTGGGAAAAAATTATTTTTCCACTTTTGTATATCTTTTTCTTTCTCTAAGATTAAATCAGTAACTTTTGTTTTCTTCTTTGATATCCTTATGATTCTCATAGACTTTGCTGCTCTATTGCCAAACTACTCATATCCCCCTGTTACTGTGAAACTTGGTGAAATTCCTCAGGGATTTTGAGACATCAAAGCAGTAAGTAAATGTGCATGCCTATTCATTAAGAACTCCTTTATACATATATGAATTTTTAAAATGTGTTTTAATAAAAATAAATACAGAATGAAAAACTAACCCTTAATCCCAAACATATTTCTTATAGGCCTATTTAGTGCAATAAAATAATCCTGTCATTTTCAATTCATTTACTCACAAACTATTTCTTTTTGTGAGGATTTTGTTGACAGCACAGTAAAATCAGTACTATACTGGAAGAGGTTTACAGAGGCCCAGCAGGCACTTTTCACTTTTTCCATTAAACATTCCATATGCATCCATCAAGTCATTACAGTATTCCACATATCTGTCAACCTTTGCCAGGCTATCACACACAAGCACGCACCCTAAGACGATTCTTATGAAATATTCATAAACATTTTCAAGTTACAAATTCTTCTCATTCAAGATAAGATTTAATGGCAACATTTTCCCGGAGAAGTTAATGAGAACTCTTTGCTCATAATAAATGAGCTCCGATATACAATTGCCCTGTGGTTTCACCAGCACTCTGGTTGGGAACAAATTCAACAGCAATTCACATTCAGCATTCTTTTGTTTAGGTGCCTGAGGCTATGTCTCCCTGGCTGTCAGTAATCTGATAAAAATATAAAAAATCAGTCAGTTTGGATGAAGAGTGATTTAACCGTAATGACCATATCCAACCTACTAGTTGATTTTTACCATACTCTGCAGGGAGAATATCAAGTGATATTTTTCACCCCTTAAGTCAAGTTGGGCTTTGGACAGCTAAATTGGTGAGTCTGAATCCTCTGATTAGTATGCTTGATTGACTAAGGGCAGAAGTGGACTGAAACACTCTCCACATAAATGAGAAATCTTGTCCAAATTGAAAGCATGTATTGTAACCACTCAATCAGCTCCCATGGGGGAAGCAAATAAGCTAAATTAATGCTAAAATGGTTAGAGGCATTTTCAGGCAGTTGTTGGGAATCCTGGCTGCTTTTCCCCCCACATTTATTTATTTTGAAAATTTTTATTTTAAGGATTTTAATAGAAATGAAAAATATAGTATGATAAATTCTCACATATTTATTACCTGACTTCACCAGTTATTAATTTTCTTACATTTCCTTTATCTTTCTCTGTGTATCTCTCTCATTCTGAACCATGTGAAAGTAATCTGAAAACATATTTGTTTGGTAGTAAAGAACCATGATTGAAGGCACAATGGTGCTAATACTGAGAGAAGCTATCTTAAATATTTATTCATAAACACAAATAAATAAACAAACTGCGAGGATCATAAAGAGCCCTAGGTTTGGAATAACAGCACTAGCTCTCTGAAAAATAAATGTACAACATTGGATAAGACATTCAAACTCCCTGAGAAGCAGTTACTTACCATACAGCAGTGACCATCCTACTTATACAGGAATTTTTAGGAAGATAAGGAGTGTTTACCTGAGAGTGTGTATCTGAAAGTAAACTAGCGTCATACAGACAAAGTCGTGGCTCCGCACAGGTCATTTTGGTCAAGGAATGATCCCGTACACAACAGCGGTCACGTAAGATTATAACGGAGCTGAAATTTTCCTATCAGCAAGTGACATCAGAGTGTCCTAACGTTGTAGTGCAACATATTACTTACATGTTTGTGGTGATGCTGCTGTCAACAAACTTACTGCCCTGCCAATTGTATAAAAGTATAGCACATGCAATTATGTACACACTTGATAATAATCAACTATATTAGTGGTTTGTGTATTTACTATACTATGTATATTTTTGCTATTTTAGAGTGTACTTCTCCTACTTATATATAAAATAAATTTTGGTCAGGTGCTGTGGCTCACACCTGTAATCTCAGCATTTTGGGAGGCTGAGGGGAATGGATCACTTGAGGCTAGGAGTTCAAGACCAGCCCGGTCAACATGGTGAAATCCCGTCTCTACTGAAAATACAAATATTAGTCAGGCATGGTGGCACACATCTGTAATCCTAGCTACTTGGGAGGCTGAGGCAAGAGGATCGCTTGAACCTGGGAGACAGAGGTTGTAGTGAGCTGAGATCATGCCACTGCATTTCAGCCTGGGTGACAGAGGGAGACCGTCTCAAAAAAAAAAAAAAAATTAAATAGTTAACTGTAAAACAACCTCAAGTCAGATCTTTCAGGAGGCATTTCAGAAGAAGGTATTGTTATCATAGGAGATGACAGCTCCATGCATGTTACTGTCCCTGAAAAACTTCCAGTGGGACAAGACATGGAGGTGGAAGACAGTGATACTGATCCAGACCCTGTGTAGGCCTTGGCTAAAGTGTCTGTGTTTCTTAGTTTTTAACCAAAAAGTTTAAAAAATAAAACAATAAATAAAATTTTAAAAATAGAAAAGGACTTCTATAGAACAAGGATATAAACAAAAATATTTTTGTCAGGTGTGCAATGCGTTTTAAGCTAAGTGTTAATTACAAGAGTTGAACAGTTTAAAAAAGTAAAAAGTTCATAAAGTAAAAAAGCTATAGTAACATAAGATTAATTTATTATTAAAAAGAAAAATATTTGTAAACAAATATACTGTAGTCTAATTGTAAAGTGTTTATAAAGTCTACAGTAGTGTTTAATAAGGTCCTAGGCCTTCACATTCACCCACCACTCACTCACTGACACCTAGAGCAACTTCCAGTCCTGCAAGCTCTACTGACGCTAAGTGCCCTATACAGGTATACCAGTTTTTGTCTCTTATATCATATTTTTACTGTACTTTTTCTATGTTTAGAGATGTTTAGATACACAAATACTTACTACTACATTATAATTGCCTGCAGTATTCAGCATGGCAATATCTGTATTCTGGGAGCAATAGGCTATACCTTATAGACTAGATACGCAGTAGGCTACACCATCTAAGTTTGTCTAAGTACACTCCATGATACCAGCACAACACCAACAACAACAACGAAATCATCTAATGAGGCATTTCTGAGAATGTATCCCCTTTGTTAAGTGATGCATGCCTGTATTATTCAAGTAACTATGTTTTAAAACACCTTCAGTGAAAGTAGGAACTGTTCCTTACCATGGTTACAAAACAATAACAATATAATAAATGTTTATTGAGCATTTACTAAAGGCTAGGTGATATGAAGACAACACTATCATTACACTGGTTTTACAAGGACAAAATGAAGTCTTAGAATGTTTAAAAAGTTTGACCACTGACTTACAGCAATTAAATAGTAGAGCTGGGACTCAAATCCCATATAATTGTTCAGATTCTCTACTCATGGGATGTGAGGTTGGAAATTCATTTTAAGTATAAACAAATGTGGACAGGGAGACCTCTCATGTACACGTGATGCAAATGTACACATGAAGACCACTCATGTCAGAACTGTAAAGAATGTCTCTAGGTACCTCTTTTTGCCCCCACTCCCATCACCCCAGATATTATATTCTCACCCATTTTCCAATGTGAAGCATACTAAATTAGTATTATCCTGATATAAACTGTCTTTTTAAAAAGAAAAACTTTAGACAAAATAAATTTAACAGAGTTTATTTGAGCATAAAAGGATCTATGAGTCAGGCATTACTCAAAACTGAAGAAGGTTTGGGGAGCTCTGAGTTAGCAATGTGAACAGAGGGTTTTTATAAAGCTGAATGCAGAGGTAAAAAAAATAAATTACTTAATTGGGTACAACTAAGCATTTGCCTTATTAGGGTGTGTTCCTTATTTTTAAACTGGATTGGAGCTACATGTTTTATAATCAATTAGAGCACACAATTTATAAAGCCACTCAAAACAAAGGAAAAATCCTACGTATTTAGTGATTCATAATAAGATTTTCTTAAAACCACAAGGAAAATACTTTTATATATGTTTTGCCTATAACCTTCTGTAGAAGTCACAGAAAACTTCTCAGTAAGGAAAGATTTGAAATAGCTACAACAATGCTTGCCTGCCTGTTATATTAATAGTATAATTGGAAGAAGGGCCAATTGAATTTTAATTGATCAATTAGCACACTTTTTTTTTTTTACTAGTTTTACTCTAAAGCTAAGAAAGCTTTGAACTTTTAAAATTTATAAAACCAATCATAAGGTTTGATAATAGCCAAAATGTAAGACAAAGCAAAGTATCAAAATTGTCCTTTTTAACAGAACAGGAATACAATATTGGATTATATCACAGGTGTTTTAATATCCATAATACCTTCACCAGGTTGTACTATTATTTAATTATTGATATGCTATTATTATTATAAACAAAGAAGTTATATTAAGACAATCATTAATGTGGGTATTGGAAAAATGTTAGGCAAGCATGGCTTGTTGGAACTATAAGAGTTATTTCTGAATTTCATTCTATGACTCATGTTTATATATGACGAAATTTACCCTACAACTTCCTGAAAATTATCTTTGTATAAGAATTATAAAAGGAGTTTAATAGGAGTATTTTATCTACTTATGAAGCCCAAGCACACTAGCTCTTCACTGAATGGTAGGGAATAGTCATTTTAACAAGCTAACAAAGTAATGAGATTTAGATTGAAACAAAAGGGAAATTAGAACTAAATCTTGAAGAATAAATATAACTTTATCTAAAGGATTTTCTGGTGGTTCTTCCTTAATTATGAATATTAGGCAAAATTTAAGTCTTCTATTGTACTATGTATATTTCTAGATTATATAATCTGACCTTTCCTAATTTTTTAATAAAAAATTGATTTAAAATGTAAAATTATTCCAATATTGATTAAAATTTTGTGTTGTATGTTTAAATTTAAATATTAGATGATTAAAATATTTAAATAATTAAGATGTTAGATGGTTATAATATTCAAGTAACTATGAATATATTAATTTAGGAAAATTCATAAGATATTTAAAATAAATGAGATTACCGGGTGTATTCTAAAATGCAATATGAGAGAAAATATACAAAATAAAATTACATAGACTTAATGAAATTTTGAAATGCAAATCTAGTAAATAAGAAGTACCTTTTTTACCTGCAATATAAAGGCTTTTTTTAACTGCTCGATATTAAAACTACAAAAGCTTTATTCTTAACTATAATATATATGATCTATAAACCCAATAGTGTTTGCATAAATACAGCAAATATATATTTTCAGTTAAAAAGCAATTTAATGAATATTCATGAGGATAATAAATTAACATATATTAGCAGTTACTTATTAAAATAATATTTTATTGAGTGCATATTGTTTTCAAAGTTCAATTGAAAATATTTTCTGTTTGTATAGATTTAAGTTTTTATAGCTTATTACAGGCTAATTTGTTATAAAAATAAGACATTGATTGATTTCAAAACCATATACGTTGGGCAGTTATAATTTTAATTACAAAAGTTTTAGGGAGAAGTATTTTTTTCCCAAACAGATATTAAATTTCCAATAATGTTTCCTTCCAAAAGTAATTTAATTCTGCCTCCACATATTTTATAGTAACAGATAGTAAAATTCAAACTGCTGCCTAATGCTCCTTAGCAATGTGTTCTTAAGCAAGATAGTAATAATAATTAAGCAATATTTATCAAGAGACAGTCAGACAAAAAGAGAAAATGAGCGAGAACTTAGAGCCATATATATAGTGACTAATAATTAGACCTCAAGTTAATTCTTTTAAAACTCTATTGGTATAGAATTAAGGGTTTATTTATTTGTTTGTTTCTTAAGCACCATCTTACCTATGAAATATCAATGCAGAAATGAAAGTAACTATGCTAAATCACAAAGTCAGTTTTAGGATATTGTAAACTGAAATACATAAGAAAACAATGAACTAGAATTTCAATGTCATAACCATTCCGGAAATAAATCTAAGCCTTGAAGTCCTGAGTTTCAACTTAAAACAAACAGAGCAGGGGTTCTACCATTTAGCAAATGACAAAACTTACATTTTGAGTCCATAGAATAGTAACCACTAGGAAAATATAATCCAAGGAGAAAATATAGTTCTTGATAAAATCTTTCCATATGATTAAATTAAATGTCAGCTGACTTTCGATGAATGTTTAGTATGTGCCAGGCATTGTGTTGAGTACTTACATGTATTATATTATTTCAATTATTTTTCACAACTTTATGATGTAGGCTATTACACGATATTCACAATTTTGTGATATGGTTTTTGGGAACCATACTTGATATCTCAACTTTGGAAAATAAATTAAAATGTGTATTAGAATAAAACTATTCTATAAATGTAATATACTTCTAATTTTTAAAAATATTGTTTTTCTAATATTATATAATTTCATCACCTTAATAAAAAGTATATGCATAAAAATAAACACTGAAGGATGTAAAAATCTAAAGCATGTACCATCTTATGACATTATTTATATTTCTCCATAATTTAAAGTCAAGTTATATTTATTTTTAACATTAATTTATTCATTTATTTATATCTGTTTTATTCCACAAAAACAATTTGAAGACTTCAGTTTTTTTTCTGTTTAACTCAAAGATCAAATTACGCTACAAAGCACCAACACAATCCTTAGTGCTGAATAACACAAAGGTGCAGTCTTGAGAGACTAATACTTTGTCTGTAATGGATTTATTAAGTATATTATTATCTTCAGTTTAGGTTTGCATGTTTGAGTGAGCTGTCACACTTCTCCATCATTAAATTCATGCCCTTTCTCTTTAGAACCTCATACAGATATTAAGGGCTTCATATATAAAAGTTAATATTTATTAAGAATTTATCATGCATGCATTTTCAGATTTAATCTTCACACAACCTTATGAATTGAGAGTATTTTTGTCATCAATGTAGAGATTTTGAAAACCAAAAAATAAAAAATAAGAAAAAACTTGTGTGACTTTAGTGGGGTTCAGTAATAATTCTATGATCACATAACTATGAAGTAGAAGAGCTTGAAATTGAGCTTGTTTCTCCCATTCTTGCATCCTGCAATGCTGTGTTTCACTATTTAAAATGAGTTACAAGTTGAGCAGATAGCAGTACAGAAGATTGGAAGGGCTGTGAAGCTTATCAACAGGAGGAAAAATGGACATTTTAAACGAGATACAGAGGAAGAGGGAAAAGCTGAAATGTGAAAGAAGAGGTCAGTATTACCACAAAGCACCACAGCAGATATCTATATTGATAAGCCCAAGTAATTGCCCAACAGTTTAGACCAAAATATAGCTAGAGCTTACTGTTTTAAATTTTAGAGTACTATATAATATATATATAAATATTTCTGAAACATGGGTACTTTTAGGGGGCGAACTGTATAGAAGGGATTAGCTGCTGTTTCTTTCCCTTCCTCCCTTCTTTTCTTCATCTCTCCATCACTGTTTTCTCTCTCTCTTCCTTGCTATTTTACTTTGTTTAATTTATAACATTTAATTAGGAAAAACAAGATGCTCAGCACCTTTATTTAATATTGTTAACTTTGTATACATACATGGGGATTATGAATGCTAACTATATTACAATAAGAAATATGCGAAAATCAACCTTCTGATACATGATGCCATTTGCTATGATGTCGTAATTTTCAAATGGTTCAAAAGTACAATTAAATTATATTTTCATGTAGGCAAAACACATGCATGACTTCTAAATTATGCATTCAATTCTTGACAGACTTTGAAGATTCGTAGACACACTTTTATTTGGTTTTAAGCCATGGAAAATACTTTAAAAACAGGAATAGAAGTTGAAACTTTCAGTTATTCTTGCTCTAAATTTACTTTTTTAAAGTTTGATTGCTAAATTGCAGAATAATGACACAGTCTTAAGTCTTTATATTATAACCCATGTTTGAAGTTGTATCTCAACAAAAAATACCCTTTGTAGATATAGTAATATTTGGTTTAAATCATTTAAAAATAATTTACTTCCATCATTGGAAAACAGAAAGTAGTCTGATTTGAAAACAGCAGCAGATTTAGCTTTCAAAACATTAAACTATTACTTTCCAATTTTGTATTCTAGTGCTGACCATGTTGTCCATGACAAATGGAGCAGCTCTGGAGTCTTAGAATCATAAAAGATGGAGACATTGTTTTTTGTTTTTTTTTTTTTTGCAATTACTTCTGAGAATTAGGTAAGAAGTGCCTTATTAAATTATTCAGTGAACAAGCATGTTATTTTAAAGTACCAAGATAGTGTTTGCTTTTCATTTTTGTTCATAAAATGTCTTCAAAAGTTGTCTTAATAAAAAAAGAGGCAAGTTTGCCTTCCTATACAGATCATATGTAAAAACATCATTTGTGACACTGAATTAAAGATTTGTTTTCATGTAAAATATTCATAGAATGTCACTTAAAGAGATTTCTTCAGTTCATTCATACCAGGGAAAATTATGATGTATCAAAAGCTTCAATAGGAAAGGTGTCTTTCTCTTCTTTCCTATCTTTTTGGCCCCACTGCCTCATTACATTAGGCCATATCAGTGCTCATACATACAGCTCATACACACACACACACACACACACACACACACACACTCACACAACATGAATATTTTATCTGTTAAATATTGATTTCCTTTTTTGTGCCCATTGCATTAGGCACCCTATATCTTTAAGGCTAACTAATTAAATGCATCTACAGATTTTATTTTTGGGAAACAAAAAATAGAGTTCCACCAACTTCTACCGCAAGAAAAGTAGAGCAAATGTTGGTTTCTAATAATTAGAATAAATAAAACAATATTCTTTTGACTGCATTTATCATTTGGATTGAACAAATGTTCTTAAGGGAAACAAAAAGGAAACTAGAATAAATGAAACTTTTAGTTCAGCAAATATCACAGGTATGCAAATGCTTCATGTAAAATAAGTTATCAAAATGTAATATTTCTCAGCATTAACTTTAGCTGCCAAAACTAGAGGATTTCTTATTGATCTTCCCATTGTCCATTCATTAACTATTGATTGTAAATCACCAATATATATAAATATTTTCTCACTAAACCTCTAACTCAATATTTTAAATGTAATTATTTTCTGGATTCAGTTGTGTTTGAAATTCAGAGTGTCAAGTCTGCTTTTCTTTAAATAATGCTACTCCTCCGTAATTTGCAAGAAGCAATTTACTTGAAAGTACAAACAAATACCAATTCTCATTTCCTATCTCTCATTTTCCTCCAGGCTCTTTCCAAAGGCTTGTCTGTCTAAGCATGCTTTATGGACTTAAGCAGTGCTGAAGTTATACACTGGCCCAATAAGGGACAACAATATGTAGATGTCAAGTCACATATCTAAAAGCCATTTGCTTATACTAGTTTCTATTTATATTAAAATATAAATCTTATCTGATGAATACACAAAAATGTTTCATTTGTAGGAAACTACAAAATCATTTGGATGTCTGGCCCTTTAAAATTGTCATTATAAGGATAAAAAAGTATATAAGAATAATGAAAAAACTAGCTAATATTGACTAATATCTTAGTATATTACAGAAAGTACTAGGTAGTGATGCATATTACTGCATTTATAAAAAAAAGCAATAGAGTTTTTGGATTTTTTGTGTAATTTAATTATGCACAAATGGATAATTAATCAAGATATATATTCATCTGTAATTTCACTGCACACAAAATTGGCTTCTACAGGAAAGGGGGTTGATATGTACTGTGGATTTAGACAACAGCCCAACCTCCATGTTTCAGAGGGATTTCCTTGATTTCTAGTTGTCTTGTAGTACACAGTAACTTTTTGTTATTATTGCTTCTGGTAGAAATGACCCTAAGTAGAAAGTCAAATGCTTTCATTGAATTTTATAAAATTAATTTCCATACTAGAGTGCTATTCTGCAGTTTGGGATTTTGTGAGGGTCTCGGTATCTGTTTTACTATGTGTCAGGTTGTCACTGAGAGAAATGTGAGTACATTGTGACGAATTAATGTTTGTCTAAAAGTTTAAATATTTAAAGCACTCTCCCAAAAAATAAACTGTTATAAATACGTAGCTAAAATGAACCTAAAGCCTTTCCTCTAAGTCTTCAGCTTGAGGAAACTAGCACAACTATAACTGGGGAACTTGGTCGATGCTTTTTCTGCAGCAAGATGTGGATTTCACAGCACATATCAGAAAGCCATTTGCAGTTCATAGTTCCTACCCTGCAATGTTGGGATTTTCTCATCAATCTCTTCCTAGAGATTAAATTACATACATTCTTAGTATTTATGATCAAACCAATGAGATCTCCTCCTTCATGACTGCAGATTATTTTTCTCCTCATTTCAAGAGATAATCTAATAATTTAATATCATAATTATGCTTCCCCTTTGCCCTCCCTAGCTCGGATGTAGAGATTCCCTCCCAAATTCATTTTTAAACGCTGATTTAGTAACTACTGCACAGCCAAAATAAAATGAACTTCTCTTTACTCATTCAGCTGCATGTTCCCAGACAAAATGTTCATTTAGAATCATGACTAACTGTTGATTCATAAAGAAGTCTGTTGGTTTTCTGCCTTTTTCAACCCAGCTGAATTACATTTTACCTCATTTCTGAATTTTAGCTCCAGAATATATTTGATGGACAGTTGAAGCAAATTGGGCCGTAATCATGCTGCATAACTATGTTTAATACATGCTTCCTTTTTCTTACCAATGGAATGTATATTGAAAGATACAGCAGCAATGAGTTCCCCCAAATCTCTGGGACAATCCACAGAAAACAGAAGAGATGACTAGAATGGAAATTACAGGGTTGCAGAGAGGACCTCCTATCTCCTCTTTCTAGAAGACAATGCCAAGTTTGTGGCAAGGCTCTGTCTCAAGGGGCATTCTACACAGAAATTTTTTTTAAATTTATTTAATAGGCCTAGAAGGAAAATTATCAGGGAAAATGATATCAGGATCTTTATAGCTGTGCCCTATTCCAGATAAACCACTAACTCACTACTTTGTAAATATAGTCAAAGGGTTTTATAATGTAAATATTATCTGTAGCAAATACAAAGAAACTTGCTTTGTTTTAATCCATCATATACTGGTGAAGATTTTCAGTATTTGACCTCTGAGCACAGTTAGAATTTTTTTTTTTAATGGAGTTTCATTCTGTCACCCAGGCTGGAGTGCAGTGGTGAAATCCTGGCTCACTACAACCTCCACCTCCCGGGTTCAAGCGATGCTCGTGCCTCAGTCTCCCAAGTAGCTGGCATTATAGGTGCGCACCACCACACCCAGCTAATTTTTGAATTTTTGGTAGAGACAGGGTTTTGCCATATTGGCCAGGCTGGTCTTGAACTCCTGGGCTTACGTGATCCAAAGGTGCTGGCATTACAGGTGTGAGCCACCATGACCGGCCAGGTTAGAAAAAATTATAATTGCTGTATTTTAACCTGAATTTTCAAAAGCTTGTTTCTGTATACAAAATAAATACACAACAATTATAGAACATTTAGAAATGCAAAATATAACGGAAAAGTAGAAATTATCCATAATTCTATCTAACCAGTTATATAATTGGCCCCTACCACACACATTTTTGTCACTGGTAGGTTGAACAAGGAAAATTCATGTAATGTACCAAAAGCAATAGAACTTTCTTTCCCATTACTCTTTTAAAAGTATCCCTAGAGGTTCATTTTTCCTGAAACACCTACATAAAAAGTTGGACTGTCCCACTATTCCTCTGACTATTGTTAATAATAAAAGTCCTATAATTGATTTGAGTTAGCAGAGTCTTAAATAAGTAATTAGGTTTCCTAGTCTCATCATGATCAAAATTCTACTCTTGATTTAAAATCGTATCTTCTTGCCCCTCCACCAGCTCAGGTCTGCTTTTGGGGAAAGGGGTGTGGTCTGTTATTTCCTTCCCAATGTATTAACTATACTCTTACCTATCTGTTGTTGGAGAAGGCTTAGAAATTAGAGGTTCAGTGGGTAGGATTTTTCTTATGTTACTGTGCTTGTCCTATGGAAGCTCCACACGTTCTGGGGCTCACAGATGTTTAAAGCTGCCTTTGGATCTCCTGGGCATTTGTGAATTAACTGAAGCAGTACCTACTGCAATTTACTTGATGTAGACAAATGCCGCTTTAATCTGGCTGGTCACTGCCTAATGAGTCACCATTACAAGTGGCAATTTCAGTACAGGCGTGAAGGCAGACCACACTGGCTCTCTGTCACATGTGCTTATGACTGACCCATGGGAAACGCATGCATATTTATTTTTCTGCTGCCTACTCATGGGATGCAGGCCAATGTCAACACAGATAATTTATTTTTGTATTTATTTATTAAATGCTTAGTAAACCCATCTCTTACCTTTAGGCTTCTCAGATAAATCAGACACCATTCTATCACGTCCCCCACATTGCAGGGGACATACATTAAGCCCTCCATGTGGTTCCATTGAAGCCCCAGTCACCAGGCATGCAGCTGAACTTATCATAAATCTCTCCAAAATTCCTCTTCATAAAATCCTCTCCCCACAATCTCCAAACCTTTTCTATCTCAGATATGAGTGATAGGTTTAATAGTCTAACCTATTTTACATTATTTCCTTTAAAATATTGATGCTTGGTAGCTAACTTTGAAATGTTCACGTTTCTTTATCATGGAATCCTAGCTAAAAATTCTAATTTAGCCTCTTAATTATCTCTCTATCTATTGATGTATTCTAGCTCCCACCACTCCACCCCACACAGGCAAGTATACATACACATTCAAGACGGGATCTGAAATGAGACTGCCTGGGTTGAAAGCCTGATTGTTTCTTTCTTTTTTTTTTTTTTTTTTTGGTGGTGGGGGCGGAGGGACGGAGTCTCGCCCTCTGTTGCCCAGGCTGGAGTGCAGTGGCGTGATCTCGGCTCATTGCAAGTTCTGCCTCCCGGGTTCAAGCGATTCTCTTGCCTCAGCCTCCCAAGTAGCTGGGACTACAGGCGCCCGCCACCACGCCTGGCTAATTTTTTGTATTTTTAGTAGAGACAGGGTTTCACCATGTTGGCCAAGATGGTCTCAATCTCCTGACCTCGTGCTCTGCCCACCTCGGCCTCCAGAAGTGCTGGGATTACAGGTGTGAGACACCGCGCCTGGCCCCATCGTTTCATTTAACTAGCTCTTTGTCTTTGAGCCAGTCACTTTTTCTTTTTGTGTCTTACTCCATTTATAATCTGAAGATAATAATAGTCCCTACCTCAACAATATGATTATTTTGAAGATTAATATAATACATTTTTTAAAGGCTTAGAAAATTATCTAGCACATGTCATTAATAATGTTACCTTCATAGGCAATAATAAAATCACTAGTATTGTAATTATTATAAATGTTCTCTTGATCTTTTTTTTGATTTATGAGGATTTTTACATGTCATTAAATATTCTCCTTTACATCAAATTGTTATAGCATATTCAGAAAATCAGTATAAAGGCAGCATGATTTTCAAATACTAAATTGGATGTATATATCATTTCTAATATTTTGTCACATCATCGGGCATTACTATGTTTATCACCTCTGTGTGCCCCCCCACCCTGACCCCAACCTTAGAATACATTGATTGAACAGGAAATTCTGGGTTAAAATATGATTATTTTAAGGCTTTTAATACATATTAAAAATTATCCAGCAAAAATTTAGTATCACTGTATATTCTGTTTTCAAGAGTATCTTAAAATTCTGGCCCATCTAATCTACTATTAAACACTGATTTAAGGATAAGAGTATTATTGGAAGATAATAAAAAAAAAACAGACATAGGATGTTCTCTAGTTTCCTAATAGAGTGTGCCAAGAGATTCCTGGAAATGTTTTTGGACCTGGGAGTTAGCAAAGCTCATTTAAGGTTGAATGAGGAGAAATCCAATATATCTTCAGAAGCAGAGAGTTTTGCTGACATAACTACACTAATTTTTTTTTTTTTTTTTTTTAAATAGAAAAAGGAAATGAAGCAAGAATGAGCAGTAGTGGCTGTCTATTGTGCTGGTTCATCATCAGAAACTTAATTACATAAGTGTATCTGTGGATGAGTGTTAATAAACTTCCATTCAAATAAAATAAATCAAAATTCTGCTACTCTTAGCAATTATATTTTAATTAAAATCCTGATCACAGTTAGTAACTGTAGTTGTATAGTTGACAAAATAATCACTAAAGGGTGTAAATCATCTAGATACTTGTCTAACATAGAGAACATGATAATTAGTCCATTTGATAATAGATTAGAAGTTTCACATATGTCATAAGATGAACACAGGGTGGTTCTCATTTTTTACTATTCCAGATAGGTACCATTATGAAGAGTATGCCAATTTTATTAAGGTCCCACAAACTCAGTGTTACCTGACTTAAGGTATTTTCTCTCTAAAGAAATAAGGGCATAAATATATTGTTCTTAAATATCTTAAATTAAAATGTTCTAATGTGGAAAAGCCATCTTTCTGTGACACTCTCTGCCTCTCTTTCTTCCTCTCCCCTTCTCTCTCTCACACACCTATATGCACACACACACTCCACACTCACAAAAGCATATAATTCCAACAAAACAAGGCAAAATATTGACCAAACCACTGAATAACATTCACTGGACCAACCTTATAAAGCAGTGGCAATTTTCCTAATTTCAGGAGTGCGATCTGATTTGTTACGTTTTTTATTTTCCTAATCCTTTTTAAATCATCTGCCATTCCATAACTCACATCGATGACTTCAGCCTGAAAGAGGAGAAAAAACAAAGAAAAATAAAGCCTCAGAGGAAGAAGTATAGCCAATTGTCCATTTAGTATAACAAAATTATTCATCATAATTTGAAATGTTCAATATAGAATTAATTCTATCTCTTACCCTGTCCCAATTACCATAAACATGACCTTTCTATTTCTATCAAGGTACAGCAATTCTTCTGGGCACTAGAGAAAATGTGTGAGTCATTTTTGCTTTGCTCTCTCTCTCTTCTAAAAAATTACAAACACAGTTCATTCTTCTAACAGACATTTGGGATATTCTACATTCATGTTTCTGGAATATGAGCCATTTTACAAAACATTGAAAGATTAATTTCCTTAAGGTTCAACAGCAATTATATAATGCTCAGGCTTGAAAGAAAATTCAAAGGTTTTCTATTGCTATCCAAATTAAGTGCAATGTCCTCACTTGCATGGTCATCCTGAACAGCTGCTCATGATGCTCCATTCAACATTGTGCAATAGCCAGCTGTGAATGACAAATCCTTGAGTCGTGCAGAATACAACCTGTTCAACCACATGTGGCA
The DNA here is from genome assembly GCF_000001405.40 of Homo sapiens. Classification (NCBI taxonomy): domain Eukaryota; kingdom Metazoa; phylum Chordata; class Mammalia; order Primates; family Hominidae; genus Homo; species Homo sapiens. The sequence continues at coordinate 175,255,853 of NC_000003.12, read as the reverse complement.
GTCTAGCAACCCAGGACTTTAGAACATGGCCCCAAATTATCATTTCTGTCACATTTCCCACTACTCACCTAGAGTTACATTTGACCTCAATGTTACCCATTTTTATAAGTCCTCTGTGTTAATGCAAAAAAGAAAAAATCTCATGCCTTTCTGGAGATTTCAATAAAAACCTTCTCTTGTAGTGAATCCTTTCCTTCTCCTTAAAAAGCACTGAACTGCAGATTCATATATTCCTATGGGCCAAGACGATTGATTTTAGCTTTACTCTCTGTAATATCTATTTATTATTAAAACAATAGTTGTTATGCTTTCCAATGATTATATTATAATGTAAATCTGCTATTTCAAATTATAGCATATATCCACAGAGAGGCTGATTAAAAAAGAAAACAGTTAGTCATGGCAAATCATGAAAAAAATAAAGATGGAGAATCCAGATCACCAGCTTTCCATCCTTCTCGATTGAAACTAATGCACTTCAACAAGTTTCATACATAATACTTCCATAAAAGATTCATCTGAAGAAAGAGCATTGTTTCTATAGGAACATATGAATACCTCCAAGAGATCTGTAAATCTGTTAGAGAAAATATTTCTGGCATGAAATATTTCTTCAGCCATCACATTCATCTGTATCTGTAAAAACTCTATGAATACATTAACGTTCATTTCAAATGTCACCTACCTGATGAATTTTATTTATCTGTTGCCCAAATATGGCCTCTCTCTACTTTGGCTCCCAGAGTAATCTGTTTTTGCCTCTCTTAAGGCCCTCACTAGACATGTCTGCCAGTTTCAGTTTCCAATACAGGGAAATTCCTTGGTGAAGAGCCCATTACATACCCATACTCGCCCAGGTGTCCAGCATATGCTATGGACTCAGTAGGGTTGAATCAAAATGATTATAGCTCATACAATATCTCTAAAAAGTTAAGCTGTACTTTCAAATGCATTTGTCAGGGAAATTTAATTGTTAAAAACACTTCTGTCAGAATGATTTTCATTATAATTTTATTCCTATTAAAAATGATTAAATCAGTGCCTTTAATACATTTTTTAGTTGGCTGATACCATTACCATATAAATAACTGTTGATATATGATTTTAAAAGTCTGATTAAGTAAATGATCACATAATATTAATGATTACATTGCAAAAGTGAGAAAAATTCCTATTTTTCATTTGATTTCTAAGCTACCTACTAATTATTTGTGATTCACTGACAGCATCTTATAATAAGGCTATTACTCAATTGGTAATGTAAGTGAACTTTTTTTATATGTAGCAGAGGTCAAGGAAAACCTTACTTGTTTTGGAGGATATAGATCAGATTGTGTATACAGGCATACATCAGAGATTGCAAGTTCAGTTCCATACTACCACAGTAAAGCAAATATTGCAATAAAGTGAATCACACAGATTTTGGGTTTTTCCCATATATATAATAGTTATGTTCACACTATATTGTAGTCTATTAAGTGTGCAGTAGCATTATGTCTAAAACAAATTTAAAAATACTTTATTGGTCTGAGTGTTCAGTACATTTTTATATTTTTGCTAGTGAAAGGTCTTGCCTCAATGTTAGTGGCTGCTAACTGATCAGGGTCACAGTTGCTAAAGGTTAGGGTGGCTTTGGTAATTTCTTAAAATAAGACAACAGTGAAGTTTGCCACATCAACTGACTCTTCCTTTGATAAAATATTTCTCTGTATCTCTCATGACATGCTGTTTGATAGCATTTTACCCAAAATAGAACTTCTTTAAAATTGGTGTCAATTATCTCAAAAACCCTATTGCTGCTTTAATGAACTCAGTTTACGTAGTATTCTAAATCCTTTGTTGTCATTTCAACAATGTTCCCGGGAATTGGAAAGATAGAGTCTAGAAGTAGATTCCATCTCAAAAAACCACTTTCGTTATTCATCCATAAGAAATAACTCTTCATCCGTTCAAGTTTCATCATGACATTGCAACAATTTAGTCACATCTTCAGGTTCAACTTCAAATTCTAGTTTCCTTGCTATTTCCACCACCTCTGCAGTTACCTCCTTAAAATCTTGAACCCCTCAAACTCGTCTATAAGGGTTGAAACCAATTTCTTTCAAACTCCCGTTAATGCTGATATTTTGACCTGCTCTCACGAACCACAAATGTGGCTAATGGCATTTAGAATGGTGTATCCTTTCCAGAAAGTTTTCTATGTACTTTCTCAGATTTATCAGTGGAATCACTATCTGGGGAAGCTACAATCTTACAAATATATTTCTTAAATAATAAGACTTGAAAGTTGAAATTACTCTATAATCTAAGGGCTGTAGAATGGATGTTGTGTTAGTAGCTTTGAAAACAACATGAACCTCCTGTACATCACCATCGGAGCTCTTGGGTGACCAGGTACATTGACAGAGAGCAATAATTTTTTGAAAGGAATCTTTTTTTCAGAGCAGTAGGTCTCAACAGTGAGGTTGAATATTGTTATTCAGTAGTCCATGTGTAAACATATTTGCTGTTATCCAGTCTTTGTTGTTCCATTTCTAAAGCACAGCAGGGTAGGCTTAGCATAATTCTTAAGGACCCTAGCATTTTTAGAATGGTAAATGAGCACTGGCTTCAACTTCAAGTCACCAGCAGCATTACATCCTAACGAGAGTCAGCCTTACCTTTGGAGCTTGGAAGCCTGGCCTAGCCTTCTTCTCTCTAGCTATGAATGTATTAGATGACATCTTCTTCCAACCTAAGGCTGTTTTGTCTACACGGAAAATCTCTTGTTTAGTGTAGCCACTTTCATTAGTACCTTAACTAGGTCTTACAGATAACTCTCTGTGGCTTCTATATTAGAAGATGCTGATTCACCCTGTACTTTTATGTCATGGAGATAGCTTCTTTTCTTAAACCTCATGGATCAACCCCTGTTAACTTCAAACTTCTGCAGCTTCCTCATATCTCGCAGCTTTCACACAACTGAAAAGAGTTAGGGGCTTGCTCTGGATTAGGCTTTGGCTAAATAAAATGTTGTGGTTTGTTTGATCTTCTATCCTGATCACTCAAACTTTCTCCATATCAGCAATAGGGCTGTTTTGCTCTCTAATTATTCATGTGTTCACTAGAGTAGCATTTTAATTGCTTCCAAGAACTTTTCCTTAGCATTCACAACTTGGCTGTTTGACACAAGGGATCTAGCTTGTGACCTATCTTGGCTTTTGACCTGCCTTCCTTACTAAGCTTAATCATTTCTTCTTATTGAAAGTGAGAGACATGTAACTCTTCCTTTCACTTAGAGGCCATTGTAGGATTCTTAATTGGTTTCATTTCAATATTGTTTTGTTTCAGGGAATACAGAGGCCCAGGAGAGGGAGGCCCAGGAGAGGGAGGGAGATGGCAAATGGCTGGTGGGTACAGCAGTCAGAATTCAATAATATTTATTGAGTCAGTTTGCTGTCTTATATGGGTGCATTTCCTGGTGCCTCAAAATAATAACAATGGACAATGGTAACATCTGAGATTACTGATCACAGATAACCCTAACACATATAACCATAATGAAAAAGATTGGAATATTGCAGGAATTATCAAAAAGTGACATAGAGATGTGAGCTGAGCACAGGTGCTGAAAAAAATGGTACCAACAGACTTGCTAAATGCAGGGTTGCCGTGACCTTCAAATTGTTGAAAACACAGTATCTGTGAAGCACCCTAAGGTGAAACACAATAAATCCAGATATGCCTGTATAACAGAAAGGTATGACAGGTACAAAAATACAAATTCTTCAAAAGACATTTACAATATTGGAACATATCAATAGGCTGAGTCAACAATTTTAATTAAATAGCTCTTCAACTCATCTTCTCTAAATAGTACATGTTAATAAATCAAAGTGTTTTAGCATGTAAGAGGATTTGTAGTTTTTCCCACAAAAAATAGTTCTAAATACAGACAACGTTGTATCAATTTATTTTGGCTTATGCACTAAAAATCAATAATTACAGAAGTCTCAATGTTTTGATGGATTTGCAGGCAATAATAAAAATGTATCCATTGCCTTCAAAGCAAGCCTTAAAACTAGATCCTTTTTGAAAGTCTTTTCTATAGACTTTCAAGCAAACTGAACATCACAGCTGCAGGAAAGCACATTGAATTTTTTGAGGCACAAATCAATATACAATGATATGATAAAATGCCAAGTCATTTTTTCCACATATTCTTGTTGCTACAATGAACCTCTTCTTTCCGCATTTATTCTGTCACACTAGAAAACTGTTCACTCAACTAGTTGGGGTACTATGTTAACTTACAACCAAATACCAATGATTAAGACACATCTTACTGGTCTCTATGGGAAATGTCAAATGAGCACAAATCTAGTTACTTAAGCTATCCATTCTGTACCACAGTTTTTCTAATGAAAAGGAAGTCTAAGGACTGCCTTGGCACATAAGAGAGAGTAATTGAGACGTGCGACTTAGTTCCTGTTTTACATTTTATTTTACCAGAGAGAAATATTTAAAAGTCTACATGTTAATTTTTAATTCAGATTCTATACATTCATTTTTATAACCAAGAACAAGGAACTAAACACAACAGCAACAATTGAAAAGGAAATAAAATATCTTATTCTATGTTAAAAAAGGAATCAAAGTTTTGGGATGACGACAAAGAGTGGTGGGCCACATACGCAGAGCTGTGACAAAGATTTCCACACTTTAAAAAGTTAATTTTTTAAAGTGGCATTCTATGTATCAGTGGTTCTATGGTTTTTAATTTGAGTGCCATAGATCACAAACATTTTAAAATAAAAACCTCGTTTTTATAGAAATCTCGTTTCCCTCATCTGGCTCCTCTGGAAACCAAATCAGATAGGTTGCCCTCTTCTTTTTATGGGTGCCATAAAGCGTTAAATACATCACTCAGACAAAGATGTTGTTTATCAACGGCATGCTAACAGGGATCCCATGTTATAATGAAGAAATGTACTATTACACAGATCAAGCTTCAGACTTGTAAAACAGATGTAACTAAGGAAAAGAAAACATTTAGTGAGCTCCTATTATGTGCTAGGAACATTGCATATAATATCCTATTTTCTTCAGATAGCAATCTTGCATTGTCACTGTTTTATAGATAAGGAAAATGATGCTCAGAGAGGTAAAAGAAGCTGTCCAACTTATATGACTAGAATTCAAGGATGGCACTAGATTGTTTCTAGTCACCTTCAGAAGGTCTTTTCATTGGAAGGAACAATGGGCATTTGGTGGCCACTAGAGAAAGACACTGTTGAGGGCACCACTGAATTAAACACAGCAAATCAATTTGTTGAGTAATGACTATTGTTAAAATTTCAGATTCCATGTCCCATTCAAGAACTATCAAACCAGAATCTCTGAGAATTGGCTGTCATAACAAAATACCATAGGCTGGATGGCTTAAACAACACAAATTTATTATCTGAGTTATGGAGGCTAAGAATTCAAGATCAAGGTGCTAGCCAATTAGGTTTCTGGCAATGGCTCTCCTACTGGCTTGTGGACAATCAGCTTCTCACTATGTCCCCACATGACAAACACACCACACACACACACACACACACACACACACACACACAGAAAAAGTGAGAGAAAAAGAGAGAGCAAACTCTCAGGTATCTATTCTTATAAGAATACTAATCGCTCTTTTTTTTTTTTTTTTTAAGACCGAATTTTGCTCTTGTTGCCCAGGCTGGAGTGCAGTGGCACGATCTTGACTAACGGCAACCTCCACTCCCGGGTTCAAGCGATTCTCCTGCCTCAGCCTTCCTGAGTAGCTGGGATTACAGGCATGCGCCACCACGCCCGGCTAATTTTGCATTTTTAGTATAGACGGAGTTTCTCCATGTTGGTTAGGCTGGTCTCGAACTCCCGACCTCAGATGATCCGTCTGCCTCGGCCTCCCAAAGTTGCTGGGATTACAGGCGTGAGCCACTGCACCCGGCAAGAATATAATCTTATCAGATCAGGACCCAACCCTTGTGACCTCATTTAACCTTAAATGCCTTCTTGTAGGGGAAATTCTCAAATATAGTCACACTAGAGGGTCTAGGATCAATGGATGAATTCTGGGAAAGAAGACACAAGTCAGTCCATAGAGGGGCCCTAGAATGTATATTACTTAGTTACCCTAAAGTTCTCACTTTGCTCAAAATAAGACTTTTATACTGGGAGGAACAAAACTACTTGGAAGTTAATAAAAAATAACTTCCAACACAATAATTTTTGTTTCCAGAAGAGTACTCTATATTCATTGAGATATATGTGACGTATGTGAGAGAGAAATAATATGATCAATAAAGTAATTCAAATAAAAAATAAAAATATCTATCATCAGTGATAGAGAATAAATGCAAATATTAAATTTATACCTTTTTTAAAAAACAGGTAGAGTAAAATGATTCAAAGATATTTTGTGTCAAATTGTTTAATAAATATGGCAATGGGGATAAAATAATTCATTTCTATTTCACATTAATTTCTCTAATATGGATAATCCTCTATTATTTTAAATATCAAACTTTTCACAAATGAAAGATTCAATCTTTAATTAGAATTTTAACTTACAAAAAATACTTTTTTCAGGTAATAAATAAAATTTGGGAGAAAATAAAGTATAATGCCAAGAAACAAAAAGTGTCTACCTTATTAATAAAGAAAATAAATAAATGAAAACTTTTCAAACTGATCGAGCTCAACTTCCTCATATACGCACACAAAAAATAAACAAGAGTAGCTATTTCCAAACTAAATAAATAATCTACTAATTCCTATTCAGTTGTACTCCCTAAATGTCAATAATCACACTAGATAGAAACAAACATTGACTCTAGACCAAAATTGGTGATATCACAAAGGTGATTCTGATAGAACTATATAATTCTGTTTGATACAATGGCTCTACACACCTTATGTCAGACAGCTATATTATTCATTGAAAATGAGATATTTATATTGTTTGGCAATAACAAAACAACTAGGCTTCCTAGTTTTTGTTTGCAACTATGATTGCAGTTGATTATAAAAAATCATATAATAATACTATATGGATATATATTTGAATACATATTTATGTACAGATGTGGCATATGCAGATAAGAACACATAGGGACGCCTTCATACATTCACACAGTGGCCACGGCAATCTTTCTGTTCTGAGCACCAAAAACAGTTATTGGCACACAGTAGGAACTAAATAAAATAAGTGAATGAATAAATGACTGAATATGTGTATATATCCAAACAGAGAAATTAATGCTGAAAAAGAAGAACCATAAATCACTTAATGGAGAGAGAGAGAGAGATTTGTATTTGGAGCTTCAAGTGAGACAAGATGTGTTGAAATTAGCTAGGGACTCCCTAGAAGATGGTGAAAGACAATAAATAATAAATCGATACATAAACTTGTTTTCAGTTATTGAGTGATCCAGAACTACCACCACCAAAAACAAATATTTTTATTAAGTACATTCTATATACCCAGCACTGTTACAAGTATTATGTATTCATTATCATCTCTAATCATGACAACAGTTCAAAGAGAAGAGATAAGTTACTGGAATCATCCCCCCTTTTTACAAATAAAGAAATCAAGGCAAGGAGATGGTAAGTAACATTTTCACAGTCACAGAGCTACTAAATAGTAGAACAGTAATTCAAAGATTGACAGCCTGACTCTGTAATCCGGATTTTTCCCCATATAATTTTTCATCACATTGTTATCGATTCTTTGCCAAAGAGAAAGCAGGTATACTAGAGAAGGCAGTAGAAGGTAAAAGGAAAGGCAGGGGCCCTTTTGAAGATTAAGCAGATGGTGCAGAGCTGATTCTATAAAAACTTAGCAGTCTAACCTTGGGTTAGTAAATGAACTTTTCTGGATCTCAGTGTCCTCATTAGTGAAATGAAGATTTTGAGATAGAACAGTGAATTAGATCATCGGGACCCAATCTGGATGATGATAAAAGTCAAAATTCTTGCATGGCCTGTTATGCCCTACATAATCCTCTCTTCATACTGCTCTATGACTTCATCTTTTCTACCAGGGCTGGCCTCAGAGGTTTGTGACCTGTGCAGTTGCACAAGGGTTGTGCTTTAAAAGTCTCCCTGCTTGGTTTAATGCTCTGCTGTCATTATCTTGAAATTCTTAATAATTTCTGAACAAGGCATTCTGCATTTTTATTTTACATTGAGTCTACAAATTATGTAGCTGGTCCTGCCTATTACTCTCCACTTTCTCCCTGGCACAACTACCAGCGACTAGCTGGAGTTGTATATGTCCCATAGGGTCTTGGATTTAGCTGTTCCTTGTTATTAGAAATACACCCTCTTTCCCGGATTCATTTGACTCATTATTTTGCCATTTTCAGGTCTTCTTTCAAATTTCAGCTATTATGGCAACTATAACTACCCCATTCAATACTACAACCACTCCACCCCAAAACAGCACTATCAGTTTGCTTTGCTCTGCTTTTATTTTTCCACAGCATGCTGCAATGCCTAACTATAATGAAATAATTAGCTAAATACACTTACTTATGTGTTTTATGTGTGTGTGTGTGTGTGTGTACACACATAATTTGCTTCTTTATTATGTTGATTGTCTCTTCCTTATACAATGTTTACATTTCACTATGGCTAGGATCTTTCTTCTCCTCACTGATTTATCCCAAGCACTTAAAACAGTGTGAAGTCAATAGTAAATAAATACCAGTTAAATGGTTAATAGCTTTAACAGTTTATATGAGGATAAAACATTGTGTCTAAAAGAAACCTAATGTCTAATACATTACATGGTCAAAGCAAAGAAAAATTATTTATGTAATTACTACGTAGGGAATTCCACACCCCAAAGTTCATACTCCACATCCTCTGTGACTCTTGAGACCACAAGACTGCTGGCAAAGGCAAAACAATCACTTTTACATTCATTCCAATAGAACTAAAAATGTGAGACTCTTAGGATAGTCATATCTTTTCTCTTGCTTTTCCCTAATATCATCAATAGTAAAGATTTTTAAACACATCACCAAGTAAGCTAGGTGTTTGCTTCAGGAGTACAAGATTTTGGAAACTTGCATTCCTATCTATATAGGAATGGAAAAACCACTCTTAGCAGAAGCAACAGAAAAGTAATTAAAAGAAAAGCAGAATTATTATTTCCTACAATCAGCTAAACACAATAAATAAAACAGTAATTAAAAGTAACTAAGTCAGGAAAATTACCCCGGTACAGTCCACCTGTGGGTGGCTGGGACTCCACACAGGGGAACATTCCAGTGCCATGTTTCTTCTCCACCTTGAGGAAGCAAAAATTATTCATGTGTATGAAATGATTAATGCATTGAAGTCTTTTAGACTTGACATTTTCAACCAAATCCATCATTCTGAGCCTTTCTCGTTCTCTAAGAGAGACTCAGAATGTACAAAATGTTTGAAAAGCCTGCTTAGACTAAAACAGTAATTTTCTACTCAAGTTCAGAAATGATAAACCCAAGCATTTCTGATAATGACAAACTACAATACTATCACAAGTATTGCTCACCTAAAAACGAGTTTCTGCTTTAGAAATTTCCTACTATCATATATAAATCTAGCTTTGAATTTACTTCAAATTAAAGTGGTTATATTTATTAAAAACTTGCAAAATCACAGTGATTATCCACGTTTACCTTCTTTCTTTCTAAAAATCATTAGAATCTTAGCATTGATAAAGATTTCAAAATTCAAAGACTGTTAGAATTATATTGGTGCTTCTGTTTTAGGTTCACTCAGTGGCTTTCCATCATGGTCATTATCATGAAGACCACAATGTATTGAAGGATGAAAACCAACACTGCCTTCCCCCACTCCTGTGGCAGACATAACTAAGCAATCATCATGTTTTCAAACTCTTTATCAAAATAGTGTTCCAGTTAAGACCAATTAGACAAGGGTTGGCATAAGAGGAGAGGTATTTAAAATATTTGGTAACTAGTACAGCACAAGTTCTAGTCAGTTAAAATGGACCTCCAATCCATTAGAAGGGACACTAGCTAGTGGACTAGACTGGTGCATTCCTGCAGAATTCAGAATTAAGCGTAAGATATACAATCAATTTTGCTGTCTTTGTTGCAAAGAACCAGATAAAGGGGTGACTTCTCAATTTTATCACTTCTTCTTTACTGCAGTATGTACACTTGCTGAAAAAATACTTGCTACAGTGATACACTAAATGCAGTGCTTAATGGCACAGTGACTATGTTTCAATAGCACAAATAACATAGATAAACCAGAGTTGCTACTTGCCTTGGCATACAGTAGTTGTTTAATACATTTGCAAAATGTCTTCAGTTTTACAATCTAACATATAATGCACATCCAAAGGACAAAAAAAGTTAAAATTATTGTGATAGAAATTTGGCTAAAGCAAAACCGTTTTGTCAGGATTTCATTTCCATACTTTACATCTATAGTCTCCAAAGTCAACAGACAAAATAATGCAAGTTTAATCTAATATTTCAGGCTAGAGTAAAAAATTGTAGATTGTCAGAAAGGCAAAACTTTAAACATTTTCCAGAATTTAATAAATAGTACCTTAGAGATTATATAGCTGTCCTTTCGTATTATTTGGTCAACATTTAAAAATATAACATAATTGGCCATAGCATCTTTCCTTTAGCTATTTATATTACACAGAGTTATTTTAAAAGCAAAAATATATATTTTAAAAAAGAGATTATGAAAAATATGTAGAGAAGTAGGAGAAAAAAAGGAGAAAACAGAATTATGGAAGTCCAAGAAAGAGGGTATTAAAGAGATAATTATTTCATTTTCTGGCAATATGTGACACACTGTATTCTGGTTTCTGAAGATAGGGAGGAAATGAGTTACAAAAGGTCCCTTTCCTACTGCTTACTTTCTCCTGCTGAGAGATCAACAACAACAACAAAAAGTAAACATAGACATCAACAGTTCAGAAAACTTTCAATGCTGACATGCCCCAAAGACAGTAAAACATAGGTAATGTAATAGAGGGTGATGAGAAATTACTTTAATAGGGGAAGTCAGGGAAGACGTTGCTAAGGAGTTCACATCCAAATGATGAGAAGCCATGCACAGACCTGGGGAATAACTTTTTAGACGGCAGTAAGTACATAGTCCTTGAAGGAATGAGGAACTGTACCAAATGAAACAGAGGCATCACACATACTGAGGAGTAAAACATGACTAGTAAATTTTGAAATAAAAAGTTATGCATTTTTATAGCGATGGGATTGGATACGGATAAAATTTCAGAAAATCTATCAAAGAAAGAAAGAACAACAGTTGGGTGGTAGATCTGAGCTAACGTACAGCTCAACAACGTGACAGTATCTCGGTTGGTTGCTCAACATTTACCAAAAAGAAGACTTAATGTTCATAGACTAAAACTATTTGAACCCATTTGGTTGATAAATCCTAGAAATGAAAAAAGAGGTACAGAGAAAGTGAATCTAGACTACTGTTTCTCAACATGAGAACGAATAAAATAAATTAGTGTAAAAGAGGTTAGCCTTACTCCATATATATTACCATGAAAGTCCCTAAAAACTGATCATGAGAGCTTCCGCAACTTTATCAGTTTTCCCATGGTTAACATATTTATTGCATTTTCCTGAAGCAAACTAGGAATAAAACTATTATAAGACACAAAATAAATAATCAACAACCATGCTAGCTGATTGCTCCCGAGATAAGGGTCCTAGAATGAAATTGTGAAAGTCAATCATCTCTCTCCTATGGTATGGGTAGAGGGCAATGGAGAGACATCGTTGCTGTGTTGAAAGTCCAGGCAGAGGGCTTGTGAGCCAGTCAGTCCCAGTTGCTTGAGGAGCAGGATGGAAGGTCAATAGCTATTTTGCAAAATATTCCAGGAGCCAGAAGTATCCCAGGAAGGTTTATATTTCAAAATAACTTGAGAGAAGTTTTAAAATTACCTTCCCTCTTGATTTTCCATTAGTTCTGTGGAGAAGGTAACTTTATCTTCCCATTTCAGACCTTGGGAAATCTGAAGGAAATTCCCTGCCCCTTTCAATATTATGATTAAATTTTGAGTAGCTTCTGTGGCCGTAGATGAAAGAGGTAGGGGACCTGAAGTGGGCACTGAGCACACTCTCACTTTCTAACACTACAGAGCAGTGTTCTTGGCTCTGTCCATTCCACCCTAATATTGTGGCCATGCTGTAATTGGCAATCTAGTCCATTGCTTTTAGTTGAACGCTGGGCAGCTGTATGCTAGTAAAATGGTTCTTGGGTTAAAAAAAAAAAAAAAAAAAAAAAAAAAGTCCTGATGTGTAGCATTTGCAAATTTCTATGGTTTAAAGATTTTCATTATAATTTATTTCAAATGACCAACAGGGCACTGTTTCCTGAGGAACTGTGGGAGAGATCATGAGAATTGGGAAAGATGCAAAAAATAAACTAACTAGCTGAAATAAACTGGTTTGTGCTGGCGTGTGTGTGTGCGTGCGTGTGTGTGTGTGTGTGTGTGTGTTTCCTTCTAAAGTGGTAGAACAAAACACTAGTAGGGGTTTTGGCAGGTAGCTGAAAACAGAAAACAGTTATGCATTAGAGATAGGGGTTAAAGCTTGTCCTTAATTAGGCCTTGGTCCAAAGAGAAGTCTCTCTAAAAGCAGATAATAGCAAGAAAGAGATAATGGCAAAAGGTGGTTCATAGGAAACTCCAGTTATTAGAAAATTGAGTATAGTGTGTGTGTGTGCGTGTGTGTGTGTGTGTGTGTGTGTTATGGAAAGGATTAAACCATACAGAACTGTTATGGCAGGATATAAAAATAAAACAAAACAAATACTTAACCATTCATGTCCCCTGTGCTAGACATTTTGCTAAGCAGATTGAATCAATTGTTCCAGTCTATCTTACAGAACACTAATATTCGGTAGATATTTTTATAGATGAGGAAACTAGAGCTTAGATATTTAAATAATTTGTTAGTTTTTATAGCAGTATCAAGCCAAGCAATTTTAAATGCCAGTTTCTCCTATTATATTGCCAGCTGCATGCAGCAGGGTCCGAGGCTTTCTTATTTACCACTGTGTCCCCTGCGATTAATGTATAAAAGGTACTCAAAATGTATTTGCTGAAAGTTGAATGTTTCTTGTTATATTAGTGAGACCAAGCTGGCTATATTCTATATTAGTCAGTTAATCTTTTAGTATCAAATTAAAATATAAGGAATAACAAATTAATATTCACAGGACACTTTATTTAATAAATGATACTCAACTTATTGAGGTAAGTGTATTGAAGGAGTTGCAAATTCATTCAAGAGAATTCTTCCTGGAGACTGTGAAACTAATATGACAGCATTTTCTTGGACTAATGTGTTTAAACAGTGCGGAAACCTAAGAATCAACTTTTCCACAGATCTCTCTAGTTCTGGAAAGACTGAATTTGCAGCATCTGCTGAAATGAGGTAAGTGTTATTTGTAAACAAAATACTTAAATACAGGCATTTTGTATAAATTAAAACATGTATCTGCTAAGAAAATTACATTATCACTTAACTTTGCAAGTAGTTTGCCTAAATCAAATCAGAAATAAAAACGAAAACACTGGCATTTTCTGTCAAATGGTAATTACGGTGACTAAAAGTCTTTAGAAATAACTTTAAGTCAAATTAAAAATCTGCATCCAGGGCCGGGCGCGGTGGCTCATGCCTGTAATCCCAGCATTTTGGGAGGCTGAGGTGGGCGGATCACGAGGTCAGGAGTTCAAGACCAGCCTGGCCAACATGGTGAAACCCCATCTCTACTAAAAATACAAAAATTTGCTGGGCATGGGGGCGCGTGCCTGTAATCCCAGCTACTTGGGAGGCTGAGGCAAGAGAATCACATGAACCCAGGAGGCAGAGGTTGCAGTGAGCCAAGACCTCCCCACTGCACTCTAGCCTGGTGACAGAGTGAGACTCTGTCTCAAGAAAAAAAAAAAAAAAAAAAAAATTCAGCATCCAGATACTTTCTCACTAAAAATGCCACATGTGTTGTAATCAAGTGGGGAAAATGAAAACAGTCCACTGCACTTTAACCACCTAGTTGAATTTAGCTACCTATGCTTTAAAACTATTATTTCATAAAATAGGCTTCTGTTCTCTTTCACGGGTAGAAAACGTACTCTCTCTAACAAATATTTAACTATGTACAATATGTTGTGTTAGATCATGGTTTTTGTAAATGGTCCTGTCTAAATTTTAAATACAGGGAAAATATATATCTTCTTAAATATGTAGAAACTAGCCCCATGGTTATTATTCTCAAATATGAAAGAAGTAATTAAGGGCTGAGTACAGTGGCTCACACCTGGAATCCCAGCACTTTGGGAGGCCGAGGTGGGTGGATCCCCTGAGGTCAGGAGTTCCAGACCAGCATGGTGAACATGTTGAAACCCCATCCCTACTAAAAATACAAAAATTAGCTGGGCATGGTGGCACATGCCTGTAGTCCTAGTTACTGGGGAGGCTAAGGTAGGAGAATTGCTTGAAGCAGGGAGGCAGAGGTTACAGTGAGCCGAGGTTGCACCACTGCACTCCAGCCTGGGCAAAACTCCGTCTTAAAAACAAACAATAATAAAATGAATTTTTTTTAAAAAATGAAAGAAGCAATTATGGAATTGTTTTGTTAACTTGGTTAGTGAACAGAGCTCATAAAATGAGAAACAGAAGGTCACACTGGACCAAGGGACTGTATGCAGATTTAAAAAAAATGAATAACAGCTGCATTCACAGTCATTTATCTCACACTTGTGCACTGTTGCCAAAAGATGGATTTTTACAATAGAAAAATAAGGGAGACTAATAATATCCAAAGCCACTGTCACCATTAAAAAACTTCAAACCTGGGCCTGGCACAGTGGCTCATGCCTGTAATCCTAGCACTTTGTGAGGCCAAGGCAGGTGGATCACCTGAGGTCGGGAGTTCCAGTTCGAGACCAGCCTGACCAACATGGAGAAACCCCGTCTCCACTAAAAATACAAAATTAGCCGGGTGTGGTGGCACATGCCTGTAATCCCAGCTACTCGGGAGGCTGAGCCAGGAGAATCGCTTGAACCTGGGAGGCAGAGGTTGCAGTGAGTTGAGATCGTGCCATTGCACTCCAGCCTGGGCAACAAGAGCGAAACTCCATCTCAAAAAACAAACAAACAAACAAACAAAAACTTCGAAGTTCACATTTCTGTGTTGGTGAGACAGTAGCTTCATCTTACCATCCAGAAAACAAAAGTTTAAGTACTACAGTTCCATTCCACTTCTCTAGCTCACTGATATTGTTATCTATAACAGCAATCATTCAGAGCCAAATGCATATAGCTCTGCCTTTTGCCATAACACTGATAAGTTTGCTTTTGTTTGAAAATATTCAAAATAAAAGAGAAAGACCAAGTTTTTCCAGCTGTGAGAAAATAGGCATCTGATTGTAGGTTATCCAAGGATTCCATGCAGTGTTTGTATTTTTGTCTCTTTGAGACTTTCTGAGAAAATATTTGATACAGTGCTCAGATTTCATACGTTAAGGCACTACATATTGATATTTTACACACAAAGACAAGCAATGCTTTTCTGGTCCAACTCAACATGATTAATCGTTCTGCATTCAAGAATAAAACATTTCATTTGTAATTTTTTTGAGCTTTCACTTTTAATTAAACATAGGATCAGGGCATTATGTATATTTTATTTTTATTCATACTGGCCTAGGCATTTTCTTCCCTAATGATTCGTATTTGTCTTGTTAAAGAGAAGACAGAAAGATTATATTTAGATAATGTGATAAATATAATAAAAGTTTGTTCTTTCAAATCTTGATATATTGTTCTGATGTTCTGGTAGTTTCTTAATTTCTCCCATTTAAATGTGTCGACTTTTTACAGGACAATAAGAGCTAACATTGATAGAGTACTAACTGTCAGGTGCTTTACATGGTTTATATCATTTCTTCCCCACAAAAAACGTTAAAGTTACTGTTACTATTCCCCTTATATGGATGAGAACACTGAGTCGTACAGAATTGACCTGACCACCCCACATTTGCACACCTATTAAGAAAGGATGCTAGTCTGGGCTGTTGAACTATGCTCTCTGCAGAATAGGGTAGTGACACATATCTTCATAATAATGTAGCTTCTGCACAGTTAGTGAGTTTTTGAAAATAAGTTTCTCCATAAAACTGCATTACTTGGCTTATCTTTCAGATAAAAAAATGAAGCTTTACAGAATGAAAAGATACAAAATCCATAAAATGTATGGAAATAAGAAAAAAATCTCTTGCTCAGCAACAACTTGGCAGAACCAATCTGACCAATGTATAGCAAATATTAATATGTGATTTGCTTTTCTACATCTGCTGGTGTTTCACAAAGGACAAAAGAAATAATTGCATAGAAATTGCATAAAAGCCATATGTTCTATTAATAAAATTGACTAGACATTTTCAGCACTCACCACCAATGTCTTTAACCTTATGATAATATTATAGTTGATATTTACCTTTTAAGAAAAATACAAATCACTGTTTATTCCCTGAAGCTAACCTTACACATGCTAAATTATTTATGTATCCATTTTAATATGTATTTTGCATCTGACAGGACAACTCTCCTTAGGACCCTTTTACTGACCCACCTGTCATTATGATGGGGTAAACTATGTCACCTTTCTAGTGCACGATGAATTACAAAGAAGTTGTAAAGTACACCATCCATCATGCTGGCACTAAGTAGGTTTTTGAAGTAGATCTCAGATATCAGAAATGCTGTTTAGACGGTTACCAGAAAGCACAAATTGGAAGCTTACACAAAACGGTCCTATGATGAATGGACATGACAGCTCTTCCAAGAAAAGGGGCACTCCTCTTCTGCAAATAACCTTGTCAAAAGCAAAAAGTTGTGGGAAGCTTTGCTGGCAGTCAGACTAGAATAATTTAAGAACTTGTTAATGGCTCTGCAAGACAGAAATTCATGCAAACACAATGTACTCAAAATCAAAAAAAGAGGCATGCCTGAATCTTTAGCAGCAACCACTCAAGCTTGATTTGAATTAGGGAATGATTTAAAGTGATACAGAAAAATCACCAGCGCCTTATCTATTAGAACATGTGAGTTTCAATAATATATCTAAAACAGGCATATAAAATATGTGCAGGTATTGTATATGCATATATAATAGCCACCTAGAAATTGCTTTTGAAAATTATAATACTGATATAATCTGAGTTTTAAGAAATGAGTATCAATAGCATGTGCTTTCTTGATATAGATATTTAAATCAATATGTATTTAGTATAATAGATTTGCATTATTAATACAATCTTAAAATAGTGTCTTTATCTAATTTGCATAATTAATTTCTCAAATTATGTTCTTCAAATACAAGGTGTAAGGTTTATCCGTATTGCATTTTGTTTCCTTTAACAATCCCTTTTGTTTAGCCCTAATATTTCAAACATGGAGTATATTTCTACATCTACAGTTAACTTTATTTTCTCCCTTTTAACAGCTGCATTTTAAAAGTTTTTTTAAACTCTTCTTTATTTTAAAAAAGGCAGTTTTAATACACTTACAAATGGTGTCAGGATACTAAATAAGGACTTAGAACTATGCATATTTGGATAACTCCAGAAATCTGCAGTAGAGGTTGATTTTATTTTATGTGAAACAAAAGGAAATTTAAAAACTTAAAACTGTTAAGATAAACATGTAGAAAACTCTCAGAGATATGGTTACACAGGAATATTTTAAAAAAAACACCCCACCCAGTTTCATTAGCAAAATGAAAAAAATAATTAACTTTTTAAAAAATAAATGAGTACTCTTTGATAGTAAACAGATAAAACCACTGGTTGGTTCTCTTAAGTTTTTCATTTTTAAATTGGCTCTTTCAATACAAAGTCAAATCCTTAGACATAGGCGTGCATTGCCTTAACTGTGAAAGATGGAGACATACAAGAAAGTGTTACTGAACCCTATCTTATCCCAATTGTCCCATATGCTGTAATAGAAATTGTCATACAACATGCCCAGAAAAACAACACAAAAGGCCATTGTTATAGATACATACACACGTGCATTAGTTTGAAAGTTAAAATATAGTGTTTTTAAGTAAACCGGCTTCTTCTTTTGTGTCCTCTATTGACAAGAAAAAGTAAGTGAAAAAGAAAAAAAATAAAGAAGAGGAAAGAACCACATATATTTGGATAAGAAAAACAACTGTTTCATTTAAAGGGATCTAAAAAGACAGCTACCGAACATATCGAACATATAACCAAAATGCTGAGAATACAACTCCCTTATAACTTATAATTCTAAATGGGAGAGAGGCTGGGGGTGGAGAACACCATCGGTATCCTGCGAATTCACATTTCTAGTTTCTAAGGTCTGATGATTTGAAATTGTCAAGGAAATAAAAATGGTGCTCAAGTAAAATTTATGGAGGCTAACTTAGCCTCCACAAACAATGACTGCTAAATTTGAAAAAGATATTAAAATACTTTAGGCCTGAATATATTTTAATTTTAATCAAATCATAATTATAGGGTCCCTATAAACTAATCAATCAGTGGCTGCTTGGAATTTGGTGTGGCCTAAAAACATCTAGAAGAAAGGGAATAGGCTCAGTTTTTAAAAGTAAGAAGGTTGAAGCTATAGAATTTTGCAAATTCACATTTTTAACTTATTTCTTAAAATATTAAACCTCTCTACATATTAGTAATATTACATATATTTTAAACTAAAAAATTATTTTACATTAAAAATGAGATGACATTCAGTTGTGTGAAGGAGTCTAACAATGGACACTACATAGCCAAACATTTATTACTCTTACACACTACTTGAACGCAGGACACTTGAAGGTGAGGCTATCTAATTGCAGAAGTGTGAAAGAATAAAGAAAATAAAGGGCGAAGAATATTTATATATCCATCCTACAGCATCATCTGTTAGAATAAAAGGGATGATTAACATTTTTGTGATTCAGCCTAGACTTTTACAAAATATAAAAAGCAAACATACAATTACGTACAATACTCTGTGTCCAATATCTGCACAAATATCACAGGAAAGTGGATTTGCCCAATAGTGGAACTCTAGGGCCCAACAGATTCTTCCAAATGACCTTCTCCCTGACTTTCTTCCCTCCACCACCACCTCCATTATTATGAGAGTTTGCTGGTAGTGAGTATGAATCAGAAATTAGAAGTATACAATATCTGTTAATATACCCACCCCCGCTTTTTCTTCTTTTTTTTTTTTTTTTTTTGAGAAGGAGTTTCACTCTTGTTGCCCAGGTTGCAGTGCAATGGGGCAATCTTGGCTGACTGCAACCTCCCCTCCTGGGCTCCAGTGATTCTCCTGCCTCAGCCTCAGGAGTAGCTGGGATTACAGGAGCCTGCCACCGGGCCCGGTTAATTTTTTGTATTTTTTTAGTAGAGACAGGGTTTCACTGTGTTGGTCAGGCTAGTCTCGAACTCCTAACCTCAGGTGATCCACCCGCCTCGGCCTCCAATGTGCTGGGATTACGGCCTCCCCAAAGTGCTGCTATTACAGGCATGAGCCACAGTGCCCGGCCAGTATTCCTTTTAAACCAAGGCAAACAAATTGTTATTGAAGGGTTCATCTCCCATGTTTCCCTTATTATGCAGTAAGTCCGGAGTATAAAGGAGTCATAGAAATTTAATTTTCCAGATCCAGTGAATCTCCCCATTATACAGTAAGACCAACAAATACATGCTCCCATAAGGGCCTCGGAGAAGCTGCACAGTGATAGGATATCTCTTTCCTTGGTCAGTGTGGAAACTGTACAATATGAAAGTGCACGGGCATTGAGGGAGGGTTTTTGTGGTGAACCCGTATCTAAGGAACTTATTTAAATAAATTAGTTGATTTAACCTTATTCTACCTTCAATCCACTGGGCCAGCGGGTTATTACAGAGGGCCATGCTAAGGAAATAAGGATACAAGTTGTAGTTTCATGAGTTTTGCGTATCTCCTTCTTCAAGGAATAATCAATGTTCACCAGCGGAAATTGAAAAGCAAAGAGATGGGGAAGATTCCAAGGATCCACTCAAGTTCCTGGTGTTTTTGTGAATGTTCTGTGTTTAAGACATGCTTTTGTTTAGGAGAAGACATGAGCTGAGCCAACTGGGATAAAGAAGAGGTTGAAAATGCGTATGGCTTAGACAGAGTAAAGAGTTTTAGATAAAATATCGGGGTAACTTTTAGAGTCTTGGCTTAAGGCCAAAGCTTCTGAATCAAGGAAAGAGTGACAGTTGCCTTCCTCTATTTTTATTAATATACAGGTGTGTTACCATTATTACCTGCCAGAAAGAGCATAATATTAATCCAATCAAATTATATGAGTCCTACAGTAGAAATATTGCAGACATTTAATATTATATTGAAGTTTAATTAATGGTAAGACATTTCAAGGTGGTAATAGTTATATGCAGCTCTTTGGCTAAAAGTCAAAGTGTGATATATACAGAATAGAAACGATGCTGGACTGCCAGAAAATCTGCCTCTCCCTCCCACTCCCCCAAGATCTATTAGGAACGAGCATTTACTGTTATTATTTCAAATATTTATGCAAAGTAATTTTAAATGATTTAAACATTCCATATATCAATCAAAGTTAATAATAAGTTAGATTCTGAAACATTTGTGCCATTAACAACAGTCAGAAAGATAACATTATTTCATTGGTATTAAATGAGGCAATCAACAGTTTGATGGAAAAAAAAAAAAAACTAAGTGTATTTTTTAAAATTACACTTTTACATAGAGTTAGAAAACTAGTCCATAGAAAGGAAACTGTTGACCAATTACACGTTGTTATATCTAACTTGTATATTGTTCTTACTATAGGCTATGCTCTGTCCTCCTAGATTTACATATATTTGTAATTTTTTCTCACAACAACCTTATGAGTTGGAACTATTATTGACTCCAATACAGAGATGAGGAAATCAGCCCGTTTCCTCCCAACGGTTAAGTAACAGTGGTTAACTGGGGAGCTGAGATTTAAAACTAGTCCATGTGGCTCTAGAAGCCTTGCACTTAACCACAATGCCAAAAAAAAAAACTGCATCATAAATCTGCTGACCCAGAAAAGGTGAAGAACTAATACACACCTGGCTTATCACATGTGTTTTCCATCATGAAAGTAGGGGCGCTGTGTTTCAAATCTTAAATGTGTTAATAATCATATCAATTTTCCACTTAATTTCTTTTGTGTGTGCACAATCTCAAAACACAACCCTCTCCATTTCTTTCCCTTTCTCTATATCAGTGTATTAAATTTTGCCTCTCCAAAGCTGTAGAATGAAATAGACTTGCACTATATGGACAGAGCAAAATGTGAATGACTCAGTCACACATTCAACACCTTTGAATTAAATTTTTCTAACATGTTTTCACTTTCAAAATATGACAAGAAAAGGGTCAGGAGGGCCACATCTTCCTTCTCTTTCCTGGCACTTCCACACTGAAAAGATTTAATGGTTACTTTTGTATGTTGCATCTTGACAGTTAGTTCAATTTAGATGAAAGCTGTTATTTTCTAATTCCATCTCACTGTAAATGACAGAGACAAATGGTCATATTACCTTGAGAGTTCCTTTGGCAGAATAGGCTGCATATGAATAGAGCAGGTCTTGGCTGCTATCTTTTCTGGCTTCTTCACTGCAAGGCTGGCCATTAGGATGAAAGCATTGACCACTGCTGCTCAGAGTCACAGTGCTGGGAGAAGGGCCTGGCAGATCAAGCAGCACAGAGTAATTTACAAACTGTACATCTTCTAGGCCCAAAGAGGTCCACTGAGTCTTAATCTTCTTTGAAATTTCCATGTCATCTTCATTTTTATATAGTTGTACCAAATTTCTGAAATAAATTTGAAAAGAAAACTTTTTTAAAAAGGAGAATACTTTATTCTTTTGAGATATGACTGCTCAATATATGAACAATATTAATAGATGTTGTGGAATATTGAAAGATGAATGAGACAGGACCCTATCACATGAAACATAAACACAAAACAAAGTGGAATGAATTAGTTTCTTAAATTAAGAACTGACGGCCCTTGTGGTAGCTCATGCCTGTGATCCCAGAACTTTAGGATGCTAAGGAGGGAGGATCGCTTAAGCACAGGACTAGCCAGGGCAACATAGCGACAACCTCTGTCTACAAAACATTAAAAAATAAATTAGCCTGATGTCCTGGTATGCATCTGTGGTCCCACCTACTTGGGACACTGAGGTGGGATGATCACTTGAGCCTGGGAGTCGGAGGCTGCAGTGAGCTAGGATGGAACTATTGCATACCAGCTTTGTCAACAGAGTGAGACTCTCTCCAAAGAAAAACAAACAAATAAAACAAAACAAAACAAAAAAACCCACTAATACAGCACTATGGCATTGCAGAGAAGAGTGATATTAATGCTAACTAAATCTTCTATTAGTTCTGATCCTTCTATCAACATCAACATAATACACTTAAAAGTCCATTCCAAAATCTAGGTGTCATTCCAGTTGAGACATTTCTTTGTTATAGTTAAGGTGATTTCATTTAAAACAATATGATTGACATATAGTTATTGCTATTTAAAATAATACAGAGAGAGCTGTTTAGATACAAATTTTATGCCAAATTACATGATGCTATGAGCACAATGTTTTCCAATAAAACCGAAACAAAAACAGAGATTGCCAAACCAATGGGAAATTAATGTTGTGTTGTACTTTCTGTACTTTGTATATTTATTTCTATACCTATCCCATAATCCAATGACACGATTTTTGCTTATGACATACTAGAAGCCAGACAAATCTGTTAAAAATTTTGTATAGTACCTAGAACAGAATCAGACATGAGAACTTAATAAAAATAATTTAATCCTGAGAAAGTTTTTTTTTAATTTTGTGGCTGAAATATTAATAAAAAGGGACCTAAAAAGAAAAATTTCCTTTTGGGGCAAAAATGTATCTTCTTAAAAGAATCTTATTGCTATACAAGTTATTACCTAAGTGTTTATTTTGATATTACTGTTATTTTTGCCCATCACATTATTTTTCTCACTTACTTCCTCCAGGACCCTGTTTATTCAACAACTCCTAAACTGAGCTTGTTCAACCTATGGCCCGTGGGCTGCATATGGCCCCACGACAGCTCTGAATGTGGGCCAATGCAAATTCGTAAGCTTTCTGAAAACATTTTGAGACTTTGTAAAAGATTTTTTTAATTTTTATTTGAGCTTATCAGCTATTGTTAGTGTTAATGTATTTTATGTGTGGCCCAGGACAATTTGTGTTTATCCAGTGTGTCTCAGAAAAGCTAAATGATTGGACACCCCTGCAACAGTACATGCCTGGAAAAGACATAAGAAGCAGACACAATAGTGGTAAAAAAGCATTACACAAGATAAAAGGTAAGTCTGAGGCCACAGCTTACAAGGTGGCCTACACAGGAAGATGCAATAAAAACAGTTTCTCGGTTATCTCCTATCTTTGTGAAGCTACTCCTATTCATGCTTTCTTCCCACTTCTTTTCTTCCTTCTTCTTCTTGTTCTTTCTTCTTCCTCTTCCTCTTCTTCTTCTTCTCTTCTTGTTCTTCTTCTTCTTCCTCTTCCTCTTGCTCCTTCTCCTCCTCCTCCCCCTTCTTCTTCCTCTTCCTCTTCCTCTTCCCCTTCTCCTTCTTTCTCCTTCTCCTTCTTCTTTTTAAATATCTACTTGGATCAGTCAACAGTGCCACCTAAATTTTATGGAATAGCTGGTGAGAAGAATTATATTCTTTTTCATTACCAGTAAGAGGGCTCTGCCTTCCACCTTGTTTTGTTGTTGTTGTTACTTTATCTGTTCTCTACCTTTTCCTACCCCCTTTCTCCATTGCTATTGCATTCTCTCTGTATTTTTGGGATAGAGCAGGTAAACTGAGTTAAAAACAACACAATTTGACAGGAAAGTCATTTACAAAGGTGAACCAATACCTTATTCTGTTAAAATCCATATAAAATGAGGTTTCAAAATATATATTTTATTTATACAAACATAGCAATATATCAGTAACATTGACAGACAAAGAGAAGAAAAATGCGAAGACTGCTTTATATTTTGTTTGCTCCTCTACACTGTTAATTGATGAACATAAATCCACCAGGGAATGTGCAAGATGTTTAATCTGCCATTCCTTTTGTTGGTCTCAGTTGCTTTATGGTGCAAGCAACTGAAAACATTGAATGTTTATACTATAAGGCCTCGAAGGCAAATGAAATACTTCTTTTAGGGCTCAACTGAAGAATTAGTAATTTTTCCCAATTGTGGAGGATTTCTAAATATTTGTCAGTATTAAGCTAAAATTAATGAGTGAAAAAATGTATACAGTCTTTACTTCACTTTTAATTTATGGGATATGTACTTTATTACATCATTTTTAATAATATGAAATAATTTAAACACATAGATAATATACAACGTATACGATGTATAAAGAGTAGTGAAAGGAACCACCCAGGTTATGAAGAAGAAGATCTCTAATATTATCAAAGCCCCAAGAATAGTTTTTCTCTATTCAATCACTTACCTTGATCCCCAGGGTAGCATCAATCTGACTTTGTTGCTTCCCATTGTCTTTTTTTAATAGGTTTATATACATATATGTATATCTCTTTAACAATTTCTTTAATTATAAGTGTTTTTACTTTTACAAAATTGGTATCTTATATATGGTTTTCATACTTGCCTTTTTTACTCAATATTGGGTGTCTGAGATTCCTCCAGGTTTTTAATCAGTTTTCCTAAGATAAATATTTTGAAGTTGTTTTCAGCTTTTCACTATTGTAAACAATGCTGCACTGGATATTCTTATTCATGTTTCCTGATAGACATATGCAAAAGTTTCTTTAGGCAAGGGATTATTGGTCCATAAGGTATGCACCTGTGTAACTTTATTCCAAAATGCCAAAATGCCTTTAAAAGATTTTTGATTACACTCTTGCCATCTTTTTATGACAGTTCTACTTCCTCCATTCCTCGCCAATAGTTGGTATTGTCCATTATTTTATTTTACTTTTAAATTTTATTTTATATTATACTTTTGTCAATGTAGTGAGTGTAAAGTAATATTTCATTATGTGTTTAGCTCAGAAGTACAACTGCCGGATTGCAGGATATACTAAATAGTTTTCCAAGGCTTCCTTTACCACCCTCTGCTCCTGTATCTAATTTCCGCTCTACAATGAGGGTAAAATTATATCCCATTGTGGTTTTAATTTGCATCTTCATGATTACCAGTGAGGAGCTTTTCATGTATTATTTAGCTATTCATGTTTCCTTTCATGTAGAATAACTGCTCTTGTTTTTGCCTATATTTATAGAAGTTTTTGTATGTTCTGAATAATCTTTTTTAGGTCATATGTGTGGCACATATTTTATCCTAGTTTTTGTCTTCTCTTTTTATTTGCAATGTATTGTCTTATGATAAGCAAAAGTTTATAATTTTAATGCATAGAGCTTTTAATATAATTGTTTTCACATTTTCTGATGTGCTTAAGAAATCCTCAATGCTGTGGTCATGAAGTTATTCTCATTTTTTTTCCTAAAAAATTTAAGGAGTTGTTTTTCACATTTCAGTGTTTATTTGGAGAATGTGTGTGTATGTGTGAGCAGGTGTGTGGTAGGAGGCAGGAATCCAATTTCCCTTTTTCCAACATGAGTCCTAGTACCCCTTGTCAAATATGCCCCATTAATGTGCAATGACAACTCTGTCGTATATGAGTTGCCATATGTGTTTGGGTGTGTCTGAGTTCCCAAATCAATTCCATTTGTCTTTTTCTTCCATATCCATAATAATGTGCCGTTTTCATTATTACAACTTTATTATAGGTCTTAATATACAGAATGGGCAAGTCACACTACTTGTTCATCAGGAAATCTTAACTATTTTCCTTTTATCTTCCATATGAATATTGGAATGAGCTCACTAATTTCCATGCCAACATTGTGACTGGAATTACATTGAGACTAAAGATCAATTTGGGAAGAAATGCCATCCTTATAATAATATATCAATAAATCCTTAATATTATTGCTGTAGTCTGAATGTTTATTCATATGTTGAAATCCTAACCCCCAAGGTGATAGTATTAAGTGTTGGGGTCTTTGGGAGGTGATTATATTATATTATCTTTCCATCATGTGAAGACACAGCTAAAAAGCACCATCCATGAGGGAGCAGGCCCTTACCAGATACCACAGCCACTTTGATCTTGAACTTCCCAGCCTCCAGAATTATAAGAAATAAATGTCTGTTGTTTACTAATTATCTAATTTAAGGCATTTTGTTATAGCAGCCTGAACAAATTAAGATAATGGTCAAGTGTTTGGTCAATGTTAACATAAAAATATGTTTTAAAATTAAAATATTTCCTATTGCTGGTGTAGTGGAATACTATTCAGTTGTCCTATAAAGAAAACCTGCTAAACTCTCTTTTTAATCATAACAATTTTCTTCATTTTTTCTATGTAAAACAATTATATCACATGCAAAATAATTAAGGTTTTATTATATCTCTTCTAATTATTTAGAGATTTAACTTTTTTTTTTGTTTTACTACACAGGCTATGACCTCCAGAAAATATTTAAAGAAATATTAATGTGTGATAGTAGATATCCATGTTATAATGTATATGTCAGGTTAAAGATGTTCCTTCCATTCTCATGTTGTTAACAGCTGTTTTATGAATGCATATTAAATTTTGTCAGAAATTCCGATACATTTATTAAGACAATTGTATGTTTTATTTCTTTAATTTGGTGGATTACGTTAGTAAATTTTTTAAATAGTAAACTTGCATTCCTAAAATAAGCTGGACTACTATAATGAATTATAATTTTAGCTATCATGTGATATATTTTGCAAATATTTTATTATTTTCACATCCATTTTTAAAAGTAAATTTGGCATGTAATGTTCCTTTCAACTATCACTTCTGATTTTGATTTGTAATATACAAATCTCACAAAATGAGATAGCAAGCCTTCCTTCTCGATCTACTCTCTAGAAGAGGTTGGATATTATTAGAATTTTTAAAAGACAAACTTTTCTTATACTAAAAATTGTCTGTACTTGATATTCTCATTATGGGAGAACTATGAACTGCTGATTTAATGATTTTAATTTAAGAATTTTTTAAAATGTATTCTTTGAATCACAGCTCTTTCATTGCACTCCGTGCTAGCTTACATAAATTTTCTAATTTCTAGGTTTCTGGTTTCATCATCTGCCATAGTACTTTTTTTTTTTCCTTGGGAATTTCTCTTATGATTCTGTCACCTCAGGATAGTAGTCCTTCAAAGTAGTTATGTTATAATGTATTCAGCATATATGCGTTTTTCAGAATATCTATTAACAAATTACTCAAAATGGAAATGCACTATAACACCTTAGACATGATTTCTTTGTAGATATTGATTGCTACTCCCACAATATCCAAGGGGGAAAACTCTGGAAAAGTAGTTAAGAATTATGGCCTAAGCTGTTTCTTCCACAGACTTTCATAATAGAATAGATACTTGTTCAAAATTGATTGAGGTGATACCATTTGGCACATTATCTCACCAATTAGAGATTAGATTATTCAAATCTCCTACACTCTGGTTGTTGACTGGATTCAAGGGAATATGAGCACACCTTTATAGAAACCTAGAAAATACAAGTATATCAATAAAAAATGCATACTAAAAGATGATAACAAAGTTTTTGGATACACATGATTGTAGAAATACTGGTCTCTAGAAAATATGATTTCTTCATAAACAGTGGCAATATTTCAAATAGTTAATCATAAGTTTAAAAATAACTCTTAAATTGTAGTCTTCCTAAGATTACTTTTAAATTCTGATGCCGTTTAAAATTTTATTTTAAATTTATCAAGTTTAATGTACATGCTTCTCTTGTTTAAGAAAATGATTTCAGGAGATCATATGAGTTCATAGTTCTACAATTATGTAATTTTTAAATTGTTTTAAATCAGCCTTCTTTGACACAGTCTTACAGCTACAAATGGTTTAGTCAAAGGGTTCTATTTATTAATCATTTCAAATCATTTAGAATGTTAAAATAAATAGATTTTATTGAGAATGTCAACAGTTTATTATACATTTTTTCCCCACAATAAATGTTTCAGGATTTATGGTGAACCACTCTGCTATAATTAGGTAGTTTGCTGTATTAAATGAGAAATTCTATTAAAGAATTAACTGCAATATAATCTAAGTTTACTAATTTCAGAGAAATTTGCAAAAATTGAAGGGTATAACCTAAAATCACACGGTATTTATTTGACAGAGTGTTTTACTGTGCTTTACTTTTTAAAATAAGGGTTTCCACGGGCCAGTAGTTTTGGCAGGCAGCATAATGAACTGTCATGCCTAAGACTTGAATTTGGAAGTAACTTTGGCATTAATGTTCCATTGGCCAATGGAGATTAGAAATGGGAGAATTTTGGCTTTAGTAGACAAAATTCTGTTTATATCAATGTTCAACACCTGCTACTGTATGAGCCACAGAGCAACAGTGATGTCAGAATTGGAGGAAGCCAGGCATGTAGTATTCCTAACACCAGGTTGAATGCCAAGAGTATACTGTAAATGAATGGGGAACAAAAACATCTAAAGAACGATGAACTAGAAGTACACATGGAAAAAATCAGCACATTTATTAATGCCTATTAACATTTTCTTATGTGTATTTACAATAACATATGCAGATACTCATACTATACCGGGTGATATTTCTAATATAGTATTAAAAAGTCAAACATTTCATTAGGTTGTTATTTGAATTGGTATCCAATGTAGTAAAATTCTGCTAATCATGTACTATATATGTGTGATAAATTTAAAGATTACATAGGATGAAATTACCTTTTAATCTCATAATTTTGCTTTGAAAATATTAAGATTAAAACACATGATAAACTGTAATAAACATAGCAGCAAGGAATTAAATGGTTGAGAGGGAAAGGCAGCATCCCGTAGCCTTCCCTTGCAACAGAGCCACTAATGGCATGCCAATGAAACAATGGTTTCTTGTTCAACTACTTCTTACCTTCTAAAATAACATAGTAACTACAAATTTTATATTAAATGTCTACTATTATGCTTAATCATCACAAAAAACTCTTGATATAACTACTATGGTTGCCACTTTACAGATAAGGAAATTGAAGGCTAGATAATGCAATCAAGATGTTGAACGTCCTAGATTAAATAAGTCAGTTTTCTACTATTCTACACTGAATCTCAGATTTCCACTATACCGTGCTATTTAGAAAAAGCAGCTAGTTTCCCAATCTGAGATGCTTTCCAAAAGCAATAAAAATGATGAGTGTTAGAAAGCACTGTATCTGGGTAAAATAAAAGTTAGATAGTAAGAGGTAGGTGGAAATAAATCTTTATGCTCATGAGAAAATGATGCTCAGGGAAATTAATGTAGCAATGTAAAAAATACAATAGAATGAATTTCACAGTTTGGGAACCATCTGAACAAAGAAGAAGAAAACAGATTCTTTATACATTCTGTTTAAAAATCAGTTCAGAAATGGATTATCTGCCAGAGAACGTAATAGTCTCTCCTCTTCTGATCAACGAAAATATGGTACATATCTGCCTGCTCTACAAGTAATAGAAGGCATGCTGATGGGCTCAGTGCCCTCTACTTAAGTCCCAGGCAAAAAGCTGATACTCAACAAATACTTTAATTGATTTGGTATTTATATCAATTTATGTTCCACGTGACAGTAAGATAAGCTTGATTTAAAAACCAGAGCACACAGAAATATAACAAACTGTCAACACATCTACTATTACCTGTGCCAGAAAAAAAATCCAGTATTATAACTCTACATCTTTCACTCTTGCACACATTTGTGCAGGAGATAATTTCATCTCTGGTTAACAGTGAGTGCATATTTGGATTTCAAGAGAGAAGAACACAATAGGGTATCTGAAAGCAGACTCACGGAATGGACAAATTAATCCAATCAGTAAGACAATACGAGTCTTCAAACTTGGGTGGTCAATACACAGAAACTTTTGATAAAAAGAGTCATTATTTCTATTTTTTTCAAGTAAGTGAATAGATAACTGAATAAATAATTGGGAGAAAGTTTTTCCATTTTGATAAGATTGTAATAGAAATGACTAGCCTTTATCACACTTCAAAATAAGCATATTTACTTTACCACACTTCAAAATAAGCATATTAAACACTAACAAAGATTCCCTTTTCTTGTCATTAACACAAAGATTATTAATCTCTTTCAGTAATCTTAAAAAATTAAGCGTTTTAAAAGACAGGTAGTAGTCTTACCCTTTTTAACACATCCTGAAAATTCAACTATAGAAGTCTAGCACTTAGTAAATGGTAACCACAATCAATGTTCAGGAAATATTTTTTACTAAGTAAATATACCTTTAAGACTATATTGAAAACCTAATTTTAAGATGTTATATACTTATTTTAGTTTATTTTCTAATACAGCAAACTGAATCTTGAGTTCTTCTGCAAGACTGACTAAAATGTAATGGTAATTTTATATAATGGGGAAGATATATTTTTAAAATAATTTTTAGATGTCATCTCTCTGCGACAATGCAAACAGGTTAAGATTATGCCAGAACAATAAATTATAATGATTATGTCAGAACAATATTTAAAACTAGTAAGAACTTACATGTTATTTTTCAGTTGTTAGCCCAGACTACCTTCCTTCCTGGGCAGACTCATTTCAGCACCAAACACTGAAATCATCTCAATTAAATCAACTTGTCTTGACATGTCAGGTTACAAAAATCATGAGACAACTAACTTTTAACCCACCCAAACTTATGAAATACATCGAAATCAATCTGTAGAGATGGCTGGCCTTTGGAAGTAATGATAGTATGAAAACAAAAACGAAAATTATAAGTTCTAAAACAATAGAGATAAAACGTGTTTTGAAGCATGTTACACATTTTGGTATTCGAATAAGTTATTTACGTGCTTCATCTCTATTGTATACATGAAGAAAGAAAAAAGAGGTTTCTTGCTAGACCAGAAATAAGCTGCATTGACAATGGTATATTTCTGATATACATTATTCCTATCAGGCCAGGACCTAGTCTACTGAACCTAATGAATTATCCATGATACCAGAAGAGCAGACTTTCAGCAAAAGTTTGGCAGTGGGGAGTGGGTGGGTGGAGATGGGAGTTTTGGGAAGAGGAGGATGGAGAGTAAAATAATTCTAGATTTTGGATTCAGCAAAGGAGGGCTTAACCTCTGGTTTAAGCATAAAAGCTAGATGATCTTATACATATTAACACATTCTAACCCTTGTTAGTCCAAGCTGCACCATTTTGTAAGTCCTCAGCCATTTTGCAGGTCCTGGCCACAGTCAAACATTTCACAGGGGTTCGGGCTGTGAGACACATCCTGCCCAGCCACCTGACTTCCTTATCATATCCTGCTGGGCAAACATCCCAGGAACATCCTATCACAGTCCGCTGGAAACAGGGCCAAACTGCCTGATCATAAGAACATCTAATCAATATCCTCCGGGCAGCAAGCCAAACCGCCCAGACTACTCCCACCCAGACCTATAATTATCCCAGTCTGTAGGCCTCAGTGGGCTCTGACATTTACCTGGTCCCCACCTCTGCAGGTTGCGCTTGCAATAGACCTGTGTTGCTGTAGAGCCGCCAACTCTCTCTCTGTCTTTCTTTAACCTTCACCTTCTCTTCAAAACTTAAACCTTAGTTTCAACATTGTAATTGTCCACCCTCAGTTTCAACATTGTAATATGTTGAACAGTAACATTTTATAGAGTTTCTTAGAGCATTTAGAGTTTTTTAGAACATATGTAAAGTCCTTAGCATAGTCTCTAGTACCTCCAGACATTTACAAATGTAACTTCCCTTCTTCTCTTTCTTTCCTAAATGATTTGTCCCAAGTACTGAGAATATTATAAAAACTGCATCAGAAAATATACTTGAACTTAGCTTCATTTTATGGTTGGACTTATAAAGCTCCTATTTGACATCTTTCTTTTTAATTCAAAACAGTTCATGATATTTTAATGTACAGTTCTAGACACTGGATTCAAATTTTTATATACTTTCTTGTGGGTATATATCCAAAGAAAATTATATCTTTATCTCAAAGAAGTATTCACATGCCTATCTTCATTGTATAGTTTTTCATGATAGTCAAGATATGAAAACAACCCAAGTGTCCATCAGTGGATGAATGGGTAAAGAATATGTGGTATCTATAAAATGAACTCTCTCATTCAGCCATCAAAATAAAGGAATCTTGCCATTTGTAACAATATGGATGAACCTGGAGGATACTATGCTAATATCGAATTAGCCAGAAACAGAAAGACAAGTACTGCATCATCTCAATTATGTGAAATGAAAAAAAAAAAAAATCAAACTAATAGAATCAGAATGTAGCATGGTGGTTGCCGGGAGGTAGGGGTATATGGTGGTGGAAGAAATGGAGAGGTATTGATGAAAAGGTACAAACGTTCAGTAATAAGATGAATAAATACCAGGAATCTAATGTACAAATTCGTGACTATGGTTAATAATATTTTATTATTTACTTGAAATTTGGTAAGAGAACAGTGTCCTTACCACACACACACACACACACACACACACACACACACACAGAGTAACTATGGGTAGTGATGAATGTGTTAATTAATTTGATTGTGGTAATTATACAATGTCTACATATATGAAATCATTATGTTGCGTACCCTAAATACATGCAATTTTGTCAATTATACTTCAATAAAGCTGGAGGAAAAATACCACAACAGGTTGAATGCAGAAACACATATGAGAATCTAGCAGTGTTTTATTAAGCCAGACAGTAAAGAGATTTGAAAAATATAAAACAATGCCACTCTTCTCTCTAAATGTTTTTTCTTTGAAAAATATTTTTTCATAAAATGTTGTATTCTTAACATGTAATGGAATTTTTATTTTTTAATAAATTAATATCTTTTTATAATTTGTTTTAATCCCATATAAATTAAATATGGACATATATAACTTTCAAAAACATAAGCAGTTTGAAGATCTCAATAGTATGTAAGCATGTAAAGGAGTCCTGAGGCCAAAATGTTGAGAACCACTGCTCCATTTCATGTTTCCTGTAGACAATAATGGGAGGTTTCTAAGAATACACTGAATGACACACGTTTTCCTGTTCTGCTTATGGACATGCCAATTAATGAAGGTTGGCAGAGCAAGCTGTCAGGATCAAGTCTGAAAAATAGCTGAGTAGGAAACATTTCAGAGAATTTAAAGTTTTCCAGTAATACTAGAGATGTTGAACCTTTTTTGAGTCTAGGTCACAAGATGTCATTGTGTGAATGTGAGTGCCTAGATTCATACCACCTACTATGTGTAAGTCATACTAATCTAGTTCATGAAAGCACAAATAGAAGGCTAATATATTCCCAGATTTAGAAACAAACAAATGTATTATAACTCTCACCATTTCAACAAGTACCTATTGAATATCTACTACATCTAAGGAAATACAAAAGATTCTGTATGGGAGAATCTGGCAAAACCATCTTAACTTCTTTGGCAATGGTCAACTCTTACCTACACTGTGCCAAGTACATTTTTCTGGACTTTGCCATGGGATACCTATTCTCACACTCATATTCAGCTATATTTTTTTTCACAAAAATAACCACTGACACTCTGGGAGGCCAAGGCAGGTGGATTCCCTGAGCTCGGGAGTTCGAGACCAGCCTGGGCAACATGGTGAAACCCCAACTCTACTAAAATACACACACACAAAAATTAGCCAGGTGTGGTGGTGAGCACCAGTAGTTCCAGCTACTTGGGAGGCTGAGGCAGGAGAATGGCTTGAACCTGGGAGGTGGAAGTTGCAGTGAGCCAAGATCGAGCCACGCACTCCAGCCTGGGTGACAGAGCGAGACTCCATCTCCAAAAAAATAAATAAATAAATAAATAAATAAATAACCACTGAATATCTACTCTACAAAAATAAAGAAATAAAAATAACCACTGAATATCTACTACTGGAAGCCATTGTGTAGCTGTAGTGGTTGAGTTATTAAATAAAAACAGATATATTGTCCTGATATCTGGTTAAATAAGAGAGGTTTCACAACTTATAAAGCAAAACTTGAAGGTACCAAAAAATGCAAATCAGCAATCAAAGTTAGAAATTTTACCAAACTCCTCTGTACATAATAGAATAAGCAGAAAAAGAAAAACAAGAAAATAGATGAGTCGACCAATTTGACATATACAGAAAAGTATACCCAATAACTTTATAAGTGCACATGAAATGTTTACAAAAATTGCCTATATGCTAGGCCATAAAGCAAGTCTCAATACACTTCGAGAGGCCAAAAACCACACAGTATATATGCCATGAACTCAATGGAATTAAGTTAGAAAGAAATAACAAAGGAGTAGAAAATCTTAGCTTCTTGGAAATTAAACAATGCCTTCTAAATAACCAATAAGTCTATGGTGAAATAGAATACTAAAAAATCTTTTTTTTTTTTTTTTTTAAAACGGAGTCTTGCTCTGTCATCCAGGCTAGAGTGCAATGGCACAATCTCGGCTCACTGCAACCTCTGCCTCCTGGGTTCAAGTGATTCTCCCACCTCAGCCTCCCAAGTATCTAAGATTACAGGCACTCGCCATCATGGCTGGCTAAATTTTTTTGTATTTTTGTAGAGATGGAGTTTTACCATGTTGGCCAGGCTAGTCTTGAACTCCTGTCCTCAGGTGATCTGCCCACCTCAGCCTCCCAAAGTGCTGGGAATTACAGGCTTGAGCCACCACGCCCAGCCTAAAATATCTTGAAATGAATGATAATGGAAACATACCTAACAGTACTTGCGGGAATCAGCTAAAGCAGTGCTTAGAGAAATGTATTGCCTTAAGCAAATGTATTTTTTAAAAATGAAAGAAAAAGATAAACGATCTAGATTCAATTTAAATAAATTAGAAAGAGGCAATGATATAAAAACTCAAATTTTTAAAAAGGAAATAAAAATAATAGCAAAAATGAATAAAAATGAAGACAAGTATACAGAAGAAAAACTCATCAAAGGGAATTACTGGCTATATATTTGATCAGCTCTGATAATACTATTCATGAAAAGAAAAAGAAGGAGGGAGAAGGCACAAATTATCCATCTTAAGAAGAAAAAGCAAGGCATCATAAAAGATCTTACAGGTATTAAACAGATAAGAATATATTTTGACAGGAATTATGGCAATGCATTTAAAAATTTTGTAAAGTAGAAAAATGTCCTTAAAAATCTAAGTTAAAAAACTGTCACAAAAGAAAATCTAAATATTCAATATCTACTTAAAAATATAGTTAATTATAATATTATATCCTTCCCAGAAAAAAAAACTTTCCAAACCCAGTTATCCTCTAGATTGTTTTACATATTTCAAAAAGAAATCAGTTATAACAGACACATGCAAGAATCAATAAAATGGAATTGTCCAAAACTTTTTATGAGGCAACAAAACTTTGACATCAAAACATATCAAAAATATTACAAGAAAAATTATCATCAAATATCCTTTATAAATATACTTGTAACACTTACAAATAAAATATTTATAAATTGTATTTATATAAAAAGACAAGTGCATTATGACCTGGTAGCATTTGTTTTAGTAATGCAAGGATGATTTAACATTCAAAAATCAAACATTCTGACTTACCACTTTAAAAAAGAAAGATTATTTCCCTAAGTTTGGAAAAGAGCATTAAAATAACAAACAATTAGAAAATTAAAATTTTAAGAAAAAATATTATTTATGATAGCATTAAAATATCAAATACACTTGTTGAAAGATAGGCAAAAAAAAAAAAAAGAAAGAAAACCACAAACTATTATTGAGAGAAATTTTAAAAGACTTCAGCAATTGGAGGGATATATCATGTTCATGAGCTGGAAAACTCAAGGTTGTAAAGATGTCAATTGTTCCCCAGATTTGACTTGCACTATGATGCCAAACAGACAAGTAGAACAAAGCAACAGAATATAGAGTACAAAAAGACTAAAACATATGTAATGATATTTCAGATGAATCATAGAACTAAATTATAAAGGTAAACAGTAAAGATAACAAAGGAGAACATCTTTACTATCTTGGTTAGACAAAAGAGAAACCGCTAACGAGGAAGACAAAACTGACAAACTGGATTTCACTGAAATTAAAAAGCTATAATCATTAAAGATGCCATAAAAGTTTGAAAATGTAATCAATAGAGTTCAAGATATTTGTATTAAATATATGTAATGAAAGACTTTCATCCAGATAATATAAACATCTCCAGAAAAATTATGAGAAAACTCAATTTTTAAAATGGCAAAAAGATTTAAGGTGGTCTCCCAGAAAATAGAAATAGTTATATGAACAATAACCATTTGAAAATGAGGCAACATATTTAGTTACCAAGAAGCTAATTAAAAACACAATGACATACTACTACCATAAAACTCAAACTAAAACTAACAATACCAACTGTTGGCCAAATATGGACTAACTAGATTTCTCATATTCTGCTGGCAAGAATATATAATAGTCTTTAGTATAAACCCAACAAAAATGCATATATATGTATATGAAGACATTTACTAGAATAATATATAACATTACTCACAAGAGTAAAAAACTGGAGCTGACTCAATTGTCTGTTAGTAATAAAATGTATAAATATTTGGCCACATATTTATATAATAAAATATTATACAGTAATAAAATGAATGGCTGGGCACGGTGGCTCACACCTGTAATCCCAGTTACTTGGGAGGCTGAGGCAGGAGAATCACTTGAACCCAGGAGGCAGAGGTTGCAGTGGGCTGAGATTGCGCGATTGCACTCCAGCCTGGGCAAAAAGAGCAAAACTCCGTCTCAAAAAACAAAACAAAATAAAATAAAATAAAATAAAATAATGAAATGAATAGGATGAATCACTCATTTTATTACTATATAATATTTTATATGCAACACCATGGATAAGTCTCACAGATATAGCCAATGAAAGAATTCAGACAAAATAAAGCACATATTTAATGATTCCATTTAAAATTAAGAAATAGACAAATTCATGATTATAAATGTGAAAATAACTGTTATATTTGAGGGCAGCTAATGACTTGAGAGGGTGCACAAGTGGGAGACCTCTAGGTGGTAAGTTCACTTTATAAAATTTAACTTAAGGTTTGTATACTTTGCTGCATATATATTATATTTGGATAAAAAAAGAGTTTAAAACAAAAGCAAAAACAAACAAACCTCCTTTGGAACAATATCACCTGTAAGAAAACTCAGATTACCTTATCATGAGGCTACCTTTGATCAGTGGGTGTTAAGATTTTTCATAATGTGATGGACATGCCAGTTAGAATAAATTTAAAATATTGTGAAGCATTTTAGACACTCTGATATGCATTTTGCATATTTCTTTTGTATATAACCCATTGGTTTTTAATAAGTATCCTTTGACTAATTATCTCCTCTTGGGAATTTACATAATATATAAACTAACTAAAACTTGAATAAGATTATTGTGCTTCTTAGAGATATTGGCTTATAAATAATAAGCTGATTACCTTAATTTCATCAAGCCACACCATTCATCCAGTGTGCTTCATTTTATCCTAAAAATTTAGCCAAAAAAAAACATTGAAATTCACTGCAATACTTTCTAGAAATTTGGTCAGGCTATACATTAATGACAGCTAAATTAGCACAGACACTATCTATTCATGTCCCACTGCCCTTTATTTGATAGTCACTGTCATTTCTATGGCTTCTATACGTACAAACTGATTTAATTTCTCTCATCAGCCAATGCATCTAGATGTTCCTAACAAACACAAACCCCAATGAAGACAAAACTCAAGCCAATTTTCAAGGGAAATGATTTAATTCTTTAGAGCCTGTTACTCCAAATCCTTGTTTGGCTTCTTAAGCTTGTTTTCAATGTTTGGTTCAATGGTTAGCTAAAGGCCACATAATGCATGAGTTGGTATGTGGTTAAAACTAGAGCTTTGATATTTCTTATAGTCAGCCATTGCTTTTTTCACAGCCCTAATAATGTTACATAATTATATTGAACACTGTTAAGCTAACTTGAGAAATAAGTACCAACCAAGCAACTTCTGGTAATTGCCACCTTTAGTATTACTTCTCGTGGATGCCCGGCAGACTATTTTTAGAGTCTTTAAAAATATATGCAACTATTTCCAAACTAAATCATGCTGTTTGGGAATGCTGGAACTAATTTTTGGTACATGTGAAATGAACACAATAAAAAACATTTGATTCCTAAGCAAGGAAGTGGTACAAAGCGGAGTTGCTTCTTTTGCCTGATATTTTTGGAAACACAAAGCTTCTGCAAGGACTGCAAACTGGAAATGAACGCATGCTGTTGCTGGGCGAGCTTTCCTCCATGTTTCTCTCAAGAACTGAAATGTCTTGATTTTTATATGCATTTATACCTCCCTGTGTAAGTTTTGGCCATATGTGCCTAGCTGGGGTATACTCATTGCATACATAACCAAAAATAAATGAAGTGAATAAAATTGTTCTTTTTTCATTAATTCAATTATGTTGCCATCCATGATCTGAAAACAAGAGTATGCAAAACACCTAAAGCATTTGTGAATCAATGTTTTAGATACATTCCAGAGGTTGAAAACTTGTTTCCTTCAAATTACATTGGGTGTTCCCATATCTTGTGTTTTACCAACATTTAAATATTCTTATCCAGGTGCAGTGGCTCACGCCTGTAATCCCAACCCTTTGGGAGGCTGAGGCGGGCAGATCACGAGGTCAGGAGTTCGAGACCAGCCTGGCCAACATGGTTTAACACCATCTCTCCTAAAAATACAAAAATTAGCTGGGCATTGTGGGGGGCACCCGTAATCCCAGGTACTCAGGAGGCTGAGGCAGGAGAATTGTTTGAACCTGGGAGGTGGAGGTTGCGATGAGCCAAGATCACACCATTGCACTCCAGCCTGGGCAATAGGGCGAGACACCTTCTCAAAAAAAAAAAAAAAAAAGAAAAGAAAAAAAAAGAAAAAAAATTGCTTGTCAACATCTGCTGGAATGGGAGAATGTTTGTCTATTTGAGACAGGGCAAGAGTTCTGTACCTCACTAAAGACCTCCATCCCCAATAGTCTAACACTTACCATTCACTTATTTATATTATCTCCTTGTCCTGCCTGAGTAGGCTTTTTAGTTATGTGATCTCTGACCTTAGAAAAGTAGTCTTGGAAAGAACTATCTACTTTTCCATAAATTTGT
This sequence comes from Homo sapiens, assembly GCF_000001405.40. Lineage (NCBI taxonomy): Eukaryota > Metazoa > Chordata > Mammalia > Primates > Hominidae > Homo > Homo sapiens. Next base: position 175,216,423 of record NC_000003.12, on the reverse strand, counting down.
TGCAACTATCTGCATCTATCTTTAAATGAAGAGTATTTGAATACTCTCTTAAAGCCTCATTAAGTCTGAGGTAATTGAACTGATTTCCTAAAAATGAACAGAACCAAAAATTAGGCTAAAGAGATGGCCACAGCAAAATTTGGTTTTGTTTTAATATTAATAAAACTGTTATATTTGACAAGATGAGGCAAGGGGAAGGGGGAATCACGGTACATAATATTCAAAATTGGTCATCTTTTTTCTTATGTGTGCATTTATACTATTTCTTGTCATACTAAAATCACAAAAGAATTTTACAAATCAAATAAGAATCCAGGCAGTGCATTTGTGACAGATTATTGGCATGCTAGAAAATGCATTTAAGTTATCTTTGGAAAGGATGATTACAAATTGGCACTAAAATTATTCATCCATTAAGGATCTACTGACATGTCATCATGTCATAGAAATTAATAGAAAAGAAATCATTCTATTACCTCTAAAGAGGTAATTCCACCTAGTCCTACATTTTTCTTCAGAAGTATGTTTATTAGCACCTAGCCTGTCTATCTGACTAGACCCATCCATTCAGTCTTACTTTCTGCACTATCCAGAAGAATTATTTCAATTATATTTAAAAAAGCAGGTCCTGAATTGACAGACTGTTTTAAAAGTTTTCATTGGAATGAGTGCCGACTGGCCTGTGTGGCAAAAATTTAAGAACTGAATTCATTAATTAGGTATATGGAGACAACTGTACCCCCTCCAGGAGTGAGCAGGTAATCTTAAGATGACTTTCTATCCAGTGGTTAGGAAGCATTATTTGCAGAATTTCTGAGGCCAGGATCCTCAAACAGACATTAAGGAAGTCATAGAAGTGGTCTGAAAGGTGTGCAAAGTCTGCTGATGAGACACTTAACACTGGGCAATGAGGAAAATCCAGGTAAGCAGTCAATTATTAGGTAATCAGAGAGCAAGAAGCACGGCTCCAACACAGGTTTCTAATCCTTGGGCAGGTCTTCAGCTCCCGGACATAGAAGAGCAAGACATGTATGGAAAAATGCTATCGTGGGAGGAGACAAGGGTATGATTCAAGTGCTGGGATGTTGTTAAAGAAAAAAGACACGATAGTGATCTGAAAGAAAAGTAAGTTTTTGTTGGTGATATTTCTCTGATTTTTAATGAATTAGCAGTAATAATAATCATGACTTATAAATGTTCACATCAACCCTGAAAAACAGTAGCATCAGAACATTAAAGATGAGAAAACCGAGGTTCAGGAAGATTGAGTTAACTAGAAACTCTCATATCACCCCTCAATAGTGACTGATTTCAGAAGTTGTTATGGTGATTTTACTACTTGTAGATATCAAGTAACTTCATTTGGGAAAAAAAGAGGGCTGTGGTGGCTGAGAACCACTAAATAAGCTCATAAAAATTAGTCCGTATAGTTTAAAGTACCATAAACATGTAGTGAATTAGTAAACCCCATTAATTGACAAAAATACCTTGTATATTTTTTTGTGTGTGTCAAGTAAACTCCACAACAAAATCAAGCATTTATGTATAAGGATCCAAACTAATGTACAAGAATGTCTGTACTGCTGGATTGCAGACCCTAATGGTTAGGGCTGTAATTAACAAGGAATATGTGAACATGAAATCATATCCTTATTAACTACATTTTGTTAAAATATTGGCACAATTAAAGTTACCCAGTTTAGTAGGAATGAATAAAATTAGCTCAAATTTCATTCATAATGCCTTTACTACCTTCATTGTTCTAACAGCACAATAATATGTTTCTTGTCTGTAGAAGACTCTATAAGAAAAAAATGGTTTTCTGATGACATCTGATTTTTTATTTTTCAGGGGTCAGACAAAGAAGACTGATGATAAGCAATAATTTAATTCACCTAAAGCTCAGACAAGCCATGAATAGATCTATCAAAATCAAATCAGTAACTGACATTTGTACAAAACATGCAATTAATCCAAAGGTTTATAGCCTTTCAAGATAAATAACTGTCATGACGGAATCCATCCTTTACTGAAGGAGTGTTTCATCTGAAAGACACAGAGGCTTTTACAGCATTGCTGAAAGTTCAGCAGAAAATACAGCAGAATTTTCAGCTTTGTTGTAAAAGGTAACACAGTATCAATGACTGGTTTCCAAGAAGTGTGTCAATTTTTTTTTATTACTTTCATGTAAACTATAAGTTGAATACCATTGATTTATTAGGTAAAAATGCTGTCATGTAAATTACAATAATAAACACAACCTATCAACATAAAAGCAATGCCAGTATTTCTTCTCCAAATATCTTCATTTGTTTCAAAAAGTCATTCACATAAAATGGGCATGTTGGCTCATATTGAGTATATTTTTCTTAGAAAATACAATAATGGTATTCTAATGAACAAATTTTTCACAAAAATTTTCTTCCCGTTACTTTAACAAAACCATTATGGAGTACTGCATTTTGGTTTAATCATAGGAGTTCCCTCTTACAGTCCACAGGTGTAGAGTTGTAAATAAATGGGATATCCCATGTCATATGAGAAGGGGAAATGCTAATGTTGGGATCAAAAGTGTGGTTCTGGAGACAAATCGTGTTCAAATATCTACTCTGCCTCTTACTAACTAAATGATTGTGGGCAAGTTATTAAAGACCCTTAAGACTCAGTTGCTTCACTGGAAAATGGAGATAATAACAGTACATATATTAATGGGTTGCTATGGTTAAATATAATAATTCCTATAAAGGACTTAGCACAGTGCCTACTCAGTTCTCATCCAGTGCTCAGTTCACCATCATCTGCCTTCTGTACCTACTACACTATGTAAATGCATAGTTACCTATCTAGATTGTTCTTTCCCAGGTCAAGAGCAGATATATGTCCTGTGTATGTCTCCATGCCTTCAAAAGCTGTGTGTCTTCATTTGATTTTGATATATCAAATGCCTAATTTCCCATGAATATCTCCATAACACTAGAAGATAGCACTAGTTCCTACATGACCTGACACTGGTGACCCTGTGGTCTGAGAAAAAGCTCCAGAGATAAGAAGTGGAAATTTTGTTTTGATTACATAACTTCCCTACAACCTCCCTTAATATCTAGTAGGACAAAGACCAAACCTTATTTTTCAGTGTTTAGGTTTGTCACAGCCTATCTCTATTTTCATTGCTAATCTGATCTACTCCCACCTATTGGATGATTCAGAGACAGTCTGGCATTGATTCTTCCACTAACTAAATGCGAGATCTTGGACAAGTTATTTAGCCTCTTGGAAGCACAAATGTCTTATAATGATTCATACTTCACCGAGTTGCTGTTACAATCAAAAGCATTAATGTTTGTAAATTGCGTAATAAGCAATAAGCATAAGCACTCAATAAGTAGTTTCTATTTTAGGCTTGCACTGATTTCAGCCAGTCCTGTGTATCACCTGAGGCTGCCATATGCACTGCTACCACCACTACTTGCTCCACTCACCCACTCCAGAGAGCCATTTTGGCACAAATCAGCCAACTCTAAACTCTGTCCTGCAAATAACTTGGCATCTGGCTCGTAAAGCTTTAACCAATTTTCTGCGTTATTTAAGTATTTCATACGAACTTTCTGAATCAGCAACTCTTTTGTTATTTCTTTAAGTCTAGGTAAAAATAGGCTTTTACATTTATTTTAGAGCTGCTCATTTCTGGGAAAGCTGACTTAAAATTATGCTCATAGTGGGTAACCAACAAATCAATGCTGAGTTAAGAGAACAAGGAAAACAGAGACAAAGGGAGGAAAGAGAGGAAAAGATGAAGTGAGGAAAGGAGGAAGAAAGGAAGAAAAAATGGAGGAGGAGGAAAGGGGATGAGGAGAGGGAAGAAGAAAAAAAAATGAAGAAAATTTATGATTCATGGTCTTTCCTGATTCCTGATGTGTGTCATTATTTATATCTGGAAAGATGTACTGTTTTACCATATGATTTCTTTTTGTATATCTTCAGTAAATTTGATTTTATCCTATAATCAAATTTTAACATAAATGTAACAGACCCTTTTAGCTTTGTTTTCTGTGTTACTAGTTAATGGGATATAACTCATTTTTTTTTTACCTTACTATGACTTGATTAATTAACTCTTATATAGTAATGTGATTGTGAGTTGATAGTTCTCTAGTGTATAGATGTTCTACAAAGTATATTTGAAATAAACTAGCATTAATGGGCCTTCTTAATGGACATGGGCACCATATAGGAATCTTATTACTAAAGGTAATAAGAACAATTCTAGATTAATGTGTTTCATCTGTTCTACTTTTACTGCTATTATTTTTCAAGGGAGAGTAATAAAGTGTCATTTAAATTACTCTCTTGAAAGAGAAAAACAAAAACAAAACATTACAACAGTTATCCCACAGGTGCGTCTGAATGATGTCAACTATCCTGACAAAAAAATACGATATTTTTAATATGTGGCTGTTTTATTGTGTTAAGCAGAAATTTTTAGTGAGTGAGTGAATTTTTTCCTTAGCATCAGTATGTCTGCTATTACAAAATGGGAGGACTAATCATTTTTGATTTGGGCAAATATTTTTCGTAATGAATACATTATTTTAAGAATAAAACAAGAAAATTTAAGAGCATTTCCTTGTACATACTATTTCCATTAAGAAATATAATTGCACATCACAATGTGTTATCTTTGGATTAACTCTTGTTTGTTAATCAAGCAAGTCCCATATATTTAAACACACCGGGTTAAATTGGCACCAGAAAGCATGAGGGAATACATCCAAGATCTACCTTAATGATGCCAACATTTCAGGGAATAGATGACACTATATAAATATGAATGACAATGTAAGTTAGGAATCTGTAGGAATGGCCAACATATCATTTTGTTATAAGTAAAATATGTAAGTGTTTTAAATACAGAGGTACTTTAGTATAAAATAGAGGCATGTTTCTAAAATTAAGACAAATATATTTTCTCTAAATAGAATATACTAGTTTCAATAGGAAGTGTCAGCCTTTGATCAAATATAATCATTGAGCTACTTCTCCTTAGATTATTTTTATTATTCATTTCCATCTGGAATGCCTTCCCTGGAAACCTACACTATTTAAATTCTGCCCACTATTCAAGTTCCTGTTCCCCAAGAGAATTTTTGAGCATGTGCATAAAACGTAATAAAGATTCTGAAGTATCTATATTTATTTGGTGTTTTTCCAAGGCAGTTTCAATAGATTAAATTAAAATGTGTATCACTTTAGATTGAAGCAATGCCCCCACCTTCTCTCATCCCAAAAGCTTTACTGAAATAAACTGCTCCATTTCAAAGTTCTAATCCTTTGGCCTAATTAAGGGATTTCTATCCTGGTTAGAATATTAAAAATGCTCTGAGCTAATGGGCCTTTTTGTTTCAAATGTTAGATTTAATTTCCTGTGAATAAAATTTTACAGCATGGAAAACATTAGGTCTTATTGAAACACCAGTCAAATATAGTAAGTATGAAAAATGTCAATTAATAAATAAATAAATCCTGCTCAGCCTCTATAATCATAGTAATTTTAAAGGCATATAAGTTTTAAAGTAAATGTTTTAATATTTTAAATTTTGAAATTTAAAACATTTTTTAAATGACATAGGCAGTATGGTAAATAGAGCACTGGATTAGGAACCATGCTTTTTTTTACCTTTATTACTCAATTTTGTAGAGTTGTACAGTCATGTAAAATTGGTCATCTCATATTATTTTGAGGGAAGTTTTTAAACCTTTTCCCTTTTTTCTTATTTTCTTCTTCTTTTCTCTTTTGCTTGCTTTACCTTCCTCCTGCCTACCACATCACCCTTTGCCATATTCCACATTAACAATATATGTAAGCTTCACATACAATATAAGTAAGATTTAATATATAATTACATATTCACTTATATTATGTATTCTTCAATATTTTCACCTAGAACACACATACAACACATAAACATGTACATACACAAACCTATGTAGAAATTATTTCATAACAAAAAAGTAAGATCAAAGTGTATGTGCTTTTCTATATCCTGCTTATTATACTTAATCTTATCTCTTGAATATCCCTCCACATCACATGGAATGTTTCTTTTTTTAATTCTTACCATATTATCTTAACTAATTGCAAAAACAATATGCTTTATAATATACCATAACATTTTATATATATCCTTTCATTTTCCTGACAACTAGTTTGAGTAGTCTCTTTTCATGTTTTGTTTAGCCATTCAGATTTAATCTCCTGTAAACGCCCTATTCAACCCTTGGCTAATTAGTTTGCTTGTTTGGCTTTTTCTTGGCAGTTTGAAAGGGCTGTCTTTACATTACATATATCCATCATATTTCTGTTATGCGTATTGCAATTTTTAATATATTTCATTCTATTGTATGTATAATATTAATACATTCATGGAATTTAGTATGCTACTATTCGTTGGCTATTTTCAGGGTTTCCCATCACAGGCTAATAATATTTACTGCTTTATTGAAAACGAAGACTTGTAGACTTTATTTATTTATTTTTAATTTTTTTAAATGCTGCACATAAGTGTGTTAATCTTTTTGGAACATAAGCAGTGAGAAAGCTCTTCACATTGATGATATTTATAGGTTCTCAAGGTCTTTAAATGACAGAAATATTCATTACCATCATTTATGAGGACCTTCTGCTCTTCATAAATATACACCAAGTATATATATATATATCCAAAATAACTACTACATGTGTCAGTAACATATCACCGTAAGCTGGCAGCATGTATTATTCCTTAAAATCTATTTATGTGTACTTAATCTTTTGTTGATCATGTGATGTAATGACATGTACAAGACATCATCTAATTTTCCTATGATTAACATTCTTAAGTTAGAGAAGTTCAACTAAAGCACTGTTATTCCTCATTATCTAAATGACACAATTACCACAGACATTTTAAAAAGAAAAGTGGCCATTTTCAAGAACAAAATTTTCTCTTTCTCAAGAATGTTTGTTAAAACTGAAATATAACCATGTACTAGTTATGCTTCTGCTCTTCAAAGAAATGTACTTCTCCCTGACTAGTTTGGCAGTAATTGGATAGACGGAATATAGCATCACTTCCAGACTCTGCACTGAACTAAATGCTTTTTTTTCTGCTTTTATCTTCAGCAATATCTTTTATAGCTATTGAATAAATGCAGTACATCTATTCATGTTATCTGGAGAAGTCAGAAAACCAATATTTACCATTTTAAGTTGATTTAGGAACAGACGACATGTTTTATTTTACGTTCTTTTCCCTACTACACCTTCTATTTAAGACCCACTAAAAGTAGAGAAAGGAGATCAAACATTCACAGAAACAAACGCTCCCTTTCAATTAAACAAAGCTTTTGCTTTTTAATGTCAGAATAGAAGTTCCTTTGTAAACAATATAATTTTGTAGCCACTGCAAAGGCAATAGATTTAAAAACAAAATAAAGCAACATTACAAATTATCTATAACTGAGAAGGCAAACATTCTAAAATGCAACCTGGACAGTTCAATCTGCGCCTGGACTGACCCGTATAATCCTCAAGGAATAAAAATTTATTCCAAATGCAAAAACGATTCATGGTTATTCTTTAAATAATATTATCTATTAAACTTGTTCTGGCCTTACTGCGCTTCTCCATTTTCCATATTATTTATTTCCTTTCTATCTAAATTGAGTTTTATAGTTCAACCATGTGGAGATCAGTGTATGCTTAGTGGAAAAATGCATTATCGGAAGAATGTAATATAATGTTGTCTCTCTAAGTAGGAAACAGAAGCATTATATTCAACGTTTCAGCCAAGTTACTGGGATTGGCTGTCAGCAATCCACTTCGTAACAGAGTTGACTCATCGAGCACATGCTGACTGACCAGCTAGTGCCAAGTGAACAGGAGCAATGATGGCCACTAAAGGCAGAGACAACTAAAAGCCTTTGTTAGAGGCTGTTCGTGTTCTGAATGGAGTACAAAACAAAGCACATATAAAGTCAAGAGAGAAGCTTGTGCATGCTGTTACACTATAAACTTTAAGATTTCTGGCAGATCTAATGGCAGGGGTACTAGCAAAGCAAGATAGGTTTAGACAGAAGAAACGAGTATTCCGAATAGACTTTTAAAGAATTGACATACCCAAACTGCTGAAACATGGTTGTGAAAATGCCAACAGGTAAAAAGCAAAAATATAGGAAGCTTGGGATAGAAATAAATAAGTAACGGTAGGATCAAAATATTAAATTTACTAGAGCTGAGGATGGGTTGAGTAAGTGAAGTTTCCTAAAGAACAGTCAGATGGAGGAACATGAACAAACAAAAGAAACAGTGAGCATGTTGTTCTCAAAAGATATGTAGGCTATTTTTGCTTCCTTTCTATTTGTTTAGCTTTTGGAGTGCTTTACATTTCTTTCCAATAAGAGCTTTTATGCCCTCGTTCAGTTTATACTCCTGTAAGTAAATCTTCTCCTCAAGTCATTGATTCTATGGTTTCAAAATCAGTGGCCTAATCAGTTTCTTTTTCCTCTACAGCAAAGTCCACTCCTTTTATTTATCATATGAAAGAGAAGACATCACTGCTCTGTCAGTGCATTTAATTCAGGATTCTTTTAGAGCGGCTTCCTTTTTTTCGGTTATGTTTAAACACTTTAAACATCATATAAAAGGAAGATTTAATAAGCTTTACTCGGCTTAATGTGTCTTCAACACTCAACACTGGAACACTAAATGAAGGAATAATCAAAGAAGGGAAAACAGAGAGGAAATGTGTGGATAAGCAACTAAAGGATGCAGATGTTGAGGAATTAAAATAAACCAAAAGATGCCTCTTAGTAACAGTGTGTTCTAATGGGTAATGACCTGAACTGCTGACCAAAATATACAAATGAGTCATTTTGCTTTATGAATGTCTAATCCTGAAAAATAGATGTAGGAAGTCATTGTTGTACGGGAGAAAGTAAGTCACTCCAAAAATCCAGCATTACTTAAATATTTGGAAACGAAAGCCAACTTTTAATATGATATTTGGTAATAACTTCCATCATGGTTTTAATCTCTTTTTTTTTAATTATCTTAAGGTAAAAATTCACACTATTTTATTTCTTTACACACCTGTGGTTTGCCTCCCCTCAATTCCAAACCTTCTAGTCTCCAATAATTTCTGAAAACATTGCTGATATTAAGACCTAGTCTGCTTTAAATACTTGCAACAATTGACTTGGTCAGCTAATTCTGTTATTCATCTATTAATTAAAGAAATATTGAGTCCTTTAGTTCTATACACTCTATATACTCTAATGCATTTATAACATCTATCATTCAACCCGTCTTTATGTTACAATATATACGTTTGCATATATAAATATGCATATATAATCCTATACGTGTACTTGTGTTTCTGTGTGTATCTCCAGTGTATGTGTGAGCATCCAGTGTGACATATTCGCATGCACTGCTTTCTCTTCATTTTACCACTTTGTCCTCTCAATAATCATGAGTTCAATCTTTAAAGACCTGAGTAGCTTTATTGGGTTTTAAAAAGAAGTTGACTGAGCTAGGTCACTCCATTGCTAAACAGATTGGAAGGATTAGCAGACCTAAGCCAGAAAAAGTGTCAGTGGCTCTACCCCTCTACTCTGTGCTGCCAACGACTTCTAGCATCATTCCCAAATGTTGGTTTTCTCTATGCTCTTTTTTATTTTTCCAGAAGTTATTGGGGTACAGGTGGTATTTGGTTACATGAGTAAGTTCTTTAGTGGTGATTTGTGAGATTTTGGTGTAACCATCACCCGAGCAGTATACACTGAACTGTATTTGTAGTCTTTATCCTTCGCCCCCCTCCCACTCTTCCCCACCAAGTCCCCACAGTCCATTGTCTCACTCTTATGTGTCCTCATGGCTTAGCTCCCACATATCAGCAAGAACATATGATGTTTGATTTTCTATTCCTGAGTTACTACACTTAGAATGATAGCCTTCAGTCTCATCCAGGTAGCTGCAAATGCTGTTAATTCATTCATTTTTATGGCTGAATAGTATTCCATCGTGTATATATAACATATACATTATATATGTGTGTGTGTGTGTATGTATGTGTATATATATATATATACACATACATACACACACACAGTGAAAAAAAAAAATATATATATATATATATAGTTTTTTATCCACAGTATCTTTATCCTCTCATTGATTGATGAGCATTTGGGTTGTTTCCACGATTTTTCAATTGTGAATTGTGCTGCTATAAGCATGCATGTGCAAGTATCTTATTCGTATAATGACTTATTTTCCTGTGGGTAGATACTTAGTAGTGGGATTGCTGTATCAAATGGTAGTTCTACTGTTAGTTCCTTAAGGGATCTCCACACTGTTTTCCATAGTGGGTGTACTAGTTTACATTCCTACCAGCAGTCTGGAAGTGTTCCCTGATCACTGTATCCTCACCAACATTTACTGTTTTTTATTTTTTTATTATGGCCATTGTTGCAGGGGTAAGGTGGTAGCGCGTGATGGTTTTGATTTGCATTTCCCTGATCATTAGTGATGTTGGGCATTTTTTCATTTTTTTTTTGGCCATTTGTATATCTTCTTTTGAGAATTGTCTATTCACATCCTTGGCCCACTTTTTGATGGGATTTTTTGTTGTTTTCTTACTGATTTTTTTGAGTTTGTTATAGATTCTGGATATTAGCCTTTTGTCAGATATATGGATTGTGAAGACTTTCTCCCAATCTGTGGGTTGTCTGTTTAACCTTCAGACTGTTGCTTTTGTCATGCAAAAGCTCTTTAGTTTAATTAAGACCCAACTATCAATCTTTGTTTTTATTGCATTTGCTTTTGGGTTCTTGTTCATGAAATCCTTGCCTAAGCCAATATCTAGAAAGGTTTTTCCAGTGTTATCTTCTAGAATTCTTATAGCTTCACATCTTAGATTTAGGTACTTAATCCATCTGGAGTTGATTTTTGTATAAGGTGAGAAATTAGAATCCAGTTTCATTCTCCTACATGTGGCTTGCCAGTTATCCCAGCACCATTTGTTGAAAACAGTGTCCTTTCCCCACTTCAAGTTGTTTGCTTCATCAAAGATCAGCTGGCTGTAAGTATTTGAGTTTGAGTTTCCTATTCTGTTCCATTGGTTTATGTGCCTATTTTTATAGCAGTACCATGCTGTTTTGGTGAATATGGCTTTATAGTATAGTTTGAAATCAGGTAGTGTGATGCCTCTAGATTTGTTCTTTTTGCTTAGTCTTGCTTTGGCTATGTGGACACTTTTTTGGTTCCATATGAATTTTAGAAGTGTTTTTTTCTAGTTCTTTGAAGAATGATGGTGGTATTTTGATGGGAATTATATTGAATTTGTAGATTGCTTTTGGCAGTATGATCATTTTTACAATATTGATTCTCCATCTATGAGCATGGGATGTGTTTCCATTTGTTTGTGTCTTCTATGATTTCTTTCAGCAGTGTTTTGTAGTTTTCCTTGTAGAGGTCTTTTGACTCTTTAGTTGGTATATTCCTAATTATTTTATTTTATTATTATTATTTTTTGCAGCTCTTGTAAAAGGGGTTGAATTCTTGATTTGATTCTCTGCTTTGTTGCTGTTGGTGTATAAAAGAGGTGCTGATTTGTGCACATTAATCTTGTATTTGGAAAATTTGCTGAATTCTTATATCAGTTCTAGGAGCTTTCTGGAGAAGTTCTTGGGGTTTTCAAGGTAAACAATCACATCATCAGCAAACACTGACAGTTTGACTTCCTCTATACTGATTTGGAGGCTCTTTTTTTCTCTTGTCTAATTGCTCTTGCTAGGACGTCCAGTTCTATGTTGAAGAGGAGTGCTAAGAGTGGGCATCTTTGTCTTGTTTCAGTCCTCAGAGGGAATGCTTTCAGCTTTCAACTTTTCCCCATTCAGTATTATGTTGGCTGTGGGTTTGTCATAGATGGATTTTATTACATTAAGATATGCCCCTGCATGCCGATTTTGCAGTTTTAATCATAGAGTGATGCTGGATATTGTGAATGTATTTTTCTGCATCTATTGAGATGATCATGTGATTTTTGTTTTTAATTCTGTTGATGTGGTATATCACATTTATTGGCTTGCATATGTTAAACCATCCCCATATCCCTGGTATGAAACCCACTTGATCATGGCAGATTATCTTTTTCATATGTTGTTGGATTTGGTTAGCTAGCATTTTGTTAAGGATTTTAGTATCTATATCCATCAAGGATATTGGTCTGTAGTTTTCTTTTTTGCTTATGTCCCTTCCTGGTTTTGGTATTAGGGTGATGCTGGCTTCACAGAATGAATTAGGGAGGGTTCCTTCTTTCTCTATCTTGTGGAATAGTGTCAAAACTATTGGTACCAATTCTTCTTTGAATGTCTGGTAGAATTTTGCTGTCAATTTGTCTGGCCCTGGCCTTTTTTCTGTTGGTAATTTTTAAATTACCATTTCAATCTCATTGCTTGTTATTGATTTGTTCAGGCTATTGAATTATTCCTGATTTAAGCTAGGAGGGTTGTGTTTTTCCAGGAATGTATCCATCTCTTTCCAGATTTTCTAATTTATGTGCGTGAAGTTATTCATAGTAGCCTTGAATGATCTTTTGTATTTCAGTGGTGTCAGTTGTAATATCTCCTGTTTCTTTTATTAATGAGGTTATTTGGATTTGCTCTCTTCTTTTCTTGGTTAATCTTGCTAAAGGTCTATCAATATTATTTATGAGAGATTATCATGGTGGACAGGAGGCAGGACTAGATTGTGGTTCAGGACAGAGCAGCATGAGGAGACTTGCGCTGTGAATTTTAGTTCCAGATCAACTGCAAGAACAAACCAGTAATCCCAAGAAGACTCATAGAACTCTGAAGGAAGCAGACGGCTCCTGCAGGACCCAGGAAACAGTCCAAACACTATGAGTGCTCCTGCCGTGGAAGTGGGAAAGGGAGAGCTTCCTCTTCCAAATACACATCCCCCCACTGCAATAACTGAAGGTCTGTTTGTGGGAGAAGTTTCTGACCTTACTTGAAGCTGAGTCAGTTTAGAGAGCTGAGCGAAATACAGGGGTAGAGGAAGCAGCAGAAGGACCCTGGGAGCTCGCTAGTTCCCAAAGCAGGCCATTCCTGCCTGGAATCACAGGGATCCAACAGGACGGTGGCCAGAGGAGTGGGGTGAGGGGGGCAGGAAACACCACAGGGAGAAGTTAATCTCCAGCTGAACTTTGTAACAATTATTTGAATGGGTCAAGAAGCCTCCTGACCAGACCTCAGGGGAGGGTGCGAATCCAGTGTGCAGACTCCATAGGTGTGGGAAGAACCAAGCCTTTTTCTTTTGCAGCTAGGAGGTGGTAGCCTGGGGCAAGTTCTAAAGTCCATCTCGTCCACCACCTGGAAACAGACTTGGGGCTGTTTTGGAGGGGTTTGGGCGGGGGAAGGTGGGTGCAAGACCGGTCCTTTGGTTTATGTGGGAGCTGGGTGAGGCCTTAACTGGCACCCTTCCCCCACTTCCCTGACAACCTGCATGACTCTGCAGAGGCAGCCATAATCCTCCTAGGTACACAACTTCATTGACATAGGAACCTCACTCCCATCCCCCAGAGCAGCCACAGCAAGACCCACCCAAGCAGAGTCTGAGCTCAGACACACTTAGCCCAGCCCGACCTGATGGTCCTTCCCTACCCAACCTGGTAGCTGAAGGCAAAGGGCATATACTCTTGGGAGTTCTAGGGACCTGCCTACTGCCAGTTCGTCTCCATACTACCACAGCTGATGCTCTCTGGAAAGCACCACCTCCAGGCAGGAGGCCCACCAGCACAAAAATAGAGCATTAAATCTCTATGCCCTTTGAGTCTAGTTGGCCAAGCATGCTAAAATCACTTTTCTTTGGATCAGTGGGAAAGTTATTGGCATGTTGTGTGGGACATTTCTTTCTCATTACAATGCAGCATGTTAAGCATTCTTGAACCCACTCCTTTATCCAGCATTAAACAGCCAGAGCATACCCACCTCACCATCAGACCTGTTTTTAAACTAAGGAAAGAGATGCATAGATCAGAGAGGAGAGGAAATGGAAGAGGGAGGCTGCAACAAGGCCAACAGAACTGCCTTGTCTGGAGACCACCATTACCACTTGGAAATGAAGCCCAATACTCAGTGGACAAAGGAAGCTGATCAGCTGCAAACCTCACTTCCTTATGAAAAATTCAACTTCCCAAGGAGGCATCAAAGCAGAGTGATTAGGAATATGAATTTTGGGCCAGATTGGCAGTCTTCAAATCCTCAACTTTGACACATTGGGCAAGCGACTGTTAAGTGTCTGTGCCTTAGTTTTCGTATGTAAAAAAAAAAATAAATAGTAATGACCTTGTTAGAGCTGTGATGTGGACTGAATGAGTAAATATTTGTAAAGTGCTTAAAACATGATAGTACCATGTAAGTGATACATAAAGTTAAGAAATACATTGATAAAATCAAGTGTATTCTTTCTTAGAAAGAACAGATTAATAGGTATTTCTATTAATCCCACTACCTCCTCCAAATTTTCCTCTCTGCCATTCCCTTTAGCAACATAGCAATAGTTTTGCAAATTTGTTTTTTTTTTTTTTCCAAATAAGTACCCTCAATTGAATAACAAGCTAGCTAGGCAAAGCAATGATACTTAAGTGAGAAAGAGACACACAACAGATGGTAGAAAGCATACAAAAGGAAATTAGTGTACAAAGTTAAAAGAATATGGTTATTTAAAGAAGAATTGGAAAAAATCTAAATATAGTTCTGTTCTTGGAGCAACAGTGTAACACGACAAAGATGTAATGTCTGAAATGATTTGTTTTTACTGTCAAACCTAGTTATAATGTCTTATTGTTTTTCATATGTATAATCTGAAGCTTAAAAGTTAATTATTCCATGGGGCTCATGATATGTTGAATGATTATACTCATAGAATAAAAAATAATCTTAACATGATTTTCCATAGGGGAAAAATTACTTAATAAACTTGTAGAAGATCAATAAGTAGTTGGAACATATTTTAGCTACTGATGGGGGTGGGAAGGCTTATATAACTAAAAGTGTAAGCATACATACAATTAGAATTTAATTTTTATCAACTCTGACATGTTTTCATCAACCAGATATCTACTCTTCTTGTGGTGGTGGTTTTCCACAAATGTTACGGAGCATATCTGATCTGCCTGGGGAAAGGGTTAGGCACTAGAGATACATAGAGTGAAGATGTGGTCCCAACCTTCAGGGATTTTATATTCCACAGGTACATAGACATTTAAAAAACAAAAACATTGTGTTATTAGAGAGAGAAAAGAATGGAGTGTTATGGGAGCACAGAACAATTTGACATAATTCTGAAAGTATATGAGAGTTTTGAGAAGGATTTCCATGGAAGAGGTGCTATCTGTGCTGTTTTAACATGGAGAAGAGTCAAGGGAAAAATACTAGGATAATGTGACTTGGATTGGAGTGCAGGGATATGGAAAGAAATCAAGTTGAAGAGGTCATGATAAGTACAGTATAGTCTGGAATTTAAATTTGGCCGTTTATAGGCCATGGGAGCATTTGAGAGTCATGACCTGTTTTGTGTTTTAGAAATAAACTGTGTCAAGAAAAGTTTGCAGGAAAGAGTCTCTCTTTAGTAACTTGGGTAAGGAATGTTAAAGCCCAATTCATGGCAATGAGAAAGAAAAATGGTAGGAGAAAATGCAGTGGGAAATATTAAGGCAATCAAAGTCATTAGCTTTCATGTCTCACTGGATGTGAGTCAGGTTTAACACTAGCATTCTGGCCCCCATTACTGGGAGGATGGTTGTTCTAGTAACTGCTACAGGAAGTGGAAAAGGAGAAAGGGATTACATTGAGCGTTTTAGAAACTGATTCTGGAGATAATCATGAAAGACAAGACATCACTCCTCTGTCAGTGCATTTAATTCTGGATTGTTTTAGAGCAGCTTCCTTTTTTTCAGTTATGTTTAAACACTTTTTTGCTTGAAAAAATAACAGGATTGCTTAAAGAAAAAAAGAGAGAGAGAGAAATTAGTTAACCTAGTGAGAAAGGATTTTATCCTATTTGTTTTATGAAATGTCCATCATCATGGTTCTAAATTGAGTTAGGAACTAGCAACATTCCTCAGGCTACAATCAAGATCACAGTTGTGGCCCACTAGAGGCATACCCTTTTCAAACATTCATAGCCCACTGAGTCATGTAAAATAATAAATGAAGAAGCAAAGCTTAAGCAAAAGTAAAAACAGCTTGAAGTAGCTAGTTTCAAACAAATTGATGGTGACAGGATTTGGGAAGAGTTGGGCAGGGTATCAAGAGCCTTTGAAAGAGACAGAATCATGCCAGCTGAACTAATGATCAGTTGGACTTTTCGAAGTAGTAGTCTGAAAGAGTATTTATTTCTAAGCCTATGCATTTGCTTTTGGGTTAACCTGTATTATTTTTCCCACAGTCTCCTGGGAATACCAACTTTGCTTCAGATGGACTAAGGAAAAAAAAAAAAAAAAAAAAAAAAAAAATATATATATATATATATATATATATATATATATATATATATATATTTCTTTCCCCCCTACACAAAGAAAAAGATTAAGAAGATACTGTCTTAACGCAGCAAATCAATCAGTTTTCCTGGACACACAAGGAGAAACACATGTGAGATATAGAGAAACTAGGAGTAAAGCTAACGCCAAACAGGGAGGCCAGGGACATCTGTGAATTCTTATCCCTCCCTCCACGCAGTCTACGCACCATAGCCCTTAGTGCACTTTTATTCATTCATCCAGTCATTCACGTAACAAATACTAACTTGATACTTACAATTTGCTTGCAAATGTATATGCAGATAGTCCTACAATAGTGCATAAGGCACACACACAGTCTCATCCCTTGGATGCCTGCAAACATTATTTACATATTATATGTAAAGAAAGCATTATAACCTAGCACAGTATGAAAATTTTAGATAGGAGTAAAGCATGGTATCAAGAAGTAGCAGCAATATACTCTCCCAAGAGTTATATGTGACTTCTAAAGACAGCTGAGAAAAAAAGATACTGTGAATATAACCTGCTTTTTCTACCTTCAGACATGTCTAACTACAATTCAACTTGTCTGCTGCTAGATGAAGCATAAATCCAGAGAGAACAGCCACACTTGAGCTGAGAACAGTCCACCTTCAATGTCATTCAAAAGAGGCCTTGGAGAAAGCTCTGCGCTCTTTTGGCAGCAGCCACCTCCACTTTTATCTCCAGACATAAAAACACACATCCTGCTGATGAATACAATCCCGTTTCAAAGGCAAAATAATTGTATAGCATCTAACATGATGCTTTACTTAAAACTATTTATTGAAACTGTCCTTAAAATTTAAGTCTACAATGTCCAGATGCAAACATGCACTGAATAACTAATCAGAGTTCTGAGCTTCTGATGAAAACAGCAAATAGGTCCTGTTTTTGAGGTGCATGAATCAGTTTGCCTAAGGTATGCACCTGGATACTACCTAATTAGCAAAACTCACTGTATTTATTTTACATAAAAAATAATGGTGACCTTATGAAAATCCTGAGTTTTTGGGAAAAAAAAAAAATCTGCCCTTAAAATGAAAAAAAAATCTGCAAAGTACTTTAGCTTGAAAGTATTTGTCAGGTTTCTTGTCAGTATACCCAAAGGTTTCAGCCTAGAAAGCTGTGGAAAGTCCTTTTGCTTAACTTTATTCCCCCACAGTATGTTTGTAGTTTATCACTGCAACCCTCCTTCAACATTATCATTTCAAGGCAAGGTAAGTAAGAAGCTCCAGCATTGTGAAAAGAGTACTAACTATATATTGGAATTACGTGAGTGTATAAATCCTAGAAGTGTGCAGGTATATTTCATATATTTGTATATTTATTTATACATATGTAACTAAGGTACCTAATTTTTAAGCTTCATTTGTAAATTTTGGGAACTAATGATTACACAAAATATTGTACATGTGTAGAATAGACATTCATCCAGGTAAAGGTTAGAGGTATGAAGTAATATACAGGAATAGAAAAAATGGACTTTTAAACATTAAAAATAATCTCCTTCACTTTTTCCATTAATGTAAAATTAAAATTCTATAACTAGAAAAGGTACTAGATTCTTCGAATTTAATATTCATCTTGAAGATAAGTTTTTACACTGTCCTTGCTAGGAGTGAGTACTGGGGAACAACTTCAAAGCATATTCAACACTTGTGTTATTCCAAATATGTTCTGAAAATGGTTTGTTATTGATCTATGATTAAATAAATTAGATATTAAAAGCCAGGGATTCAAAACTTTTAGAGTAATTTTACAGGATAACTTTGTTTATGTTAAATCTAATTGTTAAAGTATCAAAAATATCTTCTACAACAGATTAGATATTTATATTTTTAAAAAAGAAAGTACTGTACTTTCCCACAAACATCTAATGGAAAATTCAAGAAGTACTGTTCTGCACTGTGTTGCAGGGTTCACCAGCAAGACTGACCCTCAGCTGCCCTCAGTGGTAATTTTCTCAATATTTCATTCTTGTTGGCTTCCTGCCTTTACTCTCAATTCCATACTTCTCTATAAGAGCTTCCTGACACCTCCCATGTAAACTCCCTGAATTCATATTTTTGTCACACAGTCTGTTTCTGATGTCAGATAGTTTGGTCTGTATCTATGTTTCTGATGTTGATAAGAATGCCTGGTGTATAGAGTTGTTTGACAAATCTTAATTAATTAATTAACATTTATTACTAATTAAAGGTTGGACAACCTTACAAAAAATCAGTTCTCTTCCTTGTGCCTCGAAGTTCTCAACCATATACACAGTTGATCCCTGAACAACACAGATTTGAAATGGGTGTGTCCCCTCAAATACAGATTTTCTTTCAATAAATATATTGGAAAAATTTTTGGTGATTTGTGACAATCTGAAAAACTTCGCAGACTAATTGCATAGTCTAGAAATATAGAAAAAAAGCTGTGTCATGAATGCATAAAATATACGTAGATATAGTCTATTTTATCATTTACTACCATAAAACATACACAAAACTATTATAAAAAGTTTTAATTTATTAAAACATATGCACACAAAAGCTTACGGACTCTACGCGGGCTTATTCACAGTTAACAGAGATATAAACAAATACAGACATATGCAGACTTAAACCATAGCTGCAGAAAATTAATTGTAGTACATATTCTATGACTGTAATAATTTTGTAGCCACCTCCTGTTGCTATTGCAGAGGGCCTTAAGTGTTGCAAGCATCCATTTAAAATGTAATGTAATGCTACTCATCTCTGTGTGAGCACTTTCTCTCTCCAGCAAATTGCATATTGCAGTAAAAAAATGACCCCTTATGTTTCTCACCTATTTTTTTCTTATTTTTTAGTGCAATACCATAAACCTGGAATGATACCATGACCCATAAAAAGTGCAACTAGTGATGCCAAAATTGCTACCAAGAAGCAGGGAAAATACATGACATTACACACAAAAAAAGCTGAATTACTTGATATGTACCCTAGATCGAGGGCTGCAGCTGTGATTGCTTTCAATTTCAAGACAAATGAATCCAGTGTAAGGATCATTGTTAAAAAGGAAAAGGAAATTTGTGAGGCCATTACTGCAGCTATGCCAGCAGGTGCAAAAACCTCGTACTTTTTGTGAAATACGTTTTTACCTCATACTAAAAATGCAACTTTTACGTGGGTGCAAGATTACTGTAAGAAAGGCATATCTATAGAATAATACAATTTGAGAAAATGCGAAGTCAATGTATAAAACTTAAAGCAAAAGGAAGGTGGATAGTCTAAAGCTGAAGAATTTAATGCCAGCTAAGGATGGTTTAATAATTTTAGAAAGAGATTTGACTTAAAAAATACCAACACAACAGGAGAAGCATTTTCTGCTGACCAAGAGACAACGGAAGAGCTTCCAGACATCACTAGGAAGATGCCTGGAGAAAGGATATCTTCCTAAAGAGGTTTTTAATGTGGATGAAAGTGCCCCATATGGAAAACAATGCTTACAAAGGACATTTACTAGTAAGGAACAGAGGTATGCACCAGGATTTAAGGCAGCAAGAAATAAGCTAACTATATGGTTTTGTGGAAATACAATCAGGTTTATGATCAGGACTTCCCTTCTCTATAAAGTTTCTAACCCCCAAAGCTTGAAGGAAAAGATAAACACCAGCTTTTGATTATATAAAAAAGATGGCCTGGACAATGAGAACCCCTTTTTCTGAATTGTTTCCATCAACACGTTGACTGTGAAGTCAGGAAGTACCTTGCCAGTAAGGGACAATCTTTTAAAGTTTATTTAATATTGAACACCACCCTTGGCTACCCAAACCCCATGGGCTTAATATCAAAGGCATTAAAATAATCTACTTGCCCCCAAATATAAGCTCTTTATTCAGTCTCTAGATCAGTGGGTCATAAGCATCTTTAAAGCTCATTACACATGATACTTAGTGGAAAGAACTGTCAATGCTATAGAAGAGAACTCTGATAGAGACATCATGAATGTCTGGAAGGATTATACCATTGAAGCATTGAAGATACTGTCATTGTTATTTTGAAAATCCATGAAAGCCTTCAGGCCCATAACAATAAATTCAACATGGAACAATAATTTATGCCTGTACAGGCTGATATATAAATGTCCTTCTGATAGATGATCTTTGAGCACAGACCTATAGACCTAACTCAAAATGCATATACGATCTGCTTCTTTTTTACCTCTTTGCATTCATCATCTTCAGACCCTCTTGCTATTCTTTAACAAATCACATATGTTCCCATCTCAGGGTATTGCCTGAAACACTTTTCAAATAGTTATTCCCATGGCTCATGCCCTCCCTTCCATTTATTCCTTTGGGTCTATATATCTACCTTTACATATCATCCTATATAAACATTTATTCAGCACCCCCTCCTCACCACCTGATCCATCTCAGGATGGCTGTTTTTCCATAACTTATTTTTTCATAACGTTTCATCATCCAACATATGATATATTAACTCATTGATTTGCTTATTGTCTCCCTTCTTCCACTAGAGTGTAAGTGTTGTAAAATCAGGGGATTGTTCTATTCATTGTCTCTTCCCCTAGCACTCCGAGCAATACCTGGCACACAGTAGGTTCTCCAAAATATATTTAAATGAATTTAAAAAGTGATTGGAAAGTAGACATTATTAGAGTCTCTTGCACTTTCAATTATCATCCAAATAAACTATCATTACTGGCATAAATGATAGTTCCATGTGGAATTAACCTGGTCATATGCATATTCATAAGAATTATATAGTCTTAGAGGAGGGAGAGAGAGAGAGAGAGAGAATTAAAAATTAAGTTAAAGTTCCACTTAGCTCAATAATTAAGGGAATAATACTACATTGATTAAATGGTGACTCCAGCCAAATTTAACTCTTACAAAATGGCATGACTCTTGTATAATTTTAAACTTCCCAAGAAATTTAAAAGTTTTCTTGGGGAAAAACTTCATTATTAAATGATTTGATACTCTTAGTATTATAACTAATTCAGAATTACAAGGATGTGGTTCCTTAAATAGAAAAAAATCTTAATAACTTGAACAAAACAAGATTCTTAAATGTATATATTAATACAAGAATGATATTGTGAATACACACCAACTGAGCCATAATTATTAATGCCATTAATTTTAAAAATACCTCATCTAAGCTGCATAATAAACTCCTGATCATTGAGGACTCCTCCTCTATAAAAGTTGACCCAATAACAACTCAGTATTTATAGAGGCAAATATGTTTTCATATATTCAAAAAGAGATTTTCACTTGGGTTTTTCTTACTACATTATATCTATGTTTCCATATAGCCTACCTTTCATTAAAATTGATGTGACAGATTGCTGTAATTTTCACATTGCTAAATACTTCTGTCAAGCCCCTTAAGGGATTTTCAGAATTTAGTTCTTAGATTGGGATGATTTCAAGGCTCTCCTTTTTGGTAGGGATGAGGTGAGCAACAGCTTGAAACTATGATTCATCTCTGTTTTAGTTTCTGTCAAATACTTGCAGGAAAAAGAAAATGACTAATCACCTACTAAAAATGGCAACAGATGCCATAAGCAAAATTTCATTCAACCTGTTAACTTTGGTTCCAATGTAAAAAATCATTTAATTAAAAGTCTTAGTTTGAAAATGATAGCATTTAAAAATATATACATATATAATAACATCTGCTTCTATAACATGAGGTATTAAATTTTAAGCACAATATTTTAACAAAATTGTTTACAATGACATTCTGCACTTCAGTTTTCACAAACCAACACACGTACATATCGGATATATTTTTCAGTTACTTGAAGATATACATGTAATTTCTATGCTCCAAGAAAGGGCTGCTAGCACTTTGCACACAAATTATCTATTTTCGTCTGTTAAAAGTCCTAATGGTATTATGTTTAGTCACATTAAGTTTCATGAAATAGCAACTAATGTTTTCACATATTTTTTCTATCTTTTGTATTCTAAATAAACTTTTGCTTAACGTCCAGTGCTTTTCTATCTGCTAAAAACAGAGCCAAAAAAACACCTGTTCTAGTTTGAAATTCAAAGTAGCATATTAATAAAATAGCAAAAGAACCAAAACTCCTCTAAACAAAGCAGTGAATAGTGGAGGTTTTTTGTTTTGTTTTTGTTTTTTGTTTTTTAATTAAGTACTTTTGGAGACTTTGCCTCTAATATTTGAAACAGGTAGAGGGGTATGGAATGGGGTAAGGATAGGGAGGGCTATGTTGTGAAAGAGAAGAGAGAAAAAGGTGAAGTTATTTCTTATCTCACCTCTATTTCATAAAAAGGGGGCCGTAACAGTATGTAATGAGTAAATGTCTGTGTAGGATATTCACAGAGACCATTTTTTGGCCTGAAAGTAGGCTAATTTTGGAATGGCTGCTTTTTTCTTCTTCCTGACCATTACACATGCATAAGGGCCCGTGTAGAGGAATAGTTGTGTTCTCCTTGAGATAAACCCTCTAAAATTAATACTTTCATATCTATCATTATATCTTCTACCTAAAGTAGTTCTGTGAGCACATGGGTCCCCATTTTACAATAAGAAAACCAAGGCTCAGAGAGTGTAAATAATTTGAAAAAAAAACACACAACTAGTAAGTGGTAGATCTGGAATCTATGTAGGGCTTCTAACATTTGATTTTGTTGCTGTTCTACCACATTTGCTTAAATAAGTATCCCTGACATTTTGTAGATTAAAAATATAAAGATTACAAAAGTCAGGCGACTTTCAAAACATCAACAATCTGAGTAGTATTCTTTTATCATTTCAAATCCAGTGATAAGTGTGTGAATTTGAAAAAGTCTCTTGGTCTATTTTAGCCTCATTTTGTATCTGAAAAAAAAAAGCATAAATCAGTTAATCTCCAAGGTCTATTTCAACTCTAAAATGTGCAGGGTTTTTTTTATCATATTGTGGCTACACGTAAAATTTTAAACTGATCAAAATCATTAGAGTTCAAAATTGCCTTGGATAACATTAAAAATTATCAATACATTCATAAAAGCATTATTTCAATAAACAAAACAACTACTGATTTGATGAGTATACATTGGATAGGAGCCAACGGAAATGGTTTCTAGATATATTTGGCTAACATCGTTGTTAGTCATCATTCAGAAATAATTTGAAAGTAGTGACTGTTGTCATAATTAAAATCCATGCCATAGATTTTTCCCACTGAGAAAATTAATTAACAATTTTCTACCTTTGGTAGCCAATCCATTTGAAACTCAGGAGGCAAATTAATGAATGCTCTCTACATTGTGAACCAAATTTTAGCTGCTAATCTAGAAAATGACAACACAAATACATTAAACAGACTTGTAGTAATTTATTAGAATGTGAAAAGGTAAAAACTGACCTTCTATGAAACTAATACGACAAACGGATTTATGAGTGAAATGGTAGAGCATATACTATTCATAGCATAAGAATTTTATTTTAAAAATCACTGCACTGAATCTTATAAAAATCTAAGACAGCAAGTTTATTTTTCTGATGGTAAAGGTGGAGTTTTGTTCAATAGTAAAACACTGCTTTGAAAACTAGCTTTACTTTATTTATAAATAACTATATGTTAGTTCTGAGATTTTTCCTCTAAAATTTGTCTTGCCACAAGATGAAGTACATCTTGCAACAATTTCCAGGAACACTCCAGTAAAGCCCAAAGTGTTTGATATTTGTTTTACCTATTTTAGGAATAATAAAAGGGAAATTAAAACATGCACACCTCAAATAAGTTTTATTCCCAAATAAATTAATCAATTATATAGCTAACTGCCACTTTCAGGCTTTATTTTTAGAATGGACCTTAAAATTATTTCATTTTGGGGAGAACAAATGTGTTTATTTGGGAGATCACTGATTATACAATAATGTAAAGTAAATCACTGTTGGAGAAGCTTTCCATGGGGATACTCTTAAACCTATTATTTTCTTAGAAATAGATAAGAACTGTCTTACTTGAAGATTTTAAGTGTGATCTAATTAGTTTTGTGTTTTCCACAAACTTCTTAAAGAAATCAGTGAGAATATTTGTTACACAAAACGTTTAGCCTTACACATTATCTCCCCAAAACTATGCTTGCTATAAAATAAAACCAAAATGCGTACATTATATCTTTTGGGGATCAAATAAACTTTATCGCTCAGCAAAGCCTCTCCTAATATCCTTGACAGAGTTAAGCTTCTCTTCTCTCTGCTTCCATCAAATATTTCTCACAAATATATCATTCAGGGGGTGCTTTCTGGGGTTAGTATTGTGGATACCACATGGAGACAAATCCCTGACATCATTTTTGACAACTGTCCCTCTGTTCTCTCCAATCTCCTCCTTCCAAAATTAGAACATTTCCTTGACCAGTATATCCTATGTTACCCTTTATACAAATATTGATCCAACTCTGCTCTACAATGAATTTGTGATGCCTTCCATAAAGGCTCAACACTTCTACCAATTCCTGATTACTTGACTATATTCAGTTTTTATTGCCTCAACTATTTGAATGTGCCTGAATTGGCTATAATATTTGGGATTTTTTAAAAAAATAATTTACATAAAGTATGCAACATGATATTAGGGGACACATATAAAGAGTGAAACGGTTACTACAGTGAAATAAATTAACATATTCATCATCTCACATAGTTAGCCCTCCCTCCTTTTTTGTGGCAAGAGCCCCTAAAATCTTCTCATATAGCAAAAATTCCAAATACAGTACAATGTTATTAACCATAGTTCTTGTGTTACACATTTAATTTCTAGACTCGTTCATTCTACGTATTGGTTACTTTTCTTTTTCTTTTTTTTTTTTTTTTTGAGACGGAGTCTCCCTCTGTCTGTTGCCCAGGCTGGAGTGCAGTGGCTCCATCTCGGCTCACTGCAAGCTCCGCCTCCCGGGTTCACGCCATTCTCCTGCCTCAGCCTCCCGAGTAGCTGGGACTACAGGCGCCCGCCACCACGCCCGGCTAATTTTTTTTGTATTTTTAGTAGAGACGGGGTTTCACCGTGTTAGCCAGGATGGTCTCGATCTCCTGACCTCGTGATCCACCTGCCTAGGCCTCCCAAAGTGCTGGGATTACAGGCGTGAGCCACCGCGCCCGGCCCATATTGGTTACTTTTCATCCTCTGACCCACATCTTTTTATTTTCTCCTGGTAACTGCCTCACTTCTGGTACCATATTGTTTTCCATAATGACCGCACCATCTACGTTGCCATCAAGAGTCCTCTTTTCTTCACACCCTTGCCAACATTTATTATCTCTTGACTTTTAGATAATAGACATCCTAACAGGTGTGAGTTGATATATCATGTGGTTTTGACTTGCATATCCCTGATAATTAATGATGCTAAGCACCTTTTCATTTACCTGATGGCCATTTTATGTTTTCCTTGTCTTTCATGTTCTTTGCCCATTTTTTTATTGGGTTATTTTTTTCTGATATTCAGTTGTGTAAGTTCTTTGTAAATGTTGATATTAACCCCTTAACAGAGATATGGTTTCCAAATGTCTTACCCAAATCTGTAGGTTGTTGCTTCATTCTGTTGTTTCCTTTGCTATACACAGATTAGTTTTACTTTGATGTAGTACTATTTAATTATTTTTGTTTCTGTAGTCTGAAGTTTTCATGTAATATATATATATATATATTGCCAAGGCCAATGTCAATGAGCTTTTCCCCTATGTACTCTTCCAGGAGTTTGATGGTTTCAGATCTTATGTTTAAGTCTTTTATCCATTTTAAGTTGATTTTTGCATATGATGTAAGATAAGGATCCAATCTCTCCATCACCATTTATTGAAAAGACTGTCCTTTCTCCACTGTGCATTCTTGGCATCCTTGTGAAACTTGGCATGCAAGTTCACTGTATATGATTGGGTTTATTTCTGGACTGTCTATTTTGTTTCACTGTCTTTTTCTGTTACCTGTGTCTGTTTATATTCCAGTTTCACACCACTTTGATTACTATAGTTCTGTAATATAATTTTAAATCAAGAATTGTAATGTCCCAAATGCTGTTTTTCTTTCTCAGAATTACTTTGGCTATTCAACATCTTTTATGGTTCCACGTGAATTCGAGGCTGTGTTTTCTATTTCTGTGAAGAATGTTATTCTTATCTTGACAGGAATTGCACTGAATCTGTGTATTGTCTCGGATAGTAAGCACACTTTAACAATATTGATTTTTCTGATCCAAAAACATGGAATATCTCTCAATTTACTTGTCTTAAATTTATTTCATTAATGTTATGCAGTTTTCAGTGTAAGAAACTTTTACCTCCTTAGGTTTATTCTTAAGTATTTTATTGTTTGATGATTATATATAGAATTTTTCCTTGATTTCATTTTCAACTATGTCAATATTTGTGTAGGGAATGCTACTGATTTGTGTACATTGATTTTGTATCCTGCAACTTTACTGAATTTATTTATTGGTTCTAAAAGTTTCTTTGTACAATATTTGGGGCTTTCTACATAGGGGATTGTGTCATGTGTAAATACAGATAATTTTACATATTTCTTTCCTACTTGAAGATTATTTTCTCTTCTTGTCTGATTGCTCTTGCTAGTACTTCTAGTACTATGGTGAATAGAAGTGGTGAGAGTGGTCATCTTTGCTTGGTACTTGATCTTAATAGAAGGGCTTTCAGTTTATCCCCATTAATTATGATGTTAGCTGTGGGATTTTTCACAAATAGCCCTTATTATGTTGAAACCATAAGATGAAGATTCACTCTCCAAGGCATGGGTGGATAACTATCACCAACAAAACCAGGGTGTGTGACTCTGAGGCTCATCCCCACATCTCAGGCCTTGGGAGCAGGGATATAGCTATGAGTTTGATTGTGGGAGGAAGGGTGCAGCATTGACATGGCTTTGGGAAAAAAGTGTGATCTCGGGCTTGGGTCCTGGAGATCAGGGCATAGCTACAGTTCTGGTCCCAGAACTAACAGGGCACAGCAGCAACTCAAGCCCCAGGGGATTGGGGTACCACACAATGGCGACTTTGGGAGGACGCAGCAAGAGTTTAGGCTGTGAATCCAGGTGCAATAGGATTAAGTACCAAGGAATGGTACACATTTGTGGCTTGGGCACCAGTTAGCAGGGAGCAGTACAGTGTTGACCCCACTTCCTGGGGAGCCAGGGAACTTCAGTAGCTTGGACTCCAGGGGTCTAGTCCAGTTCCAGGAAGGTGAATTTTTGCAGCTATTTGGCCTGGAGGATGAGATGGCACAGCTCAGTCATGTCTCTGATTCCCTGGGACATAGGAAACTACATTAGCTTGGCCCCAGAAGGTGCAGCTACATGAGCTGCCCAAGATTCCAGTTCCTCAAGGGAAAGTGCATCACATCAACTCAGGCACTGGAGGTCATGACTCCCCTGCTTTGCGAAGAATCTGGCCCTCACGGGGGTGGGGTGTCATACCAGCTCAGGTGTAGGGAGCAATATTAGGGGATGATTGCTCCACTTAGCCTAGAGTCTGGGTCCCTGGAGGAGCAGGTGCTACATCAGGTCAGGCACAATACAATTTGTATTTTAAGATCTATATAGTATTTTTCTTTTGTTTGTAATAGGTCAAGTATCATCACTTTATCACTGCTGCCAGGTA
Source organism: Homo sapiens (assembly GCF_000001405.40). Taxonomy (NCBI): domain Eukaryota; kingdom Metazoa; phylum Chordata; class Mammalia; order Primates; family Hominidae; genus Homo; species Homo sapiens. The sequence goes on along the minus strand of NC_000003.12, from coordinate 175,188,187 downwards.
TTACAGGTCAAAACTACATATCAGAATACTCATTCTGTCAAAATTCATGATAGAAAAAGAGTTAATAACATAATCAACAACATGTATTGCAGAATGAAAAGAGCTTTGGATGTGTGGAGCATTAAGCCTTTCTCACCTAGAATCAGTTTGTTGCAATAATCCACAACGGCTAACAGCATATTCATGAACTCAGATCACTGAAGAAATACCTATTAACCAGAGAAAATACGTACAGGAAAAATGGAGAAGAAACGAGCTGGCATTACAAGAGGGTATGTGCAATTAAAACACTTACACTTCTCATTAATAATGTGTTTATTTGCTCCTTGTAGGCAAGGATCATGTTCACTCATTTTTATAGTCACTTCATTGCACTTAGAGCCCAGAGTGGTGCTTGGCCCATAATATGGGAGGCAGCCAATGCTTTCTGAGTGGTTCCATATTCTGCTGGTGAGATCATTCTCACATATCTTAATGGGATAGTCAAACCAAGATTAATTACTTATACTTGCCTAGCATATTTAAAGAGAATTTAAAAAAAAAGATGTGTCTTCAAATGAAGAATAAACATTTTTAGTCTTTATATATTTTGAGTGACATATACATACATAATAAAATAATCATTTGGAAGCACTTTGTTCTACAATCTACAGTGTGTTGGCCATAATTAAAGACTTGCGGGAACAAAAAATAAAAGCTTGAGGAAAACAGAGATTCAAACCTAAAGCTTACAATATTAGGGTTTGAATAAATGAAAAGTTGGAAAACATCATAAAACTAAAAGCAATATAAAATAAATGTAAATGCTGGAATCGACAACGATAGGAAATAAACACCCTTGAGTCAGTAAACCTTTTTATCAATGCTTCTGTTACAGCACTTCCTATAGTCATGAACTCACTTGTATCTATGATTATTCCCTTTCTGCTACTTCCTGCAAGGCAACAATTATAAGAAGCATGGTAGATGTTTATAAAGTGTTTATGAACTTAATGAATGATCAAATAAATATGTGAACTAATGAATAAGTGAATGAACAGCTGTCAGTAAAATGTAGGAATCCCTCCCCTAGATGAGGGTCAATCCAGTCATCAGGGCCTTGACAATTGCAGTGTCTACCAGAAATACTGGCTCTCTGAAATCACCTAGCTTTTTGAATTTGATTTTATTTATTATAAAATAAAAGACAGAAAATGAAATAGTGAACTAAAGGATTGTTAAGATAATCTTTTTTCATTATACTATTTGCTCTCACAAGATGAGGAAAATTATTATTATTATTATTTTCCCTATTGCATGAAATAAAACTACCAGGGCTCTGAGCACTCGAGAAAGGCAAATTTGAGATGTTAATTAGTTTGAACAGAATCTGTAATGTATACCACCTACTGAGATGGAAGAGAGATGGGAAAGAAAACCAGTTCTTCAGGGATAAACAGTTCAAAGAATTTCACAATGTGACAAAAAGGTCACATGACCACCACAGTGTGACAAATCAAGCAAGTATTAGAACATTTTGCCAGACAGTTTTCTGCACTTGGCGTCAAAATTCAAAGGTAGTAAAGTAAAAGCAAGCTATATTTAACAAAGAAACAGTTTACCTCTTTAGGTGTAAATCTCTTTATCTCTTTCTATAAAGTAAAATTTTACAACAATGGATAGTCGCTACTTTCTAATCCTGGTTGTTTTCAAAATGATTTAAACAAAAGAGGGCATTTGTTTTAAAATTAGATGTTTTATATTTTTAAATTAGCCAAACTATCATTGTTTTTAAGTCATGGGAAATATAAGATATGATTGTAAGGAAAGAGTAAGAACATCTGATGAAGGTTTTGCAGTCAGTTCTTGACTGGTTCCTGGGATTCCTGTGTGACAAAGTGAAGGTCAAAGTTGCAGCTGAAATGCCACATGAAGAAGAGAATTCTCTCAGGATCTATAGGGGTAATATGTAAGATTATTGTATAATGAAGACTGACACTACAAATAAGGCAATTTTCTTCCTTTTAGTTCCCTGAGTTCATCTCTTCAACATGTACAATATGTCGTACATCACTCAAGTGGTCAAATATTTAAACTGATGCCTTACAAAGTTATGCCATTTAATGTTGCTGACTGACACCTCCAGCTGTTAAGCAATTAGGTTGGAAGAAATACAAAGTTAGGTTACTAGGAGTGAATACTGGATGACTTTTCCAAAATTTGATACTGAAATTTTACCCAATAAATATAATGTAGAATGTTAACATTTTCAAATTAAAAGCAATAAGTATGTGAAAATATAAATTTTAAAAGAATGATGAAAGTAAAATAGAGATAAGAACAGAAAAAAATTGCAAGTTTTGAGGGCTTGTTTTTTGGCTATTTATAATTGATATATTGAACTACATTATTTTATTAAATATTTTAGATATACAAAAGGCTTATATAATTATATAAAATAATTATATAAAAAAGCTTATACAATTATATCAAAATAATTATACAAAAAATACTAGCTTAAGAAATAAGACATTCCCAGTGCCACGATCATAATCTTCCTTCCACATCAAAGATAACCACTATTCTAGATTTAATATTAATTATCTCCATGCATGGATTTATGCTTTTATGCATATGTACATATCTATACCACATATCTATAAAATACTGCTTTGCATATTTTAAAACTTTATATAAATACATCATGATGCATGCTTTCTTCTAAATAGTTTTTTTAATTCAATTTATATTTATGATAATTATCCAATCTACTTCATACATTTTCTTCATCATTGTGTGGATATACTACCACTTACCTATTTAGGGTGATTTACATTTTTCTTTTATAAACTACACTGTTAAAAGTATTTTGCATACATCTTGTGCATATGTAGACAAGTCTCTTCAGGGCATACAATTAGGAGTAGAATTGCTAGGTTATAGGATATATGCATCTTCAGCTGTATAGATAGGATCAAGTAGTCATCCCAATTTATCAGAATGGAAATAATTGTATGTGGTATCACAAGTACACCATTTAATAGGGCTTTGAATTGTTTTATAGGTTTTCATTCTGCCTTGCATCAGAGTATCTTCCCAGCATAGCATGTCACAGGCAATAGCTATGTTTCAGAAAGTAAACATCACTCCCCAGAGTCAAGAAGCAGCAAATAATTTTGCTATCTCTCATTTGTACAATGCTCACAGGCAAAAGAAACAGGAGTCCTCAACAACAACCAAAATATACAACCTATCGTATAGTAATTTAAATGACAATAAACTATTATTTGTGGTGGGGCAATTATTTGATAAACATGGTGCTTAACGTGCATTATCTCATTTAGTTTTTGGAATAAGTTTGGCAATGAAGGTGTTATCCTTGCCTTGTTCAAGAGAAAATTCAAAAGTTGAATCAGAGGTTCGGTAACTTGCCTAAGGGAATATAGCTAGTAAATGCCAGTCAGTATTCAAACTAAATTAGTAATGCTCCAAAGCTAAGACTTTCTCTATTATACACTAGCAGTAAACTGCAGGTTAAAACTCCAAAGCATTAACTACAAAAATCTATAAAGCACTACAAAGAGGAAGTAACTTTAATTATCTTCACTTATTTAGGGACAGTTGTACATATATGGGACTTTCCAACTTCATGTTATTGCTTTATCTTGGTGGCGAAATTTCAGTACCCCTCAGTACTTCCGGAGAAGGAAAGAGATCATGATAAAAAGTAATTTAGTTAAAATTAAAATTTAATTAATTAATGTACTAAATAGTCACAACACTGCTAAAAGCTGCAGTAGAGGGTAAACAATTAGGTAAAATGAATTTAGTTCATTATCTGTAGATTTAACTTAGTTGTAATATCCCTATCTTATATTTACTTAGATAACCCAATGCTCAATCTGCATCTCAAGCTTTGCTTGATATTAAAGGGAAAAAGTTCTGAGGCTCTAAAGGAGAATTAATCAAACATAATTAAAGTAATTCTCATGCAAACTCCATTCTTCCAGATGGCGTTGATCCTACAATGAAAATTTTAGGAAATGGGGCACACAAGCAACTATGGACAAAGAATGTCAAAGGAACTTCCTAAGAACATGGAGAGACATCATCAATCATAGTACAGGAAACACTGATGTTTGAAGAGTAACATGGTAGAAAATTGAACAATAATACTTATGATGGCAACGTAGTGTGAAGGCAGAAAGCTGAAGGGCTTGAAAAATAAAGGGAAACAGTCTCACTTTGAGGGTGGCCGCACAGTGACCAAAGCAGCACTTTAAAATAAAGTTTGTTTTTAAATATAATGAAAAGAGTATAATTGTTTGACCTATGTTGGGCCTCATGCTCTGTCAACAAAGTAAGAAATAATAGGACTCAAACTCTATCAAAATAGGAAGCTTCTTAGCTTGGAAAATACAAAAATCAAGGCATATGATTGATCAACATAGATGCAAATGTCCTCAACAAAATCCTAACAAACTGAATTCTACAGCACACTAAAAGGATCGTTGACTATAGTCAAGTGGAATTTATCACCGGGATCCGAGGGTGGTTTAATACACACAAACCTATAAATGTGATACACCATGTTAACAAATGCAAGACAAAAAACATGATCTCATTAAATGCAGAAAAAGAATTTAACAAAATCCAATATCCTTTTATGATAAACACCCTCAACAAATTAGATATAGAAGGTATATACCTTAACACAATAAAGGCCATATATGACAAGCCCACAACTAACATTATACTCACCAGAAAAAAGTTAAAAGCTTTTTTTCTAAGATCAAGAACAGACAAGGATGCCCACTCTCACCACATCTATTCACTAGAGTACTGGAAGTCCTTGTCAGAGCAATTAGGCAAGAGAAAGATATATAAGTCACGAACAATGAACTATCTGAAAAAGAAATCAAGAAAACATTTCCATTTACAATAATTACAAAAAAAAATACTTAGGAATAAATCTAACCGGGAGGCAAAAGATCAGTATAATGAAAACTATAGAACATTGATAAAGGAAATTGAAGAAAACATATTGGAAGAAATGATAATGTTAAAATGTTCATAATACCCAAAGCAATCCACAGATTCAATACAATCTCTAACAAAATTCCAATGACATATTTCACAGAAATAGGAAAAAAAATCTTAAAGTTCATATAGAACCACAAAAAACTTCCCAAATAGTCCAATCTTGCGCAAAAGGTACAAAGTTGGAGGCATTACACTACCTCACTTCAAGCTATATTCCAAAGCTATAGTAACTAAAAAGAATCTCACATCATATTAAAAAATCAACTAAAAATGGATAAAATATATGGATATGATCCTTGCAATTGTAAAAATACTAGAAGAAAACAGAGAGGAAAAGCTACATGACATTGGTCTAGGCAATTATTTTTTTGTATTTGACCCCAAAAGTTCAGGTAACAAAAGCAAAAATAGACAAATGGTATTATGTCAAACTAAAACAAAATAAAAAAACAAACACAAAAAACCCTTTTGGCAGGTGCATTGGCTTACCCCTGTAATCCTTGCACTTTGGGAGGCTGAGGCAGGAGGGTCAGTTGAGGTCAAAATTTGAGACCTGCCAGGGCAACATAGCAAGACCACATCTCTACAAAAAAAAAAAAAAAAAAAAAAAAAAAACTGGCTGTGGTGTCATGGACTTATAGTCTCAGCTACTCAGGAAGCTCAGTTGGAAGGGCTGCTTGAGCCCAGGAGAACAAGGTTGCAGTGAGCTATAATCATGTCACTGCACTCCAGCCTGGGTGACAGAGAGAGACCCTGTGTCAAAAAACAAATAAACAAAAAACAGTTTTGCACAAAAAAGAAACAATTAATAGAGAAAAGATGTATGAATTAGGAGAAAATATTTTCAAGCCATACATTTGGTAAAGAGCTAGTATCCAAAATATATAAGAAAGTTAAACAATTCAATAGCAGGAAAACAAATAGCATAACTTAAAAATGAGCAAGGGACTTGAATAGACATTTTTCCAAAGAAGACATACTGATGGCCAACAGAGAAGTGAAAAAATTCTCAATATCACTAATCATCAGGGAAACACAAATTAAAACTACAATGAGATATCCCCTCATGACTGTCAGAATGGTTATTATCAGAAAGACAAAAGATAAGTGTTGGTGAGGATGTGGAGAAAAGGAACCGTTGTACATTTTTGGTGGGAATGTAAATTGGTACAGCCATTATGGAAAAGAGTGTGGAGATCCCTCAAAAAGTTAAAAATACAATGACCATATATTCCAACAAACCCAATCCTAGGTATATATCCAAATGAAATAAAAGGAGTGTCTCAAAGAGATATCATCATTTTCATGTTCATGTTCATGTCATTGTAGCATTATTCACAATAGTGAATATATATATACATATATATACACACACACATATATATACATATATACACACATATATACACACATATATATACATATATACACATATATACATATATATACACACACACACACATATATATATATATATATATATATATGCCAATGGAATACTATTCAGTCATAAATAAGAAAGGTATGTTGTCATTTGCAACAACATGGATGAACCTGGAAGACATGCTAACTGAAATAAGCCAGGTACAGAAAGACAAATACCACATGTTGTCACTTACATGTGAAATGTAAAACTATTAAACTCATAGAAGCAAAGCATACAATGTTGGTTACCAGAATTTAGGGGCAGGGAAGAATTGGGAGATGTCGATCAAAGGGTGCAAAGTTTCAGTTACACAAGAGGAATAAATGATAAGCATTTGAGATGATGGATATATTAACTAGTTTGATTCAGTCACTATACACTGTCTACATGTATCCATGTATCATAACATCACTTTGTGCCACATAAATTTATATATGACTATGATTTGTCAATATAAAAAACTACAATTTAAAAAAGAATCAAGGGATATGAAGTTAGCTATTTTCAAATATATGATTTCAGGGGGTTTGGTACTACACTGTGTGGGAAAACTAGGATAAATAGATCTAGATCACAGGGAGATACATTTAATATTTTGGTCTAATGCCTTCCCCTGTCCCTCACCAAAACGCTAACAGACAAAGGTCTTAAAAATACATGGGTGCCTCTAAATGTCATAGGTATGAAACACAGTAGAAGTGTTAGCTTGGACATACATCAAGATGGAGCTGCCTCAACCACACACACAGCTATATAGCACAGTTATTAACAAAACTTTAGAGCTCAATGGTCTGAAATCAAATTCAGCTCAGTCTATCACCTATGTGACTTTGGGCAAATTATTTAACCTCATTACAATTCAGATTGCTTATCTGTAAATAAAATGAAGATAATAATTGCATGTTTCTGATAGATCCATTGTAAGGACTAAAGCATTTAGAGAAGTGCCAGCAACATAACAAATAGTACACTTTAGGAATAATAATAATATTGATAATTATTATATTATACATTATATTTAAAATAACTAATGATATTTATGATTATGATAATAATTAATGGTGGTTGGAAGAAATGTTGTAAGTCCTCTTTCTCATTTCATGAATTGCATACATTTAAAATTTCGATCTCCTTCCCATTTGCAATCCGTCATTTACTAATAGAGAGATACAGTGTGTGGGAACTGAACTGTGAACTTTTCCAGAAGGATCACTTCATTCTTGATTTCATTATCTTGATTTCAGTCTTGCCTTCACTAGCAATGATTAAGCTTTGAAAATTATCTTACAAATTGTGTGCCCACTTTTACTGGAATTCTGTAATAGTAACAGATAATACGTAGAACAATATAAAGGTGGTGTTGGGTTTACAGTTATAACATGAATAGTATTATCTCCCTCCAACTATGTTATATTGCATTAAAATAATCAATGTGTAATTGTATTAGACATTTTTATATGTTAAGAGAAAGGACAATTGATATAATTTTTGTTCTGACTTTTTTATTTAAATAAATTTAAATTTTCATTGGCCAAATACGTACTCAGAACATAATCATAATTCAACCGAATTCAGTTATCTAAATCAATATACTCTAATACGTTCAGTGCATGTTAAAGTACAGGCTAAATATTTTCATTTTTTGGTTACAACTACCTTTTATTAGTTCCCCATCAGCACCTATAAACAAACACCTTATGGCCTGCTAAATGAGCCTCAAAAAGCTGTTCTGAACCATCAACACAATTACAGAAATTGAAATGTGTTTAAAATCTGAGTTAGTGCTGTCAGTGAATGTGCTTAAAGGCAAACAAAAATCTATGCATACCGATACTATGTGACACAATGATTGTCAGAAATAGTTTTTCAAATCTCAGCTTAATCTGAAATGTGTTGCTTGAGATTCTGAACCAGTATAAATCAAGCTAAATTAGCTGATAAAGTAATTGAAATGCAACAAAATAAAACATGATAAATATAAAAATAGAAAATGTAATTTATGTAGTTTAAAAAGCCAGCAATCCTCTCAAAATCCTTATAATAGTGACAGTAGCTAAGATCAAGTCTCTCTAGAAGTAACCCATGTCTATGGAACCTACAAATAACTATAAAGTTTTATAAGTCCAACTTTTAAACTAAAAGTTTCCAGGAACCTGGGGACACTAGAAAAATATTCATATTATGAAGAAATAAAATAAGCAAGTATCTTGAATTTCTAAGAAACACCAGTAAAATTCCATAGGCTACTTGTTCCTTCTTGACAACCTCATTGATGTGAAATGAGATTTCTTAAGTAAATTATAGTCCATAGTGGTCTTAATAAAGAGCACTCTGATAGCCATTATTTTTTCTCCCTCTCTATCCTGTCTCTAACAAAGGTCAGTTTTATCATAACTCACTAGGAATCATTTATTTACTTAGATATTCATTCACCTAATATTTATTTAGTGACTCTTATCTTCCTGGCACTGAGTTAGCTGTTGGAATTACAAAGACAAATAAGAGGTCACACTCTATAGCAGTAACTCATGTGCAAATTAACAAATTAAACTACAACTGGGAAGATTTATCAATGGAAGTATATTTTGTGTTAGGAGCAGTTAGGAAAGTAAAATAACTTCTCGTGGATCATAGAAAGCTCTCAAGAAAAATGTAATATTAAAAATAATTCCTAGAGAGTGAGCTTGGTTAGAAAACCATGGAGGGTAGACATTTCTAGGCAGAAGAATAGTTTGGTAAACGCTGGTGAAGAGTGTCTGTAAGAATTCACAATTCTTTTCAATCACTTAATCAAGTGACATTTAAAATCAGCCTTTCAATCACAATAGCCAATCTGCTATTGAATCTATAGTCTTGATATTTTTGTAGAGCTAGCCTAATACAATGTTATTTGAAGACAAAAAAAAAATTCTAAAACATTTCTATCTCTTCCAAATTCCTTCTTCTATAGCTTAAAGATTTCAAGCACTGGTCCTCAAAGCATAACCCCTGGACCAGCAGCATCATTAGTTGAAACTTTATAGAAATGCAGATTCTCGGGCTTCTCCCTAGTCCTACTGAATCAGGTACTGCGGGGATGCAGACTAGCAATGTGTGTTTCTACCAGCCCTCTAGATCATTCAGATGTATATTAAAGTTTAAGGATCACTGATTTAAAGCACTGTTTTTCCAGCATTAACATTTCTTGTGAGTGTCCTGGCTGTCTTCAGAGGAAAGGAAAACTGGACTCTATCTGTAATAAACTCACGTGATCATCCCAAGGAATTCTACCCTTGACCACTAAATCAACTTGGAAGCAGTCTCAATTTTGCTACACATAAATACACAATTGACCAGACTAGTTTACTCAAGATTATTTTATCTGACATTGATTAAAGATAATGAGGATAAAAATGTATACTTGGGATAAATGAAAGAAATGATGATTCAAAATTATATGTACCCTTTTTTTATTAAATGCACATATATATGAGATGGCTTTTCTTCTATTATAATAATAATTATATAACTAACACCAACAAAGCACTTACCTTGTATTAAATAATGTTCCAAAGTACTTTACCTAGATTAACTCCCCTAATCTTCCTAATAACCCATTATGACATAGAACTGTATTATCTTAAACAACTGAGGAGCAGAATGGTTAAATGACTTGTCTATGGAAGAAATGCTATGAACCTGAGTAGTGAGAACACTGATTGAATGTAGGCAGTCTGGCTCCTGAATCCATGCTCCAAAACAGCTCTTATACTGTAGCTAGCACAGGATATATTTCAATATAGTTTTCAATGTATTCACAGCCTATTAATAGACAATACCCATGACACTAGAAAATAATTCTGCTGCTTTTAGATTATTTTGTAGGTGCTTACAGCATGCACACACACACACATACACACACACTGTACCCTACCTCACTGGGCAAATCACCTCACTTATTCGTGCTTCAGCTTCCTCTGGTAGTCAATGAGGACAGAGTAGTTGCAAGGATTAAATACGTGCATACATGAAAATATTTAGAGGAGTGGTTGGGATATACTAGGACCTATTATGGTTTTTGTTGTTACCTGAAATAAAAAGTCAGAGTATGTTATACGATAGATGCTCCTTTTATATTTTGCATTTTTATGGTTTGTAACAATAATTAGTATATTTATTTCCATTGCTTCCTTACAAATTTTAATAAGCTGCTTCAAATAGCTCACTACTGTTACGTTTGCCAACCCATTCTTCAAATTCATTCCAATAATTTTATACTAGTGGTAAGATGAGTGATCGGAGTAGGGTCTGAAAGCCCTGTTTATTCTAAGCTTCTTTTCTATCCATAGATGTGAATTAAAATCTTCTTTATAAGTGATTCTGAATGACTTTAATAGTAGGATAGAGAATAGGTGTGAAAAGCCCGACAGCAATAGAGATGTTCTCATGGAGAAATAGAGGTCAGATAGCAGCTTTATAAATTACAAGCACAGATATCACAGATAAACGAAGTGTATGATGATGGGGTAGGGGACAGGTATAATGGAGATAGCAGGGAAGTAGTAAGGTATTAGGGAAAATTAGACACAAGAAGCTGGAGCATATGGGGAGAAAGATTTGGATAAGATGCTTGTGCTAGGGCATGAGGAAGGAAATGGTTCTTTCTTACTAGAAAATGTCCAAAAGAAGTGGGAACTCCAGAGACAAACTTAATCTACTTTATAATTAAACTTTGCCTTGCCTTCTTTCACACAGTCTACGGTTTATTCTTCTATATACGAATGATTGTTGTATTAGTTTCTTAATGTTGCTGTATCAATTTACCACAGATTTAGTGGTTTAAAACAACACAAATTTACTATCATACAGTCTGGAGGTCAGAAATGCGACACTGATTTTGTGGCGCTAAAATCAAGGTTTCAGCAGTACTATGTTTCTTCAGGAAGCTCTGCAGGAAAATTCATTTCCTTGCCTTTCCCACTTCTAAGGTCCATCTGCATTCCTTGGCTCCGACCCCTTACTCCATCCTCAAAGCCAGCAGTTTAGCACCTTTAAATTCTCCCTTCCTCTCTGACCTCTGCTTCCATCATCATATTGTGCTCTCTGACTTTATTTTCTCAAGGGAAAGAAAGAGGCAAAGAGTCAGAGAGAGGCCCACCCCACTGATCCAAAACAATCTCCCCTTTTCAAAATCCTTAACTTAATCACATGTACAATATTTCATTTGCCATGCAAGGTAATATATTCACAGGTTACAGGGGTTAGAATGTGGCCATCAATTGGGAACCATTATTCTGTCTACCAGAATTGTGTTCTGATATCTTCTCTGACAATGTCTGATTTAAATGCAAACCTACTAAAGGGCTAGGGCCTAAAATATATCATCTTGAAAGACTGCTCCAAGATTCACAGAACTATCAGTCAAGGTTATGTAAAATATTTTGATTCTATTTAGTAAACCAAGTGTTGCTATTATCACATAATAATGATGACCATGCATCTGTCTGATGAGCGACAATTCATTAAAATGAAAGGAAATCTAAATTCTGAAAAAAAAAATGTCATTTTCCAAGGCAGCGGGAAATAGAGTTACAGCTCTCTGGCCACAAAATATATATTTACAATTATGTTACCCATGCAAATATAAAAATCATTCAGTATGAAATGCACACATTCAAATAAACCGGTTCCTGATGAAAATGGGCTTTATAAAAATTCTCTCTTATACCATCAAAATAGAATGTTAGTCTTTTCAAAACAATTTCCAGACGAATAGCATATCATAATGTATATTTTCTAGCACATAAATAACTGCCTGAATACAAAAAGATGGTAACTGAAGATAAAATTTGAAAATATGTATTACAAATAAAGCAGATATTGTATGATTCACTGCTACATCTAATTTTGTGCCTACATGCATCTCTTCCCATTATGACATCTGAATATTAAGAAGATAATTCCTGTATGTTCAGAACATAATGTTAGATTCACTAGTACAGATTGAGTGAACATATGAAAGAAATATATTATTGGCTAAAAATCAGAAAAGATAATTGAATTATTGAAACTGAAGTTGATAGACAAATGCCATCTCAATTATGCTACGCCACTTAATTAACTGTTGAAACAGCAAGAAGGTCAGTGTGTACATCAGATGAAAACTAAATAATTTTTTTAAAACTACATGCAGGTATTCACAATAGAGTGTGATGTGAAGAATATAAAATTATATGAAATTTACACGGACAACAGGAAATTTTAAAATACAAAGGCCAAGATATTGTGAAAACAATTTAAAGAGCAAAGTAGTTAAAATGTAACATAACAAAGGACATTGTTTTAAAAATACCAACCAACATAGACTACATGGGGCCACAAAAAAGTTGTTTAATACTGAAAATAGGTATTTAATTGTCAATGACCTTAAGGCTATGTTGGAATTTTTTAAAAACTCCGTTTTAAAACTATGGCTAATAAAATAAAAGGCAAAATGATGTTAAAAAGTTTTCTCTTCCACACACTAAATCCTGTCAAAGTATTTACAAAGCATGATCATTTCTCTCTTTCTTGGAAAAAGGGTAATTGATTATTTTAGCTCTGCACATTTATATTACATTGCATTCTACCCCAAACCAAGTCTTTACTGGATAGAATTTGTATAAATTTAATAAAACTGATTTCTATAATCTCTACTTATGAAATTTTTAATGATACAACGAAAAACAGAAGAGAAAAAATTATACATTCAAAAAATTCAATATCATTTACAAATTATCTTCATTGAATTTTAATGCTTTTAACTCTATATGTTCCTAATAGTGTACAAGAAGATTAATGGTCAAAAGTTAAATATTAAATGTAGTTCTCTGTTTGCAGTTCTATTAACAGAGATATGTGTGTGTGTGTGTGTGTGTCTGTGTGCATGTGTGTGTGTATACATATATAGCGCACACACACACACATATATATACACACACACACACACACATGAATAGCATATATGTTTATATAAACTCTTGGGTTATATCATGGTTTTCAAACACAATCTCTATTGATCTATTATCAGAATCTTATATATGAACTTTTATTTTTTCTAATTTTCCTTCATGGTTAATAACACTCATGTGTGTATGTCCAATAATTATCCAATTAAACTTAAAAATATATCATATTTGACACACTTATTTTTGTCTTTGTTCTATTTTAGTACATACAAGAAAATTTCTTTTTATTTCTTTTATCAGAATATAATTTTTTTCATTTTCATGTTCTTATATAAAATACTGAGGGCAATATGAAAGACGCAAATAGATATTCAGATAATTGCACAAATATTGCTTTTCAAATAAGATGAAAATGCTGCAAATACATAACTGTAGTCTATCAAGATGTGCTAATGCCCAATAGCTAAAAATAAGTGTTTGAAACAACAATTTTGGCATATAAAAAGCCGCTTAGTTGGCAATGTATATGGTAATGAGAACAAGAGCTGGTTGAATGAAGAGGGAAGCCTATTAAACACGGGGTAACTTGTAATACTAAGAAAGGTTTTAAAATATTTGTTATATGGATTGTTCAATAATTAGTGCATGCAAATGTGTCCACATTTTATACTACATTTTGCTGTGTTATATATGTTTGTGAGATTTAGGAGTGTGTTACTGCCATTCATAAATCTTTCTAAAATTTATGTTCTAAGTTTTTAAGGATGATTGAGGGTACAATAATAAAATAATATCCCATATAAAATTACAATTACATACAACTGGAGGACCAAAGTTAAAAAAAAAATTCAAACTGAAGAATCATCCTTAAAAGCACAATATAATTCTCAAGTCTGTTATTAAAATATTGACAATTATTCTGACATAGGTCAAAATCAAAGAAAACTTTTAAACTCTATAGACGAAAATTGCAGAAGTCCACTTCAACACACTTACTGAATGCAACAAACTATGCTGAGAGCATGGAAGACAGAAAGATGGATGCAACTTTCACTAATAAACGTGCTTGCAACTGTGAAGTTTGAATGCAATTAATAAAAGGAAAGCTAAACAGACCAATAGGGAACATGAAAATGAAGCAGCATTACTAACTTTCTTTTTCAACTAATGTAGGACACCAGTAGATGGCCCAGTAAGTTGGAAAACATGTATCAAATATAATATGGTGGATAAATAAAGGTTCATATTTAAGATTAAATCACTGTAGCTCCGCTAAAATAAACTATTTGAAAAATGTCATTGGAATTATTTTGAGATGGGGTCTCACACTGTCACTCAGGTTGGAGTGCAGTGGCACGACGTTGGCTCACTGCAACCCCTGCCTCCCAGACTCAAGCAATTCTCCCACTTCAGCCTCCTGAGTATCTGGGACTATAGGAACACACCAACATGCCTGGCTTGCTTATTTATTTATTTATTTATTTATTTATTTATTTATTTATTTTATTTATTTATTTATTTTGAAACGGAGTCTCGCTGTGTCACCAAGGCTGGAGTGCGGTAGCACAATCTCAGCTCACAGCAAACTCCGCCTCCCGGGTTCACACCATTCTCCTGCCTTAGCTTCCCGAGTAGCTGGGACTACAGGCGCCTGCCACCACACCCCGCTAATTTTTTGTGTTTTGGGTAGAGACTAGGTTTAGCCATGTCGCCCAGGCTTATCCTGAACTCCTGAGCTCAGGAGATCCACTCACCCTGGCCTCCCAAAGTGCCAGGATCATAGGGGTGAGCCACCGCACCTGGCTTCATTGCAATATTTTTAAAGACACCAGCATCGAATATCTATATTTGACAGAGTACCGAAAAGCTGTACTTTTATTCCTTTGCTTGAACACTCCTAATGGACAGCACATTAAACATCAAAAAATAAATCTGCATCTTAAACAAGGTCCTTAAGTGAAAACAAATAGTATTAAAGTTCGCCAAGTATTCAGGAGACATTTTCGCCTCCTTTTCAATAATCCAAATTCTAAATGCCATTTAGAACTCACTGCCTCATTTCTTCAATGAAATTCCTTTACTATTCCAAATCTTCCATTTCCTGTGTTCACTACTATAATTAGTATCTTACCACCTAGTATGTATTAACATAAGTCATAAGCAACTTTGTGTCTTACTCATGTATGTTTCTCTTACTTTTCTTGCAAGAGTGAGGATAATTTCAATTCCTCAGATTTCAATATTTCTTTACAAAATGCTGGACATTTATTAAATGTGTGACATATTATATTCAGATATTTATAGTTCTTTTGAACACTGGTATAAGACATTAAGCACTGAAGAACTACAGGGTTATCACTTGGATAATGACTGAGGGTTAGCGAAGTTGTTACTTAACCAGGAATGTGTATATATTTTGTCTATGCAAGAAATTACCTTTTACTATTATTGACTGTGAAGATAATTCAATAGTAAGAGCAGTTGTTGGATCTGGTCAAAATTTACTACTGGTTTAGTACTCAAGTCATGGTTTAAAATGACTATATATATATATGAAGATACATATCTTCCAAAAATAATTATACAGTGGGATATGATTACATTATCAATGTATCTTTTTATGGATACATAACATTACACGTATTTGTGGGGTACATGTGATATTTTGTTGCATACATGTGTAATGATCACATCAGGGTATTTGGGGTATCACCTTGAGTACTCAACATTTCTGTGTGTTGAGGACATTTCAAGTCCTCTCTTCTAGCTACTTTAAAATATAAAAGACTTTGTTTCTAACTACACTTAATCTACCCTATATCCAATACTACAACTTAGATTTTCTAACTGTATGTTTGTACCCTTTGACCAACCTCTCTTTATCCCCCCAACTGCCACCCAAACAACCTTCCTAGCTTTTGGTAACTATCATTCTACTCTCAACTAAAAAGAGATTAACATTTTAAACTCTCCACATATGAGTAAGAACATGGGAAATTTGTCTTTCTAAGTCTGGCTTGTTTCACATAAAATGAACTAAAGTTCATCCATGTTGCTGTAAATGACACGATTTCATATTTTTTATAGCCAAATAGTATTCCATTGTGTGCATGTACTACATTTCACCTGTTCTTCTGTTATAATAGATTATATAGATATAGTAATGTAATCAGAAGAAATAACAACTCTGCTTTTTAGCCTGCAACACAGTAGCTAGACAGAGGAGTTTCAATACATGTTTCTTAGAAGAATGAATAAATAATGAACAAATATCTAACTTTTCATACTACCAATGTTCATATACCCATTGGTATTATGTTTCTAATTATACATTTTGTCTGATAAGATGACTGAAGTACAGGAATATATTATACACACAACTCCGTTTAGAAGGCAGTCATATCAAATGACAGGAGACTTAAATCTGCTATTCGATTGTTATGTGTCATGGGCCATCTCCATCGTTAGGATGGCAAAATGTGACTTTATAAGGAGTTACTTGGCCAATTGCTTACTTTCCTCTCTACCCTGCAGTCTCAAACTTGCCTAGTCTTTCAGTGTCCAGTATACACTGCTTCTCTGTAATATAAGTTTCTGACACAATAAGGTAGTATAATAGAAATGCAGAATAATAGCACCTGACCTAAGTTATAAGCCTGAGTTGTATGAGTTCTTAAGGGTTTGAAAATTTTAAAGGTATGACAACACCATATAAGAAATAAAACAACTATTTTGACTATATATTATATTTCAAATAATAATATTTGTTCTATTTTAAACTCTCATATTCCTTATGGAAACTAGAGAAATTGGGAAAAAATGTGAATGAGAAAAAAGTCTAAATTAATCTGTATTATAACTCTCTGATGGCAGCCAATACTAGCATTTTAGTATATTTCCTTTTAATCTCTTATATATGTTTTTTCACACTTGTGTCATACTGAATATACAATTTTGTATCCTTTTAGCCTTTATTTCCTTATATTCTTTATAGGACATTATACACATGTACCAATGAATACAAACATGCTTAATGGCAACATCACGTTAAGGGTTATGAATTTCCATAATTTAATTATTTCCTAATATGGGCTGTTTATTTTAGTTTCCAATTTTTCTCTATTTAAACAATGTCCCAATGATTATTCTTCTATATGAATGTCCATGTAAATCCTTTGTATTGTTTTGGAATACACTTATAGAATAATATTTAGAGTCAAGAAATACAGATGATATGCCATTGAAGTGGCAAACAGATATTAAACACATCTTTTATCTCTCTTCTAGGCAAATACTATATATGTGTTTGTATATATATATTATATTTATATATTATATTATATTTATATATATTATATTTATTTATATATTTATATATATAAATTTTAACTCCATTTAAATGGCATACCCTATTGCTCCATTTTTGTTAAGTAACCAATGACAATTTTTGTTATATAAAATACTTGAAGAAATTCATATATGTCTATACATATATTGAACAGAATTTATTTTAAAAATTTAAACAGAAAATCCTTCTGCAAATCATCAATTTATTTTCATGTAATGAAGCAGAAATAAAGAAAATTAACAGAAGAAATGGTATGATTTTGCAATTGTTATTCTAAACTTTTATTTTTTCTGGTTCAAGAGGAAAAGAGAAATATAGTTTGGGAATTAGGAATTCATTTCAAGCACTTTATATAACAGAAATTGCATGTCAGTTACTTAATAAAAACAGAGCAATACCATATGAAATCTAAATGGAGTTAAAAGTTGTCAACACAGTAGGCTTATTCAAACACTTCTATTAAAGTGCAACCCAAACAGGTTGTAAAAAGTTAAACCTAAGGGAATAAAATGTGTAGAACTCACTCATATCAAGGAAATGCTTTGAAATATTCTCAACCAGTGAGTTTAAAACGATGTTAAATTGTGTAAACCACCACCTGCAACTGCAAGCTATATCAGAAACTTAACAAATATGTGTCTCCAGGTATCTATTCCTATGCAACATGTAACAAATCAATAGAATAGCCCTCATCCAACAAAATAGCTATCATCAAAGTCTGGTTGAACCTATATAATGATATCCTCTGGGATATTTCCAAACTGGCAGTACAGAAAATGACAAGGGATGCATCACGGACAGGATGCAAAAGGCAATAAAGAAAAAATAAAAACGGATAAAAACTCAGAATTGGAAAAAAAGAACTACAAAATGAGAATATCACATTGAACCAAAAGCAATAAAATCTTTCAGCCAGTTTCTTCAGTCTTACAAAATAATTAGTTTAATACTGTCATCAAAAATACCATTATCATTTGTATATGTCAACAGATTATATATATATATATATTCTTACAACTACCCTCTTAGTTATGTAGTCATGGACTGTTCCACATATAAAACTGAGATTCATAGAAGCTAGATTATCTGCCTGTAGTGATAGCTAGTAAGTAGCAGAACGAGAACTTAAAGCTAGCTGTCCAGACTTCAGAAATATATTTTTCTCTCATATATAAATATCCAAAACAGAGAAAAATATTGGTATAACTAATCCAAAAGTATTTAGTAAACTGATGACAAAAACCACAAAAAGATTTATGTTTGAAGTAAGCATTTGTAGAAAGCATACGTCTCCAATATTATTAAAAATAAATCTATTTAGAACTTTATTATTCTAAAAATCTTCAGTAGCTGATCCACTTCAATCATGAAGATCAGCTAAAATGTCAGCTTGACTCCTACACATTCAATTTACTTGAGTTTTGGTGGTAATATATGTGAACAGTGAAATTAATCTGGATGATCCACATTAAAAAAATCTGTACAGCTATCCTGTTTTGCTCTTCCTCTAATAACTTTTGTTTCTCATGAATATACTAAAATGTTTGATCTTATTTGAGGACAACAATAAAATTCCAGCCCTTAAATGTTGATAGCAAAATAACAAAGATTTTGTGTGGGTCTGATATCCTACCGCATATTTTTAATAATTCAATAAGTAACACAAACTGTCCATAATGTATGTTCATGTTGGAGTGAAGAAAACAAATTGGCCTGAATTGATTTTGTAGATCTCCCTATTTAAGTCTTCTAATAAGTTGAACCATTAGAACAAACAGAAAAATAAAAACAAAAAAGATATCAATATCTCAGCCTTTGATATTGATATATTTACATTCATGAAATTACATGAATAATTTAGAATTGAATATGAAAAAGTGTCTAATTTTATACAGTATTTTCATACTTTTGATTATTAAAATCAGAACAGTACATATGAACAATTATTTTTAAAGTATTTCCATTTTAAACCTGAAGATACTGCTTGCTATATTATACCTTAGTGTCCAGGGAGTCACATATCTTATAAAAGGACTGTCTTGAACATTTCTCATGCTAACATGCCAGAAAAGTCTCCTATGGAAGAATGCATATGCTTCCTCTTGTCAGAGAAATATTTATATAAACTAGGTTATCTATATGTAAAATTTTGCATTTATTATAAGTAGCCTAGTTTTAGTTCCTAAAAGTGCAGATTTTTTGATTCCTTAAGGTGGCCTTTGTTTTGGGTTATCTCTAAATATATTTGTTTTCATTTTTATGCTGCCACAGATTCTTTCAAGAATAACATAAAAATATTTTTTAATGTAACTTACATATCTGTGGTTTCTCATCACAACTGACTTATTTAGTCCCAAAAACCTTGTTTCCCCCACATATACCAAAAATAATAATAAAGTGGAAACGTGGTTTGGGAAAAAAAATTGTAATAGTGGCTCAGAATTATTTTCACTACCATAGTAGCTAGTTTTCATTATAAGCCCATGCTTATTTGTTCTGGGTCATTAATACATGAGTCAGTGATTATTATAATGCCATCACAATTTACAGTTCAAATAAAATATATATCTAATTTCCAGTAATGACAACTGCTGCTGCAAAACTGTAATAAAAAATAAAGGAATAAGACATGGGTATAGAAGGAGGCTCCACTTTGGGCAAGGTAGTTGGAAAGTCTGGCCTGAGAAAATGCTGTTTTTTAACTGAAACCTAAAAGATGAGGAAGAGCAGCATGAGAAGTGGGGATGGAAGATATTGTTCAAGGTTTAAGAACGTATATTCAAAGATTATAGGGTGGATATTCAGCATTCATAGATGTGTCACTTGTGATACACAGAAGAGTCCTGTGCTTAGTTTATGAATCTATTGCCATTTTGCTATTCTTAATAGTTTTTACATGAGGAGCCTCATATTTTCATTTTTCACTGGACTTTGCAAATTATGTAGCAGGTCCTGAGTCCTGCACACGCTTAAGAAACTTAAAGGAGAATGGTGACTGAAGATGATGGGACCTCAGATAAAATGAGAAAGGAAAGAAAGAGCCAAGTCAGGCATTGCTTTGGAAGCCACACATTTGGATTTTCTTTTATATGTAGTCAGAAGTCATTCAGGGTGGGTGTTAAGCAGAGGAGTGACATAATATTTGTATTGAGAGAGCTCACTCTAGCTGTAGCATGGCAGGAGTTTAACCTCTTTTTTTGTAAATAAAGTGTTATTGGAACACCCTCACGCTTATTATTTTATGTATTGTCTGTGACTGCTTTCCTGCTACAATGAATGGCTGAATTGAGTGGTTGCAATAGACTGTATGGTTCACACAGTCTAAAATGTTTACCATCTGTTTATAGAAAAAGTCTGCAGACCCCTGGATTAGAAGGAAACAAGAATGGAGACAGGAAGATCCTATGGGAAGATCAGCACTAGAAAGAACTTAAATGTCCTTGATTAGGAAGTGAAAGAAAATATGGATGTAAAGCAGCATATTCAGGCCACATTTAGGAGAATTAACCAAAGAATTGAATGATTGATTAGAGGTGAGTTAGGGGCTGAGCAGCTGGGTGGAAGGTGATCTCACTTATTAAAGCAAGTAGGATTGGGTGAGGATTATGACACTGTGAGGGGAAATTCAAGAGTTCCTTTTCAGAAATGCAAAGTTTGAGAAGCTATGAGCTTAGAGAGTTCAAGAGGTAGTTATATTTATGATAATAGAACCTGAAATTTGAGGAGAACAGGGGCAGGTATATAAATATAGGTGTAATCAGCAGAAAGACGTAGCTACATCCATGGAAATGTATGAAATCATCTAGGGAGAGAGGGCCTTTTAGGTTCCAGTAGTAAAGGAGAGGATATGATGTCAGCAAAGTCTAAGAAGAAATGGCCAACCACAATAAAAAAAAAATGTGTGGTGTTTTGCAAGTCAAAAAGAACATGGTTTCTTAATAAGGAAATAGTTGTCAAGAGTTCTAACTGCTGCTGAGAGACAGTAGGATCAAGACGGAAAGATTTCCATTAGATATTCTAATAGAAAGGCAGCTAGCGGTATTTGTGATTATCTCTGGAATAAAGCTAGAAGACAGTTTGAAGAGAGCAAAGAATGAATGGGAAGAAATGGAGAGAGAGTGAGAAATTTGAGGATGCAAGGGAAATGAGGTGAGAATCAGAAGCACAAGTCAGAATAAAAGCAGATTTGTCAATTTTTGTTTGTGTGTTTGTATAATAAGTTTATGTGCAATTGAATTGGGAAAAGATGGGGAACAACTCTGAGAAAGTCATGTTCAAGGGGTAAGATTTTCTAAGGCATGATTCTGAAGGTAATGATGATAAAACATATCAGCATATAACAATTCAAATGTGTATATATACTAGGTAAGTTTTTTTTGTAAGATTTTTTAAAATTAAATTTTAGAAGAGTAAAAAAAAAAAAAAATATGGAGTCCCTTATATGCAAGAGATGGTGATATTGAAGAAGCCAGCAAATGGTAGCAGGAGAACTAATGTGAGGCCGGTGGCAAAGTCCACATAGTTATTCCTGAGAGGAGAGTAAACAGAAAGATATCAGCAAACAACAATAAGAGGAAGAGGGTGGATCAATCAGAGTGAAGGGCACTGGGAGGCAGTAAAGATGCTAAGCACACCCCTGGAATCCGAGGTGTCTCTGTGTTTGGGAGGAGTATCAGGCAGAGAGAGGGATCCAGGAAAAGTGAGTCAGCAAGAGATGTACATCCCATGACAGGGTATGTGCTGTGCAGGGCCTTCCATGATAAACATTTCAACATCAGAAAAAGATTATACAATATACTTAGCACCACACACTAAGTTAATTAATTTACAGAAATTCTTTTTGAAGAGGGGAAGCTAAACCATTTCTTAGGAATTTTACATGAATTTCTGTTATGGTCTTACCACCATTATATTTTTTTTCCAAATTTCAAGATTTGATACACAAATGTAAGTGTAAGTCCATGATTTTATTAACTTTTAATTATAACTTTTTTGAGCCTTAAATTTTAGAATATGAATTTTTAATTTTTTTAGTTTGTTCTGTTGAAGGTCCTCTATTGATTTACTTATTGTTTATAGATGGATTGATTTACCCATTCACTATATAAGCATTTATCAAGAATTCATTTGGGGCCAGGAATCCTGTGAGGCACTGGGGATTGAAAGACTAATCCAAAAAATCTGCTCTCAAGAAGTTCATGGTCCAGTAAATAAGACTAACTTTAAAACAGTGCACATTATGAGGATGACAATTGGTAATTCTTTGAAGTACTATGGAAGCATGGGGAGAGATTATCTGTTTCGGCTTGGGTGTTGAGAAAGGCCTCATAGAAAGAAGAATGCATGAATTGAGTAATAATAGATCAGAAGTCAAATATAAGTGCCACGTGGACAGATATAGCACATTCACCCCTTGATCCCCTGTGTCTACAGGACTGCATGGCCCAGAGCGGTGTGCAGTAGATACCTGCTGAAGGCATACATGGCAAGGGGTGCGGCAGAAAATAGTTCCATTCAAAGATATGGGGCATCCATTTGCCTTTCTCCACAATTCCTTTGCTTCTGATGTTTTGTTTTCTGTTACATTTGATTGTAGTTCAGGGAGTAAGTCATGCAGAAGTTGGTGCAGAGACTCAGAATACAGATTAGAGAATGCTTATTGTGGTTTTCAAAGTCTTTCCTGAGGGATGCCCCCAAATCTGTTAGCTCTTATAGTTGTTATCATTGAAAATAGGTTGACATGCTTGTCTTATTTCATTAACACACTTTAAGAATTTACCATAGAACTTAACTTCCACATCATGTGTATAACTCTTCCCAGTTAATATTTTTCTATCCAGAGTGACCAATATTATTCAAACTTACTGGTTATTTTATACAAGCCAATTTGCAATATGTACTTGGTTAACTAACAGGCACCATTTTTTGAACTTCTTAAATAACTTAAAAATGTTATAAATAGTAAAATCGATACTTTTACCTTTTAAAAGAAATTAAATAATTTTCTATTCAGTTTCCCAGCTTCTTTCCTTTAATTCTTTATTTCTATTAGTTGAGGGAAAGAATGGGAAGAGAATATTGATGAAACTAGAATAATATGTGATAAGAAGATGCTCACCCTAGACTGCAAAATAAAAGTTTATATATGTAATATATTATGCATTTATTATGTGCCATATATATATATACACATATATACATATTTACATATATTTTTAATGGGGAATAAAAATGCGTTACTCATTCTTTTTCCTTGTTATTTTTTCATGGCTATATTAAGTTTTCTTTAATGTGCATGCATTTATTTTGTCAAAAAAACAAAAAATGGACATTTTTAAAATGTCTTGGAATTGAACTTATTATTAGTTCTTAAAATTAAAAAAGAAAATACTACGATGCATGTTAGGACATGCAATCACTTTTTAAACTTCCTACATAAGCGTGCAAATCTGTGGAGTGTTTACTTTATGAACTTCAATACAACTAGATATTCCCGGCAAAATGCCAAGATCAGAACCTGTTTCACATTCAAATTTCTGCATCATTGACAATGGAATATTGCAGACTATCCTCAAGAACTAGCAGTCTTTGCTCTTTCCTGTGTATGCTCATGAATCATTGAATTTTCTTCCCCAGTGTGTGAGCAGCTGCCCCTCTGGTACTCACCCAAGGCTTGTACAAACCAAAAGGTGCAATGAAGCACAGAAAGAGAACTATGTAGCTCTACCACATGGGGCCAAACAGATGAATTGAAAAATAAATCAATTTACAATAGAATAGGAAGTGAAAAAATATTAGGACTATAGACCGATGGGTCTTTTTATACTAGTCATGTATGAATAGTTGTTATGGTAATAGACAAATAATGCAACACAAATCAGCATCTCCCCTACTCTCAACACTCTCCATAGGTAGAATATTATGGTTTTCACGCTTATCCTTAGTCCTGTTTCCCCTCTATCTTCACATTAATTTGCTTCTGCTTGGCTATACCAATTTCAGTTCATGTTAAATTTCCAAATACCATACAAAACGGAGCCTCTTGGGGGCAAAATCAGCAACTACATTTGCAAACAACTACTTTATAACTTTTCTAAATATCTCATAATCATGTTCCATTCATCATTTAAAAAGAGTATGGATGTTTTCCAGTAAGTTTATACAATCTGGATGTAAAAAAGCAGACATAATTATTCTGAACTTTGCCTTTGTGTCAGGGTAAACTTTTTAAAGTGGAAAACTGGTCAATTTTTTTCAGCCATTCAAACCTATTCTGCTATAACCTCTAGTATTGCAACATCAACTTCATTTCATATAAACTTTAAGCATAACACAAAATTTTTGCTTGCCTCTTTGAACTAAGTACAGACTAACTCACTAAGACACTTTTCGGAAACAATATATATCATGATGATCAAATCAGAGAAATTATTTGTCAAAGATCTACTTTTTCAAGCCCTGAGAAAAGAAAGAAATGATTAGTTCCAGGCTATGTAACTTCACCTAGGCTTTTTTCATATGTCAACATCATTTTCATGCTTAAAGAGTCAGAGATTATATATTTGTATGGTCAGAAAATGTTCTAAAACTTAAAACACAAATATTTGATTCAAAATATTTAAATAATACACAGGTATCTCAGTTTGCCTAAAGAGAGAAAAGACAACAAAGGATCAAACATACAAATTAATATGAACAAACAAATTTCAAGATATGCCTATCTTATAGCTTTACTTTGACAAAATTTCCTTTGAAAATGAAATCAAATCAACTTCTTTGAATATCCTGGAATATTAACTTTCTCCATGAGTGCTGGTTCCTGGCAAGAATCATTTAGAGAGTTTGCAAACAGTATGAGGATGTAGTGCAACTTTAGGCTCATCTTACATACTCAAGAGGCACAAATAATTTGTATTAGCTATGTACAAGAAGGAGACGCAATCAATCAAAGCTGAAGAAAATAAGAACTTCTGGTATTTTTTCATAAACATGGCAAATGATACCTCCATCTCTATTCCACAACACTGCCTCTTAAACATTATTTGATTTATAAAATATTAAACATACTGATACGACTTCAACCTGTAGTTTGCATTATTGTGGATATCTATGTAGACAACACAATCTATTGCAGTGCAAATTTTAAATATGCTGGAGGAAGGGGGAAGGTATACACAACATTGTGGATAAATAAAATGTGGGTTCTCATGGGAAAAGGGAAAGTCAAGGCATTTAATTGATGGGGATAGGTAATATGATACTAATTCCTGGTTAAGAAAGAGAGAGAAGGAGAAATTTAATAGCCTTTTACCCAAAACTCAGTTTATATTTCACACCAAATCTGTTTGAAGATTATGACCTTGTAATTAATATAAGGCCTTCAACAGCAGCAAAATCTAACAGTCCTGAATAGTAAAAGCTTAGAAGATTACAAGGTGAAATTCCAATTGCTCTAACTGTGATAAAACAGAAGACAGGTTTCCGAAAGAAAGTCACACCCAGATATGACTGTGTAAAAAAATTGTTAAAATGTTATTAGAAGTTCAGGTTATGAGAAAGATGTTGTAAACTGCTTCAGTTGTTAGTTATTACCAGCATGTATACAGACACCATCAGAATGACTGCAATAATTGATTGACAGACACAGACCGCCAAGTCATTAATTGTCTCTTTCCTTATGATAGGGCAATATAATGTATAATTAGACTATAAGAAGAATATAAAACCAGTGCACTTTACTTGCTATAGAAGTTTGGGCAAACCAAAAAAAGTAATTGCTATATGATGCACATTTGTTATTGTCTAACATCTTAGCATCATTCTTAGGGTGGGACGGGCGGGGGGGTTGGTTTCTGATTTACAGTTCGTGGAAAACAGACTCTATATCTACTACTGAAGTTGAAGATGTATAAGTACCTGGATCCTCTGCCCTGACTCCTACCCTGCTCCATTCTGGGAATTTTAGTCTTGAGACAATGGTGCAACAACATGGAGCTATTTCGATAATTATCTATGGCATAGCTTTACAGCATTCCTGGCATAGTCAGTAGTGATATCCTAAGAAAATAGTTCGTGTGGCCATTTCTTAACCCTTATCCTAGTTTTTATTTCCTCCACACCCATCTTTCAATCTTTTTTTTTTCTGTTTTGCAGTCTTCACATTGACTTTGTGAGCTACTTATTATCTGTCCAGTAAATGTTTGTTGTTGCTGTTTTGCTTAAGTTAGCAAAAGTTGGCTTCTGTTGCTTGCAGACAAGAACCTGGACTCTCATCAGATCTATGATGCCTAAATCATTACTGTAAAAGCCATGAAGAACAGACACAACCAAACTCATTACAATGAAATGATTATAGATAATCATTTACGGTTATCTTTTGGTGGTTGCGGTGTAATTGAAGTTCTATGCTTCCATATGTACTTTTTTGTAAAATTTTTGCACATATTTGACTAAATTCACTTAATGACTATCCCACCGAAATAGGAATTCCAAGATACATTTTGTTTTATTATAATCATTTTCTTAAATATACAAATACAAATATACTGATACAGAGCTAATCCTTGGAAATAAATATTAATTTCATGAATTACTCCTGAAAAAATATAAGAAAAAAGATAACTTCCAAGTTGGCATAAATTCTTTTTCAAAAAATTTGATATCTCCCGAAATGGTGAAAGTTTTTTTAACTTTGAAACTCTTAGAGACTATTCCAGATTATAATTATTTATCTTTGTTACAAATATTTTGGATTAATCATTATTTCTTACAGATAAGCAATTAAGTATTGCTTATATTTTTATAAGAAAAGACATGCTAGGCACAGTGGCTCACGCCTGTAATCCCAGCACTTTGGGAGGCCGAGGCGGGCGGATCACCTGAGGTTGGGAGCTCAAGACCAGCCTGACCAGTATGGAGAAACCCCGTCTCTATTAAAAATACAAAATTAGCTGGATGTGGAGGTGCATGCCTGTAATCCCAGTTACTTAGGAGGCTGAGGCAGGAGAATTGCTTGAAACTGGG
This sequence comes from Homo sapiens, assembly GCF_000001405.40. Taxonomy (NCBI): domain Eukaryota; kingdom Metazoa; phylum Chordata; class Mammalia; order Primates; family Hominidae; genus Homo; species Homo sapiens. The sequence goes on along the minus strand of NC_000003.12, from coordinate 175,160,442 downwards.
AGGTGGAGGTTGCGGAGCACTCCAGCCTGGGCAACAAGAGCAAACCTCTAACTCAAAAAAAAAAAAAAAAAAAAAAAAAAAAGAAAGAAAAGATACACATATAATATATATTTTTAAAATTTTACTTATAAGCCTTTTGTAAACAATTGCTATATTTAGCCCCTTGTAAAACAAATTTAAACAAAAGATCAATTCAAAATTGGTAGCTAATATTGGGAACAATTTATTATATAATCAAAACTACCACTGTACTGGTGACCTATGTGCAAGTGAATATCACTTTAATTTCAAGAAAATCACTTGCGGCCTGACAAAGTGACTCACAATTGTAATCTCAGCAATTTGGGAGGCTGAGGTGGGTGGATTATTTGAGGTTCGGAGTTCGAGGCCAGCCTGGCCAGCACGGTGAAACCCCATCTCTACTAAAAGTAAAAAAAAAAAAGTCACGAGTGGTAGCACACGCCTGTAATCCCAGCTACTAGGAAGGCTGACGCAGGAGAATTGCTTGAAGCTGGGAGGCAGAGGCTGCAGTGAGTTGAGATCCTGCCACTGCACCCCAGCCTGGGCAACAGAGCAAGACTCTGAGAAAGAAAAGAAAAAGAAAAAGAAAAGAGAGAGAGAGGAAGGAAGGAAGGAAGGATGGGAGGGAGGCAGGGAGGGAGGGAAGGAAGGAAATCATTTGCTACATCTTTTATTACTTCAATAATCTTAACAAAACTGCCACAAAACTACTTAGGTACTACACTAATTCATTATTTCAAATAGTCCCATGTAGTTTCAAGAAATCAAAAATATTCCTTTATGCAACAGCTTTGAACTACCTATAAAAGATTTTGAAAAATCATTGGTGTTATCCCAGATGCACTGCATAAATTGGACACTAAAAATTATGAAAATATTGAGAGATTACAAAATTATTTCACTTCCTGTCAAAAATCTCATGAAGGCTAAATTCAAATATGTATATTATGATATGTGTGTATGCAAAACAAAACTCTTAACCCTTCTTTCTCAAACTTGACTACAATTCTAATAAAGTTTCAATTCCTGTTTGGAGTATCTTTATAGGCTCAGACACACACACTACTCAAATCAGCTGCTTTTTGCTGCAAATATACTTAATTCTGGTTAAGTTGGTCCTTGTAGTTTTGATATCAATCAAACCCAAGACTTTCCTTTAAGATTTCTTGTTTACACTTTTGTGAGAATCTTGCAGATATGATTGGCTGATTTTTTCATTGCACTTGTAGCTAATTGCCTGTCTGAAAATAAAATTGAGAACACATTCATCTAAAATAATTTAGTCATCCATCTTTATTAAGCTAAAAGAATCGATCTGAATTTATATGCTTTTGTTGGAATCCAAATTGAATTCTTAAATTAATATGCTTTTTCCTTTATCTCTTAATTTGATTTCTAAAACTTAAAAAATCATGTAAAAATTCACTAATGACTTTATCACATGTTCATTCTGATTAACATATATTCAAAAATAGAAAATGGCTAAAAGTGAAAGTTTAGTAAATTTTCTTTTTATAATCTGTTTTCAATAAGCATATAATTTTTCAGAATTGGATCATTCCAATATATTCATTATCAAATTAGGATACTTTCAAACATTTAACTTTATTCATATTTTCTGACAATTTCAAGAACTCTATTTCTCCTATTTTTTCTAATTTTCAATTAGAAATTCTCTTTGCTCCTTTTTCTTGGCAGAAAAATCTTCACTGCAAAAAAATTGCTATTTACATTTATATTTTAAACATTGGAGCTCAGAAGACAAAAATATTTAAAATAGTGTGATTTGCTTTCTGAAAATTATCAAAATACTTTATAAAGCCAAATATATCATCCCTATTTTTTACTTCACTTATTTTTCTTCTGATATGTCCTGATTACAAAACTACATTCAGAGAAAATATTTTGAAGTAAAGATGGAATCCAAAAGTTCTATTCCCCAATTTTCAAACAGGTCCAATGCATCTCTTTACCTGAAAAATGCACTGTATCATCAAGTTTTGGGTTCCTGATGATGGCTTTACTTGTTGAGCTACCAATTCAAAATAGTGTAACATTCGTGCTAAATGGCATATTATAAACCACAGTGTCCTTGCTTTTTCTACTTGGGGTGAAAATTGTCTTATTTTGAAATAGAAATGGTCTCTCTGATCGCCAAATGAGGGCAAAAAATCCGTAACCCTACTGAAATGTGCCTAAAGCACTGTGATATGGAATATTGAATATGATTTAGCTAGACTCTGAGTGTACCTTACACATAATAGGCACAAAACAAATGTTTGGTGATTGAAGAAATAAATGATTCTACCTAGATTCTGGTTCCATGTCTAAAGAAAACTCCTCAAAAAATAAGAGATTTAGGTAAGGGAAGAATATGTTTCGTCTACAAAGTTCTTTAATAAAAATCTTAAAAAGTTATATAAGTCTTTTCTAGAACTCCTTTGGTTTTGGTGCATGGAGTATTAGAATGAACTTTTAATTTTATTTTTTCAGGAAAATTAGATTTTGATAAATTAAATGAATAGTCCATTCATGACCAGGTAGGAAATGAATTCTGTATGTTGATCAACTTCAGTCCTGTGAGTTATTTAGGAAACTGTTAATCACCATCTGGAAATGCATTGAATTACATCTGTCTGAAAGGATAGACACTGTTCTACGAGATAACTTTCTAGTTAAACATGGAGAGATGACAATCAACTGGGAAATCCCAGTTAATGGCATGATTTCTTGTTTCTCTTCATTTTCAGCTAGGTTTTGTGGCTATATAGATGGTAAGTGACAGCAGGCTGATCCTATGACATTACTGTTCAAATGTGGATGGAAGAATAGATGTCCAGATCAAGCTTAGAGCCTTTCCTAATAAGAAGGCTAATTCAGAGTTGTTTAATTGTAAATTTTACAGATATACACAACAAAATCATGAATAATGCCCATTTATTACTTAATGCTTATTGTGTGTCAGGTTATTTACAAATACTGTATCTGTTAATCACAGCAACTCTGACTGGTATTATTCTTTACATTTTACAAATGATAAAACTGATGTTTTGAGAATTGAAAGATATGTAAAATAGAAAAAATACTTAAGCAAGATTTGAACTCATATTTAATTTAAAATTCCAGCTTTTACAACTACAAAATGCTGCCTTCTGCAGTTCATGCTGTATTTTATTTAGATTTAGAAAATCTTTTCCTATCCTCATGATAGAATACACAGGCGCAACTGGAGGTAGACAGTTCCAAGGTTAATATAAGTATGTTCAATTTTATAACTTTAGCTTAAAAAATTATTTTAATGACTTTTTTTTAACTAAGTACATACTAAAAATTTTCCAAACTTTCTAAAAGACTGAAAGAAGACAGGTGATTTGAAAGCTAGGATTTCTTTCCTTTCTATTTTAAAAACAAAGAGAAAGAAATAGAGACAGAGGCTGAATGTGACTCGGTGGCAGTGGCTTTGTTATGTAAAGAAACTTCATCATGGAGTTAAGACAATATGTTCGACCTGACTTGATTAGCTCTTTTATACTGAACCCAGGTAGGTGAGATACAAGAGGTTAGCTAATTTTAAACATCTATTTTTTAACTTGAACACAATAGGTCTAGAGGTACCTCTTCCCCACTTTTCTGTAGGTCAGCTGTATAAACCTATGTATGTGATACCCACAATCCCATGAGAAGTTCTAAGTTGTTATTGCTAGATGAGCTAGTTCCAGAAGTCCTCTGAGGGTCAGCATTTTTGAAGGATAGACAATCTACTACTTTTTCTACCACAAATTTAGTAATTTAATAAAGAATAATATTTAATCAGTATTTCATCATTAAATGTCACTTTAAAATAACAAAAATATAGGATACATTAGTTTACTATACCAAATTGCAGAATATCTCCTTTTTATACCTTTCAAAGCTGTGACGAGTATTATTTCAACATAGTGTTCAAATAAAAAAGCAATGTAGGAAATAATAAGCATAATCAATCATTGATCACATAAGGAATTCAATATACACTAATCACATATTTCATCTTTGAATAATGAACTTCACTCATGCGAAACATTAATAATACTATCTACACTGAGGTAGTAGAGCTATTTATCTAAAGATTTGTCTGAGAATAAAGAACATGAAATCTAACATGCATCAAAAGCATTCTGGTCTCATTTTAAATCCATGATTCTCTTCAGTATTTTACTCAGGTTCTGGGATAGCTTCAAATATGGAAGAATAAGTATTTGTTCCTCCCTCACAACCATTTAAATTTGAAAATAAGAATCCTTAGTCTAACACTAACTCAAAGGGTCATTTACTCCACCTCCTTAAATTTTGACAGATCTGAATTTTACCTACCACTTTGGAAATAAACACCTTCAAAGAGACATTAAACTTCTTCTGTAAGAATATATTCTACTGTTTCCTCAAAATGTTTGCTAAATTTTAATAAGCACTTGTTTACTTTTCCTCTTCCTCTTAACATCTCATTTGTTTTTTTCTCAGTGCTTTATCTGCATCTCTTGTACAAGTGGTTCTCAAACTTGGATGGACATTACCGTTACGTGGGGAGTTTTGTTTAAAAAACATCACAATGCTTGTCTTACACCTCCAAAGTTCTGATTCAGTCGCTTTGGATGAGGCCCAAAGATCTGTCTCTTTTAAAAGCCTCTGAGATGATTCCAATGCCCAGTTATTGGGGAACACTGGCTACATATTCTAAATGTAATAGTCATAAATATCTACAGAAATATAAACTATTTATTAAAACAGGATGGCTAATAATCACACATACATAGCTGTATTCAAGACATAGCATAAAGCAAATAGAAAAAGATCATTAATAAGAAAAAAAAGACAAGAAAACCTCACTATCCACTTAAAGTACCATGAATTAATTCCCAACATAAAGATTGCCATTAATCTTATTCTCCCATTCCTTATTACCAGAAGCTTCCTGAACTAGTTTTGCTGTGGTGAAGGCTCTGTAGCTTTGGTTTGCTAGCCAGGTTGGTTTTTGTCACTTTGATTCTGACAGGACCGGTGCCAACTTTTAGGCAAACAAGTTACACCTGGTGAAGAAGAATGTGTCAAAGGGGCAACTGCTACAGCTGTTACACAAAACAGGTACTCACTAGCAAGGAATACCTGGAATATTTCAGTGATTCTCAGCCCCAGTTGCACTTTATATTCTTCTGGAGACCTCTGAAACTCTCATGGTAACTGCTGATACCCAGGCCCCACCGCCCCAGAGACCTGAGGTGGGACTCAGGCATCCTATGCTTTGTCATCTCTCCAGGGGTTTGTTACACACAGCTAGAGTGGAGGACCACTGACTGAGATGGGTTTTTAAAACCCTCAAGGTCATACGAATGTAGTCAATTTGTAATATCCCCATGAGAACAAAATCTGAGGGAATCCTTTTCACTTTTTCACACACCTTCAACTCTTCTTTCTGACATTTTCTCCCTTTGTATTTAACTAAAGCTTGCTCTTGTCCATTTTGAAATTCCTTTATTTTTTAAAATAACAGGGGTATGGAGTAAAGACATTACTGTGATTTGCTACAAATCCTTTCAAACAGTGGCTTTCATCAGAAGTAAATAGACATTTGAGATTTTGCTCCCTCTGCTATATTTTGTTTAATTTATCTATATTCTTAATTCTTCACAGTTTAAGTGCTAAAGACATCCATCATTAATTCCTCAGAAGTAAGAAAAATATAGCAAACACGATGACAAGTTGAAAAGCTTTTTTCCTATCTTCTCAACTATCCAGAAGTAAAATGGCTTTAAAAACCTGTGATATTATTAATAATGAAAACAAGCAAGTATACACACAGTGTTCTTACATAGCACTATGTACTAGGATGTCCTAAATGTTTTTCAGATAATAATTTATGTAATCCTAGTAACAACCCAATAAAAAAGGTAATATTTTACTTCTATTTTACAGATAAGGAAAGAGAGATTAAATAAATTTCTCAAGGTTACCTATCAAGTAGGTGACAGATAATCTGTTCTTTAAAATCTATGCTCTTAACTTAAACAGTGTGTTGTCTCTATAAGAATTAAGATTTACCTTTTTTGGGTAGACAGATAATTTTCCATATTATTATGCTTATAATTAATCGGCTCAATCTTCATAGTCCAGTAGGATAATGCAACAGAAATGATATATGGTTTTCATGGAATTTTTTTCTAGTGATAAAGGTACCAGAAAATCTCTTTGAAATCATTAAAGGCAGCCTCAGATATGAAAAATAGGTATATGCATGTTGAAATCACCTAGAAATTATCATTTAGAAAATTAAGTTACACTGGCCACCACTTCAAAGAAGGAGTCACTTTGAGTAAACTCTGGGTAAATCCCCTCAAAAGAGTTCCTATAAATCAAGTGAAAAGTTCCATTTTGGGGAAAAAGATGAGAATTTTTTAAATCCCCATATGTTTAGAAAAAGTCTAATTGCTTTACAGTTTCACAACTGGTTTTAAAATTTTAATCAGTTAATAAAAGCTCCCTTCAGTGAACGACCTCTGAAAGCCAACCAATCAATGACAGTCTCACTCTTTGAAAGACAGGCAATCAGCAGTATACTCACTCTAGTGAAAAAGCTTCCAAGGCCTAAGTCAACCCACCCCTATTTCAGTAATCTACATGCCAATAAACTAAATGACACCAGGAGTTTGCCTTGCTCAGTCAGACTGGGCCAGACTAACATAGCTCTTCCTTACTTTACTTTTTCGATATCACATAATGAGTGGTGATCTCTTCTATCAATATAGCATAAAATTCTGTTTAAACTGTTTAAAACTTAAATTTACTTGAACCCTAAAATGTATTCATAATAGTAATTTGGGGTTTATAATGTGGGAAAAGTTAGATCAGTGCTGGCCCAGTGTCCCTACAGCAGAAAGGGACCCATGGACAAGGTTTCATATGTGAACTAAAAAACTGTATATGAAGAGCTGCATCCTTTAAGACCATGCACAGGGCAACCTCCAACTGAGACAGTGCAGTGTCCTTTCATGGAATCAAGCTGACCTTAACTGCTTGTGGGTAAGGTAGGCCTCACTGCATCACAGAACATCATTTGTTAGATGGGCAGTCCCATCTTCAACACTGACATGACATAGTACAGAAAAGCAACAGCAGCTGGAGACTGGGAGGAGCAGGCTTTTATCTCTCCCTCCATTTGGCTGGAAAGGCTAGACACCATTTGAAACATGTAAACCTTTAAGGTTTTGAGCAATTCAGCAAGAAAAATGTCAGAGGTAGATCTTTAAGAGGTAAGTTGTATACTTCCTGTTACTAAGACATACAGGTTCTCAAAGAATAAAAATATAAGAGAAAATAAGAAATATGAAAATATAAGAGATAGGTATGCATATCAATGTTAGAAGTTATTTACTACTTATGAATGTGTAATTTTTCTATTTTATAATAAAGTTTCATGGCTTCTCTGGGTACCTTCTATTGGGAACATATTTAGATACATTAGAATTTTTTTTTCTTTTTTTTGAGACAGAGTCTCACTCTGTCGCCCAGACTGGAGTGCAGTGGCATGATCTCAGCTCACTGCATCCTCTGCCTCCTGGGTTCAAGCAATTCTCCTGCCTCAGCCTCCTGAGTAGCCGGGATTACAGGTGCCTGCCACCAAGCCCAGCTAATTTTTTGTATTTTTAATAGAGACAGGGTTTCACCATGTTGGCCAGGCTGGTCTCGAACTCCTGACCTCAGGTGACTCACCTGCCTCGACATCCCAAAGTGCTGGGATTACTGGCATGAGCCACTGCTCCTAGACAATACATTAGAATTCTACATAATGTAGCAATTGTTAAATATCCATATTATATTTCCCCACCACTACCAGATCCTTGTTTCACTTCTGTATAATATTTTTGGTGTGCCAGTTCTCTTTAATCTTCCCTAGGAATTATGTACCCACATACATAAAAAAGTATAAATAATAGTATAAGCACCATTAGTATAAGTATCATAGTCCTAATTTTTCATGGACCATAGCAGAAGGAAACAATCAAAAGTTGTCTAACTTTTTATTCACAATATTTTGATGTTCATACTATAAAACAAGTTTGTATTAGGTTGATTTACCATGGGATGGCCTATTAGGGACAAGGGCAAATAACTAGATCTATGATCTCAGAAACACAACGGAATGTTGCTATTTTTCTTACAGAAAACTAGATCTCTTTATTATATTATGATCTCTTTATTACATTATTGTGCCAAATTTTCTTCTCAAAGTTTTGGTATTACTGTCGATAACATCCTACAATATAACCCTACTTATAAACCATTAATCAATGACGATCCAACTTATACAAGAAGACTACTTAGGCATTACCCAGTTGATAACAGCTATTAAAAATAAACACAAACTACAAAGAAGACATTACTTTTAATCTGTTAAATAGCAAAAAAGAATGGCATTACTATAGTAGACATTAACAGTTTTATTTTATGATAGAATAAGTTATAAAATACATTTGGTAATTACTATGTTCCCTTCACTGATGATGTATCTAGAAGGTAATAGGCACTCAAATAAATGTTAGCATTTACAATTTTTTGTTGTTGCTATGATTTATTCTTTTTATTGTTACTATTATTTAATCCATAGCCTTTGATGATATTTCATTCATTTAAAAAGTTCTATTTTTTACATAGGTTTTTAAATTTCCATAAAGTCGAGTAGTATGTATGCATGTGCGTGTATGTATGTATGATGGGTAGTCAAATCATTATTGGGTTTTTTGGTTGTTGTTGTTTGTTTGTTTGTTTCATTTTGCTATGATGCTCAGCTGAAGAGTTTGGAGACTCCTGGCCCACAGAGAGTCTGACCTACATTCACATTAAAGTAAGCTCATGACAGTTCACCCTTTAGAAAACAATTAAACTATTTGCTATGAATTAAAAGACAATTCCCAGTTTATACGATAATAAATCAGATGTTAATTGGATAAAAGTCACTACCAATAAAGCAAACCAGTATATCAGCCAGAACTGCTGAATGTAATCTGAGCAGACAGCAGTTCAGTGTAACCAACAGACCACGAGTGCCTAAGGTAGGCCGTCTATTCAGCCAGTTACATGTGGTTGCTCTGTGAATAAGAACTTGACAACTCATCCTGGCTTCCATAGCTGACTTCCCCAAGGTGCCTGCCTGCCCAGTTGTTGATCACATGATATGCGGTAAGTGAGAAAACAAGGTTGTAAATGCAGACACAGATCTCACAGTCTCTGGGACATCTCTTCTCTGATTCAAGACCAGAAGCTCAGTCTCATGGGTGGAGTGCCAGCCAAATAAAGTGCTCAGACTACAGGTGTGTCTTTTTATTTTGGTAAGTATGATTCATTGTTTAAACAAATTTTGAATTTCAATTCCATCCAGTAGAACAATCACTCTCCTTCAGCTACAACCCCCAGCACTAATTATAGGCTTATATTCACAGCCTTACTCATCATCTTTACCTGCATGGCCCTGAAGGCATTTGAATTCATAAGTCCTATGACTAATCCATAAACTACAGGAGGGCAGGCATTATGCCTATTTCATTCACTACTGCGTATTTGACACCTCCCAGAATACCTTTTATATTGTAGGCTATCATTAATGTTTGATGAAACAAAGAATGTATAAATCAATGAATGGTAGCTTTGTATTCAGAATTTCAGAGTGAGCAGCAGAAGGGAGGTAAAATTTGTACCTGAAAATGCCTACCCTGATAATCTTTATATCCCTTAAAAATGACCATTACTTGTTCCCATTAGTTATGACAAATGAATGCAAATTAAGGCAGGCTATTCGAACTGGCTATGCTACCAAGGTATAAATGTCAGTTTCTGGTTTCTGGAGGTAAACGTGATCAAACAACTATTTTTGTGGGTGCACTCACCATATAAGATATTGCTCCAAAAGACAAACAACATATAGATGCACTGGCACCTGTCATATCTTTTTTAATAATAATCTGTCTGAGACAGAAAAAAATGGAAAAGGGGAATTCTTAACAGCTGAGATAAACAAAGCTAAGAAAAAAAATTTAATGGTACAAAATCTGACAGTCTTATTTATGACTGGCTCCAGGATAGAGTGTGAAACCAAGAGAGGTACTGCTATCAAATTTTATTTGTAATAGGCTAGCCATGAATTTTTTGGCACCTACCTCAATGGCTTTTAAACAGAAAAACTGAGGCAACAAAACATTTGCATCTGATTCTTGATGCTCTTTTGAAACCTATTGTTATAAAACATAGAAAGATTCTTAATCTCACGATGTATATGATCTAGAAATTTCATCTGCAAAATTGAGAAAACATATGCTGCCAGGGAAGTATAAAATGATTGCCTCTTTCTAATACCTGAGGTAGTAGCATGATAATAACTGTGTAAGACAACTTCTCCTTCTCTCAAAATAATTATGGCTCTCTAGAATTCAGCACCTGTTGCTACCAGATGTTACTGTCAAACACGTAAGCAATGGGTTTGAGCATTGCACAAACCTGGCCCGCTTCCAAGAGTCTTTGTCTGAATACCTCAGCAGAAGCAGGTGGCTTTCTAGAGTCCAAGATTTTAAATACCATACCGCACTAATCCGGTTCTGTAAAGAGGAAATGGTTTTCTCTAATGATGAATTGAATCTGTTCAGGTTCAAGCCACCACTTTGGTGCTACTGATAGACATTTTTATAACTATGTTTTAAGTGGAAGGAACAAAAACTCTAAAATTTAATATCACTACTAAAAGTAGGAAAATAATTATAAACCAAAAGTGTGTCATGAATTATCCTCAAATATATGACATCCTGCTGTCATGGCAACTAACCAAAGGGTTTTGTATAAATAAGAAGAAAATATTATTTCTTAGAAAAAGACATAGCTAATGTTTTAGCTAGACTGTGGTAGGTTAGTTACACAATGTGGTATTTGATGTCTTCACATCAACATCTTGATTAGGAGATGTGAGTTTTAATAAACTGTTTAATACGATTAGGTGCAATTCCTAAAATTTGAGACTGTCTTTCCTTTTTGATGTTAAAATAGGCCTCAGTTTATGAAATAATGAATTGATCATAGTTTCATTTTTCTTATTTTAGTAAATTAAAAGTTGACAATCACAAACATATTTTGACAATTTAAATGTAAAATATCTATGCTTAACTGAACATTTTAAAACAGGTTTGTTTATCCAATTTATAATAGGCACAATGATAAAATAAAACTATCTAACCAAGGAGGTGAAATATGTCTGCAATGAGAACTACAAAACACTGCTGAAAGAAATCACAGATGACACACACAAAAAAGGAAAAACACTGTGGGCTCATGCATAGGAAAAATCAATATCATTAAAATGCTCATACTGCCCAAAGCAATCTATAGATTCAATGTTATTCCTATGAAACTAGAAATATTATTTTTCACAGAATTAGAAAAACATTTTCTAACATTCATATGGAACCAAAAAAGAGCCTGAATAGTCAAAGCAATCCTAAGTAAAAACAAACAAACTAAAAGCCAGATGTATCACGTTACCTGACTTCAAACTATTCTCTAAGGTTACAGCAAACAAAACAGAATGGTACTGGTACAAAAAGAGACACATAGACCAATGGAACCAAATACAGAACCCATAAATAAAACTGTACACTTATGGTCATCTGATCTTTGACAGAGTCAATAAAATAAGCAATGGGGAAAGGACTCCCGATTTAATAAATGGTGCTGAGATAGCTGTCTAGCCATATGCAGAAGAATGAAAGTGGACCCCTACCTTTCATCATAGCCAAAAACTAACTAACTAAGATGAATTAGAGATTAAATGTAAAACCCCAAACTATAAGAATCCTAGCAGAAAACCCAGGAAACACCACTGTGGACTTGGGCGTTGGGAAAAAATTTATGACCAAGTCCTCCAAAGTAACTGCATCAAAAACAAAAATTGAGAAAATTGACCTAATTAAACTAAAGAGCTTTTGCACAGCAAAAGAAACTATCAACAAAATCAACAGACAACCTACCTAATTGAAGAAAATAGTCACAAATTAAGTATCCCACAAAGATCTAATATCCAGAGTCTATAAAGAACTTTCAACAGCAAAAAACCAATAACCCCATTAAAAAGTAGGCAAAAAATGAGCAGACACTTCTCAAAATAAGACATACAAGCAGACAACAAAAATGTTTAAAAAGTCAAATTACTAATCACCAGAGAAACGCAAATCAAAACCACAATGAGATAGCATTTCATACCAGTCAGAATGGCTATTATTATTATTTTATTATTATTATTATTATTATTATTATTATTATCATTATCATTATTATTATTTTGAGACAGAGTTTTGCTCTTGTTGCCCAGGCTGGAGTGCAATGGCCCAGTCTCGGCTCACTGCAACTTCTGCCTCCTGGGTTCAAGCGATTCTATTGTCTCAGCCTCCCATATAGCTGGGATTACAGGCGTCCATCACTATGCCTGGCTAATTTTTGTATTTTTAGAAGAGACGAGGTTTCACCATGTTGGTCAGGCTTGTCTCGAACTCCTGACCTCAGGCTTTCCACCTGCCTTGACTTCCCAAAGTGCTGGGATTACAGGCGTGAGCCAACACGCCTGGCCGAAAATGGGTATTATTAAAAAGTCAAGAAACAACAGATGCTGACGAGGCTGCAGAGAAAAGGGAATGTTTACACGCTGTTGGTGGTAATATAAATTAGTTTAGCCACTGTGGAAAGCAGTTTGAAGATTTCTCAAAGAACATAAAACAGAACTATCATTCAACCGAGTAATCCCATTATTGAGTATATACCCCCCCCAAAAATAAACTGTTCTACCAAAAAGACATATGCACTCACATGTTCATTGCAGCACTATTCACAATAGCAAAAACATATCATCAACCTAGGTGCCCATCCGTGGTAGACTGGATGAAGAAAATGTGGTACATAATATGTCATGGAATACTACACAGCCACAAAAAAGAACAAAACCATGTTCTGTGTAGCAACCTGGATGCAGCTGGAGGCCATTATCATAAGTGAATTAATCCAGGAACAGAAAACCAAATACGGCATGTTCTCACTTATAAGTGAGAGCTAAATATTGGGTATGGATGGATGCAAAGATGGCAACAATAGACACTGGGGAGTGCTAGAACGGGGAGCAAAGGAGGATGGCAAGATTTGAAAACTACCTATTGGGTACTCTACACACTACCTGGGTGACAGGTACTCCAAATTTCAGCATCATGCAATATATCTATGTAACAAACCTGCATGTGTATCCCTTGAATCTAAAATGAATTTGAAATTATTTTTTAAAAATCATGTTTGCTTTTCTTAACTACAGAATTACTTCAAAAGATCTTAGTTGAGTTTTCCTAAAAAAAGACAAAAATCAGTGCTTTTACCCAGAAAGATTTGCACAAATGCAAATAATTTGGGGACTATATTAAAATTTAGCCATTTACATCATATGCATTTTTTTTCATTAAAATAACTGATCCACTTCAGATCTTGGGAGAAGATTATGTACCTGAATGACGTTAGTAAATTGTAATTTAATTAAATTTAGTTAAAAAAAAAGCTACCTTCCCTTTTTCAAAAAGAGAAAAGTTAAGCCAACAATTTCACACATGGAAGGCAAAATAGTCAAGTAATTGGTTTTCCTATCACTATTTTGTCAAGTAATTACAAGGGAAAACATATACGCATCACGAAGTAAAATAGTAACTTTCAGCCTCTTTCATTATTTTTCTTCTTAGTTCATGTGATTGAAGCCATTCATTTTTCACAATCTAGTTCGTCCAGCACACTGTTAGTAATATGCTATATGCCCTACTTTGTGAAGCAAAAGTAATATTCTATGAATTTCATTTCATCTCTGATTTATCTACAATTTTTTAATGCATTCTCTACAATAATTATTTTAGCTTGCCAGTTAGTTATTAGTAGTCCCACCAGAGGGCAGACAGGGGAAAACTCAGGCTGTAAAACTCAAATAAGCACAATACTGATATTTACTCATTTTTCTATAAAAGCTGTGCAAATGGGAGCACTGTACATATTTGATGCTTATTTCAAATCATTTTCCATTGTTTTCCACAGTCCTTCTCTTTTTTCTGGGTAGACCAGAGACTCACTTTGTGATCTAGTAGTTACCTAAAATAAATTTTGATGGAATTGAATTTATTTTGTATGAAGAAGGTTATGTAAGAGTCAACAGACACACATGAGCCAAATTTAAAATTCAAGAAAATTTACAATAATAGGCCAATAGGGAGACTTCAGCTGATGAGATTTTTTACTATTCTGTAAGAATCACGAATCTTACTTATTACCAAATACAGTATGTGTCACATTTTCTACAGTGAGAATTCTGACAAAGGTGGAAACTGAGAATTACATTAATCTAATTTGTGTGCTACAAAAACATGGAAAACAATTTCCACATCCACAGGAGTCAGTCAGTACTTGATTCTAGCTATATGTCTGAAATGATAAAGAAGAGGTTTATTAATATTTGTCAAAAGAGTACATTTCAAACAACTTCTGAATTATTTGAAGTGGTAGGAAGACTTGTTTTAGAATATCTTTTATTAAAAACTTTAAATAGTTCAATTATTATAAGGAACAGTAAATCCTTATTGCCAAAGTAATAATTTTGTGTAAAATTAGTAGAAAGCATTTAGTTTTGCAATAGCAATAATTCAGGTAAAAAAAAATACACAGAAGTATCAAGACAGTAATACAAAATTGAATGCTTAGGCAATCAGCAAATCAGCCAAGAACAAAGTAAGTCCCTGGTTCAGCACTACTTCTAAACAGCTTTATCTTTAAGCCCAAATTCATAAATCTAGGCTTAAGAAAGGTCAAATGAAAGAAGAAAAAAAATACATTTTCTTTCCGATAAGTTTCATCCATTGCTCGTCAAGCCAATAGAAATATAGAAAACCAATTCTGTTAATTCTGAAGGCAATCTGTTCAACGTCCTTAACACAGATATATGTTTGTGGGTTTAGGTTTATTGAGTGCTACTGCCATGTAGGTCACTGGGAAATAGAAATTTGTCTAAATCTAATTGGAAGAAGAAGAGCAACTTACAAAATTAAAAATTCAGAGAGCTAAAGGAAGTGATACCAAGCCAATGGGCACTGCAGATAAAAGATCTAGAGGAGGTGACTGAACATTGATCCATGTGAGTCATCAAAACACGGTATTCACTAGGGAAATTTTGTCACCACCTAAATGAAGAATAAGGGGACTAAGGAAAATTACCCTGCCTATTAGCAAGAGCTAGGACAGCCCCTCCCAAATCCTTCTCTATCCAGGGATGAAATTAAATATTTAAAATTTGTAAGTGTGAAAAAGCAATACATCAAATCAAGGAAAGAGGAACATGGTGGTGAATAAAGAAATGGAATGTTTTTGATTAAAAAAAGAAAAAAGACTTGTTACCAGGAAGTAAAGGAGAATTTTGAAACTTGTATTGAAAACATACAGGATTCCAAAGTCTCTTTGAAATGCCGTAATCTTGTATGAGATGAAGAAGCAACAGGCTGAGATTCAAACAATGGTTGTCTAAATGAGTAAAAATTAAAAGAAATCTGAAAACACAATGGCAAAATCAAAATCAACATTGGAGGCATTAAACACAAGAACTGGCACAGGAGGAAAATAAAATCAGGGATTTAGAGAATAAACCTGAAGGGCTGCCCAAAAATATGAAGGAAAAAAGTGACGGAGATAAGTAACACACAAAATTCTGTATATAGCATGATCCTGCATGTGGGGGATAAATTCAGTGAGAATAAACATAGGAAATATTCAAAGGTGCTAAAAGTGGCCATCTCTGGATTGCGCAATCATAAGAAAGTTTCACTCTTTCTGTATATTTTCTCAATATAAAGTGTTTTACACTTTAGACTGTATTACTTTTGTAATCAGAAGAAAAAATAAACACAAAACTCAACTTAACTCATATATTTTTCAGAATAACCACTGATGAATGGGCTTTTTCTACAATAATCAATTCCTGTTTTCCAATCAATCTTAAAATGGAGACTTTCTAAAGCTGATATATTTAAATTATGAGAATGAAGTAATTAACCGAAACGTGCCCAATGGCTTTTTGTATTTCTCCATTTTAACTCTGCACACTTTAAAATTCCATGAAGCCGGAATTTAGAATTAATTCTAACTTATAATATTGCAGCATGCTGACTGATTCTTGATTTACATCATTCAAGGACAGTGTTTTATAGCCATCTTTAGTAACTCAAGAGGAAATGAAACAGAATAATCTTTAAAAAATAGCCCCAACATAGAATATTTTTATTATTCTTTTAAATTATTTTAAGTTCTTTTAAAAAGTCCTCATTCACGATTTTACTCAATTTCTTCTAATGGAAATTTAAAATAACTTCCTTTCATTCAATTTTTCATGAAGATAGAAAAACATCAATATTGTTTCTACAATAATGTATTGCATACAGCAAGCCAGCATAGTGAAGTAGAGGGAACACTAGCTTTGAGGTTAAATATACTGTATTCAAATCCTAGGTCCATTATTTACTGATGATATGTCATTGCGTAAGGAGGTAACCATTTCTGCAGCTTCCACATCATTAAAGAAAAAAGAAACTTGAGAATACATTTATTCCCCAAATCTTTGCGGAGTGCCTTCCATGTGCCAGACAATGTTTTGTTTACAGTGATTTTAGGATTCAATGAATTATTTTCCATAAAGTGTATTTACCCATTTTAAAAGTGCCTGTCTTATTCTATGCTAGCTTCTCTACAAAGGTGACTTTTAAATGTGATGGTAGTTTCATTGTCTTTTTTTTTTTTTTTTTTTGGCTAACATTGACAATTAGATTACTGGCACTTTCAATATTTAAATTATATTGAGATGCCAAACAAGTCGTTCTGTTTTTGTCAACTGCTGATAGTTGGTATAGAGGAGAGTTAGCAGTTTTGCACTAGCCTCTTTTCAGAAGTGACACAAAGCATCTCAATTTAAAATTTTTCAGAGGACAGAATTGGTTTTCAGAATCAAAGGGAATAGTCATTACTTTGCCTAGCATATATCACTGCAATTTATCTTTGCATGAATTAACAAAGCTGAATATTTAGGTGCACTAAAACGTGGGGAAATATATTGCGAACGAACTGCAAGATGGACACTATTAGATACTATGCATATGAGTGTGTGAGTGTGTGTATGAACATGTGCATAATTATTCAGTTCTTGTCGTAAACCTTCATGGCAAGTATTACGATTTGTGAATGAAGAGGTTGAAGCAAGTACCTTGCCCAAAGTCAAATAATATATTGTGGTGATGTCAAGCATCAGAATTTTGCAGTCAAATACCACATGCTCCAAGGCCAATATTATTTCCCCTAGAAGGAAGAATAAAATTATCCAATTTAAATATATATTTTAAAACAAACACTTTTCAATATCTACATGATCATGCATTATTTTAAAAGCTACGATGTGACAGAAAGTACAAAAATATCCTACAGCATAAATGAAAAGATATACTAATGACAGGTATTCATATCCCTCTTCAAATAGAGTTTGACAAGTTAAAATACATTTCAAATAGCCAAAATCATGTAAGAATCAAATATTAATGGAAGATTTATCATCCTTATAGAATGAAATGAAGACTCAGGCATAGAACCAATTTGTCTCTACAAAATACTGAATGAGACAGAACTGCAAATGTTACCTGACATAGGATGCAGTTCAATAAATCTAGGAGAAATCATGTAAACTATGTTTTAAAAAAAAAAGTGCAGTAATAGAGGACGGTTGGGAATAGGATGGGCTGTAGATGCAGATTCATGGGTTTAAATCTGAGTCCTGCTCTTTAGGAGCTTCAAGCAAATTACTTCACAGACTTGTAACTACGTTTTCTCATTTGTAAAATTAAGATAATGTTACTACTTCATAAGGTTGTTGAGAGGATTAAGATAATATATATAGTAACATACATAGTAAGATCTCAGTAAATGTTTAAAGTCAGGGGAGTACGTCTATAGATGAGCAAAAGCACATTTGAAAATAAAACATAATTGTTTCAAAGGTTCCACATAATTATAAACGAAATTAATCTAAAGCATCTTAAATTTAACAATGGCATTTGTTAATCTTGTTTAATTCACTTTAGAAAAGTTCTCAGACTTAGATGCACAAATGAAAAATGGTTAAATTTATTCAATGAGGACAAGAATCGTACTAAACTAAATACATTGCCACAGCTACAAAATATTATTTTTCAAACATGTACTGAGAGCTTAAAATGTGTCATCGATTGTGCTGGGCATGAGGTCGAGGGTAGTTTAAGAAAGAATAAGACTTCTGGAACTCCTAAACTAATCCTGAAGACAAGAATGCAAACACCTATGGTGTTTTTCATTGATGCTATACTTTTACGTCTTCAGAGAAAACTGTGACATATAAATGTTCTGTGAGAGATGCTGAAGATTCTGCTGGCCTTCCAAATTACATCTTCATCCACTCTGCCAGCGCTTAAAATACCTTGATCATTTGAATAAAAAGGTGAAGTCCCCTGTTACATAATAAACATTATCTGAAAGCAGAACACATTAAGCCATTAAACATTTAGCTCAAAATTAGTTTGTTTGGTAAGGCTCTGAGAATCCAGAGAAGAAAGAAACTAGAATAAATACCCTCAACATTGTAGTCTCAGATCAATCTGTATAAGTATGCCTTCTACCCAATCTAAACTGATATCCTCTAAACACTATGGCAGCTTTGCTGTACTTTCTTATGAAATATGTAGATTTCTACATTGTAATATATATTTACAACTTTTTAGCAAAGTTCATATTGGATATCCCAGTCAAGCTTTGCTACTGATGCCTTTACTTATAGTTCATGGAATCATTTGACCCTCTACTCTCTCTATTTGAAAACTCCTGTCTTCACCTTCTCTATGACCATGTAGACTACATATTCATGACTTGAATTTATCTCTTGCTTCAGTTTGTATTTCTACTTCACCTGGCTGACAGACCTCCACCCTAGACTGCAACAGTGGTCCCCATAACTGGCATCTAAACTTGACCTGTTGGGAACTGCTGAAAAAAAAAGGAGCTATGAACATTCTCAGGTTGATAACACATTTTGTAGCATGGGTTCTCCAGAAGCAAGGAGAAGAAAGATAGTTATTAGGGAAGTGACTTTCTGTACCTAAAGCAGACTTTGACTGAGCTAACAACAGGAAGCCATGTGCTGAACACACTCTCCATAGCTTTGTAGTGATTCCCTCCTTGAAAAGAAATCTGGTGTACATCCATATCTACCATATTACATGTTTACGGACTCCTTTATCCTCCATGATATTTTGAAATCCTTCTACAATCCCATAGTCAATTAAAACCCCACTGAATTTATTTTTTAAAATTATCCACTCTGTGGAAATCTACCTGCCCCATAATTCCTTGCCCCCTTTCTGCCCCATCTTAAGTGATTTACTGCCAAGCAAAAGGGTAAGATATGAGACAGGATCATGCTCAACTTGTGTCACCACACCTATATACATATTTACTCAACATCTTCCCTCTGTTTCCTTCTGCAAAAACACTTCAATAACTGTCCATTGACTTTTCCATGAAGTCCAAACCTCTTTACATGGCTGGCATTCCCTTTTGTAGCGAGGACCCTGTCTATCTCAACATTCTCCGTTATGTCACTCCCTTTATTAAACTCATGCTCCAGCCAAACGTAATGTTTTCGTTCACAGCAATCATTTGCTCTTGCACCTCCCCCCATGGTATGTATTTTTCACTCTGTGCTGAACACTCTTTACCTGCCTTCTTTGCTTAGTTAATCCCAAATTATTGTTTTTTGGATCTCAGTCCATTGAGATAACTAACCTTGACCCTTCAAGGTGGTGTTATGTGTCCCTTTTATGTGCATCTATTGCACACTGTCTTGCCTTTATCATGTACTTAGCACACTATGGTGTGTTGCATAATTCTCATTCCCAGAAGACTATAAGCTCTCTGAGGACAGGGACATGATCTCATGCATATAGTACATTTTCTAGTCCCACCTGAATACCTGACATCTAATGGGTACTCAGTGTTTATTTAAATGGATGGTTACCATTATAACTTACACCTATTACTGAGGTCCAGAACTGATTTAGGTACATGGAATGCAGCATTTAATTTAATCTTCACAACTATCCTACCAGATGGCCACAATTATCCCTCAGAAACTAGGCACGGAGGGCTTTAGTCAAGTGCCTAAAGTCCTAATACAGATGACAGACAGAGCTAAGATTCAAAGCCAGGTTTGCCTGACTGAATTTAAATCCCTTTGTTTATCCGTATTATCTCCTCTATAGACTATAAGCCCCTCAGAGACAGGCTCCTGTCCAATCTACTCATGTCATTTAATTCAATCCTTTTTTGTCCATTACCCTACTGCCTTACCACCCAATTAGCGCTATATAAATATTAGTTGACTGAATGATAAGTTGTCAAAATTTTTATCAGTTGGTACCCCTTTGTTAGAGTTGCGTGTTTTGCTTTTGACCCAGCTACAAAGAGCATGAAACTAATTTGCAATGCATAATTTTTTTAAGAAATGCTTTTTACTGTAGAGAAATAAAAGTTGAAAACTAATGCAATCTTCAAATATAAGAAGAAATATAATTTGATGATAATCACCTACTCTTTGTTTCAACTGAAGATAGGGTTAGAATAATGAATTTAAATTATAGAAAGAATGAGCTAGGTTAGAAATTGAAAAAAATTCTCTGAATATGGATAATAAAATATAAGAAGGTGATACTAAGGGAAGATATATGAATCATCTACGTAGCATTTCAGAATAATGTTGATAGAGAACTATTTGAACAGCAGAGACATAGGAAATAAATTAACTCTACCAGGCTTAGAAATGTATTGTCCCTTATTCTTATATGATAATAATGACTTTTGCAATTCTAAGAAAGATAAAATTGTATGTACAAAGAGAAAATAATATTTCCACATTACAAATTACCAAGTAGAAAGGAAACCAAACTTCTTTTTTTCAATGAATCACTTTTTCAGGTATATATATATCCAATGCCACATTTTATTTTTTTATGATTTCCAGAACAAGGATGTATTTAAAAGGGAAAGAGAAGCAGTAACTCTCAAGAAAATGAATAAATCTGAGGGTAATATCATAGTTTATGTCTTCCAAATATTTAATCAAAATATTTGCTTAAAAAAATCTAATTTCCACCTGGAGATTTTTCAAACAGAATATTCCTGAGTGTCAGAGGGTAAGAGTTCTACTTGTGTTTAATATAACATTGGACAGAAAAATTCAAAGAAAGAAAAATATTTCACTTCTTTCAAAAAAACACATTTAAAATACATAATTTTTGCAACTCTTGAAAAGATATTTGTAAAATAAACAAAGGATAACAGAAATAAAACCTTCACTATCATATATATATATATATATATATATATATATATATATATTTTAAAAGGCTGAAATTTTTTTTCTGGCTCTTTAGTGCAATTCATCTGCCCATGTACCACAGATCTAAAAGCAAACTACCAATAGCAGTATATATTCACAATATCTTATGTGTATTTCCTACATTCAAAAATATTTTGTAGCTGGGCATGGTGTTGTGAGCCTGCAGTCTCAGCTATTCGGGAGGATCAGTTGAGCCTAGGAGCTCGAGTTCAGCCTGAATAAGATAGAGAGATACCATCTCTAAAATAATAATAATAATAACAATAATAATAATAATAATAAATACTCTGTAAAGCAAAGCCATTTTTCGTAAGTTTGCAGTAAACTCATTTGGTGGCAAAAATCTCATCATTACTGACATTAATCTTAAGGTGTCCCATCCAGGGACAAATGATTAGGAAAACAAATATTAATAGTTTATTACTTGTACTACCCCAAACCCTGTTGGGGTGTTATGAATTATATTACTAGAAGATGTTAATCTAAAAAAAAATCCAAAACGTGAACGTCAGCATACCTGCCCCCAGGAGTTTTGGATAAGAAGTTGTGGCTCTTTACCTCTAGGAGATTGCCTATGACTTATATTAATTCTTCTCAGCATTGATTCAACTGCTGGGTAAGTTTTCTCAGTCTACATATCTCTGTATTCAGTCTTCTAGAATAGTCACAGTGATAATCTGCTTCATTCTCTTTTTTGACTTTTTGAACCTCAGTCTTCTCTTGGATTTACTTTCCTTTCTTGCATTTCTCACTCCATCCTCTGTTTTGAAACTCCTTTCACTATCTCCATCCAATTTGAAGTCCTCTAGGTCTGATCCCTCACCCCCGCCCCATGGCCAGCCTTTGAAGAGAGAGAAAAATTATTTTCTAAAGGAGGAAAATTAATTAAGTGGTAAAACATTCTTTTGGAAGATGGTGTTTGACATTATTATTATCAGGAGAGTTAAAAATTGGGTCAATCTCGGACTGGTGTGGTGGCTCAAGCCTGTAATCCCAGCACTTTGGGAGGCCGAGGCAGGTGGATCATCTGAGGTCAGGAGTTCGAGATCAGCCTGGGTAACCTAGCGAAACCCCATCTCTATTAAAAATACAAAAACAAAACAAAACAAAACAAAACAAACTTAGCTGGGTGTGGTGGCGGTGCCTGTAATCCCAGCTACTTGGGAGTCTGAGGCAGGAGAATCACTTGAACCCAGGAGGTAGCACTGAGCTGAGGTTGAGCCATTGCACTCTAGCCTGGGCAACAGAGGGAGACTCTGTCTCAAAAAAAAAAAAAAAAGGGTCAATCTCTTGTCATATTAATTCCATTTGTAGAAATGTAATCTAAAAAATATCTGAATGTGAGATATATTTTATGTATAAGATTATTTATAGAAATATTAATTTTAAGGTTAAAAAAGTGGTGATAATTTGCATGCACAAAAATAAGGATAGGTTAAATAAATTAAGGCATGTCATTTTATAGTATAGCATGCAGCCATTATAAATAATTACTAAGAATAAGTAAAAACGTAATTAGAAATAATGTGTTATGAAATTCTAATGATATAACGTTAGGTTAAATAAACTGGTTAAAATAATATATGTGGGTGAAACATTTAAAAAAATTATACATCCTTGTGCAAAGGAAACATATCAATCAATGTGCTAATTATGGTAAAACTAATGAAGGTAACCTTTTTTTCTATATTTATGCATTTTTCAATTTTTCCATAGTGGGAGATTATTATTGTGTAATGAGAAATATTTTTCTTTAGTATAAAAGAAAGAGACAAGCTTAAGACTACAAAATTTTATAATACAGATATTTAGTACTACTTGTCATCTTGTAAGGGGTCAATTTCAACAAATTCCATCATTAAGTTCCCAGAACAAAAGTTTAATTGGGGGTTTATCAAGGGAATTCTATAACACAGAAGTGTATTTTTGCCCACCAATGATGTATGTACTTCTTTTTTCCCAAAAGAATATTAGCTTGCCAAGAGTTATTTTTAAAACCAAAGCCTTATTTGATGAATCATTTCAAATAAATATCATAATTTTTATTGACTTATAGAAACACAAGGTCACTGTGACCTCTTAACCGTCAAAGATGGTAATCACACTAGACTCTTTAAAGTAGAAATCTGCTAAATAGTGTTGCCCTACATCAATCAAGCCTTCAATTGGTAGCAGATTTTAAAGCATGAGGTCATTTTTGAAGAACACCCTCATTACTGTGAAAATCCCATTTAGCATCTTCAGAAAGAAAAAAAAACTGGATTTTGATTTTTCTCTTCAAGCATGCTTATAAAAATTTGCATCACAATGTCTGCAATATTAAATGGCTTAAAGAGGAACAAATACATAGTTTTCTCTGACCCTAACATTGGCCTCCTGGTCCCCTAATCATTCCTTCAACCTATACCTGGGACAACTTACCTGCTACCTACAGTCTCAGTGCCACTTTAACCCGTCCTTCTTGGAGAAAGTTGAAAGCACTGGAATAGTTGAGCTTTATCCATTTTATTGAGAGATGTCCAATGACCATTTAAGCTAGACACAGTGACACCAAATATCCATGAAACAGTGATAAACTGCTTTAGAGCTTCCTGCCTCCCTCAAGTCAACTCTAAACTCTTGGCCCCACAATCTGACTTATGTCCTGTCTCAGCTTTAGTGTACATGTTTTCCCAGCCTTCTTTCTCCTCTTACACTGCAATGATGTCTCCTTCATCATTGGCTCCTTCAGAAACCAGAAGCACTGGCCCCTCAGATACTCTGCCTTACTATCTCACCTTATCTTCCCTCTCTACACCCTAAGGAGTAGGTTCACAATGGTTACCAAACTAAAAGAGTTGCTTTTTCAGTCACATAAAGCTTTTGCCCATATTCCCATTCCTTCTCCCCGTAACACTTGAACTTTGGGTCTGCATATAATTTACATTAGTCTTCTGTGTCAAGGTTCTGCTTCTGATATTTAATATGATGCCATAATGAGCTTCTCCAGGCTTATTCTTAACATTTTTCTCTAGAACTGATATTCTGTCTGGTTCCTAAAATTCTGCTCTCAGAACAACTTCCAATTTTTCTGGTGCTTTCTACTTAAATACATACTTATTTTATTGATCTCGGATTTCTTATCAAGACACCTGGCTATCTCTGACATTAGTTTTATCTATCCTCCAGTTACTATTCACAGGATCTTTCAGGATCACCTGCTCTGTTCTGAAAGGTAGTATTATCTTCATGATCTGCACTTTATTTCTATGGGCCTCTTGTTACAATTTGACTTTAGGTTTTGAAATCAACATCTTTCTTTTGACTGATTTTTTTTCCTCGGTAATTTTTAATCACTTTATTTGACTAACTTGGTGGTGTTTATTAAAAATCTTCATAAGCCAGCAAAAAATCCTACTATAAGCTTTATAGTGTTGGTTATTTACACACGCTTACTCTACAAATCTGTGTTTATGTTTTTGTGTGCATATCATTTTTTGAAAGAAGCCTAGGGATATTAACAAAGGAAATACAAGGATATTTTTATTACCGTATGAAGAAATATATGCCCTCATTCATCTTCCCAACACAATGAATTATCACTTTTCTTGGCACGTATATTAAATGATTTTGAAATAAACCCCTCACAGGTAATTATGATGCTCTATTAGAATTCTTCACATTAACCGAGAATTAACTCATTCCTCCCAGTGGAGAAATCTGTACTCTAGAACACTTACAGCGATTTTAAGCATAAACGTTTAAACTGTTGAGAGATATTATTTTTGAACAAAACATTATTTGCAGTAGTAGCAGACAGGAGCCATCTATTTGTTAATAAAGAGCTATAGACAACATAAGGAAACTATTACTCTATATCTCCGATAATAAAAGTAAAAAAGGGCAAAACTTACTCATCAATTAATGTAGGATGTTATGTTTTCACTCTATGTGGATATATTTGATATCTTATAATTTGAACTATAATATGTTTGTATAATTGTTGCTTTAGTTAAATTGATTTATGCTTTATTATTCTGATAAAATTTAAAGGCATTTTAAAAAATCAGTTATCTTGGAGCCAAGACAAAGAAGGTAGACAGGTATTCATGGTCTCACTTAGAGTGGCAGTGGTGGGAGAATGTTTAAGAAAAGTGATGATAGTCTTGAATTTTAAGTTATTCCCTGCTCAGTATCATCATACTTTATCTCCCTTACTTATTGTTCCACCCTCACCCTTAGTCTTCAAAAGAGCTTTATTAACTATTAAAAATGGAGACAGCATCTATACTCTGCTGTATTTTTTACTCAGCCTGTCTTTTCATGCTATATATTGAGAAAAAAGTAATATTTAGGTGTAAGGGTTATTTGAGAATTAGAGATTATGCACACAAAATACCAGGCACATAGGATCAATACATTGCAGCTGTTTTCCATTTTTAAGCTACAAAACAGTCATGAAAAAGGACCCCCCCAAAAAAGCTGAGTAGCTGATGACACTCATGATGAAGTAAATGTATGGATTATGTCAACTAGTATCATCACACTTTCAGGAGATACAATAGAAACGTGCACAAATAACTCTGCAGTTGGAAAACAAAAGTTGCAGATACAGGTTAAGCTTTGACTACAAGTTACCTTGAAGCAATTTGTCTAAAATCATTCTTCAAGGGAACTCATTTTCTTTACTGATATCTCACATGGCACTTGAGCACATATTACAAGACACAATGAGAAGAAACCAAACCAGAATAAAAGAAGCAAATAAACTGTGACTGTAGACAAGCCATGCACACATGGAAGACATAGTCACTGCAAATGTGTGTGTGTGAACAGGTAGATCCAAACTTAATTGTGTATACAACTATAGAAACACCCAGAAAACCACTAGTCACAGGCCAGATAGATGATTATCTGGGGAATTAGTAATTTTCATTATGTGCTTAAAGATGATGCCAACTAGTTGCTTGATTTGGGGAAAATGTTTTAATCTTTCTTATGTTCAGTTACATCACCTCAGAGTAAAAACATTCAAATGTTCATTTTGAATGTTGCCAAAATCAGTTGGCATTTCTATACACTAACCACAAGCTATTAAAAAATTAAGAAAATAATTCCACTGACAGTAGCATCAATTAGAATAAAATACTTAGTCTCCCTCTCCCTCTCCCCACGGTCTCCCTCTCCCTCTCTTTCCACGGTCTCCCTCTGATGCCAAGCCGAAGCTGGACTGTACTGCTGCCATCTGGGCTCACTGCAGCCTCCCTGCCTGATTCGCCTGCCTCAGCCTGCCGAGTGCCTGCGATTGCAGGCGCGCGCCGCCACGCCTGACTGGTTTTCGTATTTTTTTGGTGGAGACGGGGTTTCGCTGTGTTGACCGGGCTGGTCTCCAGCTCCTAGCTGCGAGTGATCCGCCAGCCTCGGCATCCCAAGGTGCCGGGATTGCAGACGGAGTCTGGTTCACTCAGTGCTCAATGGTGCCCAGGCTGGAGTGCAGTGGCGTGATATCGGCTCGCTACAACCTCCACCTCCCAGCCGCCTGCCTTGGCCTCCCAAAGTGCCGAGATTGCAGCCTCTGCCCAGCCGCCACCCCGTCTGGGAAGTGAGGAGCATCTCTGCCTGGCCGCCCATCGTCTGGGATGTGAGGAGCCCCTCTGCCTGGCTGCCCAGTCTGGAAAGTGAGGAGCGTCTCTGCCCGGCCGCCATCCCATCTAGGAAGTGAGGAGCGCCTCTTCCCGGCGGCCATCCCATCTAGGAAGTGAGGAGCGTCTCTGCCCGGCCGCCCATCGTCTGAGATGTGGGGAGCGCCTCTGCCCCGCCGCCCCGTCTGGGATGTGGGGAGCGCCTCTGCCCCGCCGCCCCGTCTGGGATGTGGGGAGTGCCTCTACCTGGCTGCGACTCCGTCTGGGAGGTGAGGAGCGTCTCTGCCCGGCCGCCCCGTCTGAGAAGAGAGGAGACCCTCTGTCTGGCAACCGCCCCGTCTGAGAAGTGAGGAGTCCCTCCGCCCGGCAGCCGCCCCATCTGAGAAGTGAGGAGCCCCTCCGCCTGGCAGCCACCCTATCTGGGAAGTGAGGAGCATCTCCGCCCGGCAGCCATCCCGTCCGGGAGGGAGGTGGGGGTCAGCCCCCGCCAGGAGAGCCGCCCTGTCCGGGAGGTGAGGGGTGCCTCTGCCCGGCCACCCCTACTGGGAAGTGAGGAGCCCCTCTGCCCAGCCAGCTGCCCCGTCCGGGAGGGAGGTGGAGGGGTCAGCCCCCCGCCCGGCCAGCCACCCCGTCCGGGAGGGAGGTGGGGGGGTCAGCCCCCTGCCCGGCCAGCCGCCCCGTCTGGGAGGGAGGTGGGGGGGTCAGCCCCCCCGCCCGGCCATTCTTCCCGTCCGGGAGTGAGGGGCGCCTCTGCCCGGCCGCCCCTACTGGGAAGTGAGGAGCCCCTCTGCCCAGCCAGCCGCCCCGTCCGGAGGAGGTGGGGGGGTCAGCCCCACCCGGCCAACAGACCCGTCGGGGAGGTGAGGGGCGCCTCTGCCCGGCCGCCCCTACTGGGAAGTGAGGAGCCCCTCTGCCCAGCCAGCCGCCTCGTCCGGGAAGGAGGTGGGGGGGTCAGCCCCACCCGGCCAGCTGCCCCCGTCTGGGAGGGAGGTGGGGGGGTCAGCCCCCCGCCCGGCCAGCCGCCCCGTCCGGGAGGTGAGGGGCGCCTCTGCCCGGCCGCCCCTACTGGGAAGTGAGGAGCCCCTCTGCCCAGCCAGCTGCCCCGTCCGGGAGGGAGGTGGGGGGGTCAGCCCCCCGCCCGGCCAGCCGCCCCATCCGGGCGGGAGGTGGTGGAATCAGCCCCCCGCCTGGCCAGCCGCCCCTACTGGGAAGTGAGGAGCCCCTCTGCCTGGCCAGCCGCCCCGTCCGGGAGGGAGGTGGGGGGGTCAGTCCCCCTCCCGGCCAGCTGCCCCGTCCGGGAGGTGAGGGGCGCCTCTGCCCGGCCACCCCTACTGGGAAGTGAGGAGCCCCTCTGCCCGGCCAGCCGCCCCGTCTGGGAGGGAGGTGGGGGGGTCAGACCCCGCCCGGCCAGCCGCCCCGTCCGGGAGGGAGGTGGGGGGGGTCAGCCCCCCGCCCGGCCAGGCCCCCCGTCCGGGAGGGAGGTGGGGGGGTCAGCCCCCTGCCCGGCCAGCCGCCCTGTCCGGGGGGTGAGGGGCGCCTCTGCCCGGCCACCCCTACTGGGAAGTGAGGAGACCCTCTGCCCGGCCACCACCCCATCTGGGAGGTGTACCCAACAGCTCATTGAGAACGGGCCAGGATGACAATGGCGGTTTTGTGGAATAGAAAGCGGGGAAAGGCGGGGAAAAGATTGAGAAATCGGATGGTTGCCATGTCTGTGTAGAAAGAGGTAGACATGGGAGACTTTTCATTTTGCTCTGTACTAAGAAAAATTATTATCCTGTTGATCTGTGACCTTACCCCCAACCCCGTGCTCTCTGAAACATGTGCTGTGTCCACTCAGGGTTAAATGGATTAAGGGCGGTGCAAGATGTGCTTTGTTAAACAGATGCTTGAAGGCAGCATGCTCATTAAGAGTCATCACCACTCCCTAATCTCAAGTATCCAGGGACACAAACACTGCAGAAGGCCGCAGGGTCCTCTGCCTAGGAAAACCAGAGACCTTTGTTCACTTGTTTATCTGCTGACCTTCCCTCCACTATTGTCCTATGACCCTGCCAAATCCCCCTCTGCGAGAAACACCCAAGAATGAACAATTAAAAAAAAAAAAAAAAGAATAAAATACTTAGAAATAAACTTAACCAAAGAGATGAAATAGCTGTTCAAGGAAAACTGTAAAACACTGATAAAAGAAATTTAAAAGACACAAATAAATGGAAAGATATAGCATGTACATGAATTAGAAGAATTAATATTGTTGAAATGTCCATACTACCCAAAGTCATTGACAGATTCAATGCAATCCCTATCAAAATTCCAATGGCATTTGTCACAGAAATAGAAAAAATAATCCTAAATTTGTATGGAACCATAAAAGACAGTGAACAGCCAAAGTAATCTTGATAAAACAGAACAGTGCTGGAGGTTTTACATGTCCTGATTTCAAACTATATTACAAAGCTACAGTAATCAAAATAGTGTGCCACTAGAATAAAAACAGACATATATACCAGTGAAACAGAATAGAACCCACAAATAGACACATACATGTGTCAAATTAGATGGCTTAAAGAGAAACAAATACATAATTCTATCTGACCCTCTCAATGGCCTCCTGGTGTTCAACTAATTTGATAAGGGTGCCAAGAATACACAATAGAGAAAAGATAGTTTCTTCAATATATGGTATTGGGAATGCTGAATATCTATAGGCAAAAGAATTGACATTGGACCCTTGTCTTACACCACGTACCAAAGTCAACTCAAAGTGGATTAAAAACTTCGAGGTAAGACCTGAAATCATAAACTCCTAGAAGAAAACATAGGGAAAAGTTCTGTGGCATTGGTCTTGACAAAGACTTTTTGGATACGATACCAAAAGCATAGGCAACAAAAGCAAAAATAAACAAGTGGGACTACATAAAACTAAAAAAGTTTCTTCATAGCAAGGAAATAATCAACAAAATGAAAAGGCAACCCACAGAATGGGAAAAAAATGTATTTGTAAACCTTATATCTGATATCTGATAAGAAGTTAATATCCAAAATTTATAAGAAGTTATAATATACAAAAGTTATAAAGGACTTATACAACCCGATATGAGACAACAAACAATGTGATTTTAAAAATGGGGAAGAAACCTTAATAGACATTTCTCCAAAAAAGATATAAAAATGGCCAACAAGTATATGAAAACGTATACAACATCGCTAATCACTAAGAAAATGCAAATCCTACCTACAATAAGAAATCACCTCACAGCTGATAGGATAGCTATTATCATTAAGACAAGAGACAAGTGTTGGCAAGGATGTGGAGAAAAGTACACTATTGTTGGGAATGTAAATTGATACAATCATTATGGAAAACAGTACAGAAGTTCCTCAAAAAGTTAAAAAAGGACTACTATATGATCTAACAATTCTCATTCTGGGAATACATTCAAAGAAAATAAAATTAGTATCTCAAAGTGATATCTGTACTTTCATATTCAGTGCAGCATTACTCACAGTAGCCAAGATATGGGAACGACCTAAATGTCTGTCAACGGATGAATGGATAAAGGAAATGTAAGATATATACATATACATGTGTATAGATATACAATGAAATATTATTAAGCCTTAAAAAGAAGGAAATCCTGCCATTTGTAATAACATATCTTAATCTGAAAAACTATGCTAAGTGAAATAACTCAAACACAGACAGTTTACACTTTTATGCAGACTCTACCAAGTCAAATTCATAAAAGCAGAGTATAGAATGGTCATTGCCAAGGACTGGACAGGGGTGGGGAATGGGGAGATGCTGGTCAAAGACTACAAAGTTTTTAGTTAAAAGATTAATGAGCTCCAGGGATCTATTGTACACCATGGTGACTAATGTAAACCACAGTGACTATAGTTAATAACGTACTGTTTACTTGAAATTTTACAAGAAAGCAGATTGTAAGTGTTCTCACCACACACACACACACAAAATGGTAACTATAGGTAGTAATGGATGTGTTAATTCGACTTTGGTGGCAGGATGTGGTGGCTCATGCCTGTGATCTCAGCAATTTGGGAAGCTGAGACAGGAAGATCACATGAAGCCAGTAATTCAACCAGTCTGGCCAACATGACAAAACCCTGTCTCTATTAAAATTATAAAAAAAAAAAAATTAGCCAGGCATAGGGGTGCACACCTCTAGTCCCAGCTACTCCAGGGGCTGAGACAGGAGAATCACTTGAATCTGGGAGGCAGGGGTTGCAATGAGACAACATTCTGCCACTGCATTCCAGCCTGGGTGACAGAATGGGACTCTCTCTCAAAAACAAACAAACAAACAAACAAAAAAAAATTGGTAACTAGTACACAATCTATACATAGCTCAAATCATCATGTGGTACATCTTGAATATATACATTTTTTGTGAGTTAAATATTTTAAATAAAAATAAAATTTAATAAATTTAAAAATAAAAGTAAAAATATTGGATTTGATGGCATTTACAGTCTCTTCTAGTTCTAACATCCTCTGATCCTATGAATCTATATAAATCACAAAGAATCTGAAATGAAAAGAATGCACTGGAGCTTTATAACACTTCCCTTTGTTAAATTCACTCATATCTAAATCTTGATATTGAAAATACATTTCTCCTTGTATTCCCTTATACCTACTGCACAATTTTCAAATGAACTGAAACAATACAGCAGGACATTTTTCCAATCTTCTCTGCAATGATGAGAATACAGAACAAAATCAAATAAATGAAATCTCAGCAGGCCATAGGATTGCCTACTAAAAACACAAAAGAGAAAAAAAAGGTAAATTGAAGAAATGATACTAATCAAATGGTCCTTTGTTCTTTGAAGTAGCTAATCCTTAATTATTGAAAATTAAATCATTTATTACAAATGTTGAAAAATTAGACAACCATGATCTTCAAATATGTAAGAATTCAAAAACCTTTACCTTTACCTTACATTTTTCTTTCTAAAGAAAGATTGAAATTAATTTTAATCACAAGCACTTTCTTCACAATTAAAAATGCTTTAAATAAAATATAGTTAATAGCATTAATTTTCTAAACTATTATCCAAGATGCTCCTGTATTTATATTTTGCCTTCCAATAACACTGTAATTCTTCCAGGAGAGAAATCTTGACAACCTTCTATATTACTTAACCAAGAGATGATAACATTCATAGATGTGTACACTTCATACAAAATATATTTCTATTCATGTGTTTTGTATAATTATAAATGCAAATATACTGAGCAGTAAAGGAAAACTCATAAAAGTATACATAATTGAAATCAATGAACTATAACTACACTATATCACATCTATTATTAATATTTTGTGTTTTTACTTCCATCATTTTTATATCACGTGTCTTTCATAATATTTATTCATTTATTTATGTAGAGACAGGGTCTTGCTATGTTGCCCAGGCTGGTCTCAAACTCCTGAGCTCAAGCCATGCTCTTGCCTCAGTACCCTGAGTAGTTGGGAATATAGGCACTCACCCCCATGCCCAGCTATTAATAATATTTATTTTATATTGAAAACAGTATGAACAGTAAATAGTGTTAACTGAAATTATTAAGTATAGTCAGCATAAATATAATAATGTAAAGAGTACTTAATAGTAATATTTCCAGATAAGGGGTCACAAAATGTGTAATTAAGATGATAGTTTAACTGAAAGAAAAGCAGGGGACATTTCTTCCTCTTCAGATTCTATTAATATCATGGTCAACATCATAATTGGAAAAGTCTGCCCTTGGCATTTCTGCAGGAGCCCTCCTATGAACTAGGTAAACATAGTTTATGATGCCCAAAGGTGTCCCATGTCAGTCCTGAAAGTAAATATTTCTGCTATTCATAGACTTGCTATGTAAACTTCATGAATCTTTGGAAATTACCGCAGGGATACCTTATAGGAGAAGAACAGATTCCCAAAGCAATTCTAATCATCCAAGGTACCACAGGCTGGGATATAATCTATGACCTAAACTAAAATGCTTCACTTTGGGGGGTAGCGGGAGATAATGAAGTGAAATGATAAATATTTATTGTATTTACCTTTTTCTGAATGACATGTCATGATGTCTGGGGATCTGTTTATTACATGAGCACTCCTGTGAACGGTGTCCCAGAGCAGTGGCAAACAGACTAACATTTCTTGAGATTTACTTCAAGAGAGGCCAAGCTCAAAGCAATGGCCCTGGTTCCTCAGGGCGATTTCAGCAGATTCACCTAAGTATCCTGTTTCTTTACCCCTCAGACCCATATTAACTGAATATTAACATATTCTACAGTCGATACTCATAACATTTACCATGACACTTTAATAAGACCAACAACTCACATTCAATTTTTAGAATGTTAGTAAACATTCTTAAAAAAAAAAAAAAAAAGGTAGCTTGAACAAGTTGAATGCCCTTGGGAAAAATACTTAATCCCTTTTGGTTTTGATAAATCTGGACTATCTTTGAGATTTCTGTTGCAAATATTTATGTGTTTACCTGTCAACCTCAGGAAACTTCATTAATCGTT
Source organism: Homo sapiens (assembly GCF_000001405.40). Taxonomy (NCBI): domain Eukaryota; kingdom Metazoa; phylum Chordata; class Mammalia; order Primates; family Hominidae; genus Homo; species Homo sapiens. The sequence continues at coordinate 175,126,717 of NC_000003.12, read as the reverse complement.
AATTTGTGTATTAAATACATTCTCTTTGATGAATTGCTCAGCATAACAGTGGAAAAATAGTTTTGAGTTTTGTTTCGTTTTGTTTTGTTTTGGTGACAATAAAGCTCTCCATTATCATATATAATTCTAACACCTGTTCTCAGAAAATAAGTTACATGTGTTCATTTGAAATATATATATTTTCCTTTAACATATCTTGGAACTAAGATTGAATTTTAAAAATGGAATTGTTCAGTTACTTTTGAAATGCCAGTTTGATAGGCTGATAAAGTTACCAAGATAGCTCTAAATCAGTGAAATTGCCAATACTGTGTGCAGTGAGTGAGACAGCTCAGCTGATCCCAGAACCAATAAAAGAAATTATGTCTGCTTTAAAATGTACCTTTTCCCTTATACCTCTATCAAATTAAAGCCCATAGTCTGCACAATCAGAATTTATTAGAGCTAATGCTTTTTTTCCTAAGTCAATCGCCTCTTTTATCTGTTCTTCCTATCTCCAATTCCTCTTTTCTGGTCTCACCTGAATCCACTCCAATGAGGCTTTTGCCCTTCCTACCCCCCAGAAACTATTCTTGTTGCAATCACCAATTACTCCTTCTCCCATACACATACACTCACTTTGCTAAATCCATTAGTCAATTGCCAGATCTCATTGTTTTATGTATAGCAAGGGCATTTTGACAAAGTTGAACACTACATACTCTTAGAATTCCAAATTTTGGCTGTTTTGGATTTCCTGTAAATTCAGGAGTATTGCCTTTCAATTTCAAGTCTCCTATGCTGGTTCTGCCTCATTAAAATGTTGGAATGCCTCAAGTCTAAGTCAGTCCTTATGTCTCATCTCTCTTCTCTTTACACTTACTCTTTTGGTAATCTCCACTAGTCTCACAACTTTAAACGACACTAATATGCTGACAATTCTAAAACTTTTATCTCCAAAATAGACTCTGCTGAACTATGCACTTAACATATGTTCTTGGATGTCTAGTAGGCTTCTCGAACCTGTTCGGTTCCAGATACCAGCTTCTATTCTTGTACAAAATAGGTGCCTCCTTAAATCTTTGTCATCTCATTTAATAAACTGTATGTTCTTTTAGCCACTTAGGCCAAAAAATGTAAAAGTATTCTTATATCAATTATTTTCTCTCACATTCCATATGTAATCAATCAAAGGATCCCGTTCATTTGACCTTCAAAACACATAAAGGATCCAATATCTTTGCACCACCCCTATTTATACCATCCTGGTACAAGCCACCATCATCTACCATCTGGATTAGTGCAATAGGGCTCCCTGTTCTCTCCCACTTAGCGCTATTTTCAGCAAAGTAGTAGAGTGATCTTGTAAAAACCTAATTTGGATCATGTCACTCCTTTGCTTAACATTCTCCAGTAGCTTCTGGAACCTTTTCAGAGAAAAAAACAAACTCGACTTACAATGGCCCACAATGTTTCACCCTGTACTATCCAGTATGTTAACCACCAGCTACCAGGTAGTTTAATTGAAATTAAACCATCCATTTAATTTCAATTAAATTGAAAATAAGTAAAATTTAAAATACATTTTTTACTTCACAACAGCCATATTTCTCAAGTGCTCAGTAGCCACATGTGGCTAGTGGCTGCTATACTGAACAATGCAGATCTAGAACACTTCCATCACCATAGAGTGTTCCATTAGAAAGTGTTACTCTATACGATCTACTTCTCCCTATTATTTTTCTGACTCATTTCACCCATGTTTGAAAACTGCTCACTAGATTGATCTTCCCTAAAAACAAAACTTTAGTGCTCATGTCTCTACTCTAATATATTGTCTATCCCCATTTCTGCCTATTGAAATTCTATTAACCTTTAAGTTCCATATGAGAGGACATTATCTCATAAAGTTTCTTTGGGACACAATACTCTCACCAAATAGCTATCTTTCTTTCTTGAAACACCCATATTGCTGTGTTAGAATGTGTCATATGATATATTCTTATTCTATCATGTATGATAATAATTTAAGCACTTTTCTTAATCCCCTACTAATGTGTGGCACACATTCTTGTGTAACACATCACTCTTTCTTACCTCTTTACTTTCTTGCTGAATTCCATAAAGAAGTTTGAAAAGCCTCCCTTGCAGCTAGGGAAGGCTATATGACAAAAATATGCCCAATGTAAAATGAAAGCCTGTTGAAAGATTCGGGAAAAGCATTTATCTTCCTGATAAAAGTGATTAATGTGGCTACAGTTGCCTTTCCTCTCCTATTCCTGCTTAGATGCCTAGATCTGTGGTGGCTTTCTAATGACCCTGAGGTAAAAAGTGTAAGGATGAAAACCAAGATGTTGAAACTGGCAATGTCACAATGTGCATGGGTTTGTGACATCATCAATGATCAACTGAACCAACAACAGTGACCACCTAACTCCAAACATCTTGTTTTATTTGTCTAAGCCAATGTTAACTGAATTTTCCGTTACTTGAAACTTAAAACTGCTATTATTACTTCGCCTAATTATATGTTAGATTGTAGAATTTGATCATGCCCAAATAGCTTCAGTATTCTCACGAAAAGCGGCAGAGACCCCTACAAACAGAAGAAGTCAAATATTTAAATGAAGTGGAACCAAGTTAGATAATCCACTTAACCACATAGACACAAACACAAGAGATGGGCAAAAACAACACAGAGGTCTGCAATCTGATTTGGAAAGTATCTTAGATGGCTACCCTGATGTTCTTTTCTCTTTCCTTAAGAGGAAAAAAACTATCCCTTTGCAAGTACAAATATTACATTTTTAGACAAAAAGAAAAAACACAAAAATTGAATAACATATAGCTTTGTTCTTAAGAAACATGATATGGTTGAAGAAAACAAAACTGATAATCAAGAATGCTTAAGTGCTTAATGCTAATATACTGTCAGAGCACAAAATTTAACATGGTCAATTGTGTTTTATAGAAGATTGGTAAGGGCTTTGATAATGTTTCACAGTGGAGGAAATACGTAAGTTGACTCTTGAAAGATTAATATGTATTCACTAGAGATACAGAAGAGGGGATGTAAGGCAGAGGCAGCAGTTTAAGCTAAGAACACATGGAAAGTAAACGGTAGGGTGCATCTAGACAACTGCAGGTAACCCAGCTGGAGGCACAGTAGAAAGAGAAAGTCCGAAATAGAGGAGCCAGGTCATGACCTGAAGCCATAATTAAGAATTTGGATAGTTTTCTGTAATTAATATGTGACAATGAGTATATCAAGAACAATGTCAAATTTTTATTAGGGCATAGCACCCAAGCACTAGTGTGGATAGGCACTATGCCAAGTACTCGGAAGTTAAAAAGGTTTCATGACAGAAATCATGACTTGGGACCATTGCCCTACCATCTATTAGTACCACCATCCGTACATGTCCTGAACTGCATTAGTCATTGCTTAGTTCAAAAGTCTGAGCACTTTATAATCAACAAAAATCTCCATATTCTAATGTCTTCTCTTGGTTTAAGGACTTTTCCAAGTGATTTTGTCCTTCCTATTTTAAAAATTTTAAAGGTAATTTTTAAAAGATGTCTGCTATGGCTTGAATGTCCCCTCCAAAACTCATGTTGAACTTTAATTGCCATTGTAACTGTATTAATAGGTAGGAATTTTAAGAGGTGATTAGGCCACAGGGCTTTGCCCTCATAAATGGATTAATGTCATTATCATGAAAATGGGTTCATTATCATAGGAATGGGTTCCTTATAAAAAGATGAGTTTGGCTCCCTTTTTGCCTTTCTCTTGCTGACATTCTCTTGCCTGTCCACCTTCTGATATAAAATAATGAAGCAAGAAGGTCCTTACAAGATGCCACCTCCTTGATCTTGGACTTCTCAGCCTTGAGAACCATGATAAATAAATTTCTATTGTTTATAAATCACTCAGCCTGTGGCATTCTGTTATGGCTGCACAAAACAGATTGAGACAATGTTCATATAAATTGTTCCTCTAACTGGAAAATGCAAATGTGAGTGCAGTGAGGCCAGAGGGGAAGAGAGAATGGGAGGAGATAATAAAGAGAAAGCTGCTTCAAGCAAACCCCAGATATAAGCAAGACCCATTAAACAGGAAACCCCCAATTTATAACCTAATTTAATACTAGATGATAAATTCTAAGAATTCTCAGGTAGTGCTGCTCATAGCTCCCTTTCTTGCCTAATGATATGCCAATAAGTTATCTTCTTGAAGTCCCTTAGTCAACTTTGTTTGGCTTCCAATATTTAATGTCTCATTACACCTATTCATAAACATGAATATACTTAATATTTTACATCTCAATGCACCTTTCAGGAGCATTTAAAAGAAAAACAAGTTCAAGGCCAAAACCAATGCTTGGTTCACAGTCACGTGAAATTGGGGGATTGCACTGGATATTCATACAATAAAACTTTTCCAGTGCATAAATAAAGCCAACACATATCCTTATCACTGTTGATTGCAGTGGCCCAGTGGCAATCAACCAGTATGCAGAATGGCCCTCTATTTCCTTCCTGAGGCAATCATGAACAAAAGTTTATATCAGCATAGGCAGGGGCTTATTTATAACCAGAAAAAGAAAATCCTTTGTAAAAGTGGGATTCACAAGGTATGTTCCACCTATTCACCGTCTAGCTCCCCTAACAATATAGAGCTGACTTTAATCAACTACCAATTCAGGACAGCATAATTATTTTCATCATTTCCTTTCAACTATTACAATGTGTCGCCATTGTGGCAGTAAAGACAGGACGGGAAAGAAAAAGAAATGCAGAGATCACAGATACAAGAATGAAACCAGTAAAAAGTGGTAGAAGCTTGTCCTGTCTTTTATATAAAATCTCCCCTAAATACTGGCCTCTATTCTGAGAAAGAAAAGGAAAAAAATGCATTTTAGTTACATCAAAAAGTCAACCAAACTGTGGCCAGAGGAACATATGGAGAAACCCATCTTGAATCTGGGGGTATCTTGGCTCTGTGCTCTGTGGAATGAGGACCTGCATAGGGAGGATGCCCAGGGTACTAACTAAAATAGTGGAAGCCTGTTGGCCCAAATCTGTAAACAAAAGTGTGATGTGGATGAATATGTAGGTTTCAATTTTAACTGGATGTTGGAATTTCCTGGACTTTTCCCGTAAGAGCAACAATTATTTCCAGTTAGCTTCATAAAAGGGGGTGTTCCTCAGCTCTCTTACCCTCAGGTAACAGCTGCAACCACAGCCAGTAATGAAAGTGTTGTATCTTACCTGTCCAGAGGAGGGCGCCAAAATGAGTTTCTGCTCTTCACCCTATCCATTAGTTTGCCCCATGCTCTGGTTGTGAAACATCTAGTTCTCCACTTTGCAGGCCAAGAGGTAGCCAAGGACAACAGTAAAGTAAGCTTGAATGTTTAATCAGTTGCATATATTGTTTGTTAAAGCCCAAGACAAAGAACCTAAGACAAGTCAGGTGGCAAGTATGTAATCAGTGATGACCCAGCCATCACCAACACACTTATAGATCTGTATGGCCGTTTGGCCAGACCCTCAAACAAGCATAAAGTAAATTTCTATTCCTTGTTATAGAAACAGATTCAACCTTATTACTTGTCTTCAGTCAGGATCAGAGAAAATATTAACCTAAACTAGAAGATGTTAATTTTTAATTATATTTGACAAGAATGTAGGATACCACTTAAAAGGTAGATGCAAAAAGGGGGACTCATCAGAGAAACAAAAAGAGGTGTCCATGACTCTATCAATAATTCTTTCAATGAATCAATATATAGCTTTATGAAAGACGTGTGAATCAAGACATCATTTGTTGAATGATTGATTTCTTATTAGCCCAAATTAGTCTTGTTCTATTTGAAAACTAACTTTTTAAGATTATACCTATATAACAACAAAACAAGAATTGGTTTGAACAGTTTTATCAACCAATTAGACAACTGAAGTTTTGTTTGGGGTTTTCAAAGAACAAAAAGGGTCAATAATAAAACAATACAGCACAGGTGTTGAAAATAGCTACACTTTTCAACCAGTTGTGTTACAATCATCTAGACATAGCAAAAGTGAGCTGAATTGAAGATAACAGACTTTTTATTGCAAGACCATTGTAACATGCAATTATTAAAATTCATTAATACTTGGACCAATGCAATTTCATTATCTCTGATCGATTTCAAGCATTATTTTTAATGGCCTTCACTCTTGTCATTTCAGTTAGAACTGCATGAACACCAGTTTAGTGGAACAACACACAGTCCTTTTTTATGAGATTAAGTTCTTGGCTTTAATAACAGGTCCCAAAGGAGTAAACTGCTAAATACAGAAGACCAGATGCCTCTACAAACACTATTTAGAAATCCATACCTTTTAGAGGATTTGTTTTAATAGATTTCTATGTTTTTAATGCCAGAAAAACATAGCACATTAAACAGGGGTTTTAATTACATTATACTCCATAGCACTGGGCTTTTCTGAAAGGAAGAACCCAGAGCATGGTTGTAAAATGTCTACATGGAAAAGATGAAACACAAGTATTATCTGATCTTAAAATCATCTTTTTCTCAGTCTTAGGAAAGTACAGTCAGGAAAAAGTGGGCTTCTTACTTCTGCATCCACTGCTAAAGCAGCAAATACTGTTGACGGTACATCTAAATACCATCAAAATCCATTCCCTTGCTTCCATTTCCATGGGTTTTGCATGATTCAAACTTCAATAGCAGTGCAAACAATAATTAGAATCATTACAACACCGGCCTTTCCCCTCTCACCCTTGTTTAACTTTTTCCTCATATAATTCATCCTCCATGCTGTTTCCTATTCTTTATATATATATATATGTATATATATACACATACACATACACACTTACATAAGCTATATAAGTCATATACATCTTATATATATACTTTTATATATAGATACATAAGTATATATATACTTTTATATATATATCTATATATAGTTTTATATATAGATATATAAGTATATATCTATTCTTATTTTACATTATATATCTATATCTATATCTATATATACACACCTTACTAAGTGACTCCTCAACCTTCAAGTTAAACAAACTAAAAACATCTTTAGATGTCATATAAGGCTTTTCATAATCTGACTTCGACTTATAATTATATTTCTTTCTCTTCCTCTTCTCCTTTCCTTACCTCCTCTTCTCACTCTCTCTCTCCCTCTCTGTCTCTGCCTCTCTTCCCACCTCCTTTGTCTTTCTCAAATAACCTTGCCTCTACATCCTATAGTCCTGCCATGTAGAACTAAAGGCCATTTCCAAATACTACAAATAACTCTGTACCTTTAGACCATATACCTGGAATATTATTTGTTCCTGCCTCTGGCTGGAATAATCCTTCAAAACTAATTCAAATTTTTATTATCCTTCTGTAAATTCACCCCTGTTCATTAAAGCTTTTTTATTAGTTTCTAGTTAGATGTTTTTATACTGTTTGGTTATATGGCACTTTATTCAAACTTTATCATTTCACTGAATATTATTATTTATTATTTCTCATCCCTGCTTCCTAACAGTTTCAGAGGTTTTTGAAATGTGTAAATCTAACTTAGGTATTTTAAAATTTCTTGTGCCTCAATATTTACCACACTGTAAGCATATGGTCAATAATGACCACTGGGAAAAAAAAAAACGTATAAATGCAATTTAAGAATTTGGATTTATCTGTAAATGAAACAAAGTTAATATATTTTAATTGTGAAAATCCTCACATGTTATAATAGGCAACAATTTAATTTTTTGCTACCTGATGACCAGCATATCTTAGCCAAAGGGGAAAAAATGGACCATATTAACAACATACTTTGCAAAACAGATATCTGAGTACCACAGCTATAATTTTGAGTCTAAGAAGCCCCAGAAATAATCAATATCATCAAAGCAGTAAGCTTAGGAGATAAATGGGCAGCTGGTGTCATTCTCCATTCATCATGATATTGTTACAGCAGAGATTGTGCAGAACTATAATCTATTCTGACAGTGCTTACTGATCCAGAACTCTATTGCAGATTTTTATAACTTGCATTTTTAAAAATGCATTAGAAACTTTGATTTAGACATTATAGAGTATTGAATAAAAGAGACAACCAAATAAGTTATTGTTCTCTTGTGTGTGGCACCACTATACCATGTGCTGACTGGTCTTTTCACAATTTAATGGTTTGTTTACCGCCTCCTGCCTGCTGTTCTCATTAAAGCACATCATCTGGTGATTACAAAGTGATAATTTATAGTTTTTCCCAAGGCCAGTTTTATTTTATTTATTTTTATGCTTTATTTAATTATTTTTTTAATGATCCAAAGCCCCACTAGCATACTCATTATTGATACACAACAATCAGGCAACTCAGTTTAGTTCTGTGATCTATTGCTACTATCGAGACTTAGAGGAACATTTTGAGCTATTCAGAATGATGAAATTCGTATTATTATTATTATACTTTAAGTTCTAGGGTACATGTGCACAACGTGCAGGTTTGTTACATATGTATACATGTGCCATGTTGGTGTGCTGCACCCATTAACTCGTCATTTACATTAGGTATATCTCCTAATGACTGGCCTCCCCCCCACCCTACGACAGGCCCCAGTGTGTGATGTTCCCCATCCTGTTTCCAAGTGTTCTCATTGTTCAGTTCCCACCTGTGAGTGACAACATGTGGTGTTTGATTTTCTGTCCTTGCAATAGTTTGCTCAGAATGATGGTTTCTAGCTTCATCCATGTCCCTACAAAGGACATGAACTCATCATTTTTTATGGCTGCATAGTATTCCATGGTGTGTACATGCCACATTTTCTTAATCCAGTCTACCATTGATGGACATTTGGGTTGGTTCCAAGTCTTTGCTATTGTGAATAGTGCCACCATAAACATACGTGTGCACATGTCTTATAGCAGCATGATTTATAATCCTTTGAGTATATATCCAGTAATGGAATTGCTGGGTCAAATGGTATTTCTAGTTCTAGATCCTTGAGGAATTGCCGCACTGTCTTCCACAATGGTTGAACTAGTTTACAGTCCCACCAACAGTGTAAAAGTGTTCCTATTTCTCCACATCCTCTCCAGCACCTGTTGTTTCCTGACTTTTTAATGATCGCCATTCTAACTGGTGTGAGATGGTACCTCATTGTGGTTTTGATTTGCATTTCTCTGATGGCCAGTAATGATGATGAGCATTTTTTCATGTGTCTGTTGGCTGCATAAATGTCTTCTTTTGAGAAGTGTCTGTTCATATCCTTTGCCCACTTTTTGATGAGGTTGTTTGATTTTTTCTGGTAAATTTGTTTAAATTCTTTCTAGATTCTGGATATTAGTCCTTTGTCAGATGGGTAGATTGTAAAAATTTTCTCCCATTCTTTAGATTGCCTGTTCACTCTGATGGTGGTTTCTTTTGCTGTGCAGAAGCTCTTTAGTTTAATTAGATCCCATTTGTCAATTTTGGCTTTTGTTGCCATTGCTTTTGGTTTTTTAGACATGAAGTCCTTGCCCATGCCTATGTCCTGAATGGTGTTGCCTAGGTTTTATTCTAGGGTTTTTATGGTTTTAGGTCTAATATTTAAGTCTTTAGTTCATCTTGAATTAATTTTTGTACAAGGTGTAAGGAAGGGATCCAGTTTCAGCTTTCTACGTATGGCTAGCCAATTTTCCCAGCACCATTTATTAAATAGGGAATCCTTTCCCCATTTCTTGTTTTTGTCAGGTTTGTCAAATATCAGATGGTTGTAGATGTGTGGTGTTATTTCCAAGGGCCTTATTCTGATCCATTCTTCAATATCTCTGTTTTGGTACCAGGACCATGCTGTTTTAGTTATTGTGGCCTTGTAGTATAGTTTGAAGTCAGGTAGTGTGATGCCTCCAGCTTTGTTCTTTTGGCTTAGGGTTGTCTTGGCAACGCAGGCTCTTTTTTGGTTCCATATGGACTTTAAAGTTTTTGGTTTTTTTGTTGTTGTTGTGGTTTTGTTTTTCCAATTCTGTGAAGAAAGTCATTGGTAGCTTGATGGGGATGGCATTGAATCCATAAATTACATTGGGCAGTATGGCCATTTTCACAATATTGATTCCTCCTATCCATGAGCATGGAATGTTTTTCCATTTGTTTGTGTCCTCTTTTATTTTGTTGAGCAGTGGTTTGTAGTGCTCCTTGAAGAGGTCCTTCACATCCCTTGTAAGTTGGATTCCTAGGTATTTTATTCTCTTTGAAGCAATTGTGAATGGGAGTTCACTCATGATTTGGCTCTCTGTTTGTCTGTTATTGGTGTATAGGAATGCTTGTGTTTTTTGCACATTGATTTTGTATCCTGAGACTTTGCTGAATTTGCTTATCAGCATAAGGAAATTTTGGGCTAAGATGATGGGGTTTTCTAAATATATAATCATGTCATCTGCAAACAGGGATAATTTGACTTCCTCTTTTCCTAATTGAATATCCTTTATTTCTTTCTCTTGCCTCATTGCCCTGGCCAGAACTTCCAACACTATGTTGAATAGGAGTGGTGAGAGAGGGCATCCCTGTCTTGTGCCAGTTTTCAAAGGGAATGCTTCCAGTTTTTGCCCATTCAGTATGATATTGGCTGTGGGTTTGTCATAACTAGCTCTTATTAGTTTGAGACACGTCCCATCAATACCTAGTTTATTGAGTTTTTTGCATGAAGGCTGTTGAATTTTGTCGAAGGCCTTTTCTGCATCTAGTGAGATAAACATGTGGTTTTTGTCTTTGGTTCAGTTTACAAGATGGATTACATTTATTGATTTGCATATGTTGAACCAGCCTTGCATCCCAGGGATGAAGCCAACTTGATTGTGGTGGATAAGCTTTTTGATGTGCTGCTGGATTCGGTTTGCCAGCATTTTATTGAGGATTTTTGCATCGATGTTCATCAGGGATATTGGTCTAAAATTCTCCTTTTTCCCCTGAATGCGCTCGATCTCATCTGATGAAATTTTTAAATCTGACTTGAGAGAAGCAAAATAAGGAAATATCCTATCCAAGCAGAAATACCATTCATTACTTCCTCCTCATCTAATGGCCTTGAGAGTTTCACAACCCATATGCCTAGCAAATACTTTCTAAGTGGCTTCTTAACCCATCAAAATATAGAAGAAATTTACATTTGCTGCTTAATAGCATTCTCTTTTACACAAACATTATACTTGTAAATTGGGTAAGAAAGTATTATTAGGATACACGTTATCTGCTATTTGCAAATACTCAGAGTTTTACATGTGACTTGTGAAAGTATTTTATTAGTGTCTTTTATTAAAAGAAATTAAGTTTATATATATGCTAATTGTCATGTGCCTCAGAGAGATTTTGATGGCAACATGTCAAGAAACTGTAACTAACCTTTGTGACATCAATAATGGAGTTTGATTGAAAAAAAAATCACAAGCATAACAAATCAATGCTCACAATAAAGAAGTAAGTTATGTTTGACTGTTTGCTGGGCCTATGACAGACAAGGCAAGCTCTACTCTCAGAAGCAAAAATTATATATCTAGGAGTCAGAGGTAATTTTAAGAACTATGAAGAAATATGTATTTATTTCTGAAAATATAAGTCTAATATGTAAAAAATATGACAGGTTAAGTAGGTTGATAGGCATATTTTATCATTTAGTCTGTGACATTTTAACATCTTTATCGTTCATTTAAAAACAAGTTTATAAGTGCTTCAGTTTCAGATATTTATTTTAGTTTACCATACATATCTAGGAAAGGACCCAGATTAGTTAAACCAGTAATGTAATTCGTAAAGAGAAAACAAAACTATAAAGTTTTCTTTTGTGATTTGCTTTGGCCAAAGTGAATTACTATAGCCAATATACGTCATCTTAGAAACTTTTCTCCTTGCTTTTATACTGTAATGAGTCTAAGCCTCCCATTCCACAAACAAGCACTATGTAATAAATAATGTCTCAATCTTCATATTGCAGGCATAATTTTCACTCTAAGATTTTCTAAGTCCCAATGTATTACTGTGACATTTGAACCATGGCTAAAAGGTTTAGGTTCTAGAGCATATCCTAGAATATCCATTTAGTTTTAATAGTCTGCCTCAATATTTTTAATTGCCACTTGGTGATTAGTAATGCCTCGTCAGAGTATCATAAGGAATAGCTAGTTTTGCAGTGCTCTAAGTAACTCTAAGAAAAGTAAAACACTTATATGTTTAGCATACATTTAGAAAATAATTATGTATTTAGGACAATAAAAGATATAATAGGGTTACTTTAGCGTAATAATACACATTCCCCACAGCCTAAAGTGGGTACCTTATAGCAGAAATCTTAATTCCATCTATTAGTATTCTCTATCCCTGCCAGATGGTCTCAGGTTTTTTCTCAGGTTGGGTTTGATTTATTAGAGTTATTTTTGCTGTAATGCTAAACCCAAGTGTTAACAATCAATACTGCCACATCCACGTGATTTAATAGTCCTCCAATGAGAATTCTTCTCTTTCTCCAGAGGGCATTTTGTCTATACCTGCATTAGTACAATTATGACTGTCAGCTTCCTCTATGGTGGTATATTTTCCTCTCTATCCTTCACTAAGGCTTTCAGCTCTTTGAAACCAGACTGTACTATATTCCTCTGATACCTCCACTCCTACTTCCTAACAAATGGTACTTGCATGAAGCCGATATTAAATACATTTAAGGAAATTACTAAGACCTGACAAACTTGAGACAAAGTAACACTTGATTCTTTGTGAGACTCTTTCACTTTTTTGCACATCCTGTGAGCAGAGGCACAAACTACCTTTCTTCAAGACTATCTTTCCAAGACTGTGTATGTAACAAACAGCCTTGAAAAACAGAGACAGCGTTTTCTCCAGAGAAAACTTTGGGTTTGTTTACGATTTTGAAAAGATGAATATAGTATCTCCCTCAAGGGCAATAGGCAGGCATGCTTATTGTCCAGCATAAAAAAAATTGGGGATCCTTAAGCACAAGTTTCCTCTCCTGTTATAAAACCACTGCATGTTCAGGGTCCAACTAGCCTCTTTTCATCACTTGTTGGAAATGGGGATCAAAACAGTATTGCAAACATGATTCTTACGCTGCTTGCTCTTCTGTGATAAACTCTCTGTCATCTTTGACCCAGGGGTCTCATGTCTCCTGCAACTATCCAAGAAACTATGGCAAGCTAACTTGTTAGCTGGGTAGCTCGGTAAAATATGGGACCTTTCAAAGACATTGATAGAATCTTAGCAAGAAAAACTGACACAGATGCTGTTATTCTAAAACCTAAGAATTTTAGTTTTAATCAAAATTGGGCAGGAGATTTTGATTAAAATCTAAAAGCAGTTTTGTGTACTGTGCCTCTCATTTTGGCATCTGTCTTTCTGTCTGCACCTCTGCACAGATGCTCTACCAGCACATACCTCACTGACCATACATTTGATGAATATTTATGAAGTGGCTACTACGAAAGGGACACCTGTAACCAGCTCTGCAACGTCCTTCTTGTTTTTATTCTCTAATCTATCATTTAGAGAGTTACCCTGTCTGATCTTATAATTTTCCTACTCAGAATCTTTTGCTGATTTCTCATGGTATTCAGAACCAAATTCTAACCATCACCTTTTCTCCAAAACTTTCCATGAAATTATCCTAATCTACTTCTGAAAGCTGATATTTTACAAACTAATCTTTTGTCAAAAAAGGCACACTCACAACAACCCTAATTTACTTTTCTGTGCTTTCTTACCTCCATGTCTTTGTTCAACCTTTCCTGAAGTCATGTCTCATATCTATATATTAATGTATCTAAAGCATTCATAGCCTTCAGTGCCCATCTTTTCTGGAAAGTGTAACAGACTCTACCCTATCAGAATTTATATGCTTCTCTCCTACAATCTTTGCGCTGATGTCATTATGCCTATATTACAGTTATTTAGACATTTATGTAACTCTCATATGACCGTATGTTCCTAAAGGATCTATCCATCTTTGTATTTACTAAATTTTACATGTAATAGAATGCCATGTACAGAGTAGGCATTCAATATGTTTTAATTCAACTAAATTATTAATAATTCTGTAACTGGAAATTGCCATCTCTATGTAACATCTGGATGTTTATGTGTCTTTATAGTATGAATCAAGAAGAATGGACTTCTGCTTCTTATCTACCTAATGCCAGGTAGGAACTATCTAGCTAATGTCATGACAGAGGAGTATAACTCAGTAGGCTGGCTGAATTACCCCTAAATATGTGTTGGGACCTAAAGTATTTGGACTTACTTATAAAGCAGAATAAAAATTTACTTTACAAATATAAAAGTATTATCTTAGTTGTCATCAAAATTTTTAGAGAGAGAACTTTACTCAGGAAAATACTTGGAATATGGAGCATGAGACCCTAATAGTATGACTTGGAAGAGACAGGAAAAATATATTAACAAGAATTTGGGGAAAAGAATGTAAAGTTGAGAGGAGGCGGGAGACACCAAGAAGAGACATGGGCTGGGCAACACTCCAAGAAGCACATCTACTAAGGATGGTGGTCAATGAGGAATCACCAATGGAGAATGGCTGAAGACCTTTTATTAACAAAAATAATGTAATCATAAATAGCAGGTAATATTGTTTACTATGTGTCAGGTTCTCATCTAAACCTTATTTATGTATTTATGCATTTATTTAAAGATGGGACCATTATTAGCTATATATTAAAAATGAGGAAACTGTGTCATTGTAAATTTAAGAATGTTGTTCAAGATCATCCACTACATTAGCTGGATGTAATGGAGTTGGGATTTGATCCCAGGCAGACCAGTTTCAAGTCTGTTTCCAAATTGGTTGTGTTGCTGTGATATAAATTCCCCCGATTTCAAGTCTTCACAATAACATGAAATGCCCGTACCAAAATATAGTACTGGCACTACAGGGAATATGAATATATGTGGAATGACCCTAATTTTCCCTTTCCTGACTGTCTGACTAGAGAAGGCAGCAGCATTGGATCAAGTGAAACCTAAGTCTAAACATCCTAGGAAGTGAGCTGTGCTAAGGGCATGTGTAGACCACCGCTGAAGTCTGAGCCTTTGCTTTAGGGTACAACTAACTCAGGAGCAAATGAAAACCATTTTTCAAATTTTGTTTCTTTTATTTTCCTAAAAATTATGTCAGTAGCTATCTGAAAAAGATCGTAAGTTGATATCTAGGTTACCATTGTAGCTCCTGAGTTGGTATTTCAGCAATAGTTCTAGGTGCATATTCCTATTTCCCAGAACTCTGGAGAATTTCAGAAACACTAAACATAAATACTCCTATGACAGAGTTATATTAATACCCAAAAACATTCTGTGTAACCTCTATTAAACACTGAGTGTACAGCTTAAGTACAGATTCTGGAAAGTCCTGGGCAACTTTCCAAGGTCAAGGGAGATCTAGAAGTGTGTTTGATTTTCTGCTAAGTGTTGTAGCTCTTTTTGGATTCCAATCCACATTATTACTTCATTTTCCAGACCCAGACTTAGGTTGGATAAATATTCCGTAGAGCAAAGAATCATCTTCTTCCCCGCACCTGGACATAGCTCCACACAGGATATGGGAGGTGACCTCTCAGATTTGAATAGCTGAATAGTCATTTCTCAACTGCACTGTTGTTGACTCTTTCTCCCATTAGCTTACAGGGTAGCCTTTTTTCTTCCCTTCTTCTAAGAATTTTCTAAACTAGACACTAGAGTAATGTTGTGATCCTAGATCACTTTCTAATCCAGGTGCACTTATTCCAGGAACCCTCTGGAACCATCAGGCAGAAAAAATAAAAACAACTTTAATTCATTTTCTTTCTCTTGTCATTCATCTTGTTTCTTTGACCCCAAATTGTTACCCAGATTTACTAAACGTTTTTGGTCATCCTGTGTTATTTTCACATATTTTTTCTTGAACCAATCAGCAAATTATTTTCTAAGTGACATTTTCCGCAATCCCCAAATTTATCTTTCTGCTTATAGGTTATTGTAGTAATATCAGTACTCTTTGTTATTCAATTTGCTCTGATTCCCAAACAGAAAAATAATTTTATTCCTGAAATGAAAATTACTATCAGCAATCATTATCTTTTCTGCATTCATGATTACCACAGAAGTACCACTCTGTCAATTCTGAGAACACACTGAGTGTTATCAAATCCTCTGGCCCAACTTCTTCCCTCTTTGGCCATAAGTTGTCAAAAGGGCAACTGAAAAGGCTACAGCAGAATGCCTTCCCAAAACCCTGTCCCTATACATACGAAGGGCTGAAATTGCAGTATAAATTGATGTTAGGAAAATTGATGTTAACATCTTTGTTTAATTTCCATGTCTGTAAATGAATTTTTCTCACTAATATGGCCTGTATTTTTTAAAAGTTAACATACACCACTGGTCATCATATCATAATTGTATATAATTAGCAAAGTTCAACTAATTTAAATGATTGCAACTGATTAAAATGAAATGAAGAAATCAAGAATCCAGGATTAACGTATCATCCTTAACTTGCTTCTTTTAGAATAGGACTGAAGAATCAGAAATACATTTCTCTTATTATTCGTACCATAAGAGTTCTGTATGTAATGTGAAATTTATGGGAAAAATGCCCCAAAACACAATAACTGAAAGCGATGAGGCAATCCTTAGAAGTGAGGCTATTTTGAGAAGAAAAGTAGAACTTTAAATAAATTACTGTACTTTCAATATTTTTAAAGAGAGAGGTAGGAATGGAGCAGTGATGCTTGTTTGGAAAAGTAAAATTCCACATGGAATGTTACAAATGAATAGAAATTCAGCAACAGGGGAGAACGTAGCACCATATGCTCCTCCCCTGCCCTTTCTGCTGACCTGCTCTTTACGAGTGGGTTCGTTTGTTTTGTTATTGTTTGTAAATATGATGACCAAAACCAAATAAATTAGTAAAGAAACAGTTCTATGGCATTCTGCAAAGTTAAGAGGTGGGGCAGGCTCTGACAACCAGTTAGTTGCTGGGTAATGCTAGAATCTCTGAAGAGGCAAAGAGGGGCTGATCCACCCTCATAGAGCACAGTAAGTGTTCGTTTGAAGTTGAACTGACCACTGCATCCCAAATAATCACCTAGATACCTTTGTAAACTATATTCCTTCCCTCTTTCTTTCCCTCCCTCTCTTCTTTCTTTCCTTCCTTCATTCCTACTACAATGTGTGATTTTGTGTCATTATATTTTGTTTATATAAACAAGTATGTTCCTATTGTCTAGGTGTGGCCAATGGGAACATAAACACCATAAATGCAGGTATCTTGCATATTTTATTCACTGCTTTGTCTGTAGTACCTAGCTCAGTACCCATCACTCACTAGGACCTCAATAAATATTTGTTAACATGAATAAATACACTTGCATTAAAAGAGACCTTTAATGCATCTTGCGATGATAGGCTATCAGGTGTTACTTTTAAATTGGAATATAAATTTGATTAAGAACAGCATAAATCATTAAATTAGAAAGCTGAGGTGTCTACTTTCCCCCATAACAGTTTATAGCTTTGACCTTGATTCTAACTCCCTTGCACTGTTCTACATAGACAATTTGCTTATGTTTGTATGCGATTTTAATTATTTGATTGAAATATAATTTAAAAATTAAACAATCGAAAACAGATCTTATAGGAATTTGTTCTCTACTTAAAATAAGAAAGTGGAGGAAAGGCTTAGATCTGGACCACATGTTATACCCAGCAGCAATTGACTCAGATCTAGCTATGGCACAAACAGGATGAAGAAAAAAAATCTGCCCATGCCACCCCCAAGAGAAAAACCTTCAGAAAAACCACAAGAAATAACAGCTTATAAAAACCTGACACAATTTTTCTTGGCTGTCCCAATGGAATAGAATAAATATTTGTCTATCTTTGCTCTTTGCCCACATGAAATAGCAAGGCATATTTTGAAATATCCAGTTTAATTAAAATATACCTTTCAGATAAGCCTAAGGAAGTTATAATAAGGGAATATCTGATGTGTTTCATCAAGTTACAAAAATTATCAGGCTAATAAATTAGAGCTTTTAAATCTATGTAGCAGCTTGAAATACAATATTGGTACAAGCTGATCTTACAAGTTTTTCCCTACAGAATAGAGTTAATATGATGAAACCGACCAAAGAAATAGAGAGAAAACACCCACACTTGTTTTATTTTTCTTGAAGGTAAAATCACCTGCACACATTTCTGTTCAAAGAAAAATGATCAGTTTCATTTTATTCTCACAGATACAAATGTACTCCATAGAATTGGAACTGCTTCTTTTGTTTCTTGTTCTATGAGAATTAGATTTGCACATTTCAGGACATGTTAAGGTGCTCTCTGTGATTTAGATAGTTTATAAAAAGGTAATTTGATCTCAAATCATAGTTTTCTTTCTTTATTTCTAATACTGAAAGCTGCATACCCTTCTGAGAAGTGAGCCATGAGAGGAAGACATTAGCTTGCCTTGTATTAGATAATAAAAAAGTTCCACAGGGGACAAGTTACATATTATGACATTGTGTATATAAGGCTCATTTGGATTTAATTCATTACTACATCATGTTGCACAGGAAAGCAATTTTTAAGCAATAGAAGGGCACTTCATTTGTAAAAGACCCAGATATAACATACAATCAGTTACTGAAGACAGAAACTGATTTCCCAAATCAGGCATATAAAATTTAATATATTTTCTCCAGTTATAATGAAAGGAAAGAGAACTTCAATACCATTTTTTTTATAGATAAGAATGATACTTTGTGAAATTTGGAAAGTGAATTTTTGCTTGGGGAGTTGATTACATTTTGATGCCACAAACTGAATAAGTTGAAGAAAATGATTAAGCATTTTTAGTAATATATTTGAAGTATTTGTTAGATACATAGAATTTCAAATTCTATGCTTTCATAGACTTAATATTACCACATTAAAAAAAATCTGAAATTTTTTAATGAAATAAATATAATAATGAACATTGGTAATTTCTAAAAATTTCAATATCAATTTTTCATATTATTAGTTAAACCCTAAGGACTGACTAAATTATTCTAGAATTTTACAACTGCAACCATTTTACATTGGTTTATTTCAGTTATATAAATCTGTATGTATAAAACAGGGTTCTCCTGAGAAACAGAACGTATAGGATGTGTGTGTGTGTGTTTGTGTGTGTGTGTGTGTGTGTGTATGTGTGTGTTCGTGCTTGTGTATGAAAAGAGCTAGATTGGTTTATTTTAAAGAGTTGACTCACACAATTGTGAATGTTTGGCAAGTCAAAAATCTGCAAGGTGGCTAGCAGGCTAAAGACCCAGGGAAGAACACAGCTTGAGTCCAAAGGCAGTCTGCTGGTTGAATTACTTCTTTTCTGGGAAGGACAGTCTTTCCCTATTAAAGCTTGCAATGGATTGGATGAGCCTTACCCACATTATGGATGGTAATCAGCTTTATTCCAAGCCTACTAATTTATATCTCAATCTCATCTTAAAAATGCCTTCACAGAAACATCTAAAATAATATTTGACCAAACATTTGATACCATGTATTAGCCTAGTTGCTACATAAAATTAAACATTACACTGGTTATACAAGCATCTACAATTTGCAAAAATAAAATTACCTATCCATTCAGTGATAGTTTCCCAGGATGGGGACAGTAGAGTGAGGGTGTTCATCACCTGTTTTTGGTACCTAAATTGCCCAGCAACTTTACTTTCTCTCTCGTTAGCTAGAAATATCCATTGGAAAAATTTTTAAGTGACTACAATATTTAATTGATTCGATACTTTTGCATAAATAATCTATTTTAAAATGTATTTTAATTTAAATGTTCCCCTGTAAATCACTCCTATGAGATTATGGAATTAATGGTTTTAGATGAAATTCTCAAATATCTTGCTTAATTTCTAAAGCATGGATTAGGATTTTCAAATTGCAAATTTCAAAGGACCACGTCTGCCACTTGAATCTTGATTTCATTGACATTAAACAGGAACGTGAAAGAGAGAAGCATACAAACAGTTCTCAACTTTTCCATGTTTAACTTACACCGCACTCTACTGAATGTGATCATTACCAACTTTTCTATAGCATGAGTGTCAGGAAGTCAAATGAATCCACAGGAAATTGACATACCTGATTCTCAAAGTAAAACATTTGTTATTCCCTTGTACTACAACTGACTGATCCTGTTCCTTTTTTGGAACGAATAAGATCAAGAAGTGGATGGATGGAAAAGCATATTATAGTCAATGCAGGAAAAAGATACAAGAAAAATGTGACTAGCTCTAAAGTTGATCAATTTTCAGAATAGGCAGCCAGTATCACAGATGATCCTGATATATCTGATGGAAATAGTTCATTGACAGTAGAAGATAATCACTGCAATTATGTAAAATAGATCCCGCTAATTAATACAACATAAATTAGAAAAATTAATGGTTCCAACATTTTGATCCTTAACACTCTAACTTAGTCCTGATGCTTTACATCAGATAGACTTAATAAAAAAGATGAAGAAAAGGACATTTGCTTACTAGGAAAGTAACTAACCTAATCTCAGTTTGTAACCAAATGGATAAAATAATTTGTGTGCATGTGTGAATGCACAGGGGCTGAGGAGAAGAGAGATGGAATCCTTTGAACTTGACCATTAAGAGTAAGAAAGCAAACCTTTAGGCAGAAATGGCCCAGACTGAGACAACCTCTTCCTGAAGCTGAAACTAACAGGATAAAAAAAGACCTGTGAGGGGATCCACTTTGCACCTCCTGAAAACTTGTGATCATGGAAATACCTTTTGTGAAATCTTTATTTTCATTTTTTCTTTATAGAAAAATAATGCTCTCAAGATTAAACAGAATGTCATTAAAAACTATAGAGTGACTAGCCAAGTGCCTGGAATATAGTAGACATCCAGCTCACCTTTATGTAAGAGAAAAAAATCTTCTATCTTCAAAATCAACTTTTTTAGTACATGCTATGAGTACATAGATAAAATTTGTTTAAAAATCAAAGGGATGTGTGTGTGTGTGTGTGTGTGTGTGTGTGTGTGTGTGTGTCTGTGTGTATTCTCAAATATCTTGCTTAATTTCTAAAGCATGGATTAGGATTTGTGTATGTGTGTGTGTATGAATATATAAATATATATAAATCTATATATAAATATATGAATGTATAAAATATGAATTTATATATAAATATACACACACATACATACATAGCCATTTATATATATGTGAATCATATATATGTATGATTAAAATTTCAATAAGAGGTATAAATAACCAGAAGTATACATTATTTTCATTTTCAAAAAAAGTGATAATCCTCATGGACATGAAGCCTTATCAAGAAGATCTGTACTCTGGTTCATTTTCTCAGGCAGTAAAGACTTACTGAGAGCCTACATGCTGTTTAAACTCTGCCAGACCCATAGTTCTTTCTCCACTGTGAAACAGAAAGTGATTCATGCCAACAAAATGGGAGGAAATGAAGTACTGTGGGTTGCAAAGGCAAATAGAGAATTCAGCTGATGGGATATCAATGAGATTTCCATGAAGGAGTGGGCACCTGAGCCAGATCTCAAACAGTATTTTACAGTATTTTAACAGGTTAAGATGGAGAAAGTTATTGCAGTCAAAGGCCCCACTGTCAACAATCTTTATTCTTCCCATTGGTGGGTGCTGCTTTAGCCAAATACCTAAGGATTGCGAGGGGCATAAGCTTGGATCTGTGAGTTGAATCCAGTTAATACAATTAATGTCATTCTGCATAACACTGAGAAACTCCGAGTTAAGGAGTTGCCTTACTTAAGGTTCAGAGCAATGAAACACTATGCATAATTAAATCAATCTTATCCTATGTATTCCTTTTCTGATTAAACTTCAGACAATGTACATTTGTTATCTGGAGAGATCAACGATAGGATAGCTAATTACTTCCTTTAGGAGCCATCACTCTATTACTGTTAAATTCATTCTGTTATCGTTTGCATACACTGAATTATGTGCATGCATTTACATGTTTTTCTCTAATTAAAATAGCAGTTGCTTTATTGCTTTCTTCATGTCTCCCAATCTTCCTACTCTCATTCATTTTAATACTGAAATTAGAGAGGGACAAAAAACATGAAGAATAGAGAAGACAAAGTACAAAAAATAATAATAATAGGAACAACAATAATGTGAAGAGGGGCCAAAAAAATGGTTGGAAAGTAAGGCTGGAGACTAGAAGAGAACAGTTGCTGATGACATCACCATCATCAAACAACAGCAACATCTTATGTTTGTACAAAAGCATGTCAGTGAAAAATATATTCTTGTGGGGTCAGAGGAGAGACAAACCACTATTTCATATTAGCCTTTCTAGTGCCCTGATAACCATAAAAACACTCTGTGGTTCTTCATGGATTCCACAGCCAGTTTACCTATAGGTAAGGACTACCTCGCCTCCCTCATTTAAGACTGGAGGTAATGTATAAGTCGTCAGCTGTCTTGAACAGGAAACTTGCTCAATTATACATTCTTTGGTAAATGAAGTGCAGTGGTTCTTGAATGGAAGGAAGTTAACATGGGTGGCAGGTGTGGAAAGGGAGAGATTAAAAAAATGAGAAAACTGTTTGCACAGGAAAGACACCAATACTGTAACAAGTAAACAAACCTAATGTCTGAGTTAAAAGAAGGGGACAGGAAAGCAGCCCAGGTGCTTATTTTCTTATATCACGGGATGGTAAATTAGTACTGGTGAGAAAGACATAGGTGAAAAAGTAAATTATATATATTTTGTTTCTAGGTAGATTGGACAGAGATTTTCTCCTTTCAGCAGATCAATTTTGTCAGGAAAGACCATAAAAACATACTAAATGTTAAAATGAAGGGTTCTAAGATTTTGAACTCTTTGGCATTACAGAGTGGTCATAAGTTGTGTTTCTTGCTGTTGATAGTTGTCCCGGTTAAATTATGGAATTTATCTTTCCAGAAAAGAAAAATTCATCCCTATAAGTTAAATGAACTTATTTGTATCTTTTGATCCATCATAGCTATATCATAGGATAAGAATGGAAAATCCTCTCTTGTGTACTTCTGATCAATTAATAAGGGCTTTCAAGAATGTTGGGTGGAGAAGGATTCTGAGGCAAGGTCTGAGTACAATGATAAAGAGTGCTATGATTAATGGACATGGAGCATGACACAGGAAGTGGCAGTATATATGCAGTAAATTTGTCATTCCTTTAGTTTAATGTCATTAAAGCCAGATAACCTAAACAAATAGTGTCAATGGTAAAGTTTAATTAGTACTACAGAATGTACCACCCATATTACACATAAGATAACTAAATATACTATTTAGTTGCTGAAAGGGAGTAATGGAGGAGGAAGAGGAGACAGAAGGAAGAGAAAAGGGAGAAGATCATTTGTAAAAGTACATTGAGAAGAACAGAAAACAAACGAGACTTAGGAATCAATTTCAATGTATTATATTAAGTAATTACTAAAATATGCCTATATCTGAAGCAGCATTTTAACTAGGTTTCCAGACAAGATGTTATTCATCATGGTATTGTTGAAGATAATTTAAAACTTTTTTTTTTTTTTTGAGACGGAGTCTCGCTCTGCCGTTTGGCTGGAATGCAGTGGTGGATCTCGGCTCACTGCAACCTCCGCCTCCTGGGTTCAAGCAATTCTCCCGCCTTAGCCTCCCAAGTGGCTGGGACTACAGGCCCATGCCACCATGCCCGGGTAATTTTTGTATTTTTTAATAGAGACCGGGTTTCACCATGTTGGCCAGGATGGTCTCAATCTCTTGACCTCGTGATCTGCCTGCTTTGTCCTCCCAAAGTGCTGGGATTACAGGCATGAACCACCGTGCCTGGCCAATTTATAACATTTTCTAAATGTTTTGAAGAGTTAACCCTCAGCTAAGAAAATATGGTCTTTTATATTGCTTATAAAGATCATTTCACAGTATAAATTAACTCATGCTTGCTTAGTTGTATCAATGATAAAAAATATTGCCCTGTCCAAATAATGCAAACACTTAAAAATAGATACATCTCTAGAGATTGTATTTTATTATTTATTCATTTTATTTGTGAAGTCAGAAAATAAAATGTGTCTAGTAAGAGAAATCCAAAGAGATGGCGTACCATACATACTGTGATTGACTGCTTTACTATTATGACATTTTAGTTTCTGAACCTTTAAATACCATGGGAAAGAACCAATAAAAGCCATGGGGAAACTCCTTTAAAAAGTAATTCATACATGAAAAATGAAATGCACGTGGTCAATTCATAGGGAAAACCTTTATCAACATTCTTTTTGGCCTATCAAAAACAAATAAAAAATAAGGACCTGGAAGGCTGGAGGTTCTGCAAGACCATTTGGTGACACAAAGCAAACAACTACACAAATTGGAACTCCTTGAAGCTGTGATTTGTTTCCAGGAATTCATCAGAAGGGAATAATTAAATAGGCACAATTGGATTTATGTACAAGAATGTTTACAGAGGGAACCTAAAGGTCCCTGTATAAGAAATAGGTTAAATTACATGACATCCATATAATGGAATACCAGGCAGTATTTTATGTAGTGATTTAAATCTATATTTATTGGCTTGAAAAGTGATTCTAATATTTTAATTTAAAAAATTCTAAAGCAGGTGTTAAAGAAATATACATGGCCTAATACAATTTTCTGATTGATAGGGAATGATAGAAGGAAATAACAAGGATTTCTAAAAAGAGGTAGGATTATGGATGGTTTTTACTTTATTCTTTATAATTTTCTGTACATATTGCACTTATAATTAGAAAGAACCATAATGATCTTTCCATTAAGAAGAGGAAATTATATTAGCCATAATTAGAAAACAACACATTTTCTCCTTTTTGTCTCACCATTTCACAGCATCGACAGCTGTCAAAGGCAAACACATTCCTGCCTTCAAAAATAAACTAAACCTCATTAATTTATCCATTCAAATATCTTATTATTACAATATTATATTTTCAAACTATGTTTTGAAGTTTTCAACATACTTAATCTGCTCAGAAATTTGCTTATGATCTTCAGAATTTATTAGGTTGATGCAAAAGTAATTGCGGCTTTTGCCATTACTTTCGATGGCAAAACAGCAATTATATATGTGTGTGTATATGTCATTTCTTTAAATAAAAAATACATTATTAGAGGCTTGGTGGATTTATTATATAATAGAAATGAAACATTGTACCTGTGACATTCAAGCTTCTTCTAAGTTAAAGAGCTTTCTCAACCGTCCTAGGTAAACATGGTTTATACAAGATAACCAGCATCTCAACTGGCTTAAGCTGATTAGATTAGGGACAAGCACTTGACAGAGAGTCACGAACATCTTTGGTCCACAAAAGGATAATAATGACATTTCATCCTGGAGAATAGGAATAGAAGAATAGTGTATTGGAGAATATAGCAATTAGCATTAGGAAAAGATGCAAATATAAAAACAAAAGCTAGAATAAATTGCAAAAGGATTAAATCACTTTGGTGATCAACACTTCAATGCAAATCAGAGAATGTGTTTACTCAGGATGAATTCTCAGCTGAAATTTTTTCCGGTGTGTGCTCTGTGTGTTTTTTGGAGACTCATTTATTCTACAACTGGAGACTTCTCATTTTCCTTTGACATGAGTACTAATATACCCTCCTCCAGCTCCTGCTTACAACCCCCAGGCCTCTGAACACACCTCAAGCTTCTCCCCTCTCCAAGCCTCCTGCCCTCTCCCTCTCAACCCAGATAGAATCCATTGAAATATGATTTGCCGTACGCCACCTAAAACAACTACCTCTTTTTCTGCAATTTTTTTTTTTTTTTTTTTTTTTGAGACAGAGTCTCACATTGTTGCCTAGGCTGGAGTGCAATGGCTCAATCTCAGCTCACTGAAACCTCCGCCTCCCGAGTTCAAGCGATTCTCCCTGCCTCAGCCTCCCAAGCAACTGGGATTATAGGTGCCCAACACCATGCCCAGCTAATTTTTGTATTTTTAGTAGAGACGGAGTTTCGCCATGTTGGCCAGGCTGGTCTTGAACTCCTGACCTCAGGTGATCCGCCCTCCTTGGCCTCCCAAACTGCTGGGATTACAGGCATTACCCACTGCCCCTGGCCTTCTTTTGCACTTTTATCAGCAACTAGCTTGTGAATCTCTTATCACTTAGATATGGCAGGTAGGAGGCTGGATTCTCTGAATGAGAAAGATATCAAGTTATTCCAAGTAGTTTTGCCACCCCTACATCTTCCAAATAGTTTTGTTAAACTTTTTCCACTGGATTTGAGGCTTCTTTCTTGAGAAGAGACCGGGACGTATAGCACATCAGCAGCTTTTTCAAAAATGCTTCACTTTCTCCATTCTCCCTAGCTTTTGCTTCTCCAACCTCTCATAAGCCAAAAATGGATAATCATCTCTGGGGCCATACTCTCATTTTTTTCAAGCTTTACATGCTACATGTTGGTCTTAGAAATGTAGCATCAATTGTCTTTATGCCTCAACTGGAACTGAAGCATCAGTAGTGATACTTTAATATTTTTACAGTACCTGGTTTTGATATAAGTTGCCACTTATTTAAAATCAGAGCATAGGCTATCCTCTGAGTAATCATAATATAATTATATAACTTAAAATAATTATATCATATAATATAAATACTATGTTCATAATATTTTGTATAAATTGTAATATAATATGAAAAATCTAAATGATAAAATTTTAAAATACATAATATAATTGATGAATTAAACACAGATCTGTTTCTCATTTATTCATGCATTCATTTCATTCTTTAGAAAATAATTACTCAATGTCTATTAGATGATGGCACTTTAATGGTGGACAAACAAGTTTAGTCCATTCTCTTATAGAGTCTGCAGTCTATTATAAAAATAATATATTTTGTATTGCACAACTTTTAGGCTATTTGATAAGAACTGACATAGGTTTAGAGCATGTCCAGGAAAAGAGAACCAATAGAAAAGAGATACAGCAATTGAACAAAATAGTGGGCCAGTAAGAGCACAAAATTGTTAATAAATTCATGGAAAGTAATAGCAGGGATCTGCTACTACTAGGAGGTACGGAATTAAGGCTGAGATGGCTCAGTAAACACAGACTCATAATGACATGTGGTTAGGATGACAATTGAGGGAGAAGATATTTTTGGATGAGGAGCTGTTATGTTTATGAAGATATTTGTACCAAAAATACAATTGTTTTGAAGAAGAAAGTATGTTATCTCAATAAAGAAAACAAATATGGCTACTTCATGGACCCATAATTGTTAATCTGTGTCTAACTACAGAGTACTAGCTGGGAGTGTAATTGCTAGTGGTTATGCTTTCAGAGCTAGCTTTGACATACATGTTACTTTGTTGATTTTGGAGTGTAAGACTGGAATGTAATCCTTACCATCATGCAGCTTCCATTCTGAGAGAAATAATGAATATTTTAATGTAATTATTATTTATTTTAAATTTTATAATCAGTTGCCTATTTGCAAAGCAGACATAAGCCAGCTATTAAAGATGACTACGGTGCTGAAAAAAGAATTAAAACAAGTAAGACAAAGAAAGCCAAAGTTATATAAGGAGGGAAAATAAATATGTAGCTTAGTTTGTAAATAAAATGCATGTTATGAAGTTCCTATAAACTTACAAATACAAATTTGACTATAAACTTACTAAGAGTCAAAGTAAAAAAGGAAGCAGACTAGGTTATGGTATTCATTGTGTCAATAAATTAAAAACTAACCAGATGCTCAGGGAAAAAAAAAAAAACACATAATTGTCCTTACCATTAAAAAGAAATTAATGCTATGGATCCTTTTCCAGAAGACATTTTGTAATAGAACAGATGTCCATAATGAAGTTAAAGTAAAAACAGTTAAACAGTTTTAAAGAGTTCTTCTATTTTCTTGGTTTGTTTTCTAATAACATCCTGAGCCAGTTAGATTTATCTGCAACTTTCCCTTTTTCTGCTCCAGCCTATATTGCAGGCAGCGGATCCCTTCAGAATGAGTTTCTCAGGTTGTAAGTCAGCAGTCTCTTGCTGGTTTCAGCTAACAGGACAACTGCTAGGACACTTAGTGGCAGGAGTAAAAGAGAAGCTGAGGTATTTCCCTCTCTCTGTCTTCAGTGGTGTCTCCAGCTGAGGTTATGCCCCCCTATCTGCCCTTGTGTGCACAGACATTCCAGCCCCATCACTTTCTCCCTCTAGACTAGGTTTAGTAATGGCTCCATTTTGTGAATTTCTGGGCTACCTGAGTATCCCCTGATTGGCTTATCAGTTCCTGATCACTGATGGAAGCATTTCTCTACTTTAAATATTCAGGAAGTTTTCCAACATCTTCACTGGGTCCTGAATGATACAATCATTCATTATAAGGTAACAGCATATCTTTTAGCTCAATGTAAACAATTTTACATTGGGAAGTATCATGAAAAGTGTTGTTATCCACATATTAAATGTCCAGGGATGGTTATACAAAAGGGAACAGCAGACACAGAAGGGTATAGGAAACACATTCCTGTCAGTCACTGAGGCCTAATCTTCAGGAAGAGGATTAGAGGATTAGAATCCACCAACACCAATACACCTGGTATTTCAGCACATGAATTAAGTGACACATCTTCAGTGGACATGCTTCCCTGAGAAAATTCCCGGAAATGCACACCTGCCAACATCTTGGCTGTAACAAATCAATGTAACCCAGAAAGAATATTCTGGAGAAGCAGTACCTCACTACTCTCTCTGCCTACAAACAACGTACATGATTCACCTAGGACTATTCTTATTCTGCAAATATAGAAGATATATGCAAATACCTCATCTTGCATATCTAGTTCTTCACTTCACTAAATATGTAAACTAGAAAACCTTTTACAACTCAACATGTATGCTAATAAAATAACAAAAAGCTTTTCCAAGTTATCCACTAGTTATATGACATCGGTGAAACTTTTGAAGAGTTACTTCAGCCCATAAAGCAGGTTTATTTTATTCTGATGTCATTAAAGTTTTTAATCATATGGCTAATGTCCTAGTTTTTATTACCTGTATATCTGGCAATCTTTGCATCCCAATTTGGCCTAACAAGGCTCACCAAGAGGGAGAAAATACAGTGGCTGGAGAATTTTAGTCTCCATAGTAGTTATGATTCTTACTAGTAACTAATAAAACTGCATCACAAATTTATATTGCAGTACCATAAATCTGAAAATGTGCGCTCCCCTCTTTGAAGTTTCTATTCTTGTTGTGGTGATATGTTTCTCAGCTTGCAACACTGACGTGAACCATGAAAAATCATCAGTTCAATACCCCCTGTGAGACATTTTTCCCAAGAAATGCATTCAAACAACATCTGTTTCTTCTTCACCTACCTGAAAGACTTCTTAATATCTTCTGCCTGGATTGTCTTGAGAATCTCTTGATATAACTGAGGATCAACTGTTCCTGAAGATGGAGCATCTGAAGGGCAATTTGTATGTACATAATAACCTATCAAAATCCCAAAAATAAATAAAATGGTGGCTGTGCAAAGTATTTTTAAGACGTGGCAAAAGTTGCAGCGATTGCTCTTTGGTGCAGATCGTGTATAATGGGTAATGTAGTCAGATTCTTCTTGAAGTCTCTGGAACCTTCCTTTGGGTGAAGTTGCTGGTTGAATGGAATCAAGATTGAGGTCTATAGTCTCTGAATGCCCTAGGTTCTGATTCTCAGCACCGTCTAGCTGGAATTGGTCAAAACCAGACTCCTCTAGTTCCTTCTCCATGTCCCACTCTAAGTCAAGGGCAGTGGCTTGAAGGTCATCATTGTCTAAGTACTGTGAGTGTCCTGGAGCTCTTTGATCTGCATGGACCTTCTGATAGGCCATCTTTTTACCTGTGAAAATAAGAAAAATATATTTTAATAAAATAAACACACAATTAAAAAAACTAACAAAGTGAAAACAAAACAGTAAGCCATATTGAGTGTTTAATGATTATAATACAGGGAAATAAATTCTCCCTATAGAAACTCATATTTTATTTAATTAATCTTATAATTTTCTGTTGATGTTACCATAGGAAAGGAAGACAAAAGAAAAATGAAAGTAGAAGGTACTTAGTGGGAAAGCTATGAGAAAACAAAATTACACACACACACACACACACACACACACACACACACACACACGCCCCATTAATCTTTGAAGCTCAGGAGAATAACAACAGTCATGAATGTACAATTACATTGAAGGATGATGCAATGCAGAAGGCAAAATTAAACCTTCATGGTTACCAAATCACTTTTAAAAATTAAAGGCAAAAGTAATAAAGCTGCGATTTGGTAAGTTAAAGGGAAAAAATAATAAAAACCCTGGAATGATTACATTGCCAGAGCTTGTCTTAAAAACACAAATTCATTATAAAAATAGGCAGAACAACTAAATGAAGTATGAATTCTACAAGAAGCAAAATCTGTTATGTTACAGATTCTTAAGTTACCAAAAAGATTACACAACTTTAAGAGTATGAGAGAGGACCAAGATGTCCCAAGAAATTAGTGACATGAATTGGCCTGGCTCGGTGAATTTTAAATAAAAGTCTGGGATGGCATCAATCCAAAGAGGAAAGCCTTTTGCCAGCCTAGGAGAGTTTGGTTTCATAACCTTGCTACAGGAGTGGCAGATGGAGGTTCTTCTCCCCTGCACAGCTTTGGATGACAGCTTGTTGTATCCTGCCAAGTGGTATTAGGAAAACTGGGCTAATTAACTGCAAGTGGTCTTAAGTCTGTATTCAGTAAACCACTGGTGTATTATGGCTGCAGATTAAGAGTATTTATACTTAAATTTTCTGTGTATTAGATTTGTCACCCCAGCTGGATCTTAGATCCCTCACTATGTTTTATGATTTTTCTGTGTGTCCCACTGTGGTGGGCAAAGAACACAGCTCAACTGATAACTGATAAGCTAATTGCCTTAGGAATCGTGGTAGACAAGTAAATTCCTATGAAAAAGATAAAACAAGGATTTCACAAAGGGAGTGGCATTATGCACAGAATTATGGCCATACATGTCTCCAATCTTGGCTAGCTGAGGCCCATATAATTAAAATTTCCTAAATTTTTAAGAAAATTCAAATATAACTAAATATTAAATTTTATAAAATAAAAACTGTAATTCTGACTAGAATTTTCATATGCTGCCCTAAAATCTAGGAATCATTCTTACCTAGCATTGACTCAATAAAGATGATTATCTAATGCATGTCAGGCAGAGATAGGTAATGAAGACAGAAATAAATAGGACCTTATTCCA
The DNA here is from genome assembly GCF_000001405.40 of Homo sapiens. NCBI lineage: Eukaryota > Metazoa > Chordata > Mammalia > Primates > Hominidae > Homo > Homo sapiens. Next base: position 175,095,372 of record NC_000003.12, on the reverse strand, counting down.
CAAATAGCGACCCATCAAATCAGAGAGACAATGGACAAACAAACAAAAAAGTCAGATAAAATATGCAAAGTGTCAGGGAAACTCAGGGGTGATTGATTCTAGCAGAAAATACGAGAAATAATTATACAAAAAAGTGACCTCTAAGTTGCTTTTGCAAGAGAGGAGGGTGTGAGAGGAGGATACCCAGGAAGGGGAAAATTTACAAACACAAAGAGAGAATAAGAATGCCCCATTTGAAAAACCTAGAGTGGTACTCTATGGCTGAGGATAGCGCACATGGGCCAAAGATGCTGAGGAAAAAACTAGGAAAAGGTGACATTGGTCAAAAAACTTAACTTCCCTACGACACAGGGTCTTCGTATGTGAAATGGGTATAATAATAATATAAACTTTGTAGTGTTGTCATCAGGATGCATTCACATAGTAAACCTAAAGCATCTATTGAGTAGTGGATAGTCTGTATGAGTTAGAAGGAACATTTCTATTCTTAGAGGAGATAGAACTTTCAAGGATTGGTAGGGAGTTAATAATTATATAATTATGCAAGACATTGTGGAGATGGAGAGGAGGATGTATAATATTCACACACACACACACACACACACACACACACACTATAGTGTCTGGTGCTTTTTTTTTAACATTTAGTCTATGTGTAGAGATTAAAATATAAAAATCACCATGTTATACTAAATATTCTCATGGCTCTACATTGCTTTTCTTTTTCCCTCCCTCCCTCCATCTCTTCTTGTTTGGTCTTGTTTCCCAAATGATTCAAGGAAGTGTAGCATTTGAATTCTGTCTTTGGTCAAATCAAGACAAGCAGAGAAAGGAAGTAACGTATGACGTTAATGATAGCTATTCAGATAGGTTAGGTGACAGCTGATTAACTTATAGAGGAAGAAACTGAATCTCACTGGGTTTAAAGAATCTGTCAAAAGAAAATACTAGAGGATAGAAAAAAGTCTGAAGAAAGTAGAATAAAGAATCTCTAGACACTTTAGAAACCAATTTATTTTAATGTGCTTTATAAACTACAATTTCCTAGCACCAGTCAATTTTTTTTTCTCTTTGGCCTAAACATCAGTAAATTGCTGTAACCTTGAAATGATATTATATTTACTTCTTTAACTGTTCAGCTTATGCATTCCTGATTAATTTACTCAGACATTTTTTCCATGCAGTTCTCTAGATTTTTTTCTCCCATTTTAATGAATCAGAGTCTCTCTCTCTAAAGGTTTTTTTTTAAAAAACATTGAATCGTAGAGCTTGGTTTATGCTCAAAAAAGACTTGACACATGGGAGTTACTACAGAAATGTGAGATCTCTAATTCTGACCTCTAATACAAACATTCAAAGTCACCTCTCTATAAATCATTTAAAAGCCAACTGCAATGGTGAGGCAGAGTTTTCATCTCTAGCCTGACAATACGCATTCCATCACATGTACATCAGCAATTTAACGGTCTTCAAACATCAGACAGAGCCATCAATTAGAATGTAATGCAGATACACATATTAACTCCTCACTATGATGGATATCTGCCTGACACCCTTACTACCACTTTTGGATTCATTACACATTATTACATTTTCACTAAATTCTATCTTCCAGCAGAGTCACATCTGGGATAAAGGTAGATGAAGTCACTTGGTGTAACAAACTCCAAAGTATTTCAGGGAAATTACTACGGAAATGAGTATGTAATGACATATATGATAAAGCATTTTAATCACTAACTTGGTAAAATCAATTATATATGTCTTATATATTTTATATATCAAATACATGTAAATATAGTATATATAAATGTATTATATACATATATAAAATTATTAACTATTTCTATAAAATTATTTAGCTTAAAAATAGTATAGACATTTTGCAAAAATAAACATAAATCTCTGCCCTGATAGTTTTGTTTGCTTCACTTAAAACATATATATATATATATAAAAAAATAAAATGAACTCAACAAAAAAAGAAACTATCAAATAAATAAAACTTTAGTAACATTCAGCTTTGAGATAGCATAAATTATTCTATGGTTCCCATCAAGAATGTAGCTGTCTTAAAAACACCTCTGCCCTGTGAGACAAAAACATATCACGTTTCTTTTTATCAGAAGCTTCAAATTCCCTAGTAACATGAAAATTTTATATTTAAAGACAAATATTCAGCAAAATCAGCATGTCTTACACATAATCACATAATAATGCCATTCAATTTTTTATTACTGATGCAGATGATTTGGTTAGTTTGTATTGTCATGTTATTTTAAGATTACCCCATGTGAGTGTTAAAAGTACATGTAGTAGATTTTATAATCTGCATGAATAATTATCTAAAAGAGATATACTTTAGTATAGAGGAATTTATAGAAACTTGTGACATTTCTACGGATGGAAATATCTGTAACACCCTTACATGTTATATTGTGCCACATGGTCTGTTTTATAAAATGCAATTATTATGAAAAGTGTAATATATTTTCCATATTTTCAACAGATCTTATTCACTTAGGTGACATCTCTTTCCATCCAGTCCTACAACCAAAGTCCAGTTTTTAAAATTCAACATACTAAGACATTTATCTTTTACATACACTTAACCCTCTATTATAAAAATAAAACAGATACAAGTTGAACTGAATGGTATTTTTCTGGACTGTGACAGACTTAGATTAATAATAATGAATATCCATCTATATTCAACATATGATAGTTTAAAATAAACTGATTCTTCTGAATGCTATTTCACAAATACTGGCTTAAACAAAGTAAATTATATGGAAATAAAGATAAGTATGGAAATAAAATGAAAATTTAATATGTAAAATATAATCTCTGGTTGCTGCAGACCTAGCCTAACACAGTGTCTGGCAAATATTTTAGATAATACAGATTAGACAAAAGTATTTTTTAAATGTTACATATTACTTATGCCACTTACGAATATGATCACAGCAGTATTTCTTTCTTGTTCAGCAGTCATAATGAGAGAATTTATTACATGAATGCTCTGACCTTGTAAATCTCTAAATGAGTGGACTTCATAGTGAGGCTATCTGGTTCAAATCCTGGCTTTGCTATGTAATTTAAGCCAGACACTTAATACTTATGCTTAATTTTATGCATAAAATTATGCATAATACTTATGCTTAAATACTTAAAATTTATGCTTAAATTTCACATTTGTCAAACAGAAATAATAACAGTACCACATTTTTGAAGTTATTATGAAGAGTAAATGAGATAAATTATTTAATGTGCTCAAAACATAGTCTAACACATTAGCGATACACTAATAATAATAATTGCAGTCATTCACTATTTTTTTCCACGAATTCTATAGAGCTAAGAAAATAGAAATATTCGGAGCTTACAAGTTTAAAATACATGGTTAACTAAATTAACCTATGACCTGAGACCTCAGGCTTTAATAACAAAGAACTGGAGATGTTGAGAAATAAAGCTGTGTACCAAATGCCTTTGAAAATGGGAAGCATCTTGTTAATCATTAGCTATGGTTCAGATATATAAAAGAGAAGTTTGGCTAACATTTATATAAAATTCATTATTACATTTGACTATATCTTATTACAGCGTGATTTTTGGTCTATTTACTCAAAGAACAACAGAGCTTTTCCATCGTAAAGAATTCTGTTTAATATTCCAGGAATTGGTGATGTGTAATCGTAATTCTGAGTTACAAATGTTTGTTGTAGAACACCATGTTTATCAAAGAAGTTTGACTTGATTCATTGACTGTAATGTTACTGATAATATTTTAACTCAAACAGTAGAAAAGATTGTACAGATCTTATTAGAATTAAGAACACATATAAAGGCTTTCCTACTTGTAAAAGTTATTTTACAAGTAAAATAAATGAATGACTGTAGCAGATTAGCTTTAAAACGTAAGGCAGAATCTCAATTTCCTATGACAATCCATGATTAAATCTTTATTGTAAAATGATAAAAATATTCATATAGTGTTTCCTGAAGCTTTCAATGTCAAATCATTTGCTGGTTTGAGTGGATTGATTTGAGGCAAAGGCATTTCTTAGAAATGTCAGGGCATCATCAAAAGACATTCATTATGCATCTTTGTGGAGTATTGCTTTAGGTACTGCAACAGTGAACTACATAGTACCCATAGGAATTTTTAAATCTAAGTTTAAGAATATTCTTTATAGGCAAAATCATTTGACATAAATTTTTCAGTATAAACCTACTTTATACAAATAAAGTCCATGTTTGTGGAATAAATTTTTGTTGTTGAAAGCTTTAATGTTATCACCTTTGAGAGCAAGGCAAAAAATAAAACTATAAAAATAGTAATTCAGAAGACTCTGTTTCCTGACTTAATTCTTCAGTATAATGATATTTTTTTTTTCCATTTGTGGTTTTAGTGAAATGGTCTTGGCAACTGCTATAGTATCTGTAAATGCATCAAGAATTCTTTATTTAATTGCAATTTTGTACATCAACCACATAAAAGAAATAATTATTTGTTGCTCATGCTTCACTAATAGATTAAATAGGATATATAAACTAAAGGAAATTATTATTTGTGCTTTATTTTTAGAAAAATAAATTAGTCAGTGCCTACTCTAAAATGAGTAGTACACTGAATTTAGGCATAGTGGATAATCAAGTTGGATAGCATAAACTAAAACTTCACCCTGAAGCCTGAGTTATGTTGATCACTAAATGACATGTAAAAGGTATGCTTATAGAATGTCAAATTAATGAGCTATAGATTGCAAAATGTAGTCAAAGCCATTTGAAAAAAAAAAAAAATCATTGGTGAAATCCAGTCAGTTCGTGTAAATTTGTTTTAGATCACTTGCATATGCATGAGCACCTGCTAGTTCCCCGAGTAGGCCAACCTTTGGGGCCCTGTGTGCAACTGCAATTTGTGTAACACACCCTAAATGGATGGTTAGTTGGGCCCACCTGAGTTCCTATATTTATGGTAAAGTTTTTAAATATCAGAATTATATAATTCAATTCAGGATTTGGCAAGCAGAAGAGCTGATTAGTATGAACCAAAGCAATAAATTTTATGGGTGTCCTGAACTGGTAGTGTGAACACTTGGTATTATTTAGGATATCTACCACATAAGTTTAAGTCTCACTAATATCACAAAACTCTTTTTCTCAGGGGTGTGTAAATAATTCCTGTTCCTGCCATGGGCTCCTTTTTTCTTGGTCCTTTTTGTTGTCCAATTCCACCTCCACCTAGATTCCAGAGTATCTTTTCCTGCTTGTTTCTAGAAGTATTTACTGTACTTACTTCTATCAAATTTACATACTTTCTACCTTCAGAGTGTAGGAAGTGGCTTACACTAGAAACACACATACATGAGATAAATACAGTCACAAACCTACAAAATAAAAAAAGAGTGGAGGAGAAAAAATTTTAATATTCAGGCTAAAAGAAAGCCACTGTAATAGAGTTTTAATGTAGTTCTGAGCTTCACTATAGGCATAGCAAAGAGGGTTGTCTACAGGGTCTTCTTGAGTTCCATCAGCATTTGCCTGATCTCAGTTGTTAATATATAAGGCTGTCAGTCTTAGCTGAAGGGTTTGTTTTTAATCTTATTTTTTTTCTGTTATCTTTTTCTGCAGTTGCAGATTTCTGTATTGAGAATATGCTCTATCTAGTCAGAGAAATCTATTAATGTCTTTTTTATCTTTTGCACTTAGATTTTGATGTACAGAGTGACAATATCCCCGTGATGTATCATCCAAAATTATATGCTAATTCACAATTCACTGAACTCTTAAAATGAGCCAAGAATTACTATAAAGTTAGGTCTTTACCTCCATTATGTCATTTAATGAAACAATCCTATGTTAAGTGCTATTATTATCCCCGTTTTATAGATGAGGTTATCTGAGGCTCAGCAATTATTTTCCCAAGTTCTCACAGCTAGTCAGTAGAAGAGCTGGCATGTTAAATCTCAAAACCTACTCTTTTAAATATTAAACATCCAGGCTTTCTAAGAGTTCCCAGAGTTAGCATGATGTTAGCAAATGCATCTTATTGGCTTATTAATCCCTGGTTATGGTACCAAAGTGACACTAAGCACCAGGAGTCTCCAGGGTCCTTCAATCTTAATGGTCCTATGTGGATCCTCAGATCTCCGGATCTGCTCTGACTATATTCAGGACCTGACAGATCTTTTTATTTTCCCTCCACAGCACTCTGGCAGGCTATGTTTCCTGGCACTGGGGTTTTGAATGAGGAAGAATTGCTTCCAAGCACAGTGCCCTGAGGAAAAGACCACAACCTCTACTTTATTGTCTCTTCTTAACAACATTTACAATTTTTTTTTTCTCCTGCTGTTGAGGGACAAAGAGCAAAGCAACTCTGCTAAGAACGTGACAGTTACAGTTCACATTCAACCTGCTGCCGACCTGTTTTCAGATATTAAAACCCTTTGGCTCATCCTGTCCACTCCCTACTATGTGTAGTTTACACTGGAAAAAGAAGGCTTCAAAGTGTGTCAAGAGTTAACACCTCAAGACAATCACCACTTGGCTCTTTGAGAGCTATCTGCCAGGAGGAGCCTCATAGCTTGATAGATACACTGCAATTTTTCATCTTTTCAGCCAGGGTGAATTTTGCTTTTTGACTATGGCTTTTGGATTTCCAAGAACAGAGAGTTGAAGCTTGTATCTACACAAGGCTACTAAAGCACTCTATTTGTCAGATGTTTCAAAGGTACTTTATTGGTTTAATTTTTAAATATCTTTACTTTCAAAAAGTAACAGGTTTCTACAAACTAGAAGTGCTTTATTCTAAACTTATATTCCTCTGTTTCCTAAAATCATAACACACAAAGACTATTTAAGGCCCACAGTGGTAATTCAGTACATCTAGCATCTGCACTTTTTATTTTCCGAAATAGCTTTTCTCATACTTGTTCTTTTAGGAAGCAGTGTTAATATATCATGATACTGTGGTTAAGTCGTGGGAAAGAAGGAGGCAGCTCAGAGAAACACATTTGCACAGTATGTCTATGTTCATTTAAAATTCTGTTAGTAACAAAATTATGTTAACCTCCCAAATCTATATTGGGTAAATTCTGAAAATCTATTCTTTAAGGACCCAAGAGTAAGATCCAAATCTAAAATTTTAGTATTCAGCTTACACACTGTTAGGCTACAATCTAAAGAAAATTAAAATTGGTAATTTAACCCAAAATACTACCATTATACGATTCAGTTCTAGATTAACTGCATGGTGTGTTCCTTATAAACTAAAGATCATATATATTAATTTTATATCTAAAAAATAGTTTAAGTGAATTATTATATTTTCCTATGTAGTAGGAATACAGTAATGGAAAGAAAACCAAGAATTGTGAAGTTCATTCATTACTAAGAAAGTATAAAACTTAACTTGCAATTAACTGATGACAAAGTCAAGATTTTTTTTTTTTTTTTAGTATTTATTGATCATTCTTGGGTGTTTCTCGCAGAGGGGGATTTGGCAGGGTCATAGGACAATAGTGGAGGGAAGGTCAGCAGATAAACATGTGAACAAGGGTCTCTGGTTTTCCTAGGCAGAGGACCCTGCGGCCTTTTGCAGTGTTTGTGTCCCTGGGTACTTGAGATTAGGGAGTGGTGATGACTCTTAATGAGCATGCTGCCTTCAAGCATCTGTTTAACAAAGCACATCTTGCACCGCCCTTAATCCATTTAACCCTGAGTGGACACAGCACATGTTTCAGAGAGCACGGGGTTGGGAGTAAGGTTATAGATTAACAGCATCCCAAGGCAGAAGAATTTTTCTTAGTACAGAACAAAATGGAGTCTCCTATGTCTACTTCTTTCTACACAGGCACCGTAACAATCTGATTTCTCTTTCTTTTCCCCACATTTCCCCCTTTTTCTATTCGACAAAACCGCCATCGTCATCATGGCCCGTTCTCAATGAGCCGTTGGGTACACCTCCCAGACGGGGTGGCGGCCGGGCAGAGGCGCTCCTCACTTCCCAGACGGGGCGGCCGTGCAGAGGCGCCCCCAACCTCCTTCCCGGAAGGGGCAGCTGCCAGGGCGGGGGCTGCCCCCCACCTCCCTCCCGGGCAGGGCAGCTGGCCGGGCAGGGGCTGCCCCCCACCTTCCTCAAAGTCAAGATTAAACTACTTTTCAACTTTTCAATAATTATCTAAGCAGCATACGAAAAGGGAGAAACAAATTGTGCAAGATTTTGCTATTCTTTCTTATTTCTAACAAGTCACATCCATTAATATACCTATGTCTCAAGATAAACAAGGATAGGTTTTTATTTTAATATTTTACATTAATATTTTTTCTAGGCCTCCCATTAATATAAAAAAATAGAATTTTATCTGAAAAAAGTAACATAATTATTCTTTCAATAATACAAAATTCAAGTTTTTTCTGTAAGTAAACTTTATGTATGATAGTACTAATTATTGTTAGCATCTTTAATAAAAATAGATGTTTAGTTAAAAAGAAAGGATGATAAATAATCTAGCAATAAGCTATATCTGTATGACAGCTGGACATTGAGAGGTTAATCTTTATTACAAATTTATAGACATGTCTACTAATAGTTTTGGGTAAGTTCAAGCAACTAAACAATTTACTAAAGACTATAATGAGCAATTCTTATGTCATTTATATTTTATTTATGAAGAGGAATATAAAAAATGAAAGACCTCCAACGGCACATAAAAGTAATGCTGATATGAAACTAAATGTCAGGCAAAAGGCATGAAAATGTAAGAGCCGCAAAGAAATTAAATATAAAACATTTAACAGAACTTTTATATAATTGACATCTTTGAAAAGTCATTTATTATAATATTGTATGCAAAATTTTTAGAATTCATCTAACCTTTAATTTTAAAATGTCAAATATTATTACTTTATCAACATGAATTTTAGCTTCTTTTCCCGTTTCTTTTTTTTTGTTTCTGTAATGCTCCCTCTATTTTTAAATTTATATATGTTTTCCTCCCTTCAGCCTTTCTCATTATTTCATTTTTACCTTTCTATTCTTACAAGTTTCACTGTTGATATCTAAGGCATCCATTTTAAAATAATAAAATAACTGACCATAAAAAGTTCATTTCATTCTTTCCTATGTGTTGAGAATGATATATTGTAAACTATAAAGAACCAGTGGATGTTTTCTTAGAAATGACTGTCAAAACAAAGACTATGTTTTCCTCTATCATTCCAAATATATCAGATCTTTAGTTTTCAAACTGATAGTAAAGCTTGACTTATCCTTAACCTGCTGTTTTGGAGTCATAGTCTCTGACACTCTATGAAAAACGAAAGACTCTTTTCCCTAATGCTTTCACAAATACTCCCTTCAACTATTGCAACTGGTGAGACTTTCCATTCCAATCATCCTTTACAATTATAACCTGTCTATTACCCCCAAATAAAATATCTATATCTTCTGAGATGGAGTCTCACTCTGTCACCAGGCTGGAGTGCAGTGGCACGATCTCTGCTTATTGCAACCTCTGCCTCCTGGGTTCAAGTGATTCTCCTGCCTCAGCCTCCCGAGTAGCTGGGACTACAGGCACATGCCACCATGCCCAGCTAATTTTTGTATTTTTAGTAGAGACAGGGTTTCACCATGTTGGCCAGGATGGTCTCGATCTCTTGACCTCATGATCTGCTAGGCCTCCCAAAGTGCTGGGATTACAGGCGTGAGCCACCGCGACTGGCAAAAATATCTATATCTTAACCACATGTCTTAGGAACCAAAATGTATCCGTTGTCTTCTCTCTCTTTCCTTATTTTTATAATCCTGCAAAGGGTTTAAAAATAAAGTTACTCAGGTCTCTTTGTTTCCTGAGTAATTTATAACACTTGAGAGCCCCCATAATGGAAATAACTTGGTTTCTGCAGAAAAAAGGAGCATAACCTTTAAAGATGAAGAAAACAAAAATTATGATAACAATAAAAATAGGAACATGCACTGCAACACAAGTTATAAGCAGTAATGACCTTAACTAGTTTCACTACGGTAAAGAGTATAGTATTAACAGGAAAAACAGCACACAATTATTTAGCACTCTATGCCCTCTATTTATATTAAGTAAGTTAACATCAGAACGACACCATGAAGTTACTATTAAGAGACAGAGTTGAAGTAACTTGCCCTCAATCATGCAAGTTTCGAACCCAAGGCCGTGTGGTTATGGAATCTGTGTTCTTAACCACTCTGCCATAATGACAGGAAGGAATCCCATGAAGGCAAATTGGGAATTCCACCAAAATAAAATACACAGGAGAACATAACTCAACTTCCCCAAAATCAAGCCCTAACAAAATTTTGTAGTATGACCTTTTCCCATAGGCTCCATCAGTGTATAGCGCCCTTGGAGTCTTTTGGAGAAAAAGTAGGGAGAAGATATGAACTCACACATTCATACAAACATACAGTCTCTATACTCTGTCCTCACGTACTGCTAGTAGTTCCCCCAAACACATTTTGCATCCAACCACATGGCTACCAACTGCCTATGTTTGTGATTTTTAATTACCTTTAAATTTTTTCTCAATTGACTTTTTCATTTTGGTTCCACCTCCAAGAATTATACCTTATTCATATTTTTATTGCCTGTAGTCTTATGATAATTCTTTGACCACAGAAATGTTTGACTAAATGCGTAACTTTGAAAAACCCCAAATAACTCAATAATCTCCTCACATTTATATCTATGCTCTTTTAGGAATACATATATACCTTAAGAGAAATCATTTAATTTAAATGTGATGGTTCTTAAGCAGATTGATAGTGAGACATTTATATGCTGAGGTGTCTTATGCAGACTGTAATTAAGGCATGAATAACTTACAAAGAAGGAATTCTTATAGCCCTGAGTACCAAGAAATTAAACTACTTTGTTGGAGAGACCATATGGAGAGGCCCTGAGACCACGAGGAGAAGCAGCAGAGCTAGACACCCAAACTAAAGTTCCAGGCATATGAATGAAGCTATCTCGACCCTTTAGACCCAACTTGCCGGCAGCTGATCGCTACCAAGTGACAAGCAGTCAATGCCATGTGGAGCAAAAAAATAGGCCAGCTGAGACCTGCCTGTATTCCTGATCAAATAATGAGACATAATTAAATGACTGCTGTCAAAGCCACAAAATTTGGGGGGTAGCTTTTTACTCAGCAATAAATAACCAGACCACCACTCAAGCTATTTTTTCCAAAACACACACCTGATCACATCACTTGACTGCTTAAAATCCTATTCTGCACCAACATAAAATTGCAGATTCCTTTCCAAAGCATATAAGACCTTCATGTCCTGGCCTACACTTCCATTCTGATCCTTCCCACTACTCCCTGATTTCAAGCTTCTTCTCGGCATACACAGTGCATGTTCTTCCTCAGCCTGATTTGCCCTCAGGTTCAGTTCTTAATTTGTTGAGTTATCTTTTATCTTTGAAGCTTAGCGCTGTATCTGGAACCTGGTAGTTGCTCAATAAATAATAGTTTCAAAATAGGTATAGCATCTTAAAGAAAGTATAGAATTTTGGGTCAGATAATTGTCATTTTACCAGCAACAAGTTTGGTGGTAGGTATTTTAACTCATTCAGCCTTCAGAATAGGATAGTAATACCTCATCTACATACTTCTGAAAATTAATTGATGAATAAAGTTAAATATTAAATTAAAGGCATTTGATAAACTATAAAATCCTATGTAACTATTAGTTTTAATTATAAAATAATTATAAACTATTAGGAGTCAAGACAGCTAGGTTTGAATTCTGCATCCACAATTACTAGCTATGAACTCCAGAAAAAGTCACTGTTCTTCATAGGTAAAACTAGATTTTTTTTGGTGAAAACTAAATGAAATCATTTTATAAATGTGTGGTTTAAGTACTAGTTATTAATATTTTATTATTACTGAAAGGTCACAACTGATGAATAAAAGTTGGTTAACGTTAATTAAATGAATCATTCTTTCACATGTATGCACACGCCCAGACACCCCAAATTCTGAACACTGCAGATGTTGGGAGATAAATATGCATCATGAGTGCTTGAATTTCTCCAATCTCTGAAAAAGAAAACAAAGACTGGAATGAGAGGATGAACTTCCAGGCTGTGTGTCAGATGTGAAGGTTGTTTCCGGGGGAACAGGGGACAAAAGATGAGAAGGAAGAAAGAAGGAAGCAGCCTCTGGAGGGTGGTTCCTGGAAAATCCATCCTAGAATTTACCAACATCAAGTTCCTTAAACACATTATAAAGTTGTTATTTACATATGCCTTTCAGAACTGGTGTTTCTTATGTGGACAACACAGAGTTGAAAACTAAACCAGGTCCTGTATCTTACATCTCAAGGGGGATAATGTGAAGAGATCTATGTGAGAAAATTAATCCAACTCTCCTCCTGTACATAATACATTTTGAAAGGAATCTATCCAGAAAAATCCATTTAGCTATGCCCAGAACAATAAAGACTGACTGTGTAGAGACTGAAGTGCCTCAGTCCATCTGCTGATAGTATTTATTGCTTTTTGGCACCTTCTACATATTTACCAAGCCTATGTAAAAGAAAGCTATGCTTATTTTTAGGACAAAAACAGATGCTGTTCCAGCAGGTAATAATTTAATTAAATAGCTCCTAAAGCATGAACAAATTGTTCCAAAAAAAGAAAATATTTTTAGTTATTCTTTAAAAATAGGGAGGGAAAGAAAAAACTAAATCACATTTGACTTTCATTAATGCAATAAAGTTAGGTTTTACTAAATCTCCTGTTCTTAAAAAATAAAGTGCTTCTCCCTGTCTGCCTTCCTCCTGTATTGGAATCAAAATTGCCATAAGTAAAACTGATATTGTTTACCCAGCATAATTTATCACCTCTAAGAATTAATTTCAAGTTAAACATATTTTGATAAAGTTGAATTCATATATTCTTAGAAAATATCCCATTTTATGATAGTCAAATTAGTTGCATAATGCACTTTATGAACAAAATAAGATAGAAATAATAAACTACATATTTATAATAAACTTCAGACTCCAATAACCAAAACCAGTCTTCCATTCCACTTGAATCCACAAGACCCTTTTAAAGCCCCTGTTATACATAGATTAAAGATGTCATTATTAGTAGAAAACAATAACAGTTTTGCATTGTAATTTACTAAAGACTGTGCACTGGGTGTCAGACAGAAATGGGTATGAATCCCCAAATTGCCACTGATAGTGTGACTTTAGGCCAGAAATTGATGCCTTGAAGATTCCGTCACTTATTGTGTTTTAATAAACACACATACACACACACACACATACACATACACACACAAAGGGAACGAGAGAGAGAGAATGACAGTGGTTATAGGGCACTGTGAGACTTCAGTGAAAAAATTTCAATCACTTAGCACAGCTCTTAAGACAGAGTATGTGTTCCACAAATGGCTCCCAATCATCATTGCCTTTAAGATTATTAAGCAATAACAATATGCGTACAATATTAGAGTCATGAAAATATAAACCAAAAATGTACAATAAATGGTTCCAAGTAAATTACAATCTATCAGTTAAGAAAAAACTAACTATATGTACACTTTACCAGTTCGGAAGTAAATTGTGGGGTCTATCGTTAAGAAATCAGAAATGGTTAGGTTAAAGAGGGCTTCAACAAGAACCAATGCTGTGCTTTGAAGCCTTAAATAAAAAGATAATAAAGAAGAGCTGGTGGGAATATGCATTGATATGTAGGAGTCAGTGAAGTGATCTCCCTCAATGGAGAAAAAGGTACATATTAGAGGCCAGTAGGAAAGAAATTTAGATTGGTAGGATAAGAAGGGGGTCTTCATATGTCATTCCAGATTCTTCCAGGATAAAGACACCATGACATTTGAGTTTCACAAAATAATATAAATCAAGGAGAAGCTGGTATTAAAGACATTACTACAGTGAGGCAGGATAACTGGATTACCCCAGAAAGATATACAGATAGATACCAGTGAACATCAAAATCATTTATACTAAACGCTGATGAATTAGTACTCAAAGTGTATACACTTGGCTTAATCATTTTATGATCATTTATAATTACACTGTGTTATATTTATCACATTATATTTGATAACATAATTACACTTATAGAAATTTTGTCTTGTTTTGCTTCAGATAATGATGACAGCAATGCATTTTCTACATTCATATCCTCAATCATATGTTTTTGAATGCTTACTGGAAAACCGGTTTAAAAGAAAGGTGACTAGTTATTGGTCTTGCTCTGACAGCCGTGGAAACCATTTGCTGATGGTCAGTGTCCCATTTACAATCTATAGCAGTGAACCCTTGGGGAAGAGCTGAGGGATAGAGGGATATGAAATATGCTCCAGGCTCTTCTATTGCCCTTACGTACTTAATATCCAGTCCTGAATGATTCAACACTACTGACACTAACTCCAAAGAGATCTTTCTAAAGGCAAAATTCAATCTTATATTTTTCTCTTTAAAATTACACAACATAGTTAAGTGGTTTTATGAATCTAAATTGTTTTAAATTCTAATGACAGGAGTTAGCAGATTTACTGCATAGAAGATATTTACTAGGCACTGGACCAAATTAGTCTTGGTTAAAAATCACTAAATATAGGATTTCCAAGGTATTGAATCCCATTTTGATTTGTTCTTTCCACACAGATAAGTGATGATACAAATGTTTCAGTGTGCAAAATGTTTAGGAAAACTAATATTCTCATTTCCTATAGCCAATAATGTGTAAGATTTCAATGCTTTGTATATAAAACTCATACTGCCAAGCAGCTGCAATTCTGCTTCGATAAGCTTATATTATGATATATGAGCAAATCTTGCTAACTCTGGGAGAGTAGATAATTCATAAAGACACATATTTTAGTTGTCTTATTGATACAGTAGACTCTCACCAACTTGGAAAATTCGGTTTAGAATTAAGGTAAAGTTGGAAACCTGAAAACTACTTTCATTGCATAATTTGCAGTTTAAGAATTTCAGAACTGAAAGCAGAAATAAGTTATGTTAACTAAGATATCCACAGAGATAACCTCTTAACAGTTATTCTAAAAATAGTCTATAGTTCGCCGGGCACAGTGGCTCACGCCTGTAATCCCAGCATTTGGGAGGCCGAGGTGCGTGGATCACGAGGTCAGGAGATCGAGACCATCCTGGCTAACACGGTGAAAACCCGCCTCTACTAAAAATACAAAAAATTAGCCGGGCGCCGTGGCGGGCGCCTGTAGTCCCAGCTACTCGGGAGGCTGAGGCAGGAGAATGGCGTGAACCCGGGAGGCGGAGCTTGCAGTGAGCCGAGATCGCTCCACTGCACTCTAGCCTGGGTGACAAAGAGAGACTCCATCTCAAAAAAAAAAAAAGTCTATATTTCTAGAATATGTGAAATACCACCCTTAGAGTATGGCAATTCTTATATTTGCTAGGAATCAAAAATTAAAGACAGAAAGCTAAATTGAGGGCATATCAAGGGCATCCTGAATGATTTACATGAATAACTGTTTGAGTATGTGTTTACGTACGTGTGTGTGCACGTGCAGTTAGCTCTCTTATGGTCTTTGCTCCTTCAGGAATCCTTCCTATTGAGCTTAAAAAAGAAGCTTGCATATTCCTTTTATTTTGATCCAGAAGATATGCACATAAATAGTCACTTTCCCTAGTCTATATCTTATTCCAAAAATTAAAAATCATTCTTTGATATGGAGTTGTTTATGTCAATATCTCGAATCTCCTGCTTTAGACCCAGATAGTTAGTAATTTGGATGCCTTTATCCAAAAACATGTTAGAAAAATTTTTCAAAATATATACTTAAGACCTAGCATACTTTTTCAACATTTCTTTCTCTTAAAACTTTATTGCAGAAAGCACAAGCAACAACAACAAAAAAGATGAATAAACTGGATTTCAACAAAAACACATTTGTGCTTCAGAGAACATAATCAAGAAAGTGAAAAGGCAACCCACCAATGGGAGAACACAGTTTCAAAACATATATCTAATAAAATATTTGAGTCCAGATTATCTAAAGAACTCTTGCAACTTGTTAATACAAAGACAATCCAATTTAAAAAATGACAAATGATCTGAAAATAAATTCCTCGAAAGAAGATATACAAATGGCTAATAAGCACATGGAAAGAAACTAAATAGCATTAATCATTAGGAAAACACAAGTAAAAACCACAATAAAAAACCAATTCACACTCACTAAGGTAGTAATAACCAAAAAGACAGATGATAAGTGTTGGAAAGGATATTAGAGAAATTAGAACCCCATACGTTGCTAGTGGGAATGTATAATGGTGCAGCTGCTTTGGAAAATAGTCTGAGGTTTCCTCAAAAAGTTAAACATTGTGTTACTATATGATCCAATATTCTACTTCTAGGTATATACCCAAGAGAAATGAAAACATAACACAAACACTTGTACACAAATGTTTTAGAGCAGCATTAATCATAGTAGCCAAAAAGTTGAAACAACTGAAATATCCATAGACTGACGGAAGGATAAATAAAATGTGATACATCCATACATGGGAATATTATTCAGCAATAAAAATGAATTAAGTACTGATACATAGTAAAAAATGGATGAATCTCAAAAACATCTTCCTACGTGAAAGAAGTCAGTCACAAAAGACCACGTATTGGATACTTTTATTTACATTTAAGTCCAGAATAGGCAGATATAGAGACAGAAAGATTACTGGTTGCATGGGGCTGGGGCAGGAAAACTGGAGAAATTGGGGAGTGACAGTGTAACTGCTAATGAATGGGGACTTTATTTTTGGTACGATGAAATGTTCTACAACTGATTGGATCATGGTGATGGTTTTGTAACTGAATAAATTAAAAACCATCAAATTGCACACTTCATATGAGTGAATTTTATGGTTTTTAATTTATATCTAAATAATTTTTTAAAATTATTACATACTCTTATTATTGCTGCGCTGCATTTTGCTACAACTTTCTTTCCTAAACGTAAGATAAAGCTCCTTCATTTGGCTGTGTGCAGTGGCTCAAGCCTGTAATCCCAGCAATATTTGGGAGGCCAATGCGGGCAGATCACTTGAGGTCGGGAGTTTGAGACCAGCCTGGGCAACATGGCAAAACTTCGTCTGTAATAAAAATACAAAAATTAACCAGGCATGGTGGTGCATGCCTGTAATTCCACCTACTCAGGAGGCTGAGGCAGGGGAATTGCTTGAACCTGGGAGGCAGAGGTTGCAGTGATCAGAGATTATGCCACTGCACACCAGCCTGGGTGACGGAGTGAGATTGTCTCAAGAAAAAAAAAAAAAGAAAGAAAAGAACAAAACAAAACCGAACTCCTTCATTTGATCATTATTCTCATTATGAGTGTAGGTAGTCCATATAGGCTAGAGCAAAAATGGTGTACAGAGGTAAAACTATATATTCCAGTCTCACACAAGGAAACTTTCAGGTAGGGAAACGTTTTGCTTTCACTTCCTGTAGTCCATTGGTAAAGATTCCTTCTTCTTTTTCCGTATACATGCATTTCCTAATAAAAGAACCATGCACACCCATAATGATTATATTTTTAAAAAAGTAAAACATTATATATAGGATATCAGAACCACAAGCAATTTTTTTAAAAGAGCAGCTGCCTCTATTAGTAAATATTCACATGCCATTTATAGTATATTTATGATATTACTATATAAATAGCATTGCCTTTATACTTCTGTTTAATAATGCTAATGGAATGGTAAATATATTAAAAAGCTCAAATTCATTACATTTTAAATATTTTAAATGCCTTTTTGACAGCTTTATGCATAAGAAACAAAGTTAGAAATATTTCTGCCTGTGATTTTTTTCTGATTTCCCATACATATTTTGAAACACAAGACTTTAAATTTAAATGCTGGCTAGCATACACGGAAAAAATACTGGGTGCTCCAGATGTTTTGTTTAACTTCACTGTGTACATTATTGTTGTTTTCCTTTCTGCTTTTCTTTTCCTTTCACAGACTAGAACGTCAAACAAAGCCACACTAAAGGCCACTTTGATGTAGAAACAGCCAAATTTCTAGGGTCTCTCCAATCGTTTTACACATTTAAAGCTTGAAATATTAAATAAGCTGAAATAAATGCTCATTTTTTAAATTTCCTAAAACACTTCAAATACTTCAGACTAGGCTTGTCATTTGAAAAAATACAGAAGAGCAGATCTGAATAAAATTCATTTAACTTCACAGTACATCTGCCATTTGAAAACATTTTTTTTCTATTGAACACAGCTTAATGAACCTTTAATTTACCTTTCATTCAGTATCCACTGAGGGTCATTAAAAGACAAAGTCTAAGTCACTGCACTTAATTACAGTCATCATATGTTATTATGTATTATTATAGAACACCATATGCCAATTATCATGGGACTTTGATACTGAAAAACTACAAAACTGCACACACATATCACTTGTGCTATAGAACTATATTTGAACAATATCTTTGCACATAAACAGTACCTTTAAAGTATTTGCATTTGAGAGTGTATGCTTTATAGATTTCAAAACTAAATATTTTATTTAGTATAATTGTGTCAATTGTTCCCTAATTATATCTAGATATTGGACTACATTCCAACTTACAACCAGAAACTCTAAAAGAAACAGAATTATCATTACATTTAGATATCAAAACACATTGAGATCAAACAATATTTTATACATTTGACTTTTAGAAAGATGAGGTAAGTAACAAGCCAAGATATGTCCAATATTTATTCATGAAATATTAGCAGGGTCGTCATTTTCCCAGTCCCACTGTTGATAGTCAATGAACTTCCCCTTTTCTTTGATGCCTTCTGTGTTTTTCTTACTTCTTAATGTTGTGTCCAGCGAGAAATAGTCTATATTACACACTGCTATCAGAGTTATCTTTTAAAATCGAGCATATCTGGTTTAGTCTCTGCCCCTTTTAAGAACTGTCTTTAGACACCTATTCTTCTCTAGAATAAAGTAAAAAAAAAAAAAAAAAAGCATGAAATACACGATTTGGCAGAAGCAAGACCCAACATGTCTTTCACATCTCATCTAATCTTTTCTTATGACATTTTTCATTTTCATTGTTTTGAGACAGTCCCTGTCACCTGTCACCTGGGATGGAGTGCAGTGGCGCAATCTCAGCTCATTGCAACTTCCACCTCCAAGGTTCAATCTATTCTAGTGCCTCAGCTTCCCAAGTAGCTGGGATTACAGGCTTGCAGCACCACAACTGGCTAATTTTTGTATCTTTAGTAGAGACGGAATTTTGCCATGTTGCCCAGGCTGGTCTTGAACTCCTGGCCTCAAGTGATCCCCCTACCTCGGCCTCCTAAAGTACTGGGATTACGTGAACCACTCACTATGCCTGGCCTGTTATGACATATTATTTTATACACAGTAGTGAGCACCTGTGTACCTACTACCCAGCTAATCAATTTACCTTATTTTATCTATTTTTAGACTTTTTTTCTATTTTAATATCTGTGCGTTCGTAGTTAGTTTTTACAGTTACCATAGTTCAGGTGTCAGTTGTGACACAATTTTACTTGTTTGTGCATGCATTAACTTGGTTATTATTCTGGGCCTGACTAGACAACTTTCGTCCCTCAGGTTTCAAGTTATTGAACCATTTAAAGATCATTTTAGGAAGAATGAGGAGTCTTGTTTGTTGTTGAAAACCCTCCATTGATATCTTTTGGTAAGTTCAGGAAATGATTAGTATCAAAACTTGCAGAATGGCCACCACTGGCTTGGAAGAAAGTCCCAGGGACTAAAATGGAACATTGTTTTAATGAAAATTGCATCACTATTTTGTTAATAGCACAGAGGGTGACACTGCATGGAGAAATACAGGCATTAAAAATTCTGAGTCAAAAAGATTTGAATGAGTCATCCTCTGAATGTAAAATGTTTTAGAAAGAGCTTCATTTACTTTGTAGTTTCCTTTTTATATATAAACAAGACTGATATGTAACAACATAATAAGCTTTGCATAAAGCAGACTAAAAGAGATCTTACAATAAGTATAACATAAAAATTCTAAGTTTCTGTTTCTTAGAGATACACAAAATAATAGCATACGTTACAATTGTGTCTTAGGTTCAGTGACTGTTTGACAGCTTCACCACTTATATTTTGGACAAGTTGCTTAGCCACTCTGAAATTCAATTTTCTCATCTGAAAAATGGTGGTAATAATAAAACCCAGCTCATAGGGTTATTGCTAAGATTATAGGAGGTAGAACAGTGCTTGGCATATATTAGTGTTCAATAATGTTAACTGTCCCTGTCTCGTCCATTGTTTTATATGGAATTGCTTACGTATCTCTCTAACACCTATTTTATTTTTTCATAAATACTTTTGTCTTCTTCCACTTTTCTACTCTTCCTCCTCCTCCTTCTCCTTCTCTGCTCTTCATCTCCTTACTCCTCCTTTTTCTCTTATTACGAAGAATACTTAACTAACATAATAGTAGAAAGAATAATATATCAACCATTCACCCCTGGTACTCATCCCTAGCACCACTGATCATCAGTCTACTCCCATGCACGTTCCTATCCACTCTCCCCTCAGACTGAAAAAAATAACAAAAACCCTCAGCCATATCATTTTATGCATAGTTATTTCAGTATGTAATTTTAAAAGACAAAGACTATTTTTAATATACCTATAGTATCATTATCCACCTAAAATAATTAACAGTAACTCCCTAATATAGTCAAGTATCTAGGGAATGTTCAAACCACAATTTTTTTTTGAATAAATAATACTCGATGTACTCCAGTTGCAAAGACTGGAAAGTTAATGTATTTATTTCAAAAAAATTCAATAACAACAATTTAAATTGTTGAATAAAAGGAGGAAATACAAAACAGTAGTACCCAGGATGCTAGATTATCTTAACTTTAACGTCTTATATTTACCAGCTATTAAAAATTGGGCTTTGAGAATATTTTTGATAAATAAAGTAAATCTGGCCTAAAATAACTTACATATCACCAAATATATCCTCACGTTAATAGCTTTGATTAGCATTACGTTAGATTGCTATACCTGAGACATGTGAGTCAAAAGTTAAACAAAGGTTAGTAATTATTCTAAAAAATCTAATCATACCTGCTTCATCTTGTTCTTTGATGCATTTTCTAGAAACATAATTTTTGGTAAATTCATTCATTAATTTAACAGCTATTGAGAACCTACTATGTGCTGCCAGTCACTTCTAGACATAGGGAGTAGAACAGTAAAAAAAAGCTAAAATCCCCACCCTTATGGAACTCACTTCTAGTAGAATGAGAGAAACAAAAAACAAACACACAGGAAAGTTTCATGTATACAGTGTGTGAGATGGTGCATGGAAAGAAAAACCCTGAATACATAGGAAATGGGGTGCAAATGGTAGGGGAGGGGGCTTGCAGTTTTCAATAAGTGGTGAAAGAAGTCCTAACTGAGGTTTTCTTTTTATGACGATCATTCCATTCGAATTACTGTCTTTTATAAGGAATACATCAAACTAATAATAAAATAATGAGTATTCAGCACCACAATAACCACTAGTTTCTACTCCGTTCTTCTCTTGAGTAACACTGAACATAAACACCAAAATTCAGCTGTAGGTCAAAGGATGTTGCAAAGGATTTAGTTGACATAAAACTGTAGAACAGACTTGAAATACATTCTTCACAATACTTCAGAATAAATGAAAATATAATTCATGCCAGTAACAAGGTTAAAAAAATAACACTCGAACATTTTCACTTCAATTCAGACAAGTAATTGTATTAGTAAAATGAGCCTAGGAACAAACCTCCTGTCTGATGTTCCAGGTAACCGTGGTAACCTCTCTTTGGAGCTACTGAATTACACTGTCTACATGACTACTTTCTATATAACTTACGATGATGATTTAGAAGAGAAATATAGAGCTGCTCTGTATTGCCACAACTGATCTCAAAGTTGTAAGATCACCACTTTTGCAATCACTTCTTTGTTAGAGGGCCAAATAAAATTTTTTCAAGGCAACTCTAACAGCAAACAATATAAACTTTGATCCTGTTTAACCCTTTCAGATATAAAACAAACAAATCTGATATTAGCATTACAAAAAATCACTAATCAAACAATGTCTCATTAGTAACTGAGGAGAGAAGGCAATTGTGGTATTCAATTTATACATTTGGCCTAAAAATTATTTAATGATATTTTAAAACATCACTGAGTGCCAACAGATTTGTGGCAAGGCTGGCACACTCTAAACAGTATGAATGGGCACAACACTTTAGGAAGACATACCAAAGTTCTTGAAATGTCTATATTTATAGTTCATTTCTAAAATCTAGCCTAAGAAATTAAAAGAAAATAAAACAAAATTGCATGCATATAAATTTTCATTGCAATCATTTATAAAAAAGCAGAGTGACTTTTTTGCCTCTTTAAATATTTATTAACTTTTCCATTTTTCGTTTTTTTTCTTTTATTGCTATACTTTAAGTTTTAGGGTACATGTGCACAATGTGCAGGTTTGTTACATATGTATACATGTGCCATGTTGGTGTGCTGCACCCATTAACTCGTCATTTAGCATTAGGTATATCTCCTAATGCTATCCCTCCCCCCTCCCCCCACCCCGTTTTTCAATAATTAACCTAGGATATAGTTATACTCAGTAGAAAGAAAAGCAATTGGACATCTCCTAATGATACATGTAACAATGAGAAGTCTAGTAGTAATGTCTGTTCAAGATGGATAAGCCACCCTCCATTTTAAGTTGCAGAGGTAACTCATACAATGATATAGAATCAAGAGAGGGAATAAAATTCTTGCCAAACGTTTTTAAAGATGACTCTTTTCATTTTAGACATAGCTAGATAATTTTGCATGTCCTCAAATGTTCATATTCAAATATTTGATGTCTAATTTTAAAAAGATAACTATAAAAATAACAACTAGCATTTATTAAGAATTTACATCATGACTTTAAATCTAAATAAAACCTTTTGAAAGTGGTTATTTAATGATCCCCATTTTCAGATAAAGAAACTAAGATTTTGAAAGGTTAGGTCACTTGCCTATGGCAGGATAAACATGTGAATTCAGGATACATGACTCCCCAGTTCCTAATCACAACACTAGCCTGTCCTTTTTTGTGTAAAGCTTGTAGAACTCTTTCAACAGTCCTGAATGGCAACTAATGTAAAGACTCCATGGCAAACTCTAGAGCTTATTTTGATGTTGTGGGTTTTACACTGTGACCATATTTTCTGAACCACAAAATGTACATATATTCCGACAAGTTCAAATATGCTTATAGGGAAAAAAGAATATGTGAAGTGGAAACAATCCTAGAAAAGACAGAATATATGACTGCCACATCATATAGTTAAAAACAGCAGTTGATATGAAAAAAATACCAGAGAGTTAATACTGAAACTCTGGTGAGGACCAGACTTAAGAAGTCACTGGGGAATTAAATAACTAGTTATTTCATCTCTTTTCATGTTTTTCATTGCTCAAATTTGCTACAATTTTTTTAATATCCTTTGTTTCTGCTTCTCTCATTTTTCTTCAAATGCTTTGCAATATCATTTCCTTCCAACAAATACCCTAAGCTGTTTTGATACCAGGCATTGGTGGCTGTGTCCATTTGGCCCAATAACATTCCCCAGTCAACTGATACAACCAATTAATTGGGGACGGTACACAATCTCACACACTAAACTTATCAAGCATGTTCAGCATGAGATAACATGTTTAAATATAATATTTTATACAGGAGTGTTACAAATGTGTTATACTCTCCCAGAGGTATGTAAGGGTAATATGTGTGAATATATAAATATATGAAAAACTGTATGCACACAACTGACATAACAAAAAGAGAAAAGAATGACTTCCATATTAACTTATAATTTAATAGAAGCAAATGGAGACAACTTTGTAAAGTAGCCTTTGAAAATCCAATGATAAGGTTATGTTTCCAAAAATTCGTGTAAAGGAATACATGACCTATAATAGCACATATTTAAAATATCTTAGCATAGTCAGAAATAAAAACAGAGCTGAAAAACATTCTTTACACCAAAACAAGTCAGACACGCTTTGTGGCATTAATTGGCATGTGTTATTTATTGACTGAGAACTTTAGGAGACACTTGCACTTACCTAGAAAGTGAGTCAGTGTTTGTGCTTGCCCCTGCAGTGCACTAACTGGCACTCAAGGGACCTAACTGGCTTCCTCCTAGCACTGTTGTAACATCAAGAGAAGCCAGCTAAGTCCTCAGCACAGGAAGGTCACTGTTCTTAGACACATCTTCAACCTACTAATAGAACATCTTGAATGACATCTATTTTATAACACTGAGATCGTATGTCTTAAAAAGGGTCTAGAGCAATAGGTCAACAAATTCACAAACATAGGAAAGCACAGTTACTGCAAAAATTATTCACTCACATACAAAATATATGTTATACTATTAATATATTTACTATGTACTTTTATTTTTCAAATAAATATTAGTGATGGATTAATAAATATGTATTTACTTTAATATGGTACTAAATTCATCCAAAGCAATTCATTCAAAGTAATTCACCATGCTTTCTCAATCAACAAACATTAAAAAGTCAACTGAAATAATATAAGTCTATTAAAAAGTATCTGCATATTTGACATGTTGGGATTCCCTATACCATAGCATAATTTTCCTTTGATAGGTAGTGACTCATTCAAACACCTTAGGCAAACAGAATGTGCTACACTTTAGTAATTATAATAAGGTTATCAATTTTTAAAAGCCAGCCACTTTACTTCATCAATGAGCTGAAGCAACACTAGAAGATTAGGAAGGCTTATCAGTTCAAGACACTTTGAGACAAGTCCAGCAGTTATACAATTAAGTTTTAATGATTTCTACATCATCTAGGAGATTCTCATTATATGCAATAAAAGCTAACCTAATAGTGTTTTACAATTCCTTATTTCACCGAATCACCACAAGGTCTAATAATTCTATGTTCGAATCCTAAAAATAAAAATTTATACTTTTGCAGAGAATTACATAAAATGCCTAAGACAATATTTTGAAAACTGATAGATTTAAGATTTTTTATTGTAATTTTTATTTTTATTTTTTATTTTTATTTTAGTTTATTATTATTATACTTTAAGTTTTAGGGTACATGTGCACAATGTGCAGGTTAGTTACATATGTATACATGTGCCATGCTGGTGTGCTGCACCCATTAACTCGTCATTTAGCATTAGGTATATCTCCTAAAGCTATCCCTCCCCCCTCCCCCTACCCCACAACAGTCCCCAGAGTGTGATGTTCCCCTTCCTGTGTCCATGTGTTCTCATTGTTCAATTCTCACCTATGAGTGAGAATATGCGGTGTTTGGTTTTTTGTTCTTGCGATAGTTTACTGAGAATGATGATTTCCAATTTCATCCATGTCCCTACAAAGGACATGAACTCATCATTTTTTATGGCTGCATAGTATTCCATGGTGTATATGTGCCACATTTTCTTAATCCAGTCTATCATTGTTGGACATTTGCGTTGGTTCCAAGTCTTTGCTATTGTGAATAGTGCCACAATAAACATATGTGTGCATGTGTCTTTATAGCAGTATGATTTATAGTCCTTTGGGTATATACCCAGTAATGGGATGGCTGGGTCAAATGGTATTTCTAGTTCTAGATCCCTGAGGAATCGCCACACTGACTTCCACAATGGTTGAACTAGTTTACAGTCCCACCAACACTGTAAAAGTGTTCCTATTTCTCCACATCCTCTCCAGCACCTGTTGTTTCCTGACTTTTTAATGATTGCCATTCTAACTGGTGTGAGATGGTATCTCATTGTGCTTTTGATTTGCATTTCTCTGATGGCCAGTGATGGTGAGCATTTTTTCATGTGTGTTTTGGCTGCATAAATGTCTTCTTTTGAGAAGTGTCTGTTCATGTCCTTTGCCCGCTTTTTGATGGGGTTGTTTGTTTTTTTCTTGTAAATTTGTTTGAGTTCATTGTAGATTCTGGATATTAGCCCTTTGTCAGATGAGTAGGTTGCGAAAATTTTCTCCCATTTTGTAGGTTGCCTGTTCACTCTGATGGTAGTTTCTTTTGCTGTGCTGAAGCTCTTTAGTTTAATTAGATCCCATTTGTCAATTTTGGCTTTTGTTGCCATTGCTTTTGGTGTTTGAGACATGAAGTCCTTGCCCATGCCTATGTCCTGAATGGTAATGCCTAGGTTTTCTTCTAGGGTTTTTATTGTTTT
Source organism: Homo sapiens (assembly GCF_000001405.40). Classification (NCBI taxonomy): domain Eukaryota; kingdom Metazoa; phylum Chordata; class Mammalia; order Primates; family Hominidae; genus Homo; species Homo sapiens. Next base: position 175,069,042 of record NC_000003.12, on the reverse strand, counting down.
AGGTCTAACGTTTAAGTCTTTAATCCATCTTGAATTAATTTTTGTTAAAATACAGTTTTTGGAACTCTCTCCTCCCCCAAACAATTAAAACATAAGTGGCGTATGGGGAATTTAACCAACATATAATTGCTGGCAATTTTCTTAATGGTTGATCTATTTTAGAGGAACCCATGCTCCCAATTGAGTTTTCCATGGAAGATACCAAGTGCATACTTTTTCAAAGGTATTCTGATTGCAAATGTTGCGTCCCAGATGGTTATTTATTGAGTTAAAATATAACTCGACCAATGTTTACAAACCAATAAATTATAAATCTTATCTCCAGGACTATTTTCTTCAAAAGCTTTCATTTTCATTTTCACTACCAGAGTTTGCTATCTTTGATGCTAAATTTTTCACTTTATTCCCAAGTGAACTTGATAGCAAGACCTAAGTTAAACTTTGCACTCATCCTCAGTCACAGAGAACCCCAAGAGACGTCCTCCCAAGTTTGCGAGAGACAACACTGAATGGAAGAATCTCCTTATCTCTCCAAATCTTCACAAATGCCTTTCTTTTGAGGTGGTCTATCACAACATTCAATGTTTTGTTTTGTTTTTAATTCTCTTGAGTCTTTGAATATTATGCATATACTTTAGAAAGTTCTGAAATTTCTTCTCTCATATCACCCTTTATTTCTATAACTTTTAAATTATTTCAAATGATGTCCATCTATAACTTTTAAAAATCATCCATTCCTGTGAGGAGTAAGAAGTGTAAAAACTAATTTTTTATTCTATTGTTTTACAAGCTCAACTTTTCTTTTAGATTCAGGGGTACATGTGCAGGTTTGTTACATAGGCATATTGCATGAAGCTAAGGATTTCAGGTTCAAAAGATCCCAACATCCAGGTAGTGAACACAGTACCCAAAAGGTAGTTTTTCAGCCTTTGCCCCACCTTCCTTTCCCCCGACTGTAATAGTTCCTAGAGTCTCTCATTCCCATCTTTATTTCCAGGAGTACGCAATGTTTAGCTCCCACCTACAAATGAGAACATGTGGTATATGGTTTTCTATTCCTACATTAATTCACTTAGGATTATGACCTCCAGCTCCATTCATGTTGTTTCAAAGACTTCATTTCATTCTTTTTTTAGCTGCATTGTATTTCATGGTGTATATATACCACATTTTCTTTATCCTATCTACCATTGATAGGCACATGGGTGGATTCCATGTCTTTGCTATTTTGAATGGTGCTGTGATGAACATACAAGTGGCTGTGTCTTTTTGGTATAATAAATTACTTTCTTTTGGATATATACCTAGTAGGGATTGCTGGGTCAAACGGTAGTTCTGCTTTTAGTTCTTTGAGGCATCTCCAGACTGCTTTCCACAGTAACTAAGCTAATTTACATTCCCACCAACAGTGTATAAGCATTCCTTTTTCTCTGCAGCCCTGCAGCATCTGTTATTTTTTGTCTTTTTAACAATAACCATTCTGACTAGTGTGAGATGGTATCTTATTGTGGTTTTATTTTACATTTCTCTGATAATCAGTGATGTTGAGCATTGTTTTCATACGTCTGTTGGCCGCTGATATGTCTTGTTTTGAGAAGTGTCTGTGTCCTTTGCCCACCTTTTAATGTCTGTTGTTGTTGTTTGCTTGTTGAGTTGTTTAAGTTTCTTATGAAATCTAGATATTAGTCCTGGGTTGGATGCATAGTTTGCAAATACATTCTCCCATTCTGTAGGCTGCCTGATTACTCTGCTGATAGCTTCTTTTGCGGTGCCAAAGCTCTTCAGTTTAATTAGGTTCCACTAGTCAATTTTTGTTTTTGTTGTAATCGCTTTTGAGAACTTAGTCATAAATTCTTTCCCAAGGCCCACGTCCAGAATGGTGTCTCCTATGTTTTCTTCTAGGATTTTTACAGTTTGAGGTCTTACATTTAAATCTTTAAGAGAGCATTTTACAAGGTAAGAAAACTCAGCATATTTCTATCTTGATCAAAAATAGGAATCCACAACCTTCTTTTAGCAAACTGAGGATTCAGTATTGAGTGCTTAGGCAATTAACTTTAAAAATCAAAGGGAAATAATTAGATAGGCCTTGACATTTACAAAGATTTACAGGATGCCTCCAAATTTCCTTTTAATTTATTGATTCTTGGTTAAATGACAACATGGGTATCAGGAAAGCTGTTGTCTCTGTTGTGGGCAAACACTAGATTGCCTACATGTGTGTTCACAAGCGACATCTCACCTGTTTTTGGATTATTGTAGCCAGACACTGAAAAGCCTGACAAGGTCTTTGATAGGGGCAAGGATCAAGGATAATCTAGAGTGGATACACTTCCTTCCTGTCAGATTAAACTCTAAATGCAAGACTTTTTTTTAAACAAGAATTTATTAACAATATCTTCCAGGAAAAGCATCCAAACTAACCAAGAAACAATCCCACCTCACCATAAGCCATTCAGGGTAAAAGAGCAGTTGTGTAACAGCCACAAGGGTTTTCCCTCTTTTCCAGTTACAAGCACTTTTGGTTGTTTCTGCTGCTGAAAAAGCAGGTACTGAGCATCTACTTTGTGGCAGTCTCAGTGCAAGGTGCTGGATAGAGCACTGAAGAGACAGTCCCTGCCCTCATGGAACTTCCGGTTTGGTGTACAATTTAGATAAGCAACTACACACAGCACTACATGATAGTGATATGGAGGCCCAGGAGCACTCAAGAAAGCTGCCTAACCCAGGCTTGGAGGGTTAGGAAAGGCTCCTCAGAGAAGGTGACAGGTAACCTAACTACTTCTGTCCTCATAGTACGTGCAATGTCATTTTCTGTTTGTGGTTACTATAACTCGTGTCTTTCCCTGAAATGTGGATCTGTCTCATCAACCTCTCCTTTCACACACCTAGTTCTGGAGAGTGGTGGAACAGTCACCCTGTTTCAGTGATTGCAGAGTGGCTACATTTCAGGATTTCCACTTGTTCTCTGCAGTGCAGTGAATACAGACACTGAAGGGGCTAACTGGTTGAATCTCAAAGTGCATTCGGTTACACTGTTCCCGTTATACATCCTTTCACTCATATCTGGAGCTTGATGGCAACATTAAGACCGAATACCGTTATGTGAGAGGGTCTCTGACCTTCTTGATTCAATTCTCTATATCTCTGTTGCTCACAGCTATATGGAAACTTACATAACTAAATTCAGAATCAGCTTTCAATTCATTCTACATTATTGATAAAAGGGCTAGGTTTTTCTCGGGTTCAGTGAACACGGTTTATAACAGTGCAGTTTCCTGAATGTGCTTTTAAAGCTCATAGTGACTTCTGACTCTCTTTTTTTTCTCCATGACCTTTGACAAGGATTGCAGCCAGCTGCAGTGGAAGAGCTTACCATATGTTGAAAACTGTATTGTGACACCTGCTCTTACATTCCTTGTTTCAAACATAAATGTGTCTAAAATGACTTGAATTACACAGGCTTGCTTCTCTTCACTGGTGACAGAGATGGGACTGGTAGGACATCCTCCATTTAAACTGGGATTACTATACCTTGTATGTCTTTTGACATGGTTCAACAAGATCATTAAATCTGGTCATAGCTATCTAAAAATTTAAAGACTATCCCCTTGCAAATTCTATGTAGAATCAGCTCACTTTGTTTTTTGACTCTGAAAGAATCTAATAATAGGCATTAACAGTTTTAGAGCAAGATTACAAAGCTCTGCAGCATACTAAAATGAATATTATTTGTTTTCCCAGTGATTTATAGTAAGACTTCAGCAAGGGAGTCCCGACGACAATAGAAGCACTAGGTTGTTAAGCGTCTCCTAAATGTGGGTCCATCAAGCAGCACAGTGCCCAGGTAAGTAAATTACATAAGGTCTCAATAGTAATGTCTCGCCCAGGATTCAAATTCAGCTCTGACATCAAAGTCACTTGAATTTCCAGGTCTCCTAGCTGCCTTCATAGTGACTATTCCTTCTTTTTAAATGTTGGTTAGAAGACTTGTAATTTTTTTTCTCACTTTTTACTCTGATATATTATTAATATATGTAATTGTCGAAAATGAATTTTTAAATCAATAAGTGATTAGATGAAGTACTTTTCAAACTACGCATTATTTAATCATATCTTAAGGTAACAAAAAAGCTTCCTTCTACTTAAAGCCAAGCCAGTTTAGTTGGAGTTTTGATGAAAACCAAGCCAATTTTGTTGGAGTTTTACAAACAGCTCCACCGGGAAGGATTTCTACGCAGAGAGTTTTCACTGGCCCCTCCAGATCAGCTCCACCCTTCTTCAGGCTGCTTTGTTCCCAGAGAAGCTAACAAGTATGAGCTACATGAGTAAGATCACTTCCACTCTGGCTGCTAGTTGGATTTGGCCAATGAGGGCCAAGAGTTGGAGATCACTGGTCAGGAGGAGAGTGAGGTCAGAGTGTTTGTTTCCCAAGCTTCCTCCCTGATAAGTCACAGAAAGTTGACCCTGTCCCTGACTCAAGGCCACGGCTACTCCAGTGATGTCTTCTACCTAACTCTCCTTTCAGACTGTTTCATCTGCCCCCTGCCCTTTAGGGAGAGGGCAGTTAAGGCGCCCTGGATGCCAGCCCTGAGGCACTTTGCCTAAAATTGCCTACATCTTTACTCAGCTTGAGTATATGATCTGTTTCCTCACTGATACAATCCCAAATAAGTAACATATCCTGGACTTGGAACTTAGAGAAGTGAGCATCATCACTTGATTTCTTAAGAAACTACATTGTTTGAACCTGTTGTCTTGGTGGTTTTGTTGTCGTTTTTCTTTTTTTTTTTTTCTTCTTTTCCCCAAGAGTAAACTATTTTCTTCATGGCAAATCTCTATCCTAACACCAACAATACCACCATCTTCACAATCCAACTCCATAAACTGATTTGCTTTTGATTGCTGCCTCCAAAGAGAGTCTATATAAGATCTAGACAACGACAGGTTGAAGAGAACTGGAATAAATTCCTGGGATGAACCTGGTTCCTGGGTATACAGGATTTCTGAACTTCACATTGTTTTACCCATCACAGAATTTTGACTATTAAGTGACAGCTGAATTATTGCAGTGTCACAGAGTAACTCAGCAGGATTTAGGATTATGAAAACATTTGTATCACTTATTAGTTAAATAGCATTTAAAAATTAAACAACTGATTTGACAAATACGGATGTAGTTGCCTAATATAGATAATTTTTAAGCGTTATTTTAAACTGCTAAAAAGCTTGAGGAACAAATCCTTCCAAAAACAGACTGGGCCGGGTGCAATGGTTCATGCCTGTAATCTCAGCACTTTAGGAGGCAGAGGCAGGAGCATTGGTTTAGCCTAAGAGTTTGAGACTAGCCTGGGCAATGTAGGGAGATCCATCTCTATAAAAAATAGAAGTAAAAAAATTAGTGGGGACATAGTGGCACATTCCTGTGGCCTCAACTACTGGGGAGGCTAAGGCAAGAGGACTGCTTGGGCTCAGAAGGTGGAGGCTGCAGTGAGCTGTGATGACAAGACTGCATTCCAGGCTGGGTGACAGAACAAGACCCTGTCTCAAAAGCAGTAAAATATATATAAACAGGCTGTTTATATATATTTTACTCTGCCTCCTAAAGTGCTGAGATTACAGGCATGAACCATTGCACCTGGACCAGTCTATGTTTCGAAGGATTTGTTCCTCAAGCTTTTTAGCAGTTTAAAATAATGCTTAAAAATTACCTATATTAAGCAACTACATACATATTTATCAAATCAATTGTTTAATTTTTAAATACTATTTAACTAACAAGCGATAAAAATGTTTTCATAATCCTAAATCCTGCCAAGTTACTCTGTGACACTGCAATAATTCAGCTGTCACTTAAAGGTAAACAGACTGTTCACCTTTGCATTATAATTATTTTGTCTCCTTTTCCTGAACTTTTACCTACTAGTTGACTTTCTCAAAACTGTATACTTACATTGTTTTCACCAACAAAAAACATAGCCAGCTCCATTTTATAAAAATATATGTAGAAAAAAATATGTTAAGTATGAAATACATTATTATCACAGAGTTTACAAGTAAAAAATTTATTTAGTAAATAAACCAAAGTTTCTTTGGTTCTTTCTCCAGAGATATATTTATAAGTGAAATAGGAAGGGGAGTTTAATATATTGAAATCCAAGTATGATTTCCCTTGCAGCCTATGAGCACTTTCATCTTTCTCTTGAAAAGAGAGTCTGTGAGTGCTTGCTAAATACAATTAGGGTTTGTTTTCTTTCTGCATGTCTTTGGGTTTACACAAACCGAAACAGATTAAAACATACATATGATAGTTAAATAGTTCTTGCTAAGTGATTGGTTAAGATTAAGTTTATAAAATCAAATGAAAAAATTAGCCCCGTTATAGAGACAAATGGATCAATAGCATTTCCTTGCCCTAAATAATGTAAGAGCATTTATAGTTCTATGATAGTAGTAATTCCCAACCACCACTTTGGAAGAAATAGCTGGGCATTTCAAATGTCATTCACAGTTGGAAACACACACACACACACACACACACACACACACACACACACACACACACAGCCAAACTTCCAGCCCTACAAACAGGATGGAGAGGCACTGATAACAATCATTATTACAAGTTAAGTGGTGTCACAAGCCCAAGTTCAAATTTATCTTCCCAGCATCTAGCAAAGAACTAGCTGAGCCAACAATCTCCAAAAAATAAGATTGCCATAGAATGAGCAAAATATCAAGGCCTGTGACCTTGAGTTTCTTTCTCTATCAATAATCCTGTCAGGATGGCAAAAGTACATTGTTTAACCAAAACAAGCTCCTGCAGTTTTCCTTCAAGATTAAGTTGCTGTCTCTATTACCTCACCCAAATAGTAATGCTAAATTAGAAAAGATTCAAAGCAGTAGACATTTATCCTCTCTTCATTCAAAGTTAACACCATCTCTTTCCACTGTTCTGACAGTAATTAAATGGGTTTTGTTCATGTTAAATAAAAGAAAATAAAGACTCCTTTCCCCCTTTTCTTTCTTAAACTTACCAAGAAACTTCTGGGCTTCCCTTGCACCTGTGATCCAGCTTTTCTGCTACCATAATGTATGAGTTCCAGTTGTGGTTAAGTCCCATCTGTTTGAATCCAGTTGAAGACTTCTATATTTACCCAAGTGCATCTATGTATCTCCTTTAATGCAAGACTTTCCTTAGTACAACTTAGAATGGCTAATACAGGCAAAATTACATAGGCATAAGCTCATGGATTTACTACAATATATAATTTTGTGGTGTATAAAACTATATATATATATATATATATATATTTGTGCAAGTGAGCAGGTGAAACTAAATAACTGATTTTATTCCTTATATTTGGAAAATGAATGGAAGAGAAATAATCTATGTTTCCTAAGACTGAGGAAATTTAGATATTTTTGATTCAAATTTGGACACTGCTATATCCTTCTTTCCACTTACTTTCTCCCTCCCCATCCATGGAACAATCTAGAGTACTTGGTTTCTTTTGCCATCACTTTAGCCAGCCCTAGCAGAAGACTATGAAGTTGTGCATTTGAAATGTCTATGGATGAAGACTTTAAACAGGAAAACATCCAGCACATGTAACAGCAACAGATGTAACAGAATATTTTCATATAAAATTCCAGTGTAGATTTATTTTCTCATACTTTATTTTCACTGAATAATAAAACCAGCTGATCATAATTCTGCTTATAAAATGCTTTCCTTGCTGCTTAAAATCATTATTGACTTATGAAAGACCATTAGCTTTTTCATCTGCACATGAACTAATTCCAATTTATTTAGGCTTTTCTCATTGGTAATATTGTCTGGCATTTTAATGAGGTTGTTGCCCTCTTCTACTCTTTTCTTAAATATCTCATATTCCAATTTTTTTAAGAAAAGAAAAATGGATGACTGCATGACTATGTATTTATAAAATTACAAATACATTATGCTTCTCTGAAGGATTTTTTTTGTTTTTTTGAGACGGAGTTTCGCTCTTGTTGCCCAGGCTGAGGTGCAATGGCACGATCTCAGCTCACTGCAACCTCCACCTCCCGGGTTCAAGCCATTCTCCTGCCTCAGCCTCCCAAATAGCTGGGATTACCGCATGTGCCACCATGCCTGGCTAATTTTGTATTTTTAGTAGAGATGGGATTTCTCCATGTTGATCAGGCTGGTCTCAAACTCCCAACCTCAGGTGATCCACTCACCTCGGCCTCCCAAAGTGCTGGGATTACAGGCATGAGCCACGGCACTCAGAATGAAGAATTTCTTTATAAACTCACAGTCAGCTTGTGGTCCACACTGAGTCCCAGATATTGTCCTACTATGTATACCCTGTAGCTAACACAGTGAAATAGCTAATATAGTACGGCTATTGGCTTTAATGCCCAGATAGTAAAGATCATTTTGAGTTATATTTGTAAAGTTACTTGTATAAATATTAACAATGTTCAATGTTAATAATTAAACACAACATACTATTCATACAATTGAGATTAATTTTAAAGAACTATCCAGAGCAAAAGCATTAATTGAAAATATTTAAAACAATGCCTATCCGTCAAATGTAGCACTTGCCATTTGTGGGATATTTGACAGATTGCTCACACTCTGTAACCTTTCTTATAAGTGAAGTCTATAAAACAGAAATCATATCACCGCAATTTTGGAACATGTGGATGAAATTCTATTTGTATTTACGAACTTTTCTTCCTTTCTTTCTCCACAGATATGTTTATAAGTGAAATAGGAAGGGGACTTTAATATATTGAAATCCAAGTATGATTTCCCTGGCAGCCTATGAGCACTTTCATCTTTCTCTTGAAAAGACAGGCTGTGACAGCTTGCTAAATACAGTTGGGGTTTGTTTTCTTTCTGTGTGTCTTCGGGTTTTAACAAACCAAAACTAGCTTTTTTTCCCTCTCTTAGCAGGGGTGCCCACAATTTACACTCTTTCATTTTGCTGCTACCCAGCTCTCAAATACAGCTGACACCATGGGTTTCAGAGACCTGAAAAGCCCTGCTGGCCTCCATGTGCTCAATGATTACCTGGCAGACAAGAGCTACATCGAAGGTTATGTGCCACCACAAGCAGATGTGGCAGTATTTGAAGCAGTCTCTGGCCCATTGCCTGTGAACTCGTGTCTTGCCCTATGTTGGTAAAGTCACATCAATTCTCATGAAAAGAAAAGGCCAGCCTTCCAGGAGTGAAGAAACCTTTGGGCAAATACGGTGCTGCTAATGTAGAAGACACTACAGGAAGCAGAGCTGCAAATAGTAAAGATGATGATGACATTGATCTCCTTGGATCTGATAAGGAGGAGGAAGGTGAAGCAGCAAAGAGGTTAATGGAAGAATGGCTTGCCCAGAATGAATCAAAGAAAGCCAAAAAACATGCACTTGTTGCCATTTTCCATCATACTGATGTGAAACCGTGGGATGATGTGGCAGATATGGCAAAACTAGAGGAATGTGTTAGAAGCATTCAAGCAGACGGCTTAGTCTAGGGCTCCTCTAAACTAGTTCTGATGGAATATGTAATTTAAAAACTTCAAATCCAGTGTGTAACTGAAGATGATAAAGTTGGAGCAGATACACTGGCGGAGCAGGTCACTGCTTTTGAGGATTCTGTGTAGTCGATGGATATGGCTGCTTTCCATAAGACCGAAAATTCACCCCAGATCATTGCACTTAAAATTAAAACTTGAAAAAAAAATAAATAAACACAGCTCAAAGTCTCCTATTGACATCTGTAAGCAGCAAGAAAACAATAATTATTTAGAGATAACAGAATATTTCACTTCCTTTGAAAAACTTGTGGGAAAAAAGAGATGAATAAAAGATGTTTAAAGAAAAAAATGAAGAAATACGTACACACAGCAACAGGTAAAATAGCTTTAAAAAGCAATGACTTCACACGAAGTGTCATTATTTTACTTAAAAAGGTTAATAACAATATTTCTTGGGCCAAGCATTTTCAATACACCACCAGAAGAAACCCATTATAAAGCAATGTCCCTGACAACTCCTTCTAAATTCACTATGAGGATTATACAAAGATTCATCATATTCTTTTTCAGTCAAGACTAGTAGGTAGGAGGAAAAAGCAAAACTGAGCCATCTAATCTATTCACTACTTTTTCTTTTCACCAATGGCAGGATTAGGTTTAGACAGCCCGAAGAAAACAGCACAGGTCTTAATGTTAAGGATACTGCTGAAAGGTGACACTCTAGCTGCCGTAGAGAAAATAGTTTAACAATCTGGGTAGATTCAGAAAGCCTTTCCTTAGACCTCACTTATTGTAATTCCACCTCTTTTCTAAAAATGAGCTTACGAGCTTTCATACAGATGTCTTGCTCCCACAGACACAGAGTGTCTGCATGTGCTTTTTCTCTTTTCAGAAGGTTCTCTCTGCCTGCCTCCACCAAGTGTTGATTATGCACCCCCCGACTTATCATTCCTCCATTTTCAGCAGATTTGGCCCCTCAATTATGACACCTCATGGATGTAGGTATGTTTACTTATTGTTTGATTATATTTTGTTTTCATGATTCTTAGATGAATAACTGCCTCCCTCAGTAAAATAGAGACTTGTTCAGTGCCTATACTGAGTTACTAATATATTAATAGCACCGAGCCCAGGGCCTAGCTATGTGTGAATAACCAATAAATATTTGACAAATTAATAAATTAAATGACTTAATCAGTAGATAGATGAATACTTAATCAACCAAAAGTTACTAGAATTGATTGACAGCTATGGGTGATTGTTCTCTCTCTGGATTTAGAAAACTCCAGGTTTCCACATTGTGCCTAAAGAAGTTTTTCCCTTTCCTTCAAACTAACAATGGTTAGAAAATTGTTTACACAACAGTAACCAAACCATTCAGTTGAGAAGCATTTTTCTCGTAATAGAAGTTTACCAAATTGTCATTGAAAAAAAATCACTGTTCTATTTAAATCAAATATGTCTAGAGTGCTAACACTATTAGTAATCTGTTCTCAGAGAACTTAATTAATTGGATGCATTTAATTATGGTACATAGAGTAATTTCAGTATGGGTTTGGAATGAACTCTACAAACTCTATTGACTAGCTCTGACAAGAAAGTTAGCATGAATGCCAGACATGATGGCCTAGGGGTTAGAGGATTCTCAAACAATGTAGTAGTGACAGCTGTGAATTTAGGGGGATAACTTAGTGTCTCAATTAACTATGGAAAGTCCCGTTTACATTGAAGTCATTGATAACTTGGATTTTAACAGCCAACGATCTGGATTCCTTTTCTCATATGAGTATAAGCAGGAATCTTAGTGACCTTGACATCTGAATGCATGGAGTCATGGATTTGTTACACAGCCACCTAAGGCTCTCACTGCTTGAATCCAGCTGACAGCCTAATTAAACAGCAAGAGTTCCTGGAGGGGAATGTTAATGAGTCTACTTGGCAGCCAACAGTCTGTTCCCCAGATGGTGCAGGGCTTATAAACTGTCAACAGGGTAAGAGTAGTGAAGGAAGTTGAGGAAAATACAAAAAGTCTCCTACATCACTGTAACTTTCTAAGATGCTAGGTCCATGATGAAGATATTTGGAGATATGGCAACCGGGGTGAGGGTAGAAAAGTAGTAGCACATCTATTTATCTTGAGCTCTAAGAATACATCAAGAATTGCTTTGGCTTTTCAAATGGACACCACTCTGTTGTGTCTGGGTAAACTGAATGGTTATTTCAGGCACGTTTGTCAGGTTGATCGTGACTGAAAAAAATGGTAACGTGATTAAAGCCCTACCATGTTCGTAGTTGGTATTTATTATTTTTCTGTCTATTTTTTCCCTTATAGATAGAATCTAGACTATGAGAGCTCCCTCTTAATTCAGTTATTATTGAATGAGTAACATCTTGCCAAGAAACAGTCTCCTGTGACCTTCAAGTCGTGTCCTCCCTATTTCAAAGTAGTCAATGTGAAAGCAACTTACATTATCTACAATTAGAAATGAAAATGCTGTTGGGAACAGGCCTCCCAAATCTGGCCATAAACTGGCCCCAAAACTGGCCATAAACAAAATCTCTGAAGCACTGTGACATGTACATGATGGCCATGATGCCCACATTGGAAGGTTGTGGGTTTACCGGAATGAGGGCAAGGAACACCTGGCCCACCCAGGGTGGAAAACTGCTTACGGGTTTTCTTAAACCACAAACAATAGCATGAGTGATCTGTGCCTTAAGGATATGCTCCTGCTGCAGATAACTAGCCAGACCCATCCCTTTATTTCGGCCCATCTCTTTATTTCGCATAAGGAATACTTTTAGTTAATCTATAATCTATAGAAACAATGCTTATCACTGGCTTGCTGTTAATAAATACATAGGTAAATCTCTGTTGGAAGCTCTAAGCTCTGAAGGCTATAAGACCCCTGATTTCCCACTCCACACCTCTATATTTCTGTGTGTATGTCTTTAATTCCTCTAGCACTGCTGGGTGAGGATCTCCCTGACCCACCTTGTCTTGGCAAGTGGCACCCATACGTGGGGGCTCGAATCCAGGTTGAAGGGTCACCGGAGAGATGGTTGGAGAATGTGGAAAACTAAGCTGTAGGACACCTGAGTACTCTTAAAGCAATTCCCATGGTGAGTAAGAAGGGGAGCTCAGAAGCATCAGGGTAACAATGGGACAAGTGTGGGCTCTGGTTCATTCCACTTTGGAAACTTTTCACACTAATGATAAGAAGGAAGGAGAGTATAACCAAGTAACAGAAGAGGTTACAGAGCAGGTTTGTTTGCCAGCTAATGCTAAAGTGGCAAAGGAGGGAGAGGTTCATCCCTACCCTTCTGTACCCCCTCATTATTATTTTGAAGAAAAAGAGCGGCCGGACCCTCCAGATCTTTCTTTTCCGGAGGACACTGGGCAAAAAGTAGTTGCCTCAGTGACTATTCGAGCAGCACCTTTGGCGACCACTCTCAGTTCTATTCAGGCAGGAATTCAGCAAGCTAGACAAGAGGGTGATATAGAGGCTTGGCAGTCCCCTGTTAGAATACACCGCCCAGATCAACAGGGAAATATTATAGCTACATTTGGTCCTTTTTCTTTTAAATTCAGGAAAGCACATTTAGTTGATTATATCAAGGCCTGTGATGGTACTGGAGGTAATCTGCATAAAGCTACTTTGTTGGCACAGGCAATGGCAGGACTGAGAGTGGATAAAGGAAATACTTTGTTTCCTGGAGCTTGTTTTAACTGTGGGAAGCATGGTCGTACTAAAAAAGAATGTAGAAAAACTCAGCGAGTCAGGCCACCGGATAGGGGAAAATAGAAAACCGCTGAGCCTGAAATATGTCCAAAATGTAAAAAAGGAAAACAATGGGCTAATCAGTGTCACTCTAAGTTTGATAAAGATGGGAACCCGATTTCGGGAAACGCCATGAGGAGCCTGGCCCAGGCCCCATTCCAAACTGGGGCATTTCCGACTGAGGCCATTCCCTCACCCCTGTACAATGTCTGCCCCCTGCCACAGCCAGTAGTGCTGCAGTAGATTTATGCTGTACAAAAGCTGTGAGCCTTCTGCCTGGGGAACCCCTGCAAAAGGTCCCAACAGGAGTCTGTGGACCCTTGCCAGAGGGAATGATATGATTACTTCTAGGAAGGTCTAGTTTAAATTTGAAAGGGGTACAAATACACACAGGATTCATTGACTCAGATTACAATGGGGAAATTCAAATTGTTATATCTACTTCTGTTCCCTGGAAAGCAGGGCCAGGAGAGCGTATAGCACAGCTCCTGATTGTGCCGTATGCGAGAATGGGAAAAAGTGAAATTAAACGAACAGGAGGATTTGGAAGCACAAATAAACAAGGAAAAGCAGCTTATTGGGTGAACCAAATTACTGATAAATGTCCTACCTGTGAAATAACTATTCAGGGAAAGAAATTTAAGGGTTTGGTAGATACAGGAGGACATTTCAATCATTTCTCTACAGCACTGGCTATCCGTGTGGCCAATTCAACCTGCTCAATTTAACATAGTTGGAGTTGGTAAAGCCCCCGAAGTATATCAAAGTAGTCATATTTTGCATTGTGAAGGGCCCGATGGACAACCTGGAACTATTCAACCAATTATAACTTCTGTACCTATAAGTTTATGAGGGAGATTTATTACAACAATGGGGAGTACAAGTTATAATTCCAGAGCAGTTATACAGCCCTCAAAGTCAACATATGATGCATGAAATGGGGTATGTCCCTGTTAGGGGACTAGGAAAAAATTTGCAAGGTTTGAAGGAACCGCTTCAAGGGGAAAGACAAAGTTCCCACCAAGGTTTAAGATATCATTTTTGATAGTGGCCATTGTTAAGCATCCAGAACCTATACCTTTAAAATGGTTAACAGATAAGCCAATTTGGATAGAACAATGGCTGCTAAGTGAAGAGAAACTGTAGGCTTTAGAGGATTAGTTAGTGAACAATTAGAAAATGAGCACATAGCTCCAACATTTTCCCCTTGGAATTTTCCAGTTTTCGAAATTAAGAAAAAATGAGGTAAATGGAGAATGTTAACTGACTTAAGAGCTATCAATTCAGTTATACAACCCACGGGAGCATTACAGCCAGGATTGCCTTCTCCTGCTATAATTCCAAAAAATTGGCCCTTAATAGTCATAGATTTAAAAGACTGTTTCTTTACTATCCCTTTAGATGAGCAAGACTGTGAATGGTTTGCATTTACAATTCCAGCGGTAAACAACCTGAAGCCTGCTAAGCATTTTCATTGTTTTACAGATGGGTCTAGCAACAGTAAAGCTTCTTATTCTGGCTTAAAAAGTAAAGTTTTCCAGATGCCCTATACTTCAGCTCAAAAAGCGGAGCTTGTAGCTGTAATTGAGGTATTGGCTGCTTTTAATATGCCTATGAATGTGAGTTCTGATTCTTCATACGTGGTTCATTCCACACAGTTAATTGAAAATGCTCAGTTACGATTTCATACAGATGAACAACTGATGACTTTATTTACCAAATTGCAAACAATAGTTAGCAGTAGAATGCACCCTTTTTACATCACTCACTTTGGGCTCATACACCTCTTCCAGGAACTTTGACTTAAGGGAATCAAATGGCTGATTGCCTAGTTGCTAATGCAATATCTAATGCGAGACATTTTCACAATTTAACCCATGTTAATGCCTCTGGTCTCAAATGCAGATACAGCATTACCTGGAAAGAAGTTAAGCTATTATCCAGCGATGCCCAACTTGCCAAATGGTACATTCCTCATGTTTTACGGGAGGAGTTAATCCTCGAGGATTGGAACCTAATTCTCTTTGGCAAACGGATGTCACACATGTTACATGTATGTGTGGACACCTTTTCTCACTTTGTATAACAGAAAGTTAGGAAATAGGTAAAATAATAACTTGGGGCAGAGGTTATGCTTGTGTTTCTCCAGGGCTGAATCAACAGCCAATTTGGATACTGTCAAGACACCTGAAACCTTATCATGAGCCAGATGCTGAGGCAGACATTCCAGGAGGATCTCGAGGACCCCCTGGTTGCAGCCATGCTGAGGCTGATGCTGAGGAGGATCCCAACTGTCACAAGCAACACCCATTGAACACAGCCAACCACCTGGGGAGGATCAAGAAGCTGTCACAGATGGCGGAAGAAAACCTGAGGAAAGCGGGACAACAATTCACAATGAGGAATTTAATGGTAGCTATGATAGCGGTGATCACCATTGCCATGAGTATTCCTACAACAAAGGCTGACACAGAGAACAATTATACTTATTGGGCATATTTATCAATCTTGGCTGGCAATAATGCCTGGATGTAATCACTCTATGACATAGTTACACATGCTTTCTGATCTCAGTACTTACCATAATAAATCTGCTCCTAAAATTGAGGCATACCGCCCTCAAAAACCTATTTGTAAACAAAATTGAACCTGTTCAGAAAAAATGAACGTACTTATTTAGGAAGATCACATTGCAGAACAGGCAGAGGTGCTGCACAACAATTCCTATGGAATCATTATTGATTGGTCCCCTAAGGGGATGTTTAGCTTGAATTGCACCTCTCGGTTTGCATGCCACGGCCACACTATGTTAAGCTGGTCTGAACAAAATGGTCAGATGGTAGAAATGACAAGAAATACAGCAAGAGTTCCTATATCTGGAACCATGGCAGTATAGTGGCACCTCAACCTCAAATGATATGGCCCTTTACAGGAGCTAAACCTAAAGATTTGTGGAAACTATTAACAGCTCTTAATAAGATCAAAATTTGGGAAAGAATAAAAAAGTATCTAGAAGGACACTCTACAAACTTGTTTTTGGATATTGCAAAATATTAAAAGAACAAATATTTAAAACATCCCAGGTACACCTGACCTTAATGCCAGGAACTGGAGTGCTTGAAGGGGCTGCAGACAGATTAGCAGCTAGTAACCCATTAAAATGGATAAAAACACTTGGAAGCTCTGGGATTTCAATGATGATTGTGATTTTAATCTGTGTTGTTTGTCTTTGTATAGTCTGCAGATGTGGATCCTGACTCCTCCAAGAAGTAGCTCACCATGACAAAGCTGCCTTTGCTTTTATCACTTTGCAAATCAAAGAAGGAGAACATGTTGGGAAACAGGCCCCCCCACAAAATCTGGCCATAAACTGGCCCCAAAACTTGCCATAAATAAAATCTCTGCAGCACTGTGACATGTTCATGATGGCCATGACACCCACCTGGAAGGTTGTGAGTTTACTGGAATGAGGGCAGGGAACACCTGGCCCACTCAGGGCGGAAAACCACTGAAAGATGTTCTTAAACCACAAACAATAGCATGAGTGATCTGTGCCTTAAGGACATGCTCCTGCTGCAGATAACTAGCCAGACCCATCCCTTTATTTCCCATAAGGAATACTTCTAGTTAATCTATAATCTATAGAAACAATGCTTATCACTGGCTTGCTGTTAATAAAGACATAGGTAAATCTCTGTTGGAAGCTCTCAGCTCTGAAGGTTGCGAGACCCCTGACTTCCCACTCCACACCTCTATATTCCTGTGTGTGTGTCTTTAATTCCTCTAGCACCACTGGTTGAGGGTCTCCCCAGCCGAGCTGGTCTCGGCAAATGCCTCTTCTGCTTTCGTTAGGCTTCCTCTTTATGTGTTCAGTTGGTTCTTAATTAAGCTTTGTAGCCAAATGGACGTGGGAAAGCCACAGTCACGCTTTACCTTCACTGTACTTCAGAATTCAATCCCAAGTACCATTTGTGACAACCAGACCCTACAGTGACTCCCAAGAATTTTCACCTCCTAAAGTCCACACCTTTGTATAATCCCTTCTCCATAAGTGTAATTAGCTTCTAAATAACAGAATATGACAAAGGATGTTGCGCCCATGGTTAGATTATGTTATCTAAACCTCTGCCTTAGCTAACTGATCGAGAGACTCTTCTGCTGACCTTGAAGAAGAAAGTTGCTATGATACTGACTGCCAGTGCAGAAGCTATGGAACAGGGGACTACCTGTGACCTCTAGGAGCTGAGAGGCTCAGTTCTATAACCACAAGAAACTGAATCCTGCCAATAACCACCTCCACAGGTCTGTGAGCTCTGGAGAGAAATGCAGCCTGTCCAGACTTGAATGTTGCCTTGTGAAACCCTGGGTTTCAGGACAGGAGACCCCTCAAAGCTATGCCTAGACTCCTGACCCATGGAAACTGACATAATAAATGGGTATTGTTTAACCCACTAAGTTTGTGTTCATTTGTTATGCAGCAATAGAAAACTAATACATTATGGAAGAATTACCCATATTTGGCTCTAAGTGTAAATGAAAAGAATCTTCAAATCTTAAGGTTGGATGGGACCATACACATCATCTATGAAAATTTCCCATCCTCAATCTACAGGACCCAGTAAATTTTTTATGCCATTTCTTATTGAACTGAAAGAGGAGTTTACATCCCTGGTTCTTAAGAAATACTTTTATACTGACCCAATATCTGTCTTCCTCACTAATGCTAGCTTTATTAACCCATACTAAGTATATTTCCTTCTTCAAATAAGTGTGCAGCTCTTATGCCTCTATTATTTTTTTTATTCTTCAAGTAAAACAACCCTAGTTTTTTCATCTTATCGATACATGACATTTTGTCAACACAACTCACATCCTGCTGACATAGTTTTGAAGCTACATTAACTCTTATGTGCACTCATAACTGAAGATAACACTCTCAATTAGATGTGGTCATAATAAAATATAATGGTAATATTAATTCATTTCACCTAAATTGATACTATTTCTATAACCTTAATCTGTTACATTTAGAAAAACTTTACCTTTATAGTATGGTAATTCCTCAACTAACATCATCAATAGGGTTTCAGAAACTGGGACTTTAAGCAAAACTGCATAATGAAACCAGTTTTCCCATGAGTGAATTGATAAAAACAATAGCCCCACAGTATATTTCTGGTCAGAAAACATCAAACTTTGAAATGAAGACCCAAAACACTTCTAATATTAAACATTGAAATAAATGTGAGCATTAAATGCATTTTTAAACATGGCAAAACCCTGTCTCTACTAAAAATTCAAAAATTAGCTAGACGTGGTGGTGCGTCCCTGTGATCCCAGCTACTCGGGAGGCTGAGCAGGAGAACTGTTTGAACCCAGGAGGCAGAGGCTGCAGTGAGCTGAGATCACGCCACTGCACTCCAGCCTGGGCAACAAGAGTGAAACTCTGTCTCAAAAATAATTAAATAAATAAATAATAAAGATTATTCAATCAAGTAAGATAATTATTTACCCAATTATTCCAGCTCAGTATCACGGGTTGCCAGAGCCTATCCCGGCAGTTGGGTCACAAGGTGGAAACCACCACTGGACAGGATGCCACTTCATCCCAGGGCACACTCACACACACACAACCATGCTTACTTAGACTGGGACCATTTATACACACCAATTATCCTAACGTGCACATCTTTGGAATTTGGGAGGTAATCAGAGTACCTGGAGAAAACCCACGCAGACATGGAAAAAAAATGTGCAGACTCCACACAAAGAGTGGCCCCAGCTGGGGATTATTATTTTTTTCACAACAACATTATAACAAAACAATATTAAACAAAACAACATTTGAGAACTTGCTGTATTTAATTGCGGTCCATATTACAGATTAATCAACACCCTTTCTCAACTACTTTCTCTCTTGTCTTCCTCTATTACAGAATCCAGAGAGCTTAATGCTTGATTTTTCTGACTCTCTTGCAGCTATGGGAGGTTATGTGACAGAATTCTGGTTAATGAGGTACAGAGAGAAGTCAGCTAGGGATCAATCCCCTTTTTTATTAAAGGATAAAACCTCATCAGGAAAAAACTCTGGTATTTCTTTTCCCCTTACCTGGAATGTGGACAAAACCCTTAGAGGTTTAACAGCTCTCTTGTGGCCATGGTGCTACAGTCTCAAATAGAGGGGATACAAAGGATGGAGTCCTGACGATAGCATTGGCTGGCCAGGCCAGACTACCTTGCACTATACACATCCTGGCTTAGAAAAGTCTGCGTCTATTTTTTAGGCCTCTATACACAGGTTTTCTGTTACAAAAACTCTTCCTTATCTCTGGTTTTACTTTCCCTGGTTTCAGTTACCTACAGTCGGGTCAAATGTTATCTAAACATATAAATTTCAAATAGCTCACCATTCTGGGTAGCATGATGAAATCTTGATCTGTCCCACTTCCATTTACCCAGTGTGTGAATAATCCCTTGGTCTAGCATATCCATGCTGTATAAGCTACCCACCTCTTAGTCATCAATATCATTTGTTCCAATACTAAATCATCAAGATCATCATGGCTTGATGAGCCAGGATTACCTGAGGCAGATAATCAGTGGATCCTGGCTGATTCTAGGAAAAAAAAAATATCTGTGGGGTTGAGTACTATTCAAGGTTAAAGGCATCCACTGGCGGAGGGCTCTTAGGATGTATCCCCATGGATAAAGGGAGACTACTGTATTTGCAACTGATTACATCCCTAATTTATACTGTTATTTTTCTAATAGAGAAAATAAAGCTTAGGAAACTAAGTGGTTTGTCTAAAGCAACATATCTAGTAAAAGAATCACAAACTCCCTATGCAGCTTTCAGGCCACCATATGGTTCTGTGATTTCACCTAATGCAGCCACTCCCAGGGTGTATTATGAATGCTCCATTTCAAATATATTAAAAAGAGAACCTTAATGTTACAGTTGCCAAAGAACTGATTAAGAAATACATGCTCTGAAACCTAAGAGTATCCACATATTAAAATAAAACAATACTTAGCTGTAAATATATTTTAAGATATTCATTGAAAAACTCAATTCCGATCATAAAATTCAATCCTATAAGTAAACCAAATGATGCATAAATGGTTCCTGAGAAATGCTACTTCAAGTCTAACCAGAACAATAATCTCCTTTCCTCTTTCCTTTAATTGCTTACTTTGACTTCACCACAAAAAAAAAAAAAAAAATGGTTTTAGAAGTTAAATCTCTACTTTCAATGATGGCTTCAAATGAACAAACAATTTCAAGTTGCCACAGCAAGCACACCGAAAACATTATCTCACTGTCATCACAACACAAGAAAAAGGGCTTTGGGGGCCTTCCTCAACTTTTTTGAAAATGCAGTAGAAAAAAAGAACAATTTTTGCTTTCTTTCTACATAGCCATTTTCTCCCTTTCTTCCTTTCCACAATAGGTATAAACTTGCCAATTTGATTTTAACTCTAAAAGATATTTTCCTGGCAGATAATCCCTCATTTGAACAAAAATCCTTTACCTGACATTTTTTGCCATTTTAGGGGGAAAAACCCACACTCAATGTATAGTTGAAGTGAAATAAAAAATGTAGCTTTCAATTACTTTTTATTTCCAACTTATCAAAAAGCTACAGAAATTAAAGTACAAATCCCACTACCAAAGACATAGTAAAAGGTTGGAAGAATATTCTAAAGGTCACATTATCTTAATGAAGTGCCACTTCCTGACAACATGGCTATGAAATTGGAGTCATATACTCCATTTAGTGGGAAATGCTCTGTGAAATCCATGCCCTCTGCACTCTAAACAAAGACATTGGTAATTTTCTTAAAAGGTCACACACAAATGTGTTATTTAAAACTAGGCATTTGCCAGTTGTGAATATATGAAAGGTGAATATCAGATTCAGGAATTCGCAAAGTTTTTTAATAAAATGCCAGAGTTTTTCATGTATGTTTTAATAATATAAAATTGTGTCAGCTAATTTTATTCTTTGATCTAGTCTCAGTTTATCAAAATACTAAAGGAAAAATTAATCTGATGAGTCTAGTAAAATTTCATCTAAAACCGTCTGAGACACTAAAACTTTAGAGTGAGTTTGGGTACATTTACAAAGTTTGTGTTATATTTGTCTTATTTTAGCATTTTATTGGGTAAGTTGTATGTTTCTATGTATGTTACAACTTTTAAAATACATAGTATTATTGGAAAGTGATTTCTCAATATCAGAAAATCCCCTAGTGTAATATCTGTCATTTATGTGTACCATAAATAAATGTTTGAAGAATAAACTTATTACAGACCTATCAACCAGAGAAGAAATTTAAAAAAAATTACATATCAAAGTCCATGATTAAACAAAAACCATTGCCACCCTGCTATGGGAAATACATGTTTTTTGTCATTTTCGCAAAGTTCATTTAGCCAGAAAGATCAAATAATGACAATGTGAATGTTAACTTTGGGGGGAATCCAAAACAATTGTCCCCCCTCCAGTTATATGACAAGGACAGAATGTTTGTGTCCCTCTAAAATTCAAATGTTGAAATTCAAACCCCCAATGGGATGGTATTAGAAGGCGGGGGCCTAGGGGACATGACTGGATCATGACAGTGGAGCCATTGTGAATGGGATTCGTGCTCTTATAAAAGAGACTCTGTAGAGTTCCCTCACCCCTTCCACCATCTGAGGACACAGTAAGAAGATGGCCATCTATGACACAGAAATCAGTCCCTTGCCAGACACTGAATCTTCTGGCACTTTGATCTTGGATTTCTCAGCCTTCAGAACTGTGAAACATACATTTCCATTGTTTATGTGATACTCACTCTATGGTATTGTGTAATAGCCTAAACAGACCAAGGCCGACTTCTAGGTTGCTGGCTTTCACTACGTTTGCAGGGATGATGGTTTTCAGAGCTATCACAGAGCTGGGAAGAAGATGATGAAAACAGCACATTAAAATGCTACAAAGCTGGCTGTTGTTCTTGAAATGCAGCTGTTTTTCTTAAATATATGCTTCTTGGATTGTCGCAAGCCTTTGT
The DNA here is from genome assembly GCF_000001405.40 of Homo sapiens. NCBI lineage: Eukaryota > Metazoa > Chordata > Mammalia > Primates > Hominidae > Homo > Homo sapiens. The sequence goes on along the minus strand of NC_000003.12, from coordinate 175,046,675 downwards.
ATATGCTGAGTTCCTAAAAAGATGAATTTGGCAGTTTTTGCCAGTATGCTTATTGCTGTCGCAGAGCAACAGATTGTTGGAGGTCTTTACTTCATTATCCTCTGAGAAACTTCTCTTTTCTGAGAAGGAATCCAAAGCCAGTTCTCTCATGGAGAGGGCTTCGATGAAATGACTGCCACTTGTGCTTAGATAAACCAGACATTCATATTATTTGTCTGAGACCTCCACTTGGAAATATGGACAACAATAGATTTATGAAAAAAAAGTATGAAAAGCTAAACTAACGTAAACAAATAGAACTGGTTCCTGAGGAAACAAAGGTAATAAATCCCTGATAGTCAAAATAGCTGCCCAAAGACCAACAGCATTGCATCACTAGCATCTTATTAAAAGTTTACCATCTCAAGCCCATCCAAAGCCCACTAATTCCGAATCTGCATTTAAACAAATACTCAAGAAGACACATGCACAGAAAAGTTTATGAAGCACTGACCTAGAAAATAGAAGATAACTTTTAAAAATCACCTTAGGGTTAATCACCTTAGAAAATACATTGTACTTTTCCACTTCCCCAAAAGCAGACTTGTAAAAATGTATCAAGCAGAAAGGAAATATTGGATCCTGAAAACTAAAAAATATTATTTCCAAAATTAAAAAAAAAAACATAAAGTCTAGACATATTAACGGTTAGGAGGTTCTTGTTGAGTGTCTCTTATCTCTGAATGTCTTATGAAGCAAGGCACTTATTAATTTTGTTTCAGACTGTCTTTCCAAGAATACTCGAATAGTAAAAAGTCTTGGAAAATAGTGATAGTGTTCCTCCACAATGAAGGCCAGGTTTGCTTAAAGCCTTAGAAGATACACATAGTGTTTATCTCTGGAGTAGAAGGAAGGCATGCTTCATATCCATCTTAAAATATTTTAGTTCTCTAAGCTTGGGATTTCTTGGTTGCAATTCTTGAGCAAGTATCTGGGCTCATCCTTGCCACCCTGCGTGACTCAGAGGCAACAGAACTGACATAATAATTAGATTATCATACTGGCCGCTATACTGTGAGTAATAAATCATTTTTCTCTGATTCAAGAGTCTCATGTCTTCTTCCAGTATTCATGAAACTATGGGAGGCTAACTTGTTCCTCTGAAAGTAAATTAAAATCTCAAACCCTTCACAGATTTTGAAAATAATAAAATAGACAGTAATAAATACCAAACTAGTAACTTAGAGGATAAACAGTCAAGGAAATCTCCCCATATTTTGAGAAAAGATAACAGAAAAATTATAAACACAATTTAAATGACCTGGGGATCCCAGAGATAAAACAGAAATTCTGTACAAGGAAATAACAAAGATAATGGAGGAGAAGAGAAAATGAACTAATAGAAATTTTCTTGAAAAGGACATTCATGTCTTCGGGTGGAGTGTCCACGGAGAGTGTGATGCAGTATGAAAGTTAGACTTAAACTTAGTTATATCACTGTGAAGTTTCAGAAATTCAAGTGGGAAGAGAAAATCCTAAAGGCCTTTATGAAAAAACAGATTTTCCACAAAATACCAATAATCCAACAACTATTAGAGTTCTTATCAACAAAGGCAAAATTTTATGTTAGAAAACAGTGTCTTCAGGGTTGCAATGGGATGGGGGAAATAAAATATAAACTGATAAACATATATAAACATCTGAAATATCATCCTATTATGTGTAAAGGGATAATCAAATAATTTTCAAGCATGAAAAAAAAAAAATCAGAAATTGCGCCCCTTCGCTCTCTGTGACTAGAATTAATCAAGGAGAGACTCCACCAACAGAAAAATATAATAAAGAGAGTAATGTCGGTGATAAGAAGCAGTAACAACTGAGTAAGACTCAGAAGTGAAAGATACTAGAAAGAAATCAAAACCAATCTGTAAGACTTTGATACTTTTAAGATTCTCTTCCCAGCACATTTTCTATGGACCCAAACAACCTATGTGGCCCCATAGAAAATAATAATTATATAAATGTAGTATTACAGTTTGTTCATTAGTTTTCAATAGTTGAACACTAGGCTTATCACTCTCACCTATAAAAAATACCTGAAGTGACAGAAGATTATATGTATGAACATGAATGTTTTAATTGTTTTATGTGGCAGCTCAAAACTTTTATGATTAATAGTTTACCAGGAATATAACAGTTATCAGATTCCCCTTGCAATACACGAGACAGATAATGAGATGGAAAGACAATAAATGTATTTATGGTCTAAATATTTCAACAAATATAATGCAACAACAAAAGCAACACAAATATCAAAATAGCAAGACCATCTCAGACTGGAGATGAGAGAGAGAAATGATTTCAATCATTCTTCTCATTTCTAACATTTGAGTCCAGTTCAAGATCTGATACTAGTCCAAAAATAGGAAAATCCCTTTCTGGAGCATCTACAAAAATATACAAAAATATAGTGTATTTTTTTCAAAATTAACATACAAATTCCACTGTGTTTCTACACACTAAGAACAAGCTACACAAAACAGAAATTGAGAGAATAATGCCATTTACAATAGCATCAAAAAGAATAAGATACTTAGGAATAATTTTAACCAAACAGGTATGATGAAAACTATAAAACATTGATGAAAGAAATTGAAGAAGACATAAATAAATGAAAAGATATCCTATGCTCACAGATTGGAAGAATTAACATTTTCAAATATTTGTATTATGTAAAGCAATTTATAGATTCAAAGTAATCACTGTCAAAAGTACAATGGCATTTATGATAAAAATAGATGAAACAATCCTAAAATTTGTATAGAATTACTAAAAACTCAATAGCTAAAGCAATCTTAAGCAAGTAGAACAAATCTAGAGGCAGTAACACTTCCTGATTTCAAATTTTATTACAAAGCTCTAGTAATTGAAACAGTATGGTACTGACATAAATACAGACACATAGACTAACAGAAGAGAAATGAGAGCCCAGAAATAAACCCATGCTTTTAAGGTCAACTAATTTGACAAGAGCACCAAAAATACACAATGTGGAAATGATAGCCTCTTCAATAAATGGTGTTGAGAAAACAGATATCCACATGTAAAAAATTAAAATTGGATCCTTAATCAACTTAAAATAGATTAAAGACCTAAACCAGGCCAGGTGCTATGGCTCACACCTGTAACGCCAGCACTTTGGGAGACTGAGGCGGGCAGATCACAAGGTCAGGAGTTCGAGGCCAGCCTGACAAATGTGATAAAATCCCATCTCTACTAAAAATACGAAATTTAGCCAGGCATCGTGGCGCGTGCCTGTAATCCCAGCTACTTACGAGGCTGAGGCAGGAGAATCACTTAAAACCGGGAGGCAGAGGTTGCAGTGAGCCCAGATTGTGCCGCTGAACTCCAGCCTGGGTGACATAGCAAGACTTAATATCCAAAACATACAAAGAAATAATATAGCTCAATGGCAAAAAATCAAATAACCATATTTTAAAAATGGGCAAAGGACTTTGTGTTAGTCTGGTTTGGATTACTGTAGAGGAATATCTGAGGCTGGGTAATTTACAAAGAATAAAAAAGTTTTATTGGCCTTCTGATTCTGATGGTTGGAAAGTTAATGACTGAGGATCTGCAACTGATGAGGGCCTCAGGCAGCTTCCACTCATGGCATAAGGCAAAGGGATAGCCAGTGTGTGCAGAGATCACACAGAGAGAGAGCAAGCAAGAGGTGGGGAGGTGCCAGGCTTTTTTTAAGAATCAACTCTCATGGGTCTGAACTAATAGAGTGAGCACTCACTAACTCCCTAGGGAGGGCATTAATTTATGAAGGATTCACCCCCGTGACTAAAACAACTCACTTTAGGTCCCATCTCCAACACTGGGTATCACATTTCAATATGAGGTTTGGAGGGGCAAATATCCAAACCATAGTGGAACTGAATAGATATTTTTCAAAAGAAGACATACAAGTGATCAATAGATATATGAAAATATGGTCAATATCACTAATCATCAGAGAAATGCATATCAAAATCTCAGTGAGATATCACCTCACATCTATTAGAATGACAATTAACAAAAAGTCAGAAGATAAGAAGTGATGATGAGGATGTGGAGGAAAGGGAACCCTTATTCATTGTTGGGGGGAATATAAATTGGTATAGGCACTATGGAAAATAGTATGTTAAGTTAAAAACAGAAGTGTCATGTGATCCAACAAACCCAATTCTGTGTATATATTACAGTGAAATAAAATCAGTATCTCAAAGAGACATCTTTACTTTCATATTTATTGTACCACTATTCACAATAGTCAAAATATGGAAACAACCTAAATGTTCATTGATGAGCAACTGGATAAAGAAAATGAGGTGTATATATAGTATTCCAAAGAAAAACAGGCTATATATATAGTAAATTATTTGGCTTCAACAAAGAAGGAAATTCTGCCATTTGTGATAACATAAATGAACCTGGAGGACATGATATTAAGTGAAGTATGCCAGACACAGAAAGGCAACTATCATATGATCGCACATATGTGGAATCTAAAAAAAGTCTAAATCAGAAGCAAAGGATAAAATGATGGTTGCCCTGGGTTAGGAGTTGGGAGAAATGGAGAAAAGTTGGTCAAAGTGAACAAACTTGCAGTTGTAAGATGAATAAATTCTGAGGACCTAATGTACAGCATGCTGACTATAGTTAATAATGCTGTTTTGTACAGTTGAAATATAAGAGCAGGTATTAACTGTTCCCATCATACACACAGAAAAGGTAAGCATGTAAGGTGATAGATGTATTAATTTTCTTGATCTTGGCAATCATTTCACAATATATACATATATTAAAATATACATTGTACCTTTCGAATATGTACAATTTTTGCTTGTCAATTAGACCTCAATAAAGCTGAAATATAAAAATATAGAGATAGATACACAGGTATAGATATACACAGTGCATCCATAATTATAAATCATGTGTTCCTCTAAAGCCTGCAAGTGTACATAAAGCATAGAAGGAATGACGGGAGCATCTAGCCAAAGCTACAGTGTCATTGTATAAACATGTTAAGGAAATGCATGGAAACCACACTTTTAAAGACGCTCATCTCTTCATTTTTGCAGGATGTTTGTCTGAGTGTCATCCATGAGCAGAAGATTACTAAGATCTATTAAACAAATGAAGTATAACTCTAATCCTGACACTGGCTTTCAATATCTTAAGAAAATCCCAAAGACCTCCTAGCTTTGTATAGTTTATAACCACTTAGAAACTGTTTAAAGAAGATGACAGAGGGTGCTGTGAGCAAAACTTCAAGTCATTCTGCAAATAGATATTCTTAGAAACAGCAAATTTGAAACATGGTTTCCTCCACCTCAGCTTGTAAATTATAGATTTGCTTACATATTAACATCTTCAGAAATGGAAAAGTATTAATTATACTGAATATATTTTTAAGAACCTTGAAGAAGTGCCAAATGAAGAACACTGTACTCCAAATGTGGTTAATAATGTACTCCAGACACCAGATCTAGAAAACATAGCATCAGCATGAAAAGTGACTTTTCAGACTGAAAAGTGCTATATCCACGATATGCAAAATATCGATAATAATGAATTCCAAGAGGCAGTTGCACAAAATAAGGTTATGGCACGAATAAAAAGCAACTTTTCAAGCTGACAGAAAAATTAAGGCAGTAAGAGAGCATGAATGAAAATGTACTGTAAATATGCAGTGGCATGCAAGCACCGTGTCTACAGTTACTTGCTGTGTGCTCAGGCATGAACATTTTCTGGACTCTGAGTTGATGCATGTTTTTAAATATGGGGTTCTGTATAACTTAGTGCAGAATAAATATTGTATATCTTGGAAAAAACAGAAGCATGAACACCCTTCACAGAGACTGAATTTGTTATGGCCTTGCCTATAAAAGAAGGATAGAGGATTTTATGAATAAATGACTTTACTTTTTATATAGCAGTTCATAGTTTACAAAACACTTTCATATTTATTATCTCAATTGAGCCTTGAAGTAGTATACTATCGTAGATGGAAAAAAGGTTATTAGTGTTATAGAGGTATAAAATGATACTCAGAAAAGTTCACATTCAGATGGGAAGTGGAGGTCAAGATGGGGTAAAGATCAAAGCAAGTCTTCTGGGTATTAGTCTGGAGCATTTGTCCCTTACACTGCACTGACACTTTATGGAAACGGCCCCCGTAAGTTTTCTACCACAAGGCTAGAAGTACTTCAGAATACATTAAATTGCAGGTCCAGTCCTCTTTTACACAAATATTGACTGCCTATTTTGTGTCAGGCTCTGTGAATGGTGCACATACAATGATGAAGGGGAAAAAACAGATTCTGCTTTAATGGAGATTATAGACTAGTTAGGAGACAAACAGTAATGAAATTATTCATTTAATTAATGGATTTCTGAGGTTGGGTGTTTTGATGGACAGTGACACCAGTTTATTAAAAAGTTGTACACTGGAAGAAAAGCAGTTTGAAAAGAATGATTACAATTTCAGGCGTGGACATGTTTATTCAGGAGTTTGAAACACCCAAATCATGATGCTAAGTAGACAGATTGACACAAGACTGGAGCTTGTAAGAGAGATCTTGGCTGGGGTTGAGTGTATGCGTGTGTGTGCACATATGCCTGTGCGCATGTGTATATCTTTTTTGTAAGTGTAAGATCTATACATTTTTGTAAAGAAAAGCTAAAAACTGAGTATAATCAGTACAGAGTGTTAGGTATAATCTTGTACAAATTTGTATATTCAACCGCAAAACTAAAGGAATGAAAGAATGTGTGAATACATGAATAAAAAAAACAAGAAGCTACATAAGTATCAAAGACAAATATTTTAAAAAATGAAATTGCTTTGGAAAAATGGAATATGGCTTTCCTACTGTATACTAAACTCTTGGTACTCAGTAAACCCTTCACAGATAGAATTTCCTACACTAAGAGCACCACAAACTATTTCTACTGTTTCACTTGTCTAGTAAGTTTAAAACTAGCAAAATAATGGTAAAGGGTCAAAGTACTCCAGCACAAAGAATACGAAATAGAACAGCATATTATCTACTTTTTATGATTCATGATGATCAACTACGAAGGAGACTACATAAAATTATACTACATAACCCTATTGTCCAGGTCTCAGAAGACACTGCCTGCCTGCATACGAGAGAATAGTTCTGAGTGAACGTGGAAGAGCTGCATAAAGGAGGAGGGATTGTGTAGGTATCCTATTCAGTTAAAGACATAATAGCTCTGAGGTCAGGAGTTCGAGACCAGCCTGGCCAATATGGTAAAAACCTGTCTCTACTAAGAATATAAAAAATTAGCCAGGCGTCGTGGCACATGCCTGTAGTTCCAGCTACTCAGGAGGCTGAGGCAGGAGAATTGCTTGAACCCAGGAGGCAGAGGTTGCAGTGAGCCGAGTTTGTGCCACTGCTCTCTAGCATGGGCTACAAGAGCAAAACTCCATCTCAGAAACAAAAAACAAACAACAGAACCTTGTAGCTGAAACTTTATAAAAAATAAACCAGGAGATAAGGAAAGAAAACATATTTTTCTTTCTTTAAAATGAATATTCATTATTATATTTGGTCCAAAAATAAAAGGGGGGTGCTACTCCTAGCCCGCAACTGCATGTGATCTCACCATGTGATAAATTCCACTATCAGAGAGTTTGTTTATTTGGTTTGACTAGATAGCATTTTTCCGTCACCTTTAGATAGGATGGGCATTTGTTCTGGTTTGGACAGTACCAATTTATACCTCTGGTCCCAACGCAATATTAATAGCACCCTCTTTCACTTTCAAAACTGTTTACGTTTGCACGATAAATTATTTGTTCACTACATAGGCAAAGCTTAAAAAAAAAAAGAAAATTCCACTTCCACCTCAGCACGTAAAATTTAGATATTACGTGCTAAACCCAGATATTCTGAATCAGAAGGTCATTCAGTTTGGGACCAATGACTTTATTTTAAAAGAGCCTCTGATGTATACTTCAAGTTACGCATTGTTGATGTAAAGTTCATTAAGAATTATTGAAACTAAAAGAAAATGATTCATGGCAAATGGCTACATTCTGAAATAACAGTCACAAGGACAAGTAGGTGGCTAGTCTAAAAGCAAAATTTTTGTGGTATCTTTATGAATTTATTTTTAAGCATACACAATTTTACCTTGTCAAAGGTCTACAACTTGCAATTGTGTGTACTGCTCCAGGGGTGAGCAAATAGGTAGTATGTTGGTCATAATCTTGTGGTTCAAAACAAAAAGCTTATGCCTTAGGTGAGTCTTAGTGAAAGTGTCAGTAAATTCATTTTTTTCTTATTTTATTTATTTACTCAGTGTATAGCTTTATTAAAACAATGACATGTAGGCAACATTACTGATCAAAATCTCTAAAATTTTGTGTTTTATAAGAAGATTTGTTAGCAAATAAATATGTTTCATTTAGCATTCTTCCCACGAATCCTTAAAAAAATGTTAAGCCTTCCACTTCATTTTCTATTTAAAGATTTTATCATAATATTTATTGGCTTTTACTCTAAGAAAAAAACATCTAGGCTCAAGGTTTTTGGACTGTCATGACAATAAAAAAGTTGTCATATTTCTCTTCCTCTCTTGTAAGAATCTACAATTTCTGATAATCACTAGGTAACAATTAGGAGGGAGGCCAAGAAAGTCTTTACTTCGGCTTTTTAAATCCACGCTCCCTTCCTTTGGTTTTCCCTTCCAGGCAGCAGAGGCTTCATTCATTAGTACAATTTGATTCTGATGTAGTACCTCTGTCTAGCACCTAAGGGGCCTTGCAAGCATGAATGGGGATACCGTGGCCTGCTCATCCAAGCTCTTTGTAGACTCACACAAACATAACACTCCAGCCACCCCCTTAGAACTAGGATGTGTATACCAGAATGCAGTCTAACTGGAAATGATCTACCTAGGAAAAAGGCTCACACAGGAGGTAGAAGCAGGCATGAGGCCATTTAGACAGAGAACTCCAGGTCCAGGTACCCAGAGAGCTTGATCTTGAGGTAGGCAGACTGTGGAATCCAGATAGGGAAATCACTCTGCCATGGAGCTCTGGTAACCTTGTACATCTTCACAGAGGCCATGTAGGCAAGGGTTAACCCCAGCTAGTCTAAGCTCTGTCAGAACACCCTGTGATTCTCCCAAACTGTGAGAACATGGGAGGCTTGTGAGGAGATGCTACAAAGCCATTTATCTCCCATCTCCTTATCTTTCAGGGGTGTTGTCATGAGGCAATTTCTCATCTCTTTGGTTCTCCTGAGGTATGAAGCCCTCTTTCCCCTACCCTTCTTCTAGGGTACAGCTGTAGGCTAGCAGAGTGCTTGGTTGCAGCTTGGAAGCAGCATGTCAGCAAAGGGTGTTCTAATACTCATGTGACTTAGTCATATCACCAGTGCCTTTCATGTCAATGTTGTCCTGGAGGACAAGTGGGAAGCTGGCACCTTAGATCATCTAGTTTTCACTCTCTCTGTTTGTAATAAATGATCTGGATCTAAAAGTAGCTTTTTTCGTTACTGGCAGAATCTTTTAGCCTTGTTTGACTTCATGGGTGAGAAACGTAGTTAAAGGAGGCCCAAGCAGGGTACTCTCGGTCAGAACCCCTACTGTCCAGGTCTCAGAAGAAACGACCAACCTGTGTATGAGAGAGTAGCTCTGAGTGAATGTGGAAGAGCTGCATGTAGGAGGAGTGACTGTATCATATTCAGACAAAGAAGTAAAGGAATGCCTCAGCTTTTGGTGAGGAGAAAACAGGAGTTATTATGCTGTTGTTGTTGTTGTTGGGTAGCAAGTATAGGAACGCTAAAAAAAAAAAAAAAAAAAAGAACAGATGGAAAAATATGACACTGGCCAACAGCAGGAGCATTAGGAAAAACAATAAAATATTTTTTAAAGTAGTAAAACATCAAGTTAAAAAAGTGTGTCCTATGGGCTGGGCGCAGTGGTTCATGCCTGTAATCCCAGCACTTTGGGAGGCCAAGGCAGGCAGAACACGAGGTCAGGAGATCGAGACCATCCTGGCTAACATGGTGAAACCCCGTCTCTACTAAAAATACAAAAAATTAGCTGGGTGTGGTGGCAGGTGCCTGTAGTCCCAGCTATTTGGGAGGCTGAGGCAGGAGAATAGTGTGAACCTGGGAGGCAGAGCTTGAAGTGAGCTGAGATCGCACCACTGCATTCCAGCCTGGGTGACAGAGCGAGACTCTGTCTCAAAAAAAAAGAAAAAGAAAAAAAAAAATTGTGTTCTACGTGATCCTGATTTTGTAAAACAAAACATGCAAAAATGAGCAGAAATTAAAAGTCAGTATTATTTTGTTATTTTTAAAACATATTGATGGTCGAAAATGACAATAATGACCTTTATAATTAGAAAAGATATAAATATACAGAAAAAGTGGTTCAGAAGACACACCAGAGTAAGAAAAAGATAAACGAAGTTAATAATCATACAAGCAAAATGCTGAAAGATAATTTTAGTGACATTTTGATTCTAATTAAGGATTTTAACATTTACTTCAACTAGTGTATCTTACCATAAATGAAGTAAAAAATAAATTACGCTTTCCAAATTACTGACCTAGTAAAATTGTTGAGTATCCTTTTATCTTTAAATATCTTCACTTTTATGTAGGTCTACCCGCTTTACTTGCCTCATCTATACAAGCTAAATGCATTCATTCTGAATTTTAGTAAGAAAATCTTATGCCAGAAGAGAACAGGCAGTTTCTTAAAATTTAGTCATATCGGGTGTAACTCAGATATTCAGATTTGGTCAGTCCAGGTTGGACTTAGGAATCTGAATTTTCAATAAGCTTCCCAAATGAGTCTGATATTGGAGGTCTGGAGAACATATTTTAAATGATTTTGAATTAACAGCAAAGCCCTAATTAAACATAAATATACCTAATTCTATATGTTTTGTTTAACCAAATATCTGATGTCTGAATTTTTAAAGGCCTTCTGCTTTTAACCAGTCTTTTCCAGTTTTTTCACATTCTTATATATTCATTGCTATATCAATATTAAAACACAGCATCAACCACACATGTCCTTCGTCTTACTCTAGTCTGCATGCCTACTAAGCCACTTTGACAACCTTGAGAGTATTGTGCCCCTCAGGAGCACAGAGTCAGGGAAAAAGGCCCATAGCATAAAGCCAGACACCCTGTCCCTTGTCACAGACCCTCCACATTTGGTCTTATCTTATATTGCTCTCCTACTGATGGCACCCTGACCTGCTGACTAATGTGGATTGGCCTTTCATAGGACCATACTGTTTTTCCATTTTAAATTATCTTCGTCCTTCTATCCCTCAGACACACATCAATGCTTATCCTCATTGGAAGCTACTTTAAGTCTACTTTATTCTTAAAACATACCTGTCAACCAATTCAAACTTCTTTTATATCTGAACTCTATTGTGTTGCATCCCAATTTTCAACCTAGGCATAGGTCATGCAGAATGTACCTGTTCAAGTAGATCCCCACAGATCCAGTTGAGTATGGCAAGTTATAAAGAGGAGTTGGTCGTGGGACAAATTATACATCTCTCATAACCTTCATTCATTTATTATGGCCACCTTTATTACTTCTTTCAACTGTTCAACAAATATCTCTTGAATACCTACAATATGCCAGAAATACTTCTGGACACTGAGAATACAGTAGTGAACAAAACACTCAATGAGGTTATATTTTAATGAGAGAAGACACACATTAAAGAAATATATAAAAGATAGTAATAATAATTCATATGATTATAACTAACACTTACTGAATGCTTACTGATGCCAGGTGCTGTTCTAAGTGCTTTGTGCTAACTCACAACAATTTATGAGGTAAGTACTATAATAATTCCTGTTTGATAGATGAGTAACTCAGGCACGGAAAGTTTTAAAAACTTGCCCAAAGTCATTAAGCCAGCAGTAGGAGACAAAGACTGAATTCTCGGCAGTTTGGATCTAGCATTCACCCTCTTAAGTCACCAGTATGCCTTACTATCAATAATAAATAACATGCCATGAAGAAAAATAAAACATAGTCAAATGGGATAGATAGTAATGGAGAAAGTGTGGCCAGGGGAAGTCTCTTTGATAAGATGTCATTTGAGTAGAGACTTGAAATAAAATAAGGGACCTGGCCATGTGGCTATACAAGGAAACAGTTCTAATTTGAGATGATAACAGGCGCAAAATTTCTAATGAGAGGTTGAGTTTGGCATCATGAACATTTGCCATAATATGATTTATTTCAACTTGAGCACAAACAAATTAAGTTTCATCCAACTTAACTGAAGGACAATCAGAACTTGTATCTGGCTTTAAAGGCAACAATGCACATGTGCTGTACAATAAAAGGCTGGTGTGGCTAGAGTTTACCAAGCTTTTTTTAAAAAAGCAGAACATAAATGAGGTCATCCTTTCAATAGCCAAGGAGGGCTTATTAAATGGAGTGTCAAAGGTGGAGACAGCAAGATTGAATCAGATCCTAAACATACTTGAAAAGGAAAACCAACAAGATTTTCTCATGGATTATACATGGCATGAGAGAAAGAAGATTAAGGAGATGTGACAGTTTTAACTTGAGAATCAAGAAGCGTGGATATTCTGAAACGGAGAAGACTACAAGAAGAATAGGTTTGGCCGTACACAGTGGTGAGGCTTCATACGTTTTGCTTTAGAAATGTTTTATCTGAGATACTATTACATATTCAAGTGATAATGTCAAATAGGCAGCTCTATATATGAGTCTCAAGTTCAGCAAAGAGGTTTGGAATGCAACTTCTTAGACTATAAATTCAGATATGAAATTCAAGATGGCGCTTCACATCATGAACTGGATTAAACCACGTAAGGAGTGAGAGTAAAGGGAGAAGAAAGAGTTCCAAGCATTGAGCTTGTGATATTCCAGTGTTTAGGGGTTAGAAATAAGAAAAGGAGCAGCCAGTGAAAATGTGGTATCCAGGATATTAGGCAAATAAAGTGTTTCAAACAAAAAGGAGAGACCACCTGTGTCAAATGTTGCTGATAGATTGAATTACATGAAGACTGAGATACAACTATGGGATCAGGCACCTGGAGATGACTGATAACCTTGACAAAAGGAATTTCACTGACACATACCGGGAATAAATTCTTCTAAGTAGCTGTGACATGATAAAATTTAGACATATGCTGAGAAGGAGTGCCTTTCCAGGTGAGTGACAGTTGATGAGCAAAAAACAGAATAGTAAATATCAAGACAGACAATATCATCTGTTCATGAGGAAGGAACAGTAAATACAATGGTTCTCAGCAGATTAACAGGAGATAGGACAAGGTAGCACGGTCAGAGAAGAAGTTTATGTGGGTGGGCAAAAAAGTTCTTTCTAAACTTTTTTGGTTCCTCAGAAAAGGAGGGAGCTAGGGTGAAACCACTAACAACACATTTATGGAAACCATCAAATATCATCAGAGCCATTAACATCCAACGGAACCAGATCCACGGACCCCTCCCCACCACCAACCTTGCTATCTCATTTACTCTTCCATCCCCCGCTTGAGCTTTGAGGAACAAAAGATGTGTCATATAGCATGATTATATTGAACAATTTTCCTTTTAAATAAACTGTGGGCCACAGTCTTCACCTGTGCTGATTGGGAAGAAGCAGGAAACTCTGAAATGCTGAGATGGCATTAACAAATGAACATGACAGGAGAGCTATGGCATCCCTTTTAAGGGAAGAATAGAGAAAATGCTATAGTTGAAAGCAGTGATTGGAAAAAATAAAACTCCATCCACTTTATGCCCAAATGTGTTGAGACTCCTAAGTAACTTGATGACACAATTAAACTACATTGGTAATAAAATTCCTGGTAGTGAAAGTGCTATGGAGAAAAATATGGAATTAGAGAATAGTTGAGTTGAAGGAAATGATATATATATTTTTTAATTTTGTAGTCAGGAAAACCTTTCGTGAGAAGAACTTTGAGGAAAGACATTTGAACATGCAAACATCTGGGAAAGAGCCTGCCAGGTAAAGGCAAAGGCACAGCATAAAAAAAAGGCTGGCTGTTGGATGGCTGAAAAATTAAATTATATAATATTTGTTATTGTGGTACAAGTTCTATATAGGTAATGCTTGTGTATTGACACTTTAATGTGGAAATGAGGATTATTTGGTGAACACCTGGCATGTTGTAGATATTAATAAACAATGAGCAATATAATTCTTGATATAAAAAAAGAAATCACTGAATTTACTCAAGGCTTAATAGAGCTTACCGCATGGATATCACTAGCACTAGTATTTGTTAAAAAAATGCTAATTTTTTGAGAATATTAAGCAATTACACAGATTTATTAATAATACTGGATATTAACAATTTTGTTTAAAATTATAGTAGAAAAATTATAAAAATCCTACAAGAAAACTAGAAATACCCATCTGGACATCAGCCCTGGGAAATGATTTGTAACTAACTATACAAAAGCAATTGCAATAAAAATAAAAATTGATAAGTAGGACTTAATTAAACTAAAGAGCTTCTGCACACCAAAAGAAACTATCAAAAAAATAAACAGACAACATAAAGAATGGGAGAAATGTTTGCAAACTATGCATTGGTCAAAGGTCTAATATTCAGAATATATAAGAAGCTTAAACACATTAATAAGAAAAAACAAATAACCCCATTAAAAACTGGGCAAAGGATATGAATAGGCACTTCTCAAAAGAAGACATAGAAGCAGGCAACAAACATGAAAAAATGCTCAACATCACTAACATCAGATAAATGCAAATCAAAACCGCAATGAGATACCATCTCACACCAGTCAGAATGGTTATTATTAAAAAGTAAAAAATAACAGATGTCAGTGAGGCTGGAGAGAAAAAGGAATGCTTATACACTGTTGGTGGGAACATACATTTGTTCAGTCATGGTGGAAAGCAGTTGGAGACTTCTCAAAGAACTAAATACAGAACTACCATTTGATCCAGCAATCTCACTACTGGGTATATACTCAAAAGAAAATAAATCGTTCTACCAAAAAGAAACATGCACTTGTATGTTTGTCTCAGCACTATTCACAGTAGCAAAGACATGGAATCAACCCAGGTGCCCATCTGTGGTCAATTGTATAAAGAAAATGTGGTACACATACACCATGGAATACTACGCAGCAATAAAAAAGAATGAAATCATATCCTCTGCAGCAGCATGGATGCAAGCGAAGGCCATTATCCTAAGTGAATTAATGCAGAAACAGGTACCACATGCTCTCACTTATAAGTAGGAGCTAAACATTGAGTACACATGAACATAAAGATGGGAACAATAGACACTGGGGACTC
This sequence comes from Homo sapiens, assembly GCF_000001405.40. NCBI lineage: Eukaryota > Metazoa > Chordata > Mammalia > Primates > Hominidae > Homo > Homo sapiens. The sequence continues at coordinate 175,031,293 of NC_000003.12, read as the reverse complement.
CTAGAGTATGGAAGGAGGGAGGCAAGGGTTGAAAAATTACCTATTGGGTACCAGGCTACCTGGGTGATGAAACCAATCATACCCCAAACCGAAGCATCATACAATGTACCCGTGTAACAAACCTGCACATGTACCCCCTCATTCTAAAATTAAAGTTGAAATATAAAAAATTTTAAAAAACAAAGTTATAGTTGGTTAATGTTTTGTTCTAATGTATTTAACAGTTTTATAATATCATGCATGATATTTAACTATTTAAAATTATAATATTAATTTCATGAAATATTTAGAAGTCATTAATATCACACTTTTGAAGAATACTGATATGGCTTGCAGGGTGCAGGGTTGTCACAAACCTTACATTTTTTTAAAAAAGTAGTATCTGCAAAGTGCAATAAAACCAGGCATGGCTGTATACAAATAAATAGATACAATCCAAAATCCATTAACTGTTCATAAACAATTATGAAATTCTTTGATAAAACTAAATACATTGAACAAATACAAGAGCTTGCTAATAGTAAACTCTGCAATTTTATTCTTCCTTACATTAAAGATTTGTACTGCTACACTTCTTTTCTCTTTAATTTTCTTATATCTGATTTACAAAAAATTATTCCCAATTTACAAACTAATTTTGCAAATTCTATGCAGTCCTAATTGTAAATCAATCCTCTTATCTTAACGGAAGTAAAAGCAGGTTGTTTTAACTCTTGGCTGTGCTCTTGGGAATGTAGAAACTAAAATCCTATCAAATCTTCCCTAAAGACATTTAAATTTGCTTTTATTTTTGGCTTCCATTTTGCAATTTCTAGTCTACATGATACATAATGCAACTGTCAAAGTAAGTGCCTATATTTCAGATAAGTTGTTTGTCTCATTGTAAAATGCATTTACAGGAATCAAAATTCAAGCTTAAAAACACAATATTAGAAATATATTTTAATTTTCAGAAAAGTAACAAAACTCGTCTATAAGCAACTTGTACACAGAAGTAATGTCTATAACAGAAAACTTAATGGAACTGAAGTCCTTTCTCTTTAAAGGCACATTGTTATATCAGAGGAAAGCATAAATAGCAGCAAACATCTTATTAAACAACAAGTGTGCAAATGGAAAAGGCAGAGGCCTCTAGGGCCATGTTAATTATCTCAGGGTCAGAGGCATTAAGAAGACTGTCTGGCAGTTTCTAAGGCAGTCAGATGGCAGTACCAACACACAAGCATCCCCAAGGTCTTGCAGTTACAGCACTGTCATATTTCAAATGACAGGTAATACTTACGAACACGCTGACACTAACCTCCTCAATTATAGTCAATGTCAAGGTTTTACAACTGGAGGACCTGCTAATTTCTAACATATATATTGCCTGACAAAAAGTACTTTATAAAAAATAAGTATTTAAAGCACCTATTGGATGATGCTAAAGAAATCTTTGGAACACTCACACACAGATAATGTCCTTTGAGCCATTACCTCTTGGGGAACAAAACATACATTTTCCTGGAGGATAATTTTTGTGGCATTTATGGCATAAGGAAACCTCAGAGGGGTTTAGTGTGTCTGAGTATTATTCTCTTTGCCTATAGTGACATTATACTACAAGATATTTTCATTTAGACTTATTTCATTTTTCAATATAATCATATTAAAGTACAAATTTAATACACTTGCATAGGTGTAGTGTTATTTGGTCAAATTTCGTTTTCTCCCCTTTTAACTGGGATGCCATTTTCCATCTTTCAGTTTGTGTATATATATTTGCAAACTGGTATGCTGGTTTTGCTAACAATTATCTTCCTTTTTCTTTTACTTGTAAGCCCTCTGATGGATCAGAGAGAGTTATGCAGATATCAATGTGTGTTTTTAGTAAACCTTGCCTGGTGCAAGCTTTGGCAAGAAACCAGTCACTCAGGTTCACTAGGGTCCCCCATTTTTAAATTACAATCACACATCTAAAGGATTACATTTAAATGGGAATTTCAGCTCTACCTGAATGAACGTAAGGGAAGCAGTTGGGCACAAGAGAGACGTGAAAGAATGAGATACAGCCATGGTCTGGTTCAGGAAAGCTGAAGTATAAAAACAAGTTTTTCAGTTTGAATTAGTAGTTTTTCCACCATACATCTTTTGTTCATCATGTAAAGTCCTCATTGTGGATTTGGGGACTATTGGTTGGCTTCATAAATTTGGGACAACTTGAAATTGCATGCACATTTTGAGTTTTTTATATATATATATATAATTTTAATATATGATTTTACATATATGTAATTTTTCATGGAGAGACTGCATAATATTCATCTAATTATTAAATAAATCTACAACACTATAGTTTACACTACTAAAATATACAACTTATGAGACTTTTGATTCTAAAACAAATTTCATTTGAAATTAAGTACAAAGAAACACTACGAAGTGAGACTCATTTAAGACTCAACTAAGATTTTTGGTTTAATTTGTAAATAACAGAATTAAAAATTGATTTTTATTTCCCAAATTTTAGCTTCTAAAAAAAGTATTGAGAGGTGGAATAGTATTATATTCATTTAGATCCTGAAATATATCTTTTTTTGATAATTTAGCTTATGAATTTCACACTAGTTAGAAAATATTATCAACATTGATTTGGTAAATTTAAAAGATACTCTGACATTTTAATGTATAAAATTTTTTAGATCTTAGGGAAAACACTGAACTTCTGAGGTAAAAATGGTCATGAAAGTCTTAAATAATATTCACTTATTAATTCATTTTAAATGTCTAGAACTTTGGTTTGAATTAATACACATCATAAAATTACCTCTGGCCATGAGAAAAATTATGTAAAAATAGCTTCTAAATCCAATTCTGCTAAGGACATACCGGGAATCTTAATCCTTATTTTGATTCCATGACAAATGTATACCAATTGTCCTTACCCATATATTTAGCGACTTTCATATTTTAAAGTGAGTGAAAATATAACAAAATGAGAAATTGTTAAATTGTAACTGTATATCTATTATTTTTGTTTTAAGTGTTTCTGCTGTAGGGTACATGTTTCAGAGCAACTTACTCCTCAAAGATGCTTTTAAAAGAATTTTAGTTTGTTGAAGGAGAAAGAATCAGTGACTCAAACACATCAAAAAGAAATATTAGGATCAACTAGCCTTGTTTACTTTTGACTGGCGTAGGAAACCTTTTACTCCTGTTAAGGGATAGCTGTTCTCCTTGCTGATGTGGAGCAGCTCACATCTGGATTGCAAAGTTTCTGAAGGTTAATTTCAGCTTCTAGCTAAAAATGCCCTTACTTGTATTGACTCGCATTGCCTTTTCACATGTGAATAATTCCAGATATAGCTTTAGGTCAGTTCCACCGAGATACAAGATAAAGGGTTTAAAAACAAACAAATAGAAGCATTTTTCTTTACCTAGATGTTCAAAATAAATGCCTGATCAGACCTGAAAGCTTAAAAAGCAACCATTTGCCATTTCAAGGTATTGAATATGGGCCTGGGTCACTGCTAGAAATATAAAAATTCTAGGTAAGGGTAAGCAAGTTGCCCTCTGCCAGTGTTTTTATCTGTGTCATATTCTTCTATTTTTTGACCTAGAAAATATACCACATTAAGGCTATGATAACTTTAAAGAGCATATATCTTCTATTGATGAGACAGAGAAAATTGTGAAATAAAAGAATTCGGGGAAGAGCTGATTGAATGCTTAAGTCATTCTAATTTGGAACTAAATGGTATCATCACGGTTATTAGAGCTAATTTTGTAATTTAAATAATCTGGTCACATAGGTCTTTTTAATTGAACTTATTGTATTACATAATAAAATCATACCGTTATGTACTATGGTACATAAGTGATAGTAAAATCATTGTTTTTTTCTATAATGTTATGGTTTACATAACATTTGTGAGAAGATGTGGTTGCAGTTGAAACCGGGATTCAGTTTTGTGTTTTATACAGTATTTCTTCACCTATGCTGCTTCAGATCTGGGAGCATTTAAGAAGTTACTGGTGTGCAACTTCAGTTTTCATTCATTGGCATTAAATCTACTTTTTACTAGATATATCTGCACCTGCTATGATCTGAGACAATATACATTAAATGAACAAATGAAGGTTATGTTTCTTAGAGGAGTGGTGTATGTGTGGGTGTATACGTGTGTAGGGTAAAATGTAATATGCTTTCCAAGGATAACATCTGAGCAAATAAAGACTATACAAATCCAACCCCTCTGAATCATTCCATTCACCCTTAACAGTAACAGGTGACAGAGATAACACCAAAGTATAGAAACTGTTATTGCTATTGTTGCCATATACAGAGTATCCCAATAAGTTAGGGACAGAGGGAAGACTGCAGGCCAAATTCAGCCTGCAGAAATGTTTGTTCGGTATGCAGTTAAGGTTTCAAAATAACTCATGTGAATCTCTTTAGATGTGCTCCCCAGTACACCACAGTTGCCTCCAATCCTTAATGCCATGTTCCTTATGTGGGCTGCCTTGGATCTGAAGGCATTGTAGTTTAGGATCTCTGCAACACAGTCTTTTCCCCTCACTTTAAACCAGAGATATTTTTTCATCTGTAGCAGGAAGATATTGCTTCCCACTAGCTCACCAATTTGATTTTTTTTTTTTGAGACAGAGTTTTGTTCTTGTTGCCTGGGCTGAAGTGCAATTGAGTGATCTCGGCTCACTGAGACCTCTGCCTACCAGGTTCAAGCAATTCTCCTGCCTCAGCCTCCCAAGTAGTTGGGATTACAGGCATGCGCCACCACGTATGGCTAATTTTTTTTTTTTTTTTTTTTTTTAGTAGAGACGGGGTTTCACCATGCTGGCCAGGCTGGTCTCGAACTCCTGACCTCATGATCCGCCTGCCTCAGCCTCCCAAAGTGCTGGGATTACAGATGTGAGTCACCATGCCCAGCCTGAACTTTTTAGATATATTTTCTGGCCTCTTGCTCACTTGTGGCACAATATTTGTTTTTTCCATCTTCAAACATTTTACTAGTCTCCAAAGTGCATGAGATTACACGAAAATATGCCTAGACATGTGTATTTTCTCATTAATATTGCCTGGAGCTTTATAAACCTATTAAATCCATAGAATCTAGCACTTCTTTAGTACAGAAGGATTTTCTTCTATTGTTAACTTAATAATTCATTTGTTAGGATGGCTAAACAGCCAGGTACAGTGGCTTATGCCTGTAATTCCAGCATTTTGGGAGGCCAAGGCAAGTGTATGGTTTGAGCCCAGGAATTTGAGACTAGCCTAGGCAACATAGGGAGACCCCGTCTTTACAAAAATTACAAAAAATTCTCTGGGTATAGTGGTATGCACCTACAGTCCCACCTACTAGGGAGGCTGAGGTGGGCGAATCACTTGAGCCTGAGAGGTGGAGGCTGCAGTGAGCTAAGATCACGCCACTGCACTCCAGCCTGGGTGACAAAGTGAGACCCTTTCTCAAACAAACAAACAAATAAACAAAACTGAAAAACAAATATGGCTAAACAGAGATGAAACCAAGATGGAGGGATGGTGAATACATATTTGTATTTTTATCCAGTCTTTTCAGATTCTATATTTTCCCCATTAAAATACTTCTAGGGTTTTATTAAAATATTTTTGGAAACTTATGTCCTCTATGTTCATGACATTTTCACTTATAAATTTGAAGGTGTTTCATGACAAAGTTTGGAAATAAACAGTTAGTAGTTTGAAGGTACTTTCTTTGATAACAATAGCCGTTGCCAAAATTTTGCACTTTCAATACTTATTTTATTTACTACACAAAGTCACACTATATAGTACATGTTATTATATAACTTTCATTGATAAGGAAATAGAATCAGATGGTTCATGTAACTTGAAGATCACATGGTTAGAAAATGGTAGATAAAGGAATTGTACATGATTGACTTTAAAGGTGATTCTCTCAACCACCCACTATTCTGTGTCATTATTTAATAGCTTTTTAGTAGGCAGTGCTGACCAGTTTTACCCATCCCTGACAAAATATAAAATGCATACACATGAAAACTTTTTTTTTTCATATGCCTGCTGCTCAACCGTAAACATTCAAACCCTTGTCACACCTAGACTTTAGTTCACACATTGTTATTCTCCACTAATGTTCCTCTAATACAATTTTTAAAAATAATCAGATTATAGCTTGAATATCTAAAATCAAATGTAATCATTACTACCAAAGCGAAAAAGTGAGAATTTGATTCAAGTTCAATTTTTGATATGCAGCATTTTAGTTATGTTACTTAAATCATCTCAAAAGGTAACAGATACTTTTAGACATCCTCATTTTCTCTCACCTTTATATCTAATAAACATTTTATACATGAAATGCTGTTTGTATGCCTGGTGTGGGTGGCGATACCAGTCTCAGACTCATCTCCCTTATTGTTATGTATCACTTAGAAATTCAGCAACACCATCACATGAGTAGATTCTCTAAAATGTACATGTTACTCTGACAAATGAGAGCTGCTACCCTCTGCTACGGTGTGCTCAATTTTGTCAATTTGTCTTCAGCTTATTAAAAAGTAAAACTGAAAAAAAATAAGATAATTACTGCTCTTTTTCACTCTGATATCCTGTTCTCCTATACTATTGAAGACAATGTCTTAGATTTAGTTAAAAAATTTATGTTTCACTATAATGCATACAATAATATTCTAAGAATAGTGAACATTTTTACATATGTGCCATTTAGTTTTTCTCATTTCCTCTTACCTATGATTTCTAATAATATTTGCTCACTTTAAATAAGGACAATGATTTTGTATTTTCTCTTTAAGATATCATCCACCTAGCAGGTATCTCCTATTTCAGGTTAAGATACACAAAGCATCCGCTTTGCCCTTTTTGCATTTCAGTAGTCTACTCGCAGCTGCTGCTTAGTTATTGTCTCCATTTTTTCTTGCTGTTGTTGTTGCTTTTCAGTACCTGAGTTTCATTGGCTTTATACAAAGCACAAACAGACATTCATAATGGCATGCATATTAATCATAGGGTACTTGGGCAGTTCAAATTTTAATATAGATTGTTCCACTTTAATGATATTAGTTTACATAATTACATAAATATAATATATAAAGTGTCCCGTGGTTTACAAAAATCATGTATTTCCATTATTTATCTTTAACTTCATAAAATTGTATAAAAAGGAAAACTGATGTCATTATCCTTTTTTTTAGGAGAAAAAACTAAAGGGTAGAAGGATGTACCAATTAAAATAAATATGATCAAAAATGGTAGAAGCAAGTGATTTTTGATATTAAAGAATTTTTCCACTGCTATCCTATATTCCCACAGAATTGTATAATCTCAAAACTCTGTTACCTTTACAAAGTAACCATTATATATCTAACACTTTATTACCAAGTCCTGTCAGTGAAATAGCTAATTTATATTTAAAAGAAACAGAAAGGGATATGGAGCCCAAACAGACATCTCAAAAATCTGAGTTATGTTCCTCAGTAAAGCTGTAATGTCTGAAAGTGCCATACTCTGTACTCTGTCTATAGGAGATTGGTCTCTTGTTGAATCACATTCAGTATTTTGCATTCTAGTATGAAGCATTTCATTGTTATTAGTGATGTCAAGAAATATATTTGTTATAAAATTATTTTAGCAGACAATGAGTAGTATGTCATTCAGTATCTCTGTATGGTAAGGTTTAAAGTATTTCTAGAATTTTTTTCATAGCCCCTCGAAACCATGAGAAGTTGATAAGCTTTCCCCTTTTTGAGAATAAAAATTCTGTAGCCAAAGATGTTTCTTATTTTCTTCTGGACAACAGGAACGTCCAACTCAGATTAGTTTCTCAATCGAAAAAATAATATAAACTTTATGACAGACACATTTTCTTTCTCCCTTTTCCTACTAGACTATTATCTGTCTTATTGAATAAATGCTATTTATGTGATAAGAAACAATGAGGCATAAATTGAAATATGAATAAATTACACTAAAATCAAGAGAAGTCCAATATGTTTAACATTTTAAAACTCTCTTACATACTATTTATTTATCCCCAATGGATACATCTTTATGACTTGAGTGCTGATTTGGATACTTCTTAGAATTGAGAGACTATATTTGTATTCTACATCTCCCTAGTGTCCAGAGTGGTCTTTTGTTATTTATTTATTTAGACCTTGAAAATATTTTGACATGCAAAAGAACCTATTGGAAGACTTTCAGATGCAAATAATGACTTCAGTACAACTATCTTCTAATCGACCAACCAGAGAAAGAAAATTCCACAATATTCCTAAGAGTCAAAACAACCAACTCTGGGAAACTGGACGTAATTAAAACAAACAAACTACAGGGCTCTTCCGGAGCAGGGAGAGTATCACACTCATCTTTGTATCCCCAGGGTCTGGTACAGTGTTAGACTTTAGGTAGACACTTCACAAATTTTCAAGTGGATGGATGAATTAATCATTTAAGATGATGCAGGTGGAATATGTGCTTTGAGCAGTCTTTCTCGAGTAAGAATTATTTCTGTTAATCCGTCAATACATTCCCAGTCAATCTCTCTCAGCCAAACCATGCCTTTCAGAGTTGGCAGGCAAGGATTTGGTATCTAGTCTTTGGCCAGGATTAGAATGAAAGGTAACTGGATCACAAACAGGATTAAATGATTGACCCTGGCCTTATTAACTGAGCTTCAACTGGGTTTAACCAGCCATGGCTATAGGGAGCAGCAAGGTTCATAACCTTTAATTGTACCATTCTCTCTAACTGTCTAAATATTATGGACTTGGAAGAAAGGCCCACTTGAGAAGACATTAATGGCATGACATATGCTACATTGTAGTTTTTTTAATCTGAGTCAAAATCAGAATCCATTTGTCAGGTAATTGTCCAATGTTCTGTTCTCAGAAATCAAGCAGACAATTAGAGTCCTTGAAATTTCTCTATTAGAACACAGAGCCCCGGACCCAGCAATATCCCGTAATAGTTACAAACTATTTATTTGTACCCTATGATTAGTCCATTTTGTATTAGTCCATCATGCATTGCAGTAAATATCTGGGGCTGGATAATTCATAAAGAAAAGAGGTTTATTTGGGTCACCATTCTTCAGGCTATACAAGAAGCATGGCACCAGTATCTGCTTCTGGTGAGGGCTTCAGGAAGCTTTCAGTTATAGTGCAAGTTGAAGGAGAGTAGGTGTGTCACGTGGCAGGAGAGGCAGCAAGAGAGAAGCAGGAGGTACCAAGCTCTATTTAACAACCAGATCTCACCTGTACTAATAGAGTAAAAATTCACTCGTTACCATGAGGAAGACAAGCCATTCATGAGTAACTCCCAGTCCCATGACCTAAACACCTCCCACCGGGCCCTACTTCCAACATTGAAGATCACATTTCAACTTGAGATCTGAAGGGGACAAATACCCAAACTACATCACCCTATAATATCCAAGTTCTCCAAATGCAGTACTTAACAACTTTGCACTTACAGACTTTTGCATTTAATCTATCAATTAGAAAACAATGCTTAAATATCTGCACATGCAAAAATATAAAAACACTCCCCTGGTCTCACCCCTATTAAAGAGCAATACAACAAGCAAAAAGTTATAAAAGGCAGGTTTGCAGATAAGAAAGGCTGGGCTCTGAAGATTGCAAATGAGGGTAAGATTGTGTGGAAAAGACTTGGCAGTTTGACTTCTCCACAAGTTCAATACGAAACACTTGAGGGGAAAGAGGGTGAGACCACTGCATTTTGTACACACCTTTATTAGTGCACTCAAATTGATCTGTGATTTTTCATACTATGGGTGTGTTGCCCCTTAATACCTTGTAAGCTATTTGAAGACCTGGGTTGTATCTTTTTTACCTTCATATCCCAGAGGGAGCATATAACTAGGCACTGTGTTGGTTTATAAAATATTTCTTTACTCAAATATTTATTGACCATGTATACTTTGTATAGTACTATACAGGTACTAGAAACACAGTGTCTAACAGAAAAGGCATGGTCCCAGCTCTTATTGAATTTAAAGTCCTGTTTATGAAGGAACAAATGGACAAGAAATGAATGGACAAATTGCGTATATTCGGTGAAGAGCAATTAGACCTGCGACTAAACACAGGAGACCTTCACAACTTTTTCCTCTTTTGATAGTAACTTTCTTTCACTTTCAGGGAATTCTGACATACCATCCTCCCACCAATAATCACAAAAATTCAGAAAAGTTTGTCTCCTGCTATTCTGTTTATTCCTATAGCCAAGAATTTTGTCATGTTTTATGTTCTGTAGTCAGCATTCTGAAAATGACAGTCTCTCCTCCTCAGAAGACAAAATGCATTATAATTTTGAATATGCTATTGCAAACCAAGCTTCCCAGAGATGCTAATATCTTTGCTGGAGGCAGGTATCCCTGGCAGGAAGTCCAGCGGCAGAGGAATTCTGGAAAGAGAATGTGAAAGACAGAAAGGGAAGAGAAACCAGGGCCCAGTACGGTAAATTGTAGTTGCGAGTAGTTTGGCTATTCACCCCAAAGGTACTGAAGAGCCTTTGGTGACTTCTGAACTGGTATGGCAGAATCAAAGTGATATTTAGAGATAATAGCCAAGCAGTTTGACATAGTCTATATTGTTGTTGAAAAAAGCTGAAAACAAGTAAGGCCAGTTAGGATGACACTACAATAGATAAGCCATAAATTATTAAGTTCCCAAATAATGATGATGCCAGTTGTACCAGAAATATAACTGAGGCTTCCAGCCTGATGAAGGGGAGAATGGTGGTGCCATGAACAGGATCAGGTTCATAAGGAAAAGGAACACATTTACAATTAGGAGATAATAAGAGAATCTAGACAATGATACATTTTCAAATGCAACTCACTGCAGTTAGGTGGAGATTCATGATTAAAGCTTTGAAGAAACATCAGTTTGAAACACAGATGTGAACTGTAAGCATTCTTTTCATCTTAAGAAAATTCCTCACAGATCGCATCATTAATTGTAACATCAGTGCCCTTTGCTGACTGGTGAATAATTGAGAAGCAACTTCTGGTTTTCCTTGAAAGCATCAAGAACCAAGACCTACCAATCTTTCAAGTATTATTTTCATAACTTTGGGAATCTGGTAGGATTAGTGTCTGGTTCAAAGGCAGAAAGAGGTCCCTGAACACTAAATGCTCTGCATGTCCCCAACAGAATCTGTGGATTTCCAATATTCATTAATTCATTTGCTCCTGTTTGTTAATTGTGTGCTTATTATGTGTAACATACTGTGATGGGTTCTGGGATTCAGTCAAAAAATGGGAGAGATCTGGTTCCTGTTGTCATAAAGATCACATATTATTTCTGGAATGAAAAACAAACTCCTTCTTCCCAATAGCATATGCTTGGAGCTTCTAACTACAGATATCTCAGGCTGACACTGAAGAATTTTATCAGATATGTAACTTTTGGATGCAACTAAATAATTTGCATAAGAGAATGACATTTACAAATATACTGAGTGACATTTGATACGGCATAATATACTGCAAGCTTAGTATTAGGGAGACCAGATTAATGTCATTCTTAAGTAGGATGTAGTTAGGCTCAGCAACTGCTTAACGGCATTCCAGAGGGGAAAAGGAAGGAGGAAAGAAGCTGAAAATGGTCAACGAAGTGAAATTAGATCACTGGTAAACTCATAACTTAGGTTTGTACCATTTGGTCAGTTTTTGAATGGCCATAACTTAATGATTCAATTAGTTTCCTGGGAGCAAGGATAAGTACATGTTCAATGTACTGTGTCATATTACTGATTAGAATCTGCCAAAGCCATGTCTAGCTGAAGCTTATGAGCAATGAAAACAAAATTACTTTATATATGTTATAGTTCCGCTATGAATAGACAGATGAATATGCAGCTGCTGACAATAAAAATAATTAAAACAAAATTAGTACACAGAGTTATTTACTTAAATATTAATTTCTTAGCGGATTATAATTTTCTTAATAATTGATTCAAGGCATTGAGGGGCTTACCAGGTATAGGCAGACACTGTGCTGAGCTGTAGATGAAACAAGTATGAACTTTGGGGCAATTTTACATGAACAACTTCAAGAAGAAATGTGACCCAGAAACAGCAGCATAGTCCACATAACTGACGTAAAAATTATTTTGAAAGTATGAATCACAAAATAAATGCCAGTCAGCTCAGCAGGAGTGGTATAATATTATGCCTACAGGAATCATCAGTAATGATTAAGGGCATGGTGGTATAATAATTCAAGTATGATATTTCACAAAATGAAGAAAGCAGGAGGTGGTTTCTTTCAAGAAGATAAAATGGCAAAAAAGTTACATGCTTCACTATGAACACTTACCAAAAGAAAGTAAGCTTCCGTGAAGATACTAAAGTTTTAGTGGTCAGCCTTTATGCTGTTTTTTCTATGTCACAGTAAAGCTAACTATACCAATAGATAGAAAACACCGGTTACGTTATTTGGTATGGAGGCACTATGTAAACTTTGCATGCTCTTTTGCAGTGTTGTGGCTCTTCAGTGTGAAGAATCAGTTTTGTATTTACATGGAAGACCACAGAACAATGTGATACTTGCCACTTTTAATACGTTGAATGCCATTTAAACTGTGGTAGTGTAAATATACCCCAGCTCATAAATTATTTTTGTAATCATGGTAGATGTGTATGCGGTGAGCTGGGGGAAACTAGAATTAAGCTTGCCTAACTCCTCATTTTCAGTTGGTCATCAACCAGCAAGTATTTCCCATCTGTTTACAAGCAGCCTGTTATATTTACTATGTCTGAAAACAAAATGAATGTTTTTTCTGACACTTATAAACATTTGCAGTATAAATAAAAAATTAATAACTCAGATTTCTGGACATATATAATAATAGAATTCTTAAGCCATCTCTTGTTGCCTTCTCTATTTTGCTTAATGAAAAAAATGCCCTGGCACCTGTTAATTTGCCTGCTTTCAGAGATGTCTGCAAGAGCCGACTAAAATCTCAAATATACAGGACTTTATAAAAGATATGACCAATTCACCTTGTGTACGTATTTGATGGATGTTTTACATACTAATTTTGACATTGATATAAGAGCCGTGAACATGGAAGAGTCATCCCTGTACATCTTTACTGCAAATGGAAATATTGCTACTAAAAGACAAGCTTTAGTCAGTATTTACAATGATTGATATTTTGAATATAAACATGGAGACCTCTTATCCAAAAGGTGGCATGGCTGTGCTGGATGCTAATATCATTTTTGACAGGTTTTATGCGACCCTAAGCCAGTGAAGGATGGGGTTGCAGCACCACCTTTCATATGCTTGCCACTCTGATTTCCTGCAGTAATGAACTTCAGGGTCTCCGCTTAGCAGCAAAAGCCATGATACTTAAAAAATGCAAATGTGTCTCAAAAGCTGCCCACAGAAGACAGAAGGGACTGGCCAACGCCCTAATCTGATTTTTTCTTTCTTCTGAAGCAGAGAAGACAGTAGAAAAATGCTTCAGTGCCCCCCAAAAATAATATTCAGAAATATTATTTAGTGATAATTGGATATTACCCAAGGTGGGGAAACAAAGATCATTGAAAGAGAAAATTATTCTGGGAAGAGACTGGCATATTTCTATTTTTAGTCTGAGTCTTCATGCAGGGCTTTGAAATCATTTCATTTTTTGGGAAAATCGGACTACCAATCACATAAAAACAGGCCTGCTGACTCCTGAGAACTTTGGAGGATCAACCAGGGCACACTGACAATACAATAAGGTTCCAGGAAGAAGGATTCCTTGTACGTACAGAATTGTATGACCTTCTCCCTGTTTATACTGACATCCAAATGGTGCCAGAATTGGCTGGACAGATTCAAATCCCTGGTCTGCCACTTAGTGAGCAACCTTCAGCAAATTATCTCCATCCACCTTGAAGGATGGTTGTGAAGATTCGCAACAGAATATATAAAGTATTTAGTTTGATGCTTACAACATAACAGGAACTTCGAAAATAGTGTCTGGCTATTTTATTTAGTTTAATCCCACTAGGGCACAAATCTGCTATATAAGATATACGGTATTAAGTTATATATCTATGAAAAGCAATGTGAGGGAAAAAAAAAAGAAAAGCAATGTGAGCAAATTATTTTAAATCATCCAATTAAGTTATTATTTCTACCACACCCATTCTATGGGTAACTAGTTGTATTGCATTGTCAACTAAAATACTCTAAGCAAGTAGATGATTAATTGGTACAAAAACGCAGGTAGATGGAAGAAATGAGACGTAGTGTTTGATAAAGCATTAGTGTGACTATAGTAAAAAATAATCTATTGTACATTTCAAAATAGCTAGTAGACAATAACATGAATGTTCCCAACAAAAGAAAATGTTTCAAGTGATAGATAACCCGATCACCCTGAATTGATTATTACACATAATATGAATGTGCCAAAATATCACCATGTACCCTGAAAGTAGGTGCATTTATTATGTATCAATAAAAGATAAAAAGAAAAGAAAATATTCTAAGGAAAAAATATAATTCATTATGATTCCTATGATCATTCATACAAAAATAGCTATTTTCCTTTTCTAGGAGATCAAGTGTAGCATTTAAATATTAAAAATGCATGGCTTAATAATACTAAAAATTCTACTTCTCTTATTTAAGAAGATTTCTTTAATTTGCGTATATGTATATACACAAATTAAATTTTTTTTAATAAAGCACATTTCAGAAAGACCAAAAGAAACCTCAGAGATAACCACTTTTATCAATACCTCAGTGATAACCCCTTTAGCAGGGGTTAATCTTACCATATATACTCATATAAAAAACTGGAATCTTATGGTGTGTATTGTTTTATAATCAGTATTTTTTCAATGAGCAATATATCCTAAGCATCTTTCCTTGTCAATAGATATGCTACTGTTGTAATGTTGTAATGAGTCACGTAATATTCTCATATATGGATATACTACATTTTATTACTAAAATTGCTATTGTTTTTTATATATATATATATATAAATAATTTATCTGAGATAGGCCTAAATCAAACTTACATATGGTAAGAACTCTATATATTTAGTAAATGAAAGAATGAGTGGAAAATAGTATGATTTGGTCTTTTTATTTATTAAAATATATAATACATGATACAATAACTTGCTTCAGCTTGAGAAATACTGAAGGAGTTTCAGGTGAATATTGTACTATTCAGAATATCAATGTTTCCCCTCTCTAAAATGTAGATGAGTTCCTGAAAATGAGGGATTTATAATGCAAAGAAAAGGTTCCTCCCCCCAAAACAGTAGAAAAATAATTAGAGGACTGATTATCAGGTATTTATGTCAACAAACTAACAATTAAGTTAAACACATGATTTTTCATATTTTTAATGTTACAATGATATTTTGATATGGTGTTTTAAAACACATAGACCCTCATAAATTACTTATTTTTATAAATTTTGATGCCAAAATATTTTGCAAAATAATTTTATTGCAATAACATGAACAAGCTTTTCTTCAAAATAAGTTATTCTATTTAATTAGTAAAACTATTTTAGTATGTTACCAAAAGTTAGAAAATTTAGATCTAAGTTGACTTTTAACTGCTGCTGTGAAACTAAATGATATATTTTCAATTTCCTTCTTCTGTTTTCTGAAACACATCATATTTAATATCATTTCAGTAAGACAGGAAAAGGCAAAGACGTTTCTTAGTGATTGAACTGTGATGAATTGATACCAGCACAAGTGCTTCCTAAAATTAAGTATCTTTATGCTTTATCAGGTCTCAGGCAAGAAGATAAAAAAAAGTCAGTCCTAAAGCGTGACATGAGAGTGACCACTCAAACGGCGACTGCTTAATGCACTTCTCTAATGGCAGAACAGGCTTTTCCCTAATGTTCAAGTACTTTTATCTTGAATGTGCTTCTCCTGTTCCTTTAGGAGCTTTTCAAAAATGCATGCACACATATACATATACATAGGTTAATTGAAAAATCTGGAAAAATGCCTCCAAATGTTGTTGTCATGGTTTCCTTTCACATAGTAAACAGTAGAGCTAAACGTGATACTGAAGTGTTAAGTTCACCAAATGCTGTGTTTTTAAGCCTAGTCTCAAATTATAATATTATAATTTTTAAATTCAGTTTTCTTTTTGCCAAGTTATGACCTTTATATGTCTACGCTTCCATGAAATGATGCACAATTGACTTGTTTGTAATCCCACATAATGTTAGCTGAATTGACATGCTTTCTATTGAGAAAATCTAATACACATCTAATGTTAAATGAATAAAGCCATAAAAAGTAGTCTTTTAAATTTGAAAGTAGCATTCCTAAGCCATATGTGAAAAGCAAGAGATCCAGTCCCCTTACGAAAGAGAAGAGAGAAAGAGGGAATAAAACAAAAGGAATGGAGGATGGATGAAGGGAGGGAGAGAGAAGGAAAAGAAAGAGAGAAATAGAATGTGCAATATGAATTTTACACTTCCATTATTTAAGTGTTATGGATTTCAAATCTAATTAGATAGTGTTTGGGATGCAGAAATAATTTTGTAATCCTGTAAAATACAAGTAACTTTGAAACATTTGCAATAAATGGAATAGAAGGAGTTTCAGGTGAATATTATATTCTGGTATATTATAATTTACCCACATTTAATTATAGCATCCAAATCCTTTTAAAATGGTATGTGTCATTCACTCATGTCCAAATGGTTTGCATCAATTATTCATTTGTTCAACCTATATTTTATGACAAACTTTTGTTCTATGTACTGGGAATACATTATGGAACAAAATAGTCAAAAACATTTTGAGCTAAAAGAGGCTAATGTCTAGCAGTCAGACAATATGAAGCAGTAAAATGTGTTCTATTTAACATCAAATTATGTTAAAAATGATTAAGAATAGGGAGTAAGGATTGTGTTTAGGGATGGGGGTGCAGGTAGGTGTTGTAGTTTTCAGTATAGTTGCCAGGGAAGGAAGCAAGGATATAAGAGAGTAACCCATACAGATACCTAACAGAACGCATCACTGGCAGAAGCAACATCACGGGCAAAGACCTAGAGGTGACGGCATACCTGTCCTGTGTGAGGAGCAGTAGGAAGAATAATCATAGAAGATGAGGTTGGAAAGATAATATGGACACCCGCCATTACACGTTTGTGTGTGTGTTTGTAATCATGTACAGCCCTGGTGGCTACTGTAAAAGTTAAATGACTTGCTTAATAGCACCCCTGGCAAATGACAGAGGTCGGATTTTAACCTGGATGTTAGTTTCTGATCCAGTTTTATTAGAGTGTGACCCTATGACTGATGCAATGCATGCACCTTAAATATCCTAAGATCGAGGTTTAAATGCTGCTATGCCTCAGCTTCTGACAAATTATTATTATACATTTGGTTCTGAGGACCAATCAAAACTTAAGGAATGAAAATCAGCACATGCGAGAGGAAGGAATTTAAGAAAACCTCCCCTGGTCCCAAAGAGCTGGGTCTTACGAGACCAGGAGAGTTGTATATAAAGAAGGGCCGCTTCTGGATGGACTAGAAAGTCAGAAAACATTCAGGGGTGTGGTTCAAATTCTTGAAGAATTTTCTCAAATGGAACATTTAATCAAGAGAGCTATCATAAGAATTAGGCAATTTATTAATTCATTAATCAAACAAATTTGTGGCCTGGTACAGTGGTTCATTCCTATAATCCCAGCCCTTTGGGAGGCTGAGGAGGACAAATCACATGAGGCCAGGAGTTCAAGAGCAGCATGGACAACATGGCAAAATCTTTTCTCTACTAAAACTATAAAAATTAGCTGGGCGTGGTGGTGCATGCCTGTAATCCCAGCTACCTGAGAGGCTTAGGCATAAGAATCACTTGAACCCAGGAGGTGGAGGTTTCAATGAGCCGAGATCACACCACTGCACTCCAGCCTGGACAACAGAGCAAGACCCTGTCTCAAAAAAAAAAAAAAATATATATATATATATATATATATGTATATATATAAAAATATATGTATATTATATATTTTATATATGTGTTTATATTTATATATAAATATATATTATATATTTATGTATATATATTTATATATAAATATGTATTACATATTTATATATAAATATGTATTACATATTTATATATAAATATGTATATTTATATATAAATATGTATATTTATATATAAATATGTATTACATATTTATATATATGTGTATATATTTATGTATATATTATATATTTATATATATTTATATATTATATATGTACATATATATGTATATATATTTTTGTGTATATATATATACACACACATCTAGGCTATATTGGACAAAAGTAATATAAAATGTATACATCTGTTTCTACATTTACAAAGTGGTTTTGTTTCTGAAATGTTGGAGATTATACAAATATGTTTAAATGAAAACCGATTTTCTTATATTTAACAGGAAGAACATCTTTAGAATAGAGCTTGGCAAACTTTCCTGTAAAGGGCTGGGTACTTATGCTTTGAGGCTTTGCAAGGCAAGTGTTCCCCGTCACAACTACTCAATTTCCACTGTAGTGTGAAAGCAGCCATGGACAATACTAAATGCATAGGCATGGCTGTGCACTTTACTTACAAAAACAGGTGGTGGGCCAGATTTGGCCTGAGGGCTGTAATTTTTCAACATTATTCTAGAAGGATAAAAATATAATGTCCGTAACACGTTAATATCAAAAATAAAAAAATTATTTTACTGAAGATAGTAACTACATGCAATGACAATTCAGGAGTAAACATTTTCATTTCTCAATTAATTTATGGGCCAGGCACGGTGGCTCACACCTGTAATCCCAACAATTTGGGAGGCCGTTGTGGGCGGATCACCTGAGGTCAGGAGTTCGAGACCAGCCTGGCTAACACGGTGAAACTCCGTCTCTACTAAAAATAAAAAAAATATTAGCCAGGCCTGGTGGCATATACCTGTAATCCCACCTACTCAGGAGGCTGAGGCAGGAGAATCCCTTGAACCCGGGAGGTGGAGGTTGCAGTGAGCCCAGACTGGGCCATTGCACTCCAGTTTGGGCAACAGGAGCAAATCTCCATCTCAGATAAATAAATAAATAAAATAATTCACAATGCCTCAAAGAATCTTAGCTTACAATACTGTCCACGTTCTCTCAGTTGTCTCCCGTATAGGGAATTTTGCTTGGAGAAACTCAGCATGCCCAAACTTAACACATTCATTAATTTTGCTGGCATTGCCATACATTCTTTCTCTTGTGCTTTTCCTAAAGATTAGGTTTTTGCAATGAAACTGATAACCTTCTTATTGACTGTAATGGCGATAGCTTTTTACAGTTTTTGCATGCTTTAACATGTTTCCCAATTATAATACTACTTAATTTTATTAAATTAACAATCCTTAATAATCCCACCCTGATTCACAGAAGAGTCTTAGGATATCAAGATAGTCTGCTGGGAGAAAACTGGAGGGAACATAACTTAGTAATACACTCAAAATGGCTTGAGATTTGGGTCTCTTGGCACATAGCACGCCTTGGGGCCTCTGCTGTCCTCATGTATTAGTTAGGACCTTCTTGTCTACAACTACCATCCAGCCAACTCAGACCTCAAAAAGCCAAAGAGAAAACTTTTAGAAGGATACTGAGGTGTTTCAGTGAACAATTAAGCTGAGCTATAGGCCAGAATGGAATAAGGCTTCAGACTCAACTGGAGCTACAAACTTGAACACCATCATTTCTCCAACTCTCTTCTCTGCTTACCTGAATATTGGCTTTACTATTCTCTTTTGCTATATATCACATTTGTCTGTAGACGATAGAAAAGAAAGTTGCTGAGACTCTGAATTTTTACATGGAAAGTGGTCCAGTGACCAACAAGCTGGGTCAATGATTACACATTATATTACAACTTCAAGCTTCAAAACTTGGAATAATCAGAATTAGTCTCTCTCTCTCTCTCTCTCTCTCTCTCTCTCTCTCTCTCTGTCTCTCTGTCTCTCTCCCTCTCTCTCTGTCTCTCTCCCTCTCTCTGTGGCTGAATCTGTAAGATCATGTTAGAAGCCCTTCTGTGGGCCCCTCAACTATGGCCAAGAGAATAGAGCTATGTACAAATATGGCTGCCCCAAATTATGGATCAAGGAGGAAAAAAGTCAGTTTCTGGAAGAATGAGAGGTGAGTTATGCAGTAAATTATAAAACAGTGCAAATCCCAAGAGCCAAGACATTTTGGTAGAAGTCAAAATCTAGTAATTCTGATAGGAGTACCTAGATTTATTTTTTAAAGATGGTAATCTCTTTATTACTTTATACCAAACATTGTGCAATGTAATTGTCCATAATTTGGAAAGTGTTGATCATGTAGATTATATGTGAGAAACAAGTAAAAAATGCAGAATCTAGTAGAATGTTACAGCTATGAACTGTCTGAGAGCTATGAACTATCCTGTACAGACTATACTCTCGCTTTATGATACTAGACTATACAAGCAGACAAGGTCCTGCTAAGGCTAGAATAGACAGCTCAGATAAAGGATGCCAATGGAAGCACCAAATCATTTCACTAAAAGACATAGGCAAGAAGATCTCATCAGCAAAACTATTTCACATTTCTCTTTCAGTTGGCCCAAAACTGTTTGATGGGTGAATCCATGACTTCAAACAAACAAACAAAAACCATTGTGTTTCTCCATTTTTACCCTGTGAGATAAACATTCCTTAATTTCAGAGAGAAAATAGACCACTTAACAAAGTTATATTAAGATAATTTTGCTGCCAAAACAAACATTTGGAAGCAGTAACACAGAAGCAAGATGGTGATCCCTGAACCTGTGATGAGAACAGACTAGAGATGCCAAATGAAGGTCAAGTGCTTTAAGGCTCTTAGAAAGTGATGTTCTCTAAGCAAAATATTTCCCAGTGTACACTTATCCCTTTGAAAGATGTGCCATAATTGGCTTTGAGTAAATAAAAATAAAGCTAAATACTTTTAGGCCATATGGCTGTTATTTAAATTTTACTTGATTTGGACTATAGATAGCCAAAAAGATCATTCCTTCACTCCCTTAGTTTATCTGAGGGAATGAAAATTAAAAGCAACATTATTGGCCAAGTTAAAACTGTGTGTTATATAATATTAGATTATAATAATATTTTGTGTGGAGTTAATCAAGATCCACCCCACAATTATAAACACACCAATTTGAATCACTGCTCTTTGCCATTGGGAGTGGTATTAAATTCCAGTCAATTAAACATGCTCATCCTTGTGTGATTAAGCTCATAGTCAAGAAACATCATAGCAAGCAAGTCAATTACTTCAGCGTGATTTTGTTAACATTTATTTGTTTCATTTCTTTCATTACATAATATTATATAAATATATTATTTTGATAAAAACTAATAAGTAAACTCGGCATAAATGTAAAAATCAAGAAATGCTGCTTATGTTGTAACCAGACCTAGATTTTGCATTTAAAAATTAGCTAATCAATATTCCTATTGAATTTTTGGCATATATGAATTAAATAACTAAGAAAGTATTTTGTGACTATCCAGTGAGGGTCCAATGTCTTCATCTAGAAGCAAGGAAACTTAATCAAAATAACATAAACCCATGTTACTAACCAACAGTCTAGAGGTAAATAAGAGTTAATTGATATTTTCATATAGCATCTGCAGATATCATTTTAACTTCTTCCAAAGGCAGCAGAGTAAATTCTTTTCTTTAGAAAGATCAAAATAGTTACATGGGTAATAATACATAATTTGTCAAATCAGCATATACTCTTACTGCTCAATGATTACATCACTTGGTCCCTGTTTTTACTTCTTTGGATTAGAAAACATGGCTTTCGTTTATGGTGGCGTGTTAACCATGTTAACATTTTAATATATATAATGATTGTATGTGGCATTTTCATCCTTTGGGCAATTGTCTCACAATAATTAAGTACTAAATTTACTATACACTGATAAACACTAATGAAAATTGTTTGCTCCTCTGTCCTTACTCTACCCTCTAGGATAGTGGTTCTCAGATTAATGTGGACCAGCAGCATTAGCATCATCTGAGAACGTGTTAGAAATGAAAATTCTTATCCCCTATCCCAATCTGAATCAGAGATTTGGGAGTGAGGCCCAACAAGCTATATTTTAATAAGCTCTCCACGTGGTTCTGAAACAGCCAAAGTTTAAAACTACTGCTCTAGAAAGATAAAATTTATCATTAGCAAATGGTCATCATCAGATTGATTTTACATATTAGATGAATATGATTAAAATGTTACATTTAGATTTGTCTTTTTTCACAAAAGACTTATTTTTAAGGAATAAGATAAACATACAGCATTTATTTAAAACAAAACAACCTTTCCTTTGCATCTTACTGAACTTAGGGTACTCGGTTTGCTCACTGTATGGAATATAATTTTCTAGTATCTCTTTACAAAAAATGATGGCTGGACCAAACATGGAACTGCAAGGAATCCTAGAAGGTTGATTACCTCCAAACCCTAGCCTACCCTATAACCTGCCTTACCCTATAACGTTGTAGGGTATATTACCCTATAGCCTAGAACATGAAGGTCAAGTTCCTCAAAATTGAACACAAAGCCACCACCACTGCAAGATCTGGTTTTGCCTGGGCCAGTGGTAAATTGGGAGCTTATGTGATTCTCTTTACTTAGTATAAGAAACTTCTGCCTGAATTACTGGTCCCAAAGTTGGCCTGGGGTCAGGCCTCTTGAAATCTGAGGACTCATTACAGGAGTCCCTCCTTATCCTCCGTTTCCTTTCCCACAGTTTTAGTTAAGTGTGGTAGAACACAGTCCAGAAATATTAAATGGAAAACTCCAGAAATCAATTTGTAAATTTTATTTTGTTTTTTAGAAACGAGGTCTCACTCGGCCACCCAGGCTGAGGTGCAGTGGCATGATCATAGCTCACTGCAGTCTCGAACTCCTGCGCTCAAGCAATCCTGCCTTAGCCTCCCGAGTAGCCAGGAGGAAAGATGTGCACCACCATGGCAGGCTTATTTATTTTTCAATTTTTTTTGTATAGAAGTGTTCTCACTATGTTGGCTAGGCTGGTCTCAAACTCCTGGCCTTAATTGATCCTCTCACCTCAGCTTCCCAAAATGCTGGGATTATAGGCATGAGAGACTGCACCCAGGGCAAGCATTTGTAAATTTTAAATTCTGTGTTATTCTGAATAGTGTAATGAAATCTCAAGCCATCCTGTCCAATCCTACCCGGGAAATGAATCATCTCTTTGCCCAATGTATCTACATTGTATATGCTACCCCGTCGCTAGTTACTTAGAAGCCCTCTCAGTTATCAGATCGATGGTGGCTGTGGTGCGGTGCTTGAGTTCAAGTAATCTTTATTTAACAATGGACCCAAAGCATAACAGTAGTGACGATGGTATATTGTCATAATTATTCTATTTTATTATAGTACTGTTGTTCATCTCTTTCTATGCCTAATTTATAAATTAAACCTTTTCGTAGTATAAATTAAATATTTTTGTAGGTATGTACCTATAAAGAAGAAACAGTATATATTTGGGTTCCATCCTATCTGAGGTTTCAGGCATCCACTGGGGTCTTGGAATGTATCCCCCAAGGATAAGCAGGACATACGCTACTTCTCAAGTTTAGCCAATAATCTGAAAGTCTTTAGGAAATGTTTCTAAAATGAAGTTTCTCAAATTTCATTCCAGACATACTAAATCTATAGCCCCAGGGGCCTTCTTTCTGATGGTTAGCCAGAAACCATTTTTAGACCTCACAAAAAATGAACTAGGATATTCACCAGAGATCTCTTTATCTTCCCAACTCTACTCCCATGCCTGAAGATAGCCCATGTGGTTGTTCTTCCTTCAGGGTTTTCTACCTAAGTCAGCCTCACATATTCTCCTATAGCCTACTGGTAAATCTATTTTCAACACAACTGCAACCATTTCTCCCAGCTATTCTGGCTTAAAAAATCCTACTTACTTCTAAAGTCTCCATCTGATACTTGTTAATTAACCCAAAATTTACTAGCACTACAATAGGTTATATACACATCACTTCCTTTTCTGGCCTTTAGAGTAGCTTTTTTTTTTTTTTTTTTTTTATCCTATAAAAGAAATTAATTAGGCATGTGCAAGGCTTGGGAAAGGGAAGAACCATCACAGAATGTTTAATTTGCATTCATAGATTATTTACTTACCTTTAGAATCTAGTTTTCTATTAAGATAATGAGCTATGAATAAGGTTAATTTTGCAATTATTGTGATTAAATTGAAATAGGAATTTTACAATGACAAAATTAAGTGTCAAAAATCAAAGACTTATAAAGGAACTTGTATACTCCTCCTTACAAAGCTATATACGTATAAGAATGCATAAGTCATACGCTCACAACATCCAAAAAGAAAAGGCTCAACAAAAGTATGTCCAAATATGTGTTGGGTTTTACTGAATGTAAATATAATAATAATTTGACAAAGGAACTTTTCAATATTTCAGAAACTACATCCTATCTTTCAGTGAAAATATCTGTTCAACTGACTTAGAGGTGGCTGTTAAAAACCTCAAGGGCCCTATACACTTAGCAGAAAAACAATTTTTTTTTTCTGCTTTCCTCCTACCTCGAACTCCCTATCACAAGAAACTATGTTGTATAAGAAGAAAAAAAAGAAACAAGAAAAAAAAATACTTGCACCAGCTATAACTGCATTTAGAAGTAGGTTTAAAGAGCTTGAAAAGGTTCTGGAGTAAACAACATTCTGCATAACTTTGACAGAAAGACACACAGGTAACTTTAGATAATGTTCCAATCAAATGAATCATTCAAAGAGTATTTACTGCACATCTGTTATTTGTACAGTTCTGGGTATGGTAAGACATATAAAATATATTGGCTGCATTAAGGAAAGTATAGTATATAGAAACAAGAATTACTTACAAAGAAAGGGAATAACAAAAGAACACTCCACCTCCAAAATAAGGCATCTGAGGTTGTGAGAGTGGTGAAAGTGCCAGACGACAGAGGAGATAATTATCAGAATGACTGGAGTCCTCTTGGAAAGCTTCATAGAAATGGGGGATTTTAGGTGGGCCTTTAAGAGCTTCAAGGTCTCAAACAGGCCTAGTCAAGGGAAAAGGCATTCCAGGTGGGAACCATAAGGAACAGGTGATAATGATCAGGAACCTGGCAAGCTTGAAGCACAGATTTCATTTCAGTTCAATAGGAGGTATTTAAGGCTGTTACCGCGCACATCGTAACCACAGTAAATATTTCAAAGTATATTGGAAACATATTTACTGCTTTTAGACAAACGCTGTTGCAACATCTTACAAATTAACTTAGGAAGCATGATTTTTAAATATTCTGAAGATGGCTGATAGCAGCAATATTATTTCCAAATAAGCCCAAAGTCTGCTTTAAAGCCAAAGCAAAAAAGCAACTTTTTGATCTCTTAAATCTAAAATAAAACAAAGTATGTACACCCCGATTAATTTATTTATAACTTTTTAAAAAATATTTTCCAAATTGTTATATTTGTCTCAGATGGATGTTTAATCAATAGATGCTGTGAAAGTATCCACTCAACATTCAGTCACATTTCATAATATAGGAGTGTTTTGGAAGAGAGTTTCTCTTCTTCTCTTCTATGCCCCTTATACTTTGCATTTGTGTAGACTACAGACCTTACAATATTTTATTGTTTATTTATTCCTTTAACAAATATTTACTGAGCTCCTAGTATGTTTCAGGGACTTAAAACACATCAGGGAGCCAGACAAATGTGATCCCTTTTCACAAGGAGGTTCGACATTGAGAGGAAGGCAGATTGAAAGTAAAAATAAAAATAGGTTATTATAAAGTGTAGTCAGCAGTATGAAGGAAACCAGCATAGGGGTGAAATACAGTCAACACTTAGTGAGGTGCTGTTTGCACTGGACCTGAATTGCTGTCATTTATATTCCTGGCTTGACCACTTTCTAGCTTATTTGACCTTGAATAAGTTATTAACCTTTATCTGCTCAGCTGCTTCACTTGAAAATTGGGGATAATAATAGTATCTATCCCATAGGATTTTTCTGAATATTAAATGATTTAAAATGTAAATTACTTAGAACAATGCCGGGCATATAGTGAAAACATAGAAATAACAACTGACAGTATAATTTCTATAACCTTTTCATTACACTCAAGCAATACTTTAGCAAGAGGAAGTACCTATTCCAAATACATTTCATTTTACTCGTTTTCTGTTTTTCAGGTGCCACAGAGGAGGAATTTTGAAACAGTAATTTACCATTGTCACAATTTTATATACAGATTGAGTATCTCTTATCTGAAGTGCTTGGGACCAAAAACGTTTTGGATTTTGGATTTTTTTTTTTTGATTTTGGAATATTTGCATATACACAATAGAGATAGATGGGATCCAAGTCTAAACAAGAACTGCATTTATGTTTCATATATACCTTATACACATAACCTGAAGATAATGATATCAATATTTTAAATAATTTTATGCATGAAACAAAGTTATTATACATTGAACCATCAGAAATCAAAAGTGTCACTATCTGAGCCACTTACGTGGACAACTTGTGGTTGTTTGGCATTACCATCATTCATGACTCTGAATTCATATACTACCGATAAGCAATTATTTTCTTATACTTCCTCACACGTAAAAATATGACATACCATTAATACCAATAAAAAATAAGAAAAAATAATGTGTTTGAGGTAACTAGCACAGTAGCATCCCCACAATACCTGAATTAGCTGTTAAACAAACGCCACACACTCGCAAAAACTGGTAGCTTTTCAGTCTCTACCTATGATACTGTTTTTGGCTTTTTTTTTTTTTTTTTTTTTTTTTTTTTGAAATAGTCTCACTCTGTCACCCAGGCTGGAGTGTAGAGGCGTGAACATGGCTCACTGTGGCCTCGACCTCCTAAGCTCAAGCTCCCATGTGGCTGAGACCACAAGCATGCATCACCACACCCAGCTAATTATTTATTTATTTATTTACTTACTTACTTATTTTTAATAGAGATAGCATCTCACTTTGTTTCCCAGGATGTTCTCAAACACCTGGGCTCAAATGAGCCTCCTGCCTTGGCCTCCCAGTGCTGGGATTACAGGCATTAGCTACCATTCCTGGCCAATGCTATGTTTCGATTAAAAGGTTACTGTACACTCTGTGTGTTTCTTAGGTGAGAAGAAACATGAGAAGCAGGTGAGGGTCCTGGAACTGGGTCCACTAGGGAGGAGTAAGCATCCTGCTGGATGGCTTTTTAAAATGTTTCCTCCAGTCATCTGTCTCATTGTTGTTTTCTGTCTTCGAAGTCTCTTTTGAACTTTATAAGCTGACAGATGGCTTGTTCTGTTGTGAATGCACACTGCTCTAGTCCTTCAGCAAGCCCATTACACATTTTCACCATGTTGTCTATAGGCACTTCTTCTGCAGTGTTAATGATGTCATCTTCATAGTCACTATTATGATAACTTTGATTCAGAACTATTTCACTACTGATCGGTGAATGAACAACTGCAGCCTAATTGCTTCTTCCATATCTATTTCTTCCAGTTTACTGAAGGACTCTGAAGGTATATTTTTTTTCATATGTAATGAGATCAGACACAATTTTTTTCTTATTTAACTTATGGAATGCCTCAAAGTCATCATTACCACTGAGCGTAGTGGTAGGCCAGAGGTTGTACGTGGCATGTATTATACAACTGCATCTTTAGTCACTGTTTCTGAATGTCAATTTCATACATAACATTCTTCATGCTAAATGCCTTTTGAAAACCTCTCACACCTATGCCTCTGTTTATTGCTGCTAGCATGCTGCTCAAGAAAGTGCTTTTATATTAAGTATTTACTTTTTTGTTGTTTTTTGTAGAGACATGGTCTCACCACACAACTCAGGCAGGTCTCGAACTCCTGGCCTCCAGTGATTATCCTGCCTCAGTCTCTTGAAGCACAGGGATTACATGTGTGAACCACAGTGCCCAACCTAGATCTACTCTTACTGCTGTAAGTATACCCTGGACACATCGTTGAATTAATGAAGTCACATTTGGAGGAAAGTACATGGCATAAACATTTTTTAATGAGAATTTCAGCTGGAGGATGAGCAGAAAAGTGTCAAGAGGTAAAAAAGTCTTGCAGATATCATCCAGTACAGCTTCTCTACAGTGAGCACTGGTGACTAATACAAATGTTTATGAAACTAATCAGAAAAGATGTCCCTTGTAATCTTTGCATTTTTGTGAGCATAACAGTAGACTCATAAAACATTCACTCCATGGAAAGAGTGAGGATGCAAGGTTTTGCCTGTCACGCAAGTTTATACTTATACATGCCTGCTGCATTACCACATCCCAGCACAGTTATTCTGTCCTTGGCATCCTTAATTCCTGTAGGAAACTGTTTCATCAGCTGTAGTTAGTGTCTTTCCAGGGCAATAATACCAAAACAGTGATGTTTCTTTAGCATTGTAGACATGTTCTTGCATCAGATTTTCATCAGTGATGACCCTGGCAAACTTGTCGATGAATTTCTCTGCTGCTTCATGATCAGCAGAGATTCTTTATTACAACAAATCTTTAAATATGTAATGCTGTGTCTTTTCTTAAATTTCTGCAACCAGCCTGTTGAATATTCACAGTTCCCTTCCATTTTCAGCTCATTGTGAGAGATCTTTGCTTGTTTCATGACCAGCATATCATTAAGTGGCATGGGTTCACTGCAACGGTGATGGATTTGCTCTTTCAATACACGATCGAGATCTTCATTTTTAGCTTTAAGGAGTGTTTTTCTATTTTTCATTAACTTCTCTTCATCACTTTTATTATGGAACTTCAACGGTTCATCCTTTTGCTTTTTAGGTCATATATAGTGGTCATTCGAACAATATAATCTTCTATAAGATGTTTCTCACTTGCTCCACCACTGTCTAGTTTCTGACTTTCTGCGCTATACATAAAACAAATGCTTCTTCTTTTTCTTGACACTGTTACCCATAGGGGTATCTGCAAGTCTTTGTGACCTTTTCAACAATATCTTTACACATAGAGCAGGGAATAAGCAAAAACAACAATAACAAAAAAAAGTACCTAAATTTTTTTTAGGTAATGGGCAATGCACATAGGTCTTGGCTCCACATGGGACGTATCATGGGAAACTTGCCCTTAGTGCATGTGGCCTGCACACATGCCATTTTATTACCTATTTTGGGCATGCTTGCATAGGGAAATTTAAGTGTGCACAGAAAAGATACATTGTAGCTGAAGGAGACTGGAAGAGTCTATTGTTTTCCTTGGCCACCCACTAAAGAAACTGTTGTAGGCATGTGTTTTGACTGTAACATAATACATGAGGGCAGGTGTTTAATTTTCCACTTGTGGCATCAGATTGGCACTAAAAAAGTTTTAGATTTGGGGTTTTCAGCTTAGGATGCTCAACCTGTACTATATTCTGATGAACAAATTTACAGTTGAAAATAAATTGCTGAGCATCTGATTTTTTTTTCACGTGGAATAATTTTCTTTTGCAGAATAATAGGCACAGAAATGAACACCCAAGACTGAGCTTACATAATTGAGTTTAAGAAAGTTCCAGGGTATTACGAAAAACAAGGAATGAACAGATAAGTAAATGGTCAAGAAAAGAGTTATCTGGACTCCCAAAAGAATGAAATAACTCAGATTGGCAAAAGGAGTTATTCAGCTTTACCTTCATATTAGGAAAGCCTATTTAAACCAAGAAAAATATGCCCAAATGAGAATCCTTTACACCAATCAGAAGTGGAGCAGAATAGAGCTCCTTAAATCTGAATGTGTGAATCACCTGGGAAATTATATTAAAATGTAGATTCTGATTCATGAGATCTGGAGTGAGCCCCAAGATGGGGCAAGGATACTTTGCTACTCAAAATGTAAACAGATGAGCAGCACTAGCATTACCTAAGAGCTTGTCAGAAATACAGATTCCCAGGCTCTAGACCTACTGAATCAGAGTCTGAATCAGGATTTTGCTCACATGATCTGCAAGTAATTCTTATGAACATTGAAATTTGAAAAGCACTGGAATCAAGGAACTGGGGGCTACTGACATAGTGGCCAAATTGTCCGGGTTGGACTGGAACCTTCCTCATTTTAGCACTGAAAGTCTCCTGTCTGGGAAACCCCTCACTTCCAAACAAACCATGACAGGTTAATTGGCCACCCTAGCTATGGATCCCATAAATGGGACTGGAGTTTTCTGCGCATGCCGCAGTGTTTTAAAGGTCATTTCTGTGATATAGTACAATTAACATATTGCTTCCTGTCTTCTGCTAGCTGTGCAGTCTTCAACAAACCACTTGGCCTCTCTAAGGTCAAGTTTCTATATATGTAAAAAGAAAATAATATTTACCTCTCATGGTAGTTTTAAGGATTAAGTGAGTTATAATATACTTGAGCATGCTCTGCATACAAAAACATTTTTAAATGGTTGGTGTTAATATTGATGCACAGTTCTTATAAAATAAGTGACTGAAATCTGATTTTAGTACTTTAAGCATGACTAATTAAGATTATGGATTCCAGCTTCAAATCAGTATAGGAAAGAAAAAATAACGAGAAGAAAACAGAGAGTAAGGAAGAAAGAATAAAGTATGTGTGATGGAAAGGGTAAATAGGTTAAAGGTCCAGTCCCAGTAGCAGGCACCAGTTACTTGGTTGGCATACACTGGAGGTTGGTATGGCTTCACCACGTTAATTCTTTTATTTATCATGTATGGCTACTCTTGAGCCACCCTGAAAGACTTGAGTACTCGTGACAGAAATTGTATGCCCAGCAAAGTTGAAAATATTTACTATCTGGCCCTTCACAGAAAAGTTTGCCAACCCCTGCTCTATAGAATATTAGCAAAGCTTCAAAAAGAATCATATGGTTTATTCAGGCTGAGCATAGACTTGCATATACTTCTATTGCAGTAGCACACTGTACTGACATTATGCAATTATTGATCGGTCTTTCTTAGGTGAACTGAATGTTCCTCAAGGACAAGAATCATGTCTTATTTCTCTTTTTGTCTCCAGAGCCTAACAAAGAACCTGGTTCATAAAAGGTGGTCAATAAATGAATGTTAAATTGAACTGAGCTACTAGCTGAAGTTTATTTATATTTTAGATTTAAGGCAGATCAGTGAACTGGAGAATTAATTTACATTTCTTTTAATAGACACTAGATCCTTCTGATTTCTTAGTTAAAAGCTAATTTACTATTATTACTTTTTTCAAATATACCTATCTGGCACACCAAGAAAAGGTAATTAAGACTAAAACTAGAAGTTCTCCATTTGGAGTAAGAAAGTATTGTTGTATCCGCCTGCAAAGTCTAATAAAGCCCACAAAGCAAAATTTTTATATATATGTTTATCTATGTTTATGTAGTTTAATAACTTTAATATTGAGAAGTTTAATAACTTTAATATTGAAAAATGTCTGTGTCCAAAGTTTGAACAGTCTCAGTTAACATTACATATGCACTTTCAGTAGTTAATTAGCCAATGCTACTGCAACTACTTATCAGGTACAATTCAGGACTTACAACTGTATTTAGCATTCCACAAACATCTCTTACCCTCAATTAAATTCTTTGCTATTTTGATAAAGCTACCATACTGTTTTAATATCAGAGAATAATGTGGACAGTGGCACTAATTAAGGGGTTAGCCTATGAATAACTGATGGATTTATGAAAAGCACCGTAAGAAATATGCTTTCTTCAGTAAATTGGAGTACACAAAAGCTAATACAGTTCAAATAAATCTAATAAATGTCAAGGCCAAGGTTTCTTAAGAAAAGCATGTACATTACAGAAAGACAATTCTAAAAATAAATATTTATAGAAGAAATTGAAAAATATTCACCTTTTAAACATACAATTTTCCCCCTATTAGCTGCTATCATTAGCCTGCTTTTAAATGTTAAAAAAGTAAACTTAATTTTGGAAAACTTTTATAATGCAAGACCAATGGACTGGGGAAAAATACTTTACATTTATGTTAAATTCCTAGATACAAAATAGAGCAGATGCATTATTAACAATGTTATTTTGTTCCACTTCTAAGTAAAGAAATATTAACAGTGCCCCCTAAATACTGGAAAACCAGTAGTAAATGTATCAATAACAATTGTGTTTACATTTTTATTTTTAAATTTTTAATTGCATGTTTTAGTCTTTTGCAGTCATCATAATGTCTTTATATTTCTCAGGCAGGATAATGCCACAGATATGAGATTTTCTGATAAAAGTTCAATATTTTTAAGGTTGATAGTTTTAATTCTTCTAATAGATGATTATTCTTCACTACTGCTAACAGATACAGATACAATTTAATGATACCACTATAAACTGGGTTTTAGCCATGACCTACATATGCAAATAGATTAAAATATAGGTTTTGCCTGGAATGGAGCAAATCATTCTTAAAAATATACATTTGTGGTCTCTCAGACATGGGAAAAATTCTGGCCTAAGATGAGTTTCCTATGTGCTGAAACAATGGCTCACTTTTAGGTACTATAAAAGAATCTGACTCAACATGCAGATTACTTCCAGGATTCACGTGAAAATTTGAAAGCTGAAAATGTGCAATGGTTACATGGATTTGAACATTAATGTAAAATGTATCAAGGTTATGATTAAGGTTCTATTGACCTGCCCCAAAATTTAGTGATGGAGGGCAATGAACTGCAGATCAGAAAACCTAAATTAAGCTCCAGGATTTATTTTCCATCAGTCTATCTACTGCAGACCCTTGAGGGAGTCTTCTCTTCTCGAACTTGAGTTTAAGAAGTGTTTGGCCCAAAAGGCAAATAAAATCTAAAATAATGTGTTCTCTGCAATTTGAGGCTTACAATAAAACCAGATATCTGTAAGTGTTTGGTGGGATGGGAATATGAGTTTCCAGTGAATAGATCACAAATGTTTGGCTGCCTCAGTTTCCCTAATGGTAAAATGAGATTATAATAGGGTATCCTTGTACACTGTCGTGAGGATCAAATGAATTCATACATAATGCACAAAGCATAATGCCTAACATAGAGGTAGTGCTAAATAAATGTTAGCTATTATAATTATAGAAAACAAATTAAGTAATTTGCTATATCCAGATACCCATTCACCTTTGTAGAAGATTAGAAATTACAATAAAAGAAGTGTCAGGATAATGCCATTCTCATTGACTAGAACTTTAATGATGCAAGAGTAAAAAACACGAAGGAAATCTTAATCTAAGGAAACATGGTTAAATACACTGTTCCTGTTGTCACCAATCTTTTTTGTTTTACTCTTTTATTTCTTCTTTGGTTTCTATTTATATCACCCTCTTTCTGTTGTTGTTGTTGTTGTTGTTGTTGTTGTTGTTTGCTTTTTGGTTTTTTTGAGACAGAGTTTTGCTCTTCTGCCCAGGCTGGAGTAAAGTGGAACAATCTTGGCTCACTGCAACCTCCTCTTCCCCGGGTTCAAGAGATTCTCCTGCCTCAGCCTCCTAAGTAACTAGGATTATACGTGTCCACCACCACACCCAGCTAATTTTTGTATTTTTAGTAGAAACAATGTTTCACCAGGCTGGTCTTGAACCCCTGATCTCAGGTGATCCACCCGCCTTGGCCTCCCAAAGTGCTAGGATTACAGGCATGAGCCACCGTGCCCGGCCCCTCTCTTGTCTTTTAACCTTCTTCACAATTTAGCATTTTCTCTTTTTTCTGTTTTAATATCCATTTGTTTTCTTCTTTAAGGATTTGCAGTCTTTACCTGTCTGCCATTACAGCTTGAGGGCACAAATCAAAACAATAAATAAAAAAGACCTTGGAATGAACTCTCTTAATAATGAAGACTCATAATTAAAAAGTCAAAAAACAATAGATGTTGGTGTGGATGTAATGAAAGGGAACACTGTTACACTGCTGGTGGGAATGTAAATTAGTACCACTATGGAAAACAGTATGGAGATTTCTTAAAGAACTAAAAGTAGAACTACCAATCCAGCAATCCCACTACTGGATATCTATCCAAAGGAAAAAAAGTCATTATATGAAAAAGACACATGCACACACATTTATAGCTGCACAATTCTCAATTGCAAAGCTATGAAACCAATCTAAGTGCTCATGGACCAACGAGTGGATTAAAAAAAAAAATATATATATATATACACATACACACACACACACACACACACACACACACACACACACACACACACCCCTTGGAATACTACTCAGCCATAAAAAGAAGCAAAATGTCTTTTTGAGCAACTTAGATGGAGATGGAGGCCATTATTCTAAGTAGCTCATGAATGGAAAACCAAATATTGTATGTTCTCATTTATCAGTGGAAGCTAAGTTATGAGGACACAAAGGCATAAGAATAACATAATAAACTTTGGGGACTTGGAGGGAAAAGTTAGGAGGGGGTTGAGGGATAAAGACTACATATTGGGTACAGTGTGCACTTCTTGGGTGACTGGTGCACAAAGATCTCAGACGTCACCACAAAAGAACTTAACCATGTAACCAAAAACCACTTGAACCCCCAAAACTGTTGAAATAAAAGAAAATTATCAAGGCTCTGCTGGTTTTCAATAAGGTGGGTATTTGGTAGGCATACAACTCAAGAAGTAGGAGCAGCAGTGCTCAAGTAGGCAACTCTGAAAGCATTCAATGTGACCTGACCTTAATTCAGTACTTTTTTTTTTTTTTTGAGACAGAGTCTTGCTCTGTTGCCCAGGCTGGAGTGCAGTTGCATGATCTCGGCTCACTGCAAGCTCAGCCTCCCCAGTTCATGCCATTCTCCTGCCTCAGCCTCCCGAGTAGCTGAGACTACAGGCACCTGCCACCACGCCCAGCTAATTTTTTTTATTTTTAGCAGAGACGGGGTTTCACCGTGTTAGCCAGGATGGTCTCGATCTCCTGACCTCGTGATCTGCCTGCCTCAGCCTCCCAAAGTGCTGGGATTACAGGCGTGAGCCACCGCGCCCAGCCAATTCAGTACATTTTTAGAAAAATAATGGAACTATAGGTAAATAGAACTAGTAGATTAAAGAAAGATTTGCCATGTTATATTTGTATACAACATAAGTCCGTTGGCAAATCTTTCTTTAATCTATAATATAACATCTAGCTTTCTTAAAATTCAGTAGACCTTAACTCGAAGAAAATTACTTGCTATGTAACCTGGTGTGAGGAACAACTCCATTACCTGTGTTCCTCTTTCCCTGATTTCCTGACTCTCCTTATCCTTGGACACATAGTAAGTGAAACTGTCTCCAGTTCAATATTTTTTATACATTAGTAATAATCATATATTACTGTCTCTTTTCTGGTTTACTTACTCAATCCAGAGGGAGGGTGTTATTCGTTTTTGGAATAAATCACTGAATTTCTATAATTTCACTATCTTTTTTTTTTTTTCAGTAATAGCGTAAAAGCAATTCAAAGGTTAAGGTTTAAGGCATAGATTTAAGAAATTCCAATTGATATCCAACCTTGATGAATGCAAGATGTTCTGGTAGAAAATTCTATAATATATTTTTATCTCATTATTTAAAAGCAACTTTAAAAGCACTATGAACAATTCCGTTACTCATTACCTGTTGTATTCTGAGAAGCATAATTGAGGTCAGAAAATTATGTGATGAAAGTATGGGGTCTGAAAAACCTGCAATTCATCAACACAAAAGAACAGAAAAGCAAACCCAAATACCTCTCCCTAAGTGAATGATATGCTTGTTCAATAGGAGAAATGGCTGGCAGAAGTTTTCCTGTTTATAGAGAAAAAGGCTGAATTCTTTAAAGCTATCAGTTTGATTTTTGTGCTATAAGTTTTAAATTTTTTAAATTAATTAAACAAATAAATGGGTTTATGACATTAAGGAAATTATTTCCATTACAGCATTGGAGAAAGAAATAATAATCTACCCGATGCCTTTGCTTTTTGACCAATTGGTGTAGCTGTGTAGATTAGTCTACATTGTGTAAATTACTCTAAAATTATCTGGGAAGTATTATTTAAAAACCAAATTATATAGTCTCAAGTATCATGTTTTCTCATCTTTTTTTTTTGCTATTATTTTTCTAGTTGTTTTTTATTTTATCTCTTCTGCCTTTTTACTGTCTCTAAATGGCCAGAATAAATAAATGGGATAACATAGGGTAAACATGGCCTTCTAAACCCTGAAGCACTAATAGGCAAAGAATCACCATTCACAATGATCTTTCCATTTCTGATGAGTTTTCCATTACTACAAAAACAACTTTTATATCGTGCTTACCATTGACAAGGGATGACTGTTACAAAGAAACTCTGAAGAGAGCAGTTGACCAACTTAAGCAGATAATAAAAGAAATATGTTGTAAACAAGATAAATTGCAAATCTAATTCTTTGAAAAATATATTAAAAATAATGTCTACCTCTAAATTAAAAATTTGAGAATTTCCAAACGGAAATAGACTAAGATTAGTGAAATCACAGATTTTCTTCTTTATAGAAGAAATTCTAGTTAACTGGTCTCCATTACCAGTCGTTTTTACTATTCTCTTACATATTGCTCTGTGGTCATTTGAATTTTATTACACTCTGTTTTGTTGACCGCTAAAAGAATAAAAGAGTTTAATTTGTAGAAGCAACAAGACATACAATGCTAATAAAATTTGGAAATTTAAGTGGTGGGAAAAATGTGATCAATGTGTACCTGTGTATGAGGTAATTATTCAAAAAAATAATCATTACTGCTGACTAAAAATAAGTTATATATTTGGATTTGTGTTTGCTATATTTAAAGTGTTAAGAATGTTTAAAGATTTGAAATGCCATGGAGACATGAATAGTAAGTGAACTGTGGCTTCTGGTTTTATGCCCAGGACATTTTTTCCCTCTTTCTCTGAGAACCCTCACATCCCTCTGCCACACTTTATTAATCCATACATGATTGGAATCAAGTCTTTACAAATATCAAGCCAATACTATTTTCAGTTACAATGACACTCAGATAACAGACTGGATACTGACCTGCTATTTTAGTCACTTTCTGTTTCACACTGTATTGAGTTGAATAGTGTCACCTTCCCCCAACACACCTGGAAATTCATGTCTATCCAGAAGCTGTGAATGTGATCGAATTTGGAAATAGGGTCTTTGCAGATGCAAGCAAGTTAAGATGAGGTCATAGTGCAGTAGGGTGGGCCCTTGATCTAAAATGATTGATGCCCTATAAGAAGAGAGAAATTGGGACATAGACACACAGGGAGAATGCAAATGTGATCATGGATCCCAGAGACTGACATGATCCAAGGAATGCCACGGATTGCAGGTAACACTGCAAGTTAAGAGAAAGGCATGGAAGTCTTCCCTAGAGTCTTCAAAGAGCATGGACCTGTGAACACCTTGATTTCACACTTCTATCCTGAAGGACTGTGACAGAATCATTTTCTGTGTTTTAAGCCACTTAGTTTGTGGTACTGTGTTTTCACAATCCTGGGAAGCTACTATACATATTATTTTTTTAACTCCTCATTTTTCTAACTCTTAATAGCATGGCTTACATCTTTTCTATGTCCTAATAATTACCTGTAGAGACAAACATTTTTAGCAAAAATGTCTTCTCCACATAGGCCACTTGAGCCACCGCCCCTAAGAAGCTTCCTGTCATCTCCATGACTTGGGCAATTCCCCTGTCTTAGTTTCTCACCTTGTATACCTTCCTTTGATAATATTTATTTTAATTACAATTTTATACTTGTTAGTTATTTGGGTAAAGAATGTCTCACTTGCTTGAAGAGAGGCTCCATGAGTACAGGTACTCAATCTGGTTTTGCTCACCCCTGTGTTCCCAGCATCGAACACTCTTCCTGGCTCATAACCAGGGGGAACATGGTGAAGGAATGAATGAATGTTATCTTTCTATGTTTCCAATTATAAATCCTCATTTTCCCCCTTTGAATCCTTATAACTCTTTCTCTGAACTTCTCTTAATTTACTTATTGTTTCTTTTCTACGGCTCTTACTATTCCATTTCATAGGAATTCTCACCAAGAAAGGTGAGAGAGCATTCATATTTTCCAAAATAAGTTTGTTTGAACTCCACCCTCAATGACCCCAGATATTGATTTTTCTATAGGTAGGGAACACAGATGTTTTCATTTTGTGAAGCTCCTCCATATTCTCGATATGCTCTATTCTTATCTCCCGCTCTGGTAAAGAAGACTAAAAGACAGCAGAAGACAAGGTATCAAGCCCCAGAGCTCCAACACTTTCTAGTCAACAAAATAAGATAGAATGGTTCATTTACTGCTTCTCTACATTTCCATCTAAAAAAACACTGTTATTCACACAGTTCTGTGTTTAAAAATATATTTCTCTGTAATGTAATACTTAGATGCACGGATGACTAGATTTGATATATTTAACTGTATTCCAAAATTGACTAATAGTATATTCAATCGGTACATTTTATTCAGTTTTTAAATAGCAAATTATCATAAATTTCCACACTTTAATATCATTTTTTTCCAAGAAAAGAAAATTTTGAAAAAGTTGATTATTATTTTAGGGTCATTAGAAAACTGATGAAGGTATTATAAAGTCAAGGAATAATCTGAAAGAAATTAAACAGAAATGATAAAATCAGGTCTCTGAAATAAATTCTATTTCTGCTAAAATAACTGTAAAAACATGTTGAGTTAGTATGAATGGAAATGTAGTAAATAAAAATGCACAAAAAGAACATCTTACCTAATAATAGATATTATCTATACCCTCACAAAAGAATATTACCTTGTGAGTTTAAAATATTTACTGGACTTGGAAACAGACAAGAAAACGTTCCTGAGAGATTCATTGTTAGTAAACTCAAGAAATTACGTTGCTTCAAATCAACAATGATCTTATCACAACTGATCCTCACTTTTCTCCCAGAACTTATTCTACAGTAACAGAAAATTCAATCTTCAACTGTGTGTAGGTAAAACTCAAAGAGTTTAAAGGTGGTTCTCAGAGTACTAAATATAGAAACAATAAAATCCTAAATCCTGATTGTTCTTAATTTGGACCATATTCATTGCA
Source organism: Homo sapiens (assembly GCF_000001405.40). Classification (NCBI taxonomy): domain Eukaryota; kingdom Metazoa; phylum Chordata; class Mammalia; order Primates; family Hominidae; genus Homo; species Homo sapiens. The sequence continues at coordinate 174,992,136 of NC_000003.12, read as the reverse complement.
ATATCTCAGAGTCACCTGTGTATTTTGTTAAACCTTCAGCTACATTTTAATGGGTCACTAGATACCAAAAGTAATTGCTCTAATGGCTCACTATGCCATTTAAATCATGGAGTTATTGCTTAGTAGAATAAAACAGTAAATTATGATTTATTTTATAATTTATATTTATTAAGGTCAATTTTAATATTAATTGCTTTTGACTGATCCACATCTCCTCTGAAAACTCCTATGGATTTTCAATCAAGACAAGAATATTCTATTCATACAAACGTTACCTTTCCTAAAAGTTTCATTCAGTCATGTGCAAACACAGACAATAATGTTAACACATGCAACTTTAACTGAATGTTAATGTTTTCAAACATAATACTAATAGTAAAGATCATTATATGCCTATTCTCTCAAGTGAACAATAAGGCTTGTGTTCCATATTCTGTTCCATATTCTCAAGGACAGCTTTTATCACTTCCATCTCCATACAGAAGCATATTTTAATTGCTTATTCTCTTCTGGCTTCTTTCTCCTTTATCTGTCTTCCAGCTTTTTGTTGTTCTGTACATAGGGCGATGAGTTTCAGAATAAGATGCAGGACACATCTGATTGTACTTGAATGGTAGCTAACGTTGTTATATAAAATTTAAATAAAACATATATCAAATAAAAAATTAAATGTCTCTAAAAATATGTTTTTATAAATCATTTTTGTAACATTTTCATAATTTTGACATGACAGAGATTTCTATCATTAGAGAAAATGAAAAATCAGTAGGTAACCTCCAAGAAAACAAAGAAAATGCCTCTAAAGAATATTAAAAGACAAATGAATTTTAAATCTCTATTACTAGAATGTAAGCTCCATGAAAGCAAGGAAAATTGTCTCTTGTATTTACTGTTCTACAACAGCAATAACACTAGTGGCTGGCATACAGCGGTACTCAATAATAACTTATTGAATGAATGAAGACTAAATATACAGGAATGTCAATTGAAAATATTCATCATTTTTGTGCTTCTTTGTGCCACAAAGCTAAATATCAAGGTTTTTTTTAAATTAGTTTCTGTTAATTACAAGGAAAAGAAGGGTTGTGTAAAATATTATAGAAAGTGGTATTTACGTATAATGCATACATAAATGCTTATATTTTTATTCACTGTAATATATGAATTTTTGACAGTGAACAGGATTCTGTAATGGCTCTAACAAGGCAATTTCAAAGCTAACAAAGCTCTAGGGGAGTGCCTTTCACTTCTGACTGCAAATAGATTCACTTGTAGAGAGGTCAACAATACTGATACCTCGGTCCCATGTACCCCAGACCAATCAAATCAAATCTACTGGAAATAGAGCCAGCCATCAGTATTGTTTTTAAAAGCTCCCCAAGTGATTCAAATGTGCAGAGAGTGTTGAGAGCCACTAATCTAGGACAGCAATGAAAATATACTTGTATATGCAGAATATGATACCTATATCTGTTTCGAGCTTTAGAAATTTTTCCTATGTACGACCCAGCTTTTTTTGGTTTTTATCGACTTTTGAAAAGTTCCTCCCGGCTTTCCATATATACAACTTTTAAAAAGCTATGCTTATTTAAAACCACCTTCAAAAAAATCAATCCCTCACTTCAATTTGTTTTATAGAACTTCTATAAAAACCCTCCAACTATATCTAATATTTTTGGAACTGAAATCTCTGAATTGATTTAGAAAACCTTATTTCCTACGAGACGCAAGGCTTGGCTTCATTTTTTCGGCTCAGGATTGGTAATGGATACCATGTAAATTGTATACTGTGTAAGAGACTGATAAAATATGTTTCAGATGTGATGATGTGACAGCAGACTAGCTGTCAGTCATGCCAACATGATCAGATAAAACAGCAAAAATATCCTAGGTTTCCAGTAACTTAAGAAACATTATATCAATAGTTTCGACTTAGAACCAACGTGGGTATGAGGATCTAATGGAGGTGTTTATCAAAGGATGTAGTGTGGCATTTGCGGAAATTTAATTCTCTAACGCTATTTCAAGATACATCATATGGATAAAGCTTTGTCTATCCTCATGCATATTGATTTACTTACACAAAACACCATATTTTTTTTCAATAGGAAATCTCTTTTTACGGTTTTCATGAGGAATTTATAACCAATGCTACTTATGAAGACCAAGTGAAGCAGCAAATAAATTTATTATATTAAAACAATGAGGGGAGATCCAGAAATGAGGTCAAAAATTAAAACAAAAAGTACTATCTCCTTACTATATATGCAGATTACCATTTTGCTTAGTTTTCCATGCATGAAACTCTATCATTCCTGGTTCTTCTATATCCATATGCAATTAATGACCAGATCTTATAAAATACATATTACCAAAGTAGTCTTGCCTGACTCGGGTTCAATTTCTTACTGCACTGCCTCTTTCAGGGCTTATAGACTCAGGCTTATATTTTAGTTATAGCCTTTAAACTCATCTTCTTTATAATCATTTCTTCTTTCCTTTAGTCCATATTACATATTCTAGCAGTTTAATATTTTTAAGAGCTCATTCTTATCACCTTGTCCTACTAAAATTTGTCCCTACCTACCAACAACATAAAAACCAAAATCCCTCATTTGACATTATAAAACATATGTGATTTTTTCCAACTAATTGTTCATTACAATATTTTCTTCCTTCTCTTTACTAATTTATGAAAAAATTGAAACACCATATTCAATGGCCTTTTACGAAACAAAATGTAAGTTTCTTTCTACCATTAAATGTAAAGTGTGGAGCCAGAAAAATTTACAATTACATGCTAATTGCACTACGTTCCCTAAAAACTTATCTGTCTGAAATCCTGACAGTACCTCACAATGTGACTGCTATTGTTTGGATGTTTGTGTCCCAAATCTCATTTTGAAATTTGGTATCCAGTGTTGGAGGTGGGGCCCGATGGGAGGTATTTGAGTCATGGGGACAGGTCTTTCATGAATGGCTTGGTGCTGTCCTCACGGTCATGAGTGAGTTCTCACTGTATTAGTTCCTATGAGAGCTGGTTCTTAAAAAGAACAGGGTATCTCCCTTCCCTCTCTCTCCTACTTCTTTGGCCATGTGATGTCTGTACACATCAGTTCCTCTTCACTTTCCACTGTGAGTGAAAAGAGCTTGAGGCTCTCACTAGACGCAGATGCAAGTGCCATGCTTTTTGCACAGTCTGCAGAACCATGAGCCAAATAAATCTCTTTTCTTTATAAATTACCCAGCCTCAGGTAGTTTTTATAGCAACACAAATGGACTAAGCCAGTGACTTTACTTGGAAATAGGGTCATTACAGATCTAATTAGTTAAGATGAGGTCATACTGCAAAAAGGTCAGTTCCTAATGCAATTTGACTGATTTTCTTATAAGGAGGGGACATTTGGACACAAACATGCACACAGGAGAACACTATGTGGAGATCAGAGTTATGCTGTCACAAGCCAAGAAACTACTAGAAGCTAGGAGAGAGGCTTGAAATAAATCTTTCCTAGTGCCTTCAGAGGGAATATGGCTCTGCCAACACCTTGATCATGGGCTTCTACCCTCAAGAACAGTGAGAAAATAAATTTATGTTGTTTAAGGCACTCAGTTTGTGGCATGTGGTTGTGGCAGACCAGAAAACTAATACATTGGCTGAATGATTATTTTAAACTTTTAGTTCATTTTTTTGTTCATTTCAAAAAGTAGGGATTATGACATCTATATTACATGGTTACCGTTAGGATTATGAAACACTATTTGTTAAGTAATATAAGTCCTGACTATAAGTTATTTTCCTTCCTCTTCATTCTTCACTGCTTCTACTGTATATGAAGTACAGGTACCTGGGTAAATTAAAGCTTAACTGGATGTTAGTTACTTCAACTGTAAAATAGTAAAAATAAATGCTTCTCCTGACAGTAACCTATACCACAGAGTTTCTTGTGGCTCCTTCTAGCTCAGAGTTCTTTGATTCATGAGCAGAACTCAATTCCTTGATCTTGTCTTAACTGCTGATCTCCACTGATAGTTTATTTTTCGGATCCTCGGAGATCACATAACTTGAACCATGACTGATACTACCATATTTTGTTCATCACATGTTAACTCTTAACTTATTTTACAGTTTATCAAATACATTGCTATGGTCTAAAAAATTCTAATAGGGCCAGACACAGTGGCTCATGTAACTCCAGCACTTTGGGAGGCAAAGGTGGGATGACCCATTAAGGCCAGGAGTTCAAGACAAGCCTGGGCAACCTAAAGAGACCTTGTCTTTAGGACCTTGGAGAGACAAGGTCTCATTATATATATATATATAATTATATATATATATATAATTAACCAGGTATGGTAGTGCATGCCTGGGGTCCTAGCTACTCAGAAGGCTGAGGGAGGAGGATCACTTGAGCCCAGGAGTTCCAGGTTACAGTGAGCTATGATCACGTCACTACACTCCAGACTGGTGACAGAGTGACACCCTGTCTATAACTTCAAAAAAAATAAATTCTAATAATGCTCTCTGATGAGTATTGTTTTTTTTTTTTTTTTTTTTTTTTTTTTTTGAGACGGAGTCTCGCTCTGTCGCCCAGGCTGGAGTGCAGTGGCGCAATCTCGGCTCACTGCAAGCTCCGCCTCCCGGGTTCACGCCATTCTCCTGCCTCAGCCTCCCAAGTAGCTGGGACTACAGGCGCCCGCCACTACGCCCGGCTAATTTTTTGTATTTTTAGTAGAGACGGGGTTTCACCGTTTTAGCCGGGATGGTCTCGATCTCCTGACCTCGTGATCCGCCCGCCTCGGCCTCCCAAAGTGCTGGGATTACAGGCGTGAGCCACCGCGCCCGGCCGAGTATTGGTTTTGATGGTAGGAAAAATATAGGTATTTTACAAGAATTCTAAAAGTGCAGATTTACACTCGTTTTTTATTAAGCATGTACATATTTTTGGTTATTTTATCATAATCAACAGATATCCTTTAAACCCTAAATTTCAGCACTTACATTGCTGAAATGAAAGACCATTAATGAATGGATTTATATTGATCAAAATACTCTTAACAAATTTATCCCACTCACTGCCAAATGGTCAATGGGAAGTGGGCAGTGCATTTAGTTTGTAAATTTTTAACCAGATTATCAAGTGTTTGGTCTGAAAGAGTAAACTCTGTAATTCCTCTTTAAGCATTAAAAAACTGCCAACTCCTATCATCAGAAAGCACAAAATGTATGAATCATCCCTCTCTGCAGAGCCTTACTTTAGTTTGATGTCTCCCTACAGTGGCCAAATTTGTCCATGGAGAAATAAATACCCTCCTACTAACCCTTGTCTACCACTATTCAAAAGTAATTCTAACACCATTTAATTAGTAAGTAATTTACTACCCAATATTCATGAAGTTATCATTCTAAACCATCTTGAAACACTTAAGAGAAGCACAGTTTCAGGAATTAATCAGCAATTGGAATACATCTAGCTCAGAAAACTTTAGAGAGCCACCTTATAATACTCAAACTTTGATTGTCCATATTAATTAAGATATGCTACCTAGCATTAACAAATAACTACTACTTAATTTTGAGTACAGAACTAGTTATCTTCTAACTATGGTCTAGTTTCCACCATTTAACGGAAAAACTAATATGCTAATGAGAAATAATACTATGAGAAATAAATGAAAGAATGTAGCTTTGCAAACCTTATAGCAACTAAACATAACAAAATATAACAACATATACAAACATAAAATATAACAAACTACAGCAACTAAACATAACAAAATATAACAATAATCCTTATGGAATATATATATTGTATATATATATTGTGTATATATATTATATATATTGTGTATATATTTTATATATATATATTGTGTATATATATTGAATATATATATACACACATCTACATGTTGAGCAGTGGGTGCTAGGTATTTTCTAATAGTAATCTACATGTAATCAGAAATTTGTATATATGATGCAGAGAGGTGCAATCTTGATTGCTAATGTTGATATATAACCTGCTAAGATTTCAAACATATAATTTTTATTGCCTAAAAAGGACTTAAATTAATCTCATGTAGACAATGACAAACTTATAGATGTCATCGTCACCAATTATCAGCAATTCAGTACAAATACTCTTGTTTAGCATGCTTTTTTTTGTTTTATTTTGTTTTTTTTGAGACGGAGTTTCGCTCTCGTTGCCCAGGCTGGAGTGCAATGGCGTGATCTCAGCTCATCACAACCTCCGCCTCCCAGGTTCAAGCAATTCTCCTGCCCCAGCCTCCCAAGTCGCTGGGATTACAGGCATGCACCACCACACACAGCTAATTTTGTATGTTTAGTATAGACGAGGTTTCTCCATGTTGGTCAGGCTGGTCTCGAACTCCCGACCTCAGGTGACCATCCCGCCTCAGACTCCCAAAGTGTTGGGATTACAGGTGTGAGCCATTGCGCCCAACCTACCCTTTTTAAGAACTCAGAAAATATACCTTGTTTCAAATCTCATCCAATATAATACCACTTTTGATGGCCTTCTGCTTTTATTATGGCAGCACTAAAAAGCAGCCAACGTTCACACAGACATGTTATCCAGAATTTAGATATACAGGTAGAAATTTTAAGGTCACATTTTGTTTCCAAGATTCCAGGGAGATTGTGCCCATTTAACAGTCACAGTTCACATCTACCTCAAAAGATTTTTCTTGAAACAGAGATACATTGATAGAGAAAAGAATAATTCTGACATATTCTTATATTTTCACTCAAAGATGGCCAGAGGTAGTTAAAGTATGATTCTTATTCACCAACATCTGTGAATCACTTCTAAAATCGTTACATTTTCACATCATTTCCGCCAAATATCTCTACACTTCGGAATCTAAGATTCTATTATACTCAGATCTGATCAACAGTGAACACATCATCTAATTCTCATAATATTATTTAGCATTTTAGTTTGAGTATGAATATCAAACAATGTTTGTGGTTTGTTTTGCTTTTTCCCTACGTTCCAAATTCTATGTGCTCAGATGTCAGGACACATCTGTATGGAAGTATGATCTGAACCATTGGTGTTAGGTGAGTTAGATTTCTCAAAACACTTTCATCATGACCTTAGGAAGCACCTCAGTATATACCTTCTGCAAGTTTCTAACATCTTACCAAAATGCTAAGTTAAATCACATATCTAAATATTTTCTGAATATTCACAACCTATTGATGGGTTAGAGGTACAGGCAAAAAGATTTCTTCTTCCATTACAATGTAGCTTGTAACTCTACAGAGGAATAATGTATGGAATCTGAAAACACTAGCCTTCACTTGGTTCTTGAACAAACTATCTTCTCCCTTCAATTGTATGTGCCTTCCCTATGATGAGTTCATTTACCTTCTTCAAGTTTACTTCAAATTTCTCAAATACCTTACATAACATAATTTCAGGAGCTTAAAGTTTATTTGTGATTTCTTATTACATGAAAAAAAAATTGATATCAATCTGTATTTCTCTTTCCCCATTTCAGATGTGTTCAAATTTTGGCATGCATCAGAATCAGCTAAAGATTTTTAAAACAGATTCCTAGGTCCTGTCCTTGAGTTTCTGATCCATTGGGTTTTGCACTGACAATAAGATCCCAAGTGATGCGAATGCTGCTGTTACTAGAACCATGCTTTCAGAAACACTACTCTACTGCGTAGTGTTGAAAAAAAAAAATTAAACAAGCTACATTCATGAATCAGTCCAAATGTGGTAGACTAGCAACCCAGTTTTGGTGCAACTGGAAGACCACCTACAAATATACACATTCAGGCACACTTTTGCTACCATCTGATCCCTGAGCAAAAAAAGTGCTACAATTTTTCAATGTAAATTGCCATGATTAAATCTAAAATATAGTTTTATATGACAGTGATTTAATATACATGGTTTTAGACCAACCTTTTATGTTTTTATATTTTGTAATTTATTTGTTTACAGAGTTGCATTTGAAATACGTTGTTATTGTGTGTGTGTTTTTTTAAAACATCTCAAGCGCTTCTTTATAATTTGTTTTACTAATCATAATCATTGTGGGACATCTTATCTACAAATAAAGGTCTGAAGATGCAGACATGGATGAGAATTGAGACTAAATGTTGGGGTGAAGTGGAGAGGAAAGCTATTGAGACTGTGTGATGTGGTAGTATGTATTCATCAAGTTTTTTATTTTGTGTATGTTTTTATATTTTGACATCTTTGGGCCTTGCTCATCTTGAAGAAACTACCCTTCTCAGGGCTAGCTAATTCATGGAGATAGTAAACAACTTGTCAGCCAGTACCACTTTCACATGCAAGTCAATTGCTATGGTCTAAATATTTATGTTCTCTTAAAATTAATATGTTGAAACCTGATTACCAAGGTAATGGTATTAGGAGTCGGGGCCTTTGGGAGATGATTATATCATGAGGGCAGAATCACCTTGAGTGCGATTAGTGCCCTTAAAAAAGAGGTCCTCAGAGAGCTGGCCTGCCCCTTCCACCATGTGAGGACACAGCCAGAGGGCCCCATCTATGAAGCAGAGAGCAAATATTTACTAGACTCCTAATCAGCTGGCTCCTTGATCTTGAACTTCTCAGCCTCCAGAACTATGAGAAATATATTTCCATCGTTTATAAGGTACTCACTTGACGATATTTTGTTATAGCAGCCCATTGGGACTAAGATACAACCAAGCCAAAGCTCATATCCTCAACTACCTTCTTTATCTAACTTTCACATGCCAAGCCAATATTTCCCCTGCCATAAATCACCAGGACCAGGTATCAGAGACCACCCCTATAGCCAAGAGCCCACCAAAATTATTCAAAATAACTCATCCTAAGCTGTTTACCCTGCAGTGCCTTGTATTTTTCTCAGAAAATATAATACAGAATCTCTGGGTCATACTGTCCCCTCTTTCCTTTTACTTCCTGACCAAACTTTGTAATTTCATATGTGACCCTGTGTAGGATGGTGGGCCTCCTCTTGGAAACTAGGAGTAATAAAAGTTCTTTTGGCTGGGCGCGGTGGCTCACGCCTGTAATCCCAGCACTTTGGGAGGCCGAGGCAGGCGGATCACGAGGTCAGGAGATCGAGACCATCCTGGCTAACATGTTGAAACCCCGTCTCTACTAAAAATACAAAAAAATTAGCCAGGCGTGGTGGCGGGCACCTGTAGTCCCAGCTACTCAGGAGGCTGAGGCAGGAGAATGGCGTGAACCCAGGAGGCGGAGCTTGCAGTGAGCGGAGATCATGCCACTGTACTTCAGCCTGGGCAACAGAGCGAGACTCCGTCTCAAAAAAAAAAAAATTTTAACCTGGTTACTATGAAACGTAGCAGAAGCATTATCTAACACGTCATCATTTGCCAATAGCTTTGCATATAATTTGATCAATTCTCCAACAGCACCTACATAAAATTCATGAAATCTAGCATTTATTGCAAGGCTTCGATGTTACACTTTTCAATTTACTTACGTTATATAGTAAGATGTAAATAACATTAGGCAGGGGAAATTGATAAAGGCATTGCTTTGTTAAATGGAGATACAGATATTAATGTTAAACTTGGAGAAATGTTTGTGTAGGGATTAAATATATAATCAGTTCATAGATGAATATTTTTATGGAATAATAGTTGTTTCCATATATAACTCATAGTGGCAAAATCTTCAATAATGAATCCTCAAATCATCAGAGGCCTCTCTCTAAAGTCTACATATTGAGTACTGAGTTTCTTGATTAGCTTTTTTTTTTAAGTTATACTGCTAAAAATTGATTATAAGTCCTAGAAGGTCAGAAATCATGACCTCAGCTCCCTGTTGTGTTCCCAACTATCTAGCACAAGGTAGATACTCAGTAAATTGTTGTTGACCTGAAAATTGCTGATCTAGACATAGCTTTTATCTCTGGATTCAACCAGACTATCTAAAAACTGCCTCCTTCAAACACATTTGTCCCCCATGGAACTGATGTTGTTGAAGTGGGTTCTGGTTGTATGTTGTAGACACTGCCAGTCACTATCGGAGCACATTCCCCCTTTCCTTTCTATTGACAAAATTTTGACTAAAAATCTAGACTTGCTAGCTTTCCTTGAAGTTAGTTGTGACCGTATTCTTAAGTTTCAGCAAATGATGTTAAATAAAAGTGCTTTTGTGACTTCAGAAAGTGTCCGTAAAGGAAGCAGGGAGGAGCCGCTCTTTTCGGCCTTTCTTTCACCATTTTACCTGGAAATTAGATCTGATGGCTGGTGCTCTAGTAGTCATATTGGGCTATGAGGATGAGGGCCACATCTTAGGCATGGTATGGAAAGAAACAAAAGGTAGGTGAGTACTGGAAATATTTATGGAGTCACCAACTGACACTGTACTGCCTAATTTCAGAACTTTTTACAGATAAGAAAAAAAATATTTTAAGTCATGGTCATTTTGGGGTTTTTTTATCATGATCCGAAGCGACGCAGACTCTCAGCTTTCATTATTAAAAGCCTAAAAACTGATAGTATATTTACATTTGATATATGTAGAGAACATTATTTATTACATTATTTATTAAACTCTATATGAACACTTCTGCAAAATACTCTTTCAGAACCAAGTACCACCTTTTGGCGGTTTCTCTTTGAAGAAATAGAAATTTTCCCATGTATGCTACCAGAAAACATGACACAAAATCTTTGGCCCATGTTTGATTTGTTACTATGAATTACATGGCCACATATTAACTTTTTAACTGTTCTGAAGCCACTTAAAATACTTTTAAAAATGTTGGGGTTTATAAAGATTACACTCACATACTTAATTATGAGTATGTCCGTATTTATAATGCTCAGTGACTAAGCTTAGAGTTCTCTTCTGACTTCTGAATTACTTGAAGAATAATATGATTCATGAGTATACTTAAATGCAGCAGTATTTTAAAATAATAATGTATTAATTTAGAGGAAAAGCAAGTGAATTGTGTAGTCTCAACGAGTAGGGGGAAAACCGACTTAACTTTCTCTTACTATTTTAATGTTTTGAATATTTTAAGAGAAAAGTAAGGTTTTATTTTCATAATTTAAGGTTTGTTTACAGAAACTAGAATTTACCCTAGGGCTTTATTTTTATCTTTTATGAGCTAATAAATACAATGTTCAAACAAATCTTCAGTTTTGAATATATTTTCATATCAGCACATTTTCCACTAAGCTGTCAGAACTGCAGCTTCTTAAAAATGCAATTTTGAAGATACAATAGATGTAATTAGAACTGTTCAAATAAATAATTTGAGAATATAAGACATATATCATACTAAATCAATAATCAAGTGAGGAACAGTTATTTATAGCATATCGAACAAGTATAATACACAGAAAAATAGGTCCCTATCAATATATTTGTTAGCCCTATGTATTATAATTAAAAATCTCTTATTTCATAAAACAAATATTCTAATTTAAAAAGTCATTAAATTTAGCATAAACATTAATTAGTATATTTATGAATAGACGAATGATACACATATTAAAATTATACTTATAATACCTTGATCTTTCTTTTTGATTCGGAAAATATTTCATGATTCCTGAATGCTTTGGGTTACTATTATAATTATTTTTATAGAGGCCAATTCTCACTATGTTTCCCAGGATGCAGTGCAATGGGTATTCACAGGCTTGATCATAGCAGACTGCAGCCTCAAACTCCTGGGTTCAAGTGATCTTCCTGGCTCAGCCTCTGCAGCAGCTGGGACTATAGGGGCATACCACTCCACCTTCCTCTATAATTACCATTTTAATATTCATGCATTCAATCAACAAATACTCATCAAATGCCTCCAATATGGGAGGCATGTATCATAGCAGGTTATGGGAATATAATGATGAATAAAATAGTCTCTGCCTTCAAAAATTTTACAGATCTGCTGAAGAGGCAGATAATTAAATAGGAATTATAACATGGCGTAATATGTGCTATGCAAAGGACATTCTAAGATAGGGAGATCAGAGGTGGCCTCCAGAAGGAGGCAGCATGTAAACGGAGAAAGAGGTGAAAAGGTGAGAGAGGCATTGTAGGCTGTGGGCTCAGGTAAGAGAGAGTAGGCCTGGCCCAAGCAACATGAGAGTGACAATACAGAAGGTCAAAGTGGTCACAAGAAGTCAAATCATAAAGGGCTTTTGGGGATGTGAAGAGTTTAGACATTATCATGGTGGTAATGGGGAGTCATTGAAAGATTTTCATCAGGGATGTAAAGTGATCGATATGGTTGAAAATCAAAGGCAGAACATTGCTTAAGATTTATAGAATCCCAAATGCCAGAAATATTTCTATTTAATAGTAAGAGAAGCATTTTTGACAAAATTATATAGATAATACTCTATAATACTATTCCTATTCAGTTAATTTGCAATATTTTTCTGTTTTTTAGGTAATAAAAATATATTTAAATTGACTAAAATTGATTAGTAAATAATTCTGTATTTTAGATAATTAGAAAAGAAATGCTTATATAAGAAAGAAACAAAATGGGCTGGGTGTGGTGGTTCACGCCTGTAATCCCAGCACTTTGGGAGGCCGAGGCGGGCGGATCACGAGGCCAGCAGATGGAGACCATCCTGGCTAACACGGTGAAACCCCATCTCTACTAAAAATACAAAAAATTAGCCGGGCGTGGTGGCAGGAGCCTGTAGTCCCAGCTACTTGGGAGACTGAGGCAGGAGAATGGCGTGAACCCAGGAGGCGGAGCTTGCAGTGAGCCGAGACTGTGCCACTGCACTCCAGCCTGGGCAACAGAGCGAGACTCCGTCTCAAAAAAAAAAAAAAAAAAAGAAAAGAAAGAAAGAAAATTATACTAGATATTGGTAAGTCTTTTATTACAATACTGTGATCAGTTGAAGAATATACAGATTTGAACAAATAAGAAAAATTTAGAGGACTCCAGAAGAGAGCATGAAAACTCTGAAGAAAATAAGAACTACAAGAAAAGGTTAAGAGAGCCAAAACCAATTTACTAAGAAATTCTGAAGAATATTTTAGAAACTGTCTTAAAGCTTTCCTTTTCTTTTATGGATTAAATAGGCAACATCTTTTCTGAGAGACAATAATCACTCCTTCCTGGCTCCTTTCACCCAAAAATAAATTTAAAAAAGAGAAAAAATATTCCAGTCATCCTTGTGAATTATTTCCTGTGAAATTATTTATCACCAGATATTTTCTGGTTAATATTGCTTTTTAAAATAAATTAGATATTTGCCTACATAAAATACATTAAACACAAGTGCCTCCAAGGAAACTACTATATCATTTCTTGGGCTCTTCTTAATTCTCTTGGACTCTAAAATGTAATTTGAATTAGTTGATATAATATGTTTTAACAATATTCTAGGACGATTTATAATTTATGTTTAATCACATTTAAGTACTACTAATAATTGTTCAGAGTTTTACCTCAGCCACATTTGGAAAATAAATTCACCTTCCAAAGTTTTTCACGATAATGAATATTTTGTTATTATTCGGAAAACATATAGTAAGTATTAAAAGGGCATGATTAATCAAAATTAACAGATTTCTCCTGTCCATTGCCAAGTACCAAGTATATCTATAGAGTGGCAATTAGGAAATGACATTCCATACCTTGTGATAGGCATTCTGTTAGCTGTGAATCTCTAACAGCAAACATCTCTTTTAATAAATTATATTATAAAAAAGAGTGAGGACTGAACAAATTATTATGCTTCTGTTGAGATTCACCAGCTAGCCTCTAGGCCTTTCTTCAAGCCTTTCAACCATGAATACATAAATTAAAAACTGACATTAAAACCAACTAAATAACTTAAAATCATATGTACACTGAAGAGAAAGAAAGAAAATATCAACTTAAAATGTTTCAACTCCACCATGTTTTCTAAACACATTGTCACGCTTGATAGTAAGGCCTAGGTTGGCATAGTGCTAAGAGCCCAGACTTAAGAGCAAACTTCCTGGTTAGAATCTTGACTCCCCACCTGCCAGTGTGTCCTTGTCTGAGTTTATTCACCTCTCTGTGCTTCAGATTTTTCTACGCTTGTTTCCTCCTGGTTGTGAGGTGCACAGAAAGCATTTAGAACAGGGTTTGGCACACACTTAGACTGTATAACTGTTAAATAAACTTTCTTTGAACCTCAATATTTTTAGAAATCTAACATTTTGAACATATATTATAAAAAGATTATAATATTCCAAAAGTGAAATCCTTGATTATAGGCAGCATTGAATTTTGGCCCCAGTCCCCAGGACAGTTTTCTGGGATATTTAGAGCTGGCACATATTCTGTGTAGTCAGTGTTTATGCTCAATTTGTGGTTCAATATTTTTAAATGTCATCCCTGTTTATAGGTGATAAGTATTATCTTTGTAAAACTGGATTATCCAGGGCCACTATTTTTCAACTACCTTCCTTAGATCCCCTGGGGTTCCATCCTGGTATGGAAGGAAGAAAGCTGGGGCAGGTAACAGGCCTTTTATATTATATATTGGAGTTAACTAAAAGACATCATCTTAAAAGAAGACCTAATAGCCTTAAATCAAGCTGAAATTCTCTGCACTGGAAATTACTTTGGAAAAGCATTTTGTACAAAATTTTTACAAATCTTTTCAACCACACTAATTTATAGTGAAGAATTTGAAGCAGAAAAAGGTGAAGTCACTTTAAAAAGGTTACACATCTAGGTCGGCCGCAGTGGCTCATGCCTGTAATCGCAGTACTTTGGGAGGCCGAGGTGGGTGGATCACCTGAGGTCAGGAGTTTGAGACCAGCCTGGCCAACATGGCACAACCCTGTCTCTACTAAAAATACAAAAATTAGCTGGGCGTGGTGTGGGGTGCCTAACCAGCATCTCTCTATTTTTCTAATGCCTGCCTCCAGCCCCCGGAAACCACCATTCTACTCTACTTCTATGAGTTCAACATTTTTGGATTTCACAGACATGGGAGGTCATGTAGTACTTGCCTTTCTGGGCCTGGCTTATTTCATTTAGCACAGTGTCCTCCAAAATGTCATATTTTTACATCCTATTTGGCCTTAGAATCCACTGGGTTGTCTATAAAATTGCCCACCATCTCACACATACCTACTTGATCTCCAGAATATAATTATTAATGCAGACATTTTCTGGCTAGCTGCCCCAAGATTCTGGTAATTTTCACATCTGGGAACTAGATGAAATCTCCAAACATACGGAAGCAATATGTAATGGGCCCTTCAAGGACCCTTGCCACATCCTAGAATTTGATTGAAGTGAGAAGCTGAAAATCTTAATATCTACTTATATTTATGTCATCATTGGTACTGGAAAAGAAATTAAAATGTTTCAGTATCACATAATGAATTTCTGTGGGTCTCTAACAATATTTTGCTATACTTTACTATGGACTATTCTCCTGACATGCTGTTTGATGAATGTATTTGATGGTAGTTTCTCTAAAGCAGAGAATGAGTTTGGGTGTATCTACCCAAGCACTTGCATCCTGCAGAGTGCAGCAAATATAACTGGCACACACTTCAAGGCTTGATTGTATTAGTATCATATTCTATTAAATTAAACTGTATGGTAATTTTCAGCTTAAGAAGCTGCTTTTATAACCAGTGGTACTTCAGTCACTGAATCAAGGCAAACACATAGGAAATGCTACTTCCTCATAGCTCTCTTCCAGAAACATAATAAATACATACAAGAAGACACATTAAACAAATTGGACTTCTACTAAAACAAATACTTGTTTTACTTATGTGTACTTAAAATAGCTTAAAAATGGCATATAAGTTCAATACTATGAGGACTATAGACAATTTTTTCCAGTACTTCATAAAATATTTAAACATCCTGATTAAATTATGATTAAAATCTATAAGATAGTTTTAAGGAAATGTAACTAATCATTTTGCAAAACTGCTTTCAAATCTTTCTAAACAGAAAAAAAAGTTCTTCTTTTCATATTTTATAGTATATTAATTGTAAAATAATGAATCAAATTAAGTATGAAAATATGGAATTACCTATGTCTATTGCATTTATAGTACATAATTGTATTTGGGTTTTTTGTTGTTGTTGCATAACACATTACCACAGACTTAGCAGCATAAAACAACAAACACTTATTATCTCAGTTTCAGTGAGTCAAAAGTTTAAGCTTTGTATAGCCTGATCCCTCAGAAGCTCACAAATTTAAAATCAAGGTGTTAGACACACTAAGTTTCTCATTTGGACTTAGGAGTCCTCTTCTAAGCTCATTCAGCTTATTGGCAGAATTTAGTTCCTTGTGGTTGTAGGACTGAGGTCTTCAATGTTTTGCTAGCTGTCAGCCAGTGATTGCTCTCAGTAAGTAGTCACCCACAGTTTCTTACCACATGGCTCCAAGAGTCAACTCATAACATGGTTGAACGTGTTCTTCCAGGACAGAAGGAAAGACTCTTTCCAGGTAATATAATACAATCACAGCAACTAGCCCATCACCATTTGTTATACACAATAATTTAATAAAAGGCATAACTATCCCACCAAATTCACAAGTTCTGCCCACACTCAAGGTAGGTGGGGGGGCGGCGGGGTTATTATTTTAGGTTGGTGCAAAAGTAATTGTGGTTTTTGTCATTAAAAATAATGGAAAAAAATTATTTTTGCATCAACCTATACAAGGTATGCACACCAGGAGATGGAAATCTTGGGAACCACTTTAGAATTCTGCCTGCCATGACAATTCTGTCTTATTTGTAATATGACTGGAAGTAGTGTAGCTATTATGGATGTCTTTTAGGACTTCTTCCCAATGAACACTTAATGGAAGTTATTAGTTCTCCTAATAACATAATTACTATCATAGTCAAGAATCATTATTAATCTAATATAGCCAAGGGAATGACAGAAGCAGAAAGATGTCAAGTCAGCTTTACAGAGTTGTTAAGTCACTCAGGGAAGACAGTGGGAACAGGATCCAATATGCTGGTGCACAGTCTGTTTCCCTAGCTCTGTACTATGGCATAATTCCTATATTAAGTAAAGACAGATGGCAACCTGATGCTAGTGCATCAGCTCTGAAAGAAACTGGCAAATAATTTTACTTTAAAGGGCAATTAATTCATTAAAAACAAATTGACTGTAAAGAAAAGTTTCTGTAATTCCCCAAATTAGCAAAATTTCAAAAATAGTCTTTTTTGAAAATTGAATTGTCTTTAAAAAAAGCAAAAAACTATCATCCCTGAAACCTGATTAGACATATAACCACATCATAAAAATCACAAGAAAAATAATGCCAATATACTTCCAATATTTTGCCTCTCTCTCCCTCTTTCTCTTTCTCTCTGTCTCCCACCACCCACCCTATCAATAGCTGCAATGACCGAGGAAAGCCTGTGAGTAAAATTAAATAAATGTTATACAATTGAACAATTATATCTCCTGATTATATCAGCTCCATTTTCAAGCATCTTCCAACTTTTCTGTTACTATAATTTAAATTCCAAACAATCACCATGTAGTAGCATACATTCTAGGAGCCAGAATGGAAGGAAAAATAATCATTGGTGGAATTCCTACTATGTGCCTGTCCCTGTTTTAAGAGCTTTCACAACACTATCTCATTTAATATCCTTAGTTGACATGAAAAGTATTAACATGTCTACTTAATAGGTAAAACCAAGGCCCATTAAATGTTCGGTGACTTACCTAAGTTCCACAGCAAATAAGAAGCATTGCTTGTACCTGGGATGCCTTGATAAATTTCAAAAAATTTATTGGACAAATGAGCAAATTAAAACAATTAAAAGAAAATTGTATAAGTCTCACTCTAAAAGTCATAGAGTTTTCCTTACAGCACACCACTAAAGGGTGTTTATCCTTCAAGTGCTGCGAGTTTAACCGGACAGTTTTAAAACACTGACACCTTCAGCTGTGGGAAAGTTATTTTATAAATAACCCTGCAAAATACCAGTAATGAAAATGTATACACTTGATTGACATGAAATTCAATAGTTATTGCTATGCTCTTAAAGCAATGCTTCAGCAAAGTTGGATCAGTGACAAAAATCAAATGTATGTTAATACTTACAAAGTTTCAATACTATTTTTAATGTGTCACTGTAGAAAAATCCACTGGGTGGTCCAATTTACATAGATACAGGTTATATCATTTCTATTTTGGTTTGTGCAGTGCAAAATTAAACCTGAAACAAGTTTTTCAACTTGGCAAAAGAGATATACAATCATATGCCACATGATGATGTTTCAATGGACCACATATTTGATGGCGGTCCCATAAAATTGTAATATCCTATTTTTACTGTAACTTTTCTATGTCTAGATACATAAATAGTTACCATTATATTAAAATTGTCTACAGTATTCAGTGCCATAACATGCTGTACAGGTCTGTACCACAGGAGGAACAGGCTATACCGCATACCTTAGGTATGTAGTAGGCTATGCCATCTAGGTTTCGGAAAGTACACTCTATGATGTTTGCACAATGACGGAACTGCCTAACAATGCATTTCTCGGAAAATATCTCTGTTGTTAAACAAGGCATGACTTTGTGTTAACTTAATAACATTTGTTCCTATAAATACAATGAAATAAACTTTCAACATCTAGATATCTTAATAACAAATATCAATTAGAGCTATAATATTATCTTATATAAAATAACCACATAAAAATAAAATGGATATAAACACATGCAACTCATTGGAATCTGAGATTAACCTCAATTTTAATAAGACTGACTAAACCATATAGTGTTTATCGCAACATCTTAATTTAACCAAAATTCTTTCTTCTAAAACAAAAATAATTGTTTCACTCATTCTTCTTTCATGTTGAAATACAAGCAGAATGAACCAGTGAGTGTTTTAAAATTGAAAATGTTTTGGTTTTGTGTTATCAAATAATTACTTCTTTAAAAACGTATGCCATAAAGGACACTGAGCTATAATTTTTGCCCTAAAGATACTTATACCTTTATAATGAAGATAAAGCCAGTGTGTAAATTACCAAACTACAAAACAGTGCCATAATGGAGGTTAAAAACAGTGCTATATGCCTTCTAGCAAAGGAGCAGTCACAACCAGTTTAAATTAAGTGGGATTTTTTTTTTTTTTTTTTGAGACAGAGTTTCACTCTTGTTGCCCAAGCTGGAGTGCAATGGCACGATCTCAGCTCACCACAACCTCCGCCTCCCAGGTTCAAGCAACTCTCCTCCCTCAGCCTCCCGACTAGCTGGGATTATGGGCATGCATCACCACGCCTGGCTAATTTTGTATTTTTTTTTAGTAGAGACAGGGTTTCTCCATGTTGAGTCTGGTCTCGAACTCCTGACCTCAGGTGACCCGCCCACCTCGGCCTCCCAAAGTGTTGGGATAACAGGTGTGAGACACTGCCCCAGGCCTAAGTGGGATTATTTATTCAACCAAAACCCTTTGTTATAGATTGAACTAGGTCCCCATCGAAATTTACATGTTGCAGTCCTAACACTCAGTACTTTAAAATAGCATTGTATTTGGGGATACAGCTTTTAAAGAGGTAATTAAGGATAAATAAGATCATAAGGGTGAGCCCTAATACAGTTGACTAATGTCTC
This sequence comes from Homo sapiens, assembly GCF_000001405.40. NCBI lineage: Eukaryota > Metazoa > Chordata > Mammalia > Primates > Hominidae > Homo > Homo sapiens. The sequence goes on along the minus strand of NC_000003.12, from coordinate 174,972,521 downwards.
TATAATAAAAGAAAGAGATATCAAGGATGCAGGTGTAGAGAAAAGACTAGAGAGCGCAGAGAGAAGGTGGTCATCTGTAAGCCGAGGAAGGGACTCAGGAGAAACAAAACCTACTGATACTTAGATTTTGGACTTTTAGCCTTCAGAACTGTGAGAAAACAAATTTATGTTGCTTAAGCCACCCAGTCAATGGTTTTTGTTATGGCAGCATTAGCAAACTAATACATTCTTTAGCACAAGAAAAAATAATGGTAGGTTTAACAAACTGAAAGACAATAAATCTTGAACCTTAGATTCTATTTCCCTCATAAAACTGATTAACTTATAATACTGAACTGGTCTCTAGATTAGGCATCACAAACTTAAGGCCTATGGGGCTAGACAGTTCAATCAATGAAAAGTTTCTGTGAGTAAGAAAATATGGAGGGGCGGTGACTGTGACCAATGAGGTAGGGTGTTCATGGGCAGGATAAAGAGGCTGACACCACTCAAATTTAGTATGTTATGTAGGTGAAAGAAAACACGGCTGGACGCGGTGGCTCATGCCTGTAATCCCAGCACTTTGGGAGGCCGAGGCAGGTGGATCACCTGAGGTCAGGAGTTCAAGACCAGCCTGACCAATATGGTGAAAATCCATCTCTACTAAAAATACAAAAATTAGCTGGGCGTCGTGGCATGTGCCTGTAATTGCAGCTACCCGGGAAGCTGAGACAGGAGAATTGCTTGAAACCAGGAGGCAGAGGTTGCAGTAAGCCGACATCCCACCACTGCACTCTAGCCTGGGTAAAAGAGCGAGACTCCGTCTCAAAAACAAACTAAACACACACACACACACACACACACACACACACACACAGTCTAGCATACTGACTGTTTGAGTTGAAGGCACCTAAAAAAGGGAAGGTACAAGAAGCCCCTGCTCTTTGTGCAGTTTCTTAAAAGCAAGACATAAAATTTAATTTGAGAAAGATTTCTGCCCAATACCAGAAGGACAGGAAGTTGAGACTGAAGGAAATCTGTAAAGACCATAAAAGGGGTACCTAATTTAGGTAGTGTTTTCAGGAAAGGCCTTTCTGGGAATGTCTAAACAAATATAAAAGGTGAAGAAGGGAACTTATTTTGGCATCTTTAAGATAGAAAGCAAATGCTTAAGGACACCACGAAGAAAGAAATTTTTACTTTGAAATTGCTTTCATACTTTTAACAATATCAATCCAATCCACAATATCTTCTGGACTGTGATCTCTTGGAAAACAGGAGATGCCCAATATGGTTTGGCTGTCTCCCCATCCAAATCTCAACTTGGATTGTATCTCCCAGAATTCCCACGTTTTGGGAGGAACCCAGGAGGAGGTAATTGAATTATGGGGGCCAGTCTTTCCCCCTGCTATTCTCGTGATAGTGATTAAGTCTCACGAGATCTGATGGGTTTATCGGGCTTGCTGCTTTTCCTTCTTCCTCATTTTTCTCTTGCCACCACCATGTAAGAAATGCCTTTCACCTCCCACCACGATTCTAAGCCCTCCCCAGCCATGTGGACCTGTAAGTCCAATTAAACCTCTTTTTCTTTCCAGTCTCAGGTATGCCTCATCTGCTGCATGAATACAGACTAATACAATGCCACTCCTTTCTTATGTGTTGTGCTGATATGTATAATTTCAAATTGCCTGAGTGACTACTCCATAAATGCTTATTGATTGAACATGTGAGAAAGGGTTAATGAGACCATATAAATATGTATGATTTAGACCATATCATAGCAGTCACTTAAATTAAGAGCCTAGTATGCTCATTAACCAATCTGAAGAACCATTAGCAACGGAAAATAGAGTGAAAGATGTATTGAAGAACAACATATTACAATTAAATTAATGGGGTTTAGGGAGGATCCACTGAACTTCCCACAGCTTCTGTCTCTTCTTTATAATGTCATGGTTCTAATTTACCTCATTTATATTAATGAATAGAGGATAGCACAACTATTAGCATGATTGAAAATTACACTAATGCTCAGTAAATCTACTTCTAATTATTATAATTAATGAGAAGTTGATCATCTTGGACCAGATTAACAACCTAAAGCAACTGAAATAGAGCAAAAGAGCTTTTTCTTGCTAATCCAGGTCTTTAGTCTGTTTTTATTTAATGAAACCCTGAGCAATCTACTCAGTAATGTTACATACTAATTCACTATAACCATCCATTTACATAGATTTACATAGATTTTATTTTCACATGTATGTATTTATTTGAAATAATTATTTCCAAGTGCATTGAAATGTAGTCTTGGGATTGGCTTTATGCTGTGTTAATGTTCCTGTATGAAACTGAATAATACAATCAATCTCATTTTTTATCTACCTGGTTCTAAGTCATCCTTTAAGGGTTATCTCCTCCAAAAAAAATTATTCATCTATATGGTCACTAGAATTAACCATTAAGAGACATAAATCTCACCTATTTATTTAAATATTAGAACTTTCCAAAAAGCTTGAAGAGAAAGAAATGACAAAAGAACTCAAGTTGATTTTAATCAGCTCAACATCTGACTTGCTGTTTTGATCCAAGACACATGACATATTTTTCTTACCTTGATTTCAATTATGTACTTTTCCTTGATTCTATTTTATGAAGAGTATAATATGATATCAATGCTTTATGTTTAGGTCTTCTTTATTTTCTGTCTTCTGCTACTGATTGGTGTCCATGGAAACAAACCTGTAATCAATGCTAGACTCCTAGAGTGCAGTGGCCTAAGACTCCACTTTGAGAGCACAATGAGGAAAAAGCCATCAAGGGTAAGATTTCAATGGGCTCCATCACAGACTTTTAATGAAGCAGGGAGAATTTTACATTATCATGGCCTCCGTATCCTGAAGGTGTTGTCCTATCTCAAAGCTGTATTTATTCTGCTCTTATTATCAAAATTTTCTTACTGTATTATGGGATTTTAGTTACAATAAATTTAAATATACAAATGTCATTTCCCCAGGCTTGTCCATAGCCTAAAAGTTCATGAATTAATTCACAAAATTATTTATTGAGAGATTGCTCTTTATCAGCCTCTGTACTAGGGCTGAAATTTTAATGGTGCAGATTACAAAATATCCTCATCTTTATGGGAATTCGCACTTAGTTGAGGAGATAAAAATAGAAAATATTAAAAGTAAGAGGAGTGTTACAGAAGGGAAAAAAGAGGTCCCTTGGATCTGTATAACAGGAAAGTACGCTAATCTAGGAGATCAGAAAAGACTTACCTGAGACAATGACATTTAAGATAACATGAAGGATGGAATACCTGCTAGCAGTTTCTCCTGGATGGGAGAACTAGGTCTCTGGGAAATAAAATGAAGTTCACCACTGGATATAAATTCAAAGAAAAAGCCAAAGTAGCATAATAAAAAGAATTTGAGGCTTAGGGCCCCATAGACCTGTGTTACAGTCAGAGCCATACCAGTTCCAGGTCATATAACCTTCGGGAAATTATTTAATCTCCCTATTTTATGTGGCATAAAAGTGGAGATGATATGTATCATGTAGGAGGACTGTGAGGATTATTTTAGATGATACGGATGAATTGCTGGGCACATTAGCAGGCCCTCAAAGAATAGTAATTTTCTTTCCTTATTTAAAAACCAGTGGCCCAAAGGTCTCTTTCTTTGAGAAAATTCACAAATGAAAACTTTGGGAGCATGTTATGAAAATGCTTTCAATATAGACCTAAAGGACTTTTAAAACTAGTTAGGGCTGGGCGCAGTGGCTCACATCTGTAGTCTCAGCACTTTGGGAGGCCGAGGCGGCGGATCACGAGGTCAGGAGTTCAAGACAAGCCTGGTCAACTTGGTGAAACCCCGTCTCTAATAAAAATACAAAAATTAGCTGGGCGTGGTGGCGTGCACCTGTAATCCCAGCTACTCGGGAGGCTGAGGCAGGAGAATTGCTTAAACCTGGGAGGCAGAGGTTGCAGTGAGCTGAGATCATGTCACTACACTGCAGCCTGGGTGATAGAAAAAAAAAATAGTTAGAAAAACAGGCTGTGGAGTCATTCAAACCTGTATCGAGTCACTTTCCAGCTACTTACTAGTTGTGTTTCCTTATTTTGTTGTATTTCCTTATTTTGTTGTATTTGAGCCTTGGCTTCCTCATCTGTAAACTGAGGATATAACAGTCTCTAGGTCACACAGCGTTGGCAGAAAATGAGATACAGAAAGCCAAGTTCATGGGAGGGCTTCTGACAAATAGTAATGCTTAATAAAAGTTAGTTGTTTCAATTACTATACTGGTAGCAAAAGGAATGGTAACAATAGCAGCAGCAAGAGTAACAGACCATCTCTGGCTGTTTTCTTTGAATAACATACCCAAAGTAAGAGGTGGGAAATGAAGTTGGGAGGACAAATCATTAGATAGTGCACCAAATTGAATAATTAAATATTTCTAAACAGTAGTCTACAATACTCCTATGTTTCAGATACAGTGCTTATAAAAGGTTTATGTGGTGAAGGGAGACTTAAAATAGATTTCTCAGGAAATGTCAAAATTATCTATAGACAAAAGCATTTATAATTGACTGCTTCATCAGTTACATCTAAAGATGGGTAATTGTTTCTTATGTCAGTATGTCAGCTGTGTATTGCTGCATAACAACCACCCCAAGACTTGGTGGTTTAAACAACAACCATTTTATTTGTTCACAATTCTGTGGGTTTAGGTGGGCTGTGCTAAGAAAGGAGGCTTCTCTGCTTATCTTTCTTGGGGTCAGTGATGTGTTCACAGTTATCTGATTGTTCAATTAGTGCTAGATTGTCCAAGGTCGCCTCAATCACATGGTACTGGCTGTCAGCAAGTCCCCTTTCTCTCTTTACACAGCCTCTCACCCTTAAGGAAAGTAACCTTGGTTTCTTTAGAGTCTGTGATCTCAGGGAAGCAAGAAAATGAGAACAAAAGCTGCAAGCTCTCTTTAGGCCTAGGCTCAGAAATTCTGAAATAGCATTGGTCAAGGCAAGTCACAGAGCCAGCCCAAATTATGGAGGTAGAGAAACAGACTGTACCTCTTGAGACAGGAGCAACAAAGTCAAATTGCAAATGAGAGTACATACAGAGTTAAGTGGGATTTCTAAAATAAATTCCTTTTTTCTTTTTTTTTTTTTTTTGCAATCCACCACATATAGCTGGCTGATATTCCCTACACTTGCATAGTAATGGCACTATCTAAATTTTATTGCCACATGCAACTTAATCTTACTTCATTTATGCTTATCCTATTGCATATAATATATGAAACAAACGGTCAAATAACTCTATCTCAGTAGATCTTTACTTTTACTCTGCATCAGAATCATCAGAGAGCTTTAAAAAAGGGACCACTATTACCTGCTACTCAGGCATTCCGATTTATTAGACATAATCCAGTTATTACTTGATTTTTAAAGAAGGTCTCCAGATGATACTAACAGATATGGTTGTGAATTATTGTTCAAATAGCACTATTGTCTATCTTATCCTAGTTCTTTTTAAATATAAACATTAGTGGACTTAAGAAGCTTTTTCCTATACTTTCTGTGATAACACTTATTATTTTATTTTTTCCACCTTTATGTCACTTATTTTCCTTTCTGGGGGAATCTCTTACTCTATCCGGAAAGTTTTTTCCAGGGATTCAGATCGTCTCAATTTCTCTAACCCTATACCTACAATCAATACTTGATAACAAACCAATCTATGATTTCATTGCTAATGATTCCCAAATTTTGATCCCCAGTCTAGAACTCAGACCTCAAACTTAAACATTCCAGTTGCCTACTGGACATCTACAAATGTATGTTACTTGGGTATGTCAAATTTCATATGTATTAAGCTGGACTTCTCTTTCTCTTCATCTTGTTTCTTCCTTTCCTATTCTCTGTTACCGCCATCTAACAATCACATAAGTGAAAAATCTGTTTGTCACTCTAGATACCTCCCTATCACTTTATCCTTACATCGAAGTCAAGAGATTTACCTTCCTTATATCTCTCATACCCATCAGCTCACTTCTCTTCCTACTGCTAATGCTTTGGGACCACTAACACATTTTGCCACAGACACAACCTCCTTGCTGGTCTCTGTGAATCTGGTAATGCCTTATTCCAATAGGTTTCCATACAACCTCCAGAATAACCATTTCAAAATACAAAACAGATCATGTGAATGCACCATGGAAAATATTTTGTGGTTTGCCATCATTGGGGATGTAGCCTATGGCCATATTATGACAGGCCGAGGGAGAAAATCTAAGTGCTTGGCCTTCAAGATCAAGGAGAAACAAAGTTTTTGACCTAGAGCTTAATTTATGCAGAAAAGTGTTTTAAGAAGATTGATGTGGCAGTAGTAGGGGAAACCTGAGGAAAGGAAGACCAGTGGGGTAACTATTATAATAATTCAGGTACATGGTAATAATGATCTGGTCTAAGATAGTCATAATCTTATAAATGTGCTGACTGGATTCACTTATATTTATGATCATGAATCTCAAATGGGCACTCACAAAAGCCAGACAATCCTACTTAACTTCCATAGCAAATTCATTGTCCTACTCTCCAAGCTAACCTATAGTTCTTACTTCCTCTATCATCAAATCCCCAGGACCCCTCTCCTTGCCTCTCCTTCTCTACTGCTATTCTCACCTAATATTTTCCAGGGAAAATAGACCATACTGTAAAAATTACCCCAACTTCCCTCCGTAAAATTTTCCACTCTATGTGACTGTGTACCCACCATTCTCTAACTTCCTCTGATTTCGCTGAAAGACACATTCACTGCTTCTTTATTTTTATATCGATCCTTTCCCGTACCAAGCCTCCTTGAGGACCTCCATGTCCTCTTTCTCTTCTTCATGTTGTTTTTTTCCTTCATATAAGCACAAAATATGCCTAAATATTGTCTTTAAAAATATTTCATTGTATATCTAATTTCAATTAACTTCCCATCTCTCTGCTACCCTTATCAAAAAAATTCTCACAATACTTGCATATATTTGAAATCTTTACACTTCACCACTGAAGTAGTGGCTTAAAATAGTTAACAGATTATTTGACACTCACTTCAAAAGGTGGGAACTAATTTTCCATAGAAATCGCCTTAGTGACATAATGTTAACGAATAGAATAGGACAGAAGTGACAGTATGTAACTTCTGAGAATAAGTCATCAAAAGCATCACAGTCTGTCCTCATTTGACCTTGATTTCTTGCTTTGTAGGAAAAGCTGCTTCCCTGTTGGTACCAGCACTGTGGAAAGGCTTAGGTGCAAGGAATTGTGGCCTCCCGCCAATGGCCAGTGAGGAACTGAGATCTCCAGCCAATAGCCTTGTGACTAAGCCATCTTACAGGAGAATCATTCAGGCCCATGCAACCTTTAGGTGACTGCAGCCCCACCCACTGTCCTAACTGCTACCTCATGAGAAACCCTGAGCTAGAACCAGCCAACTAAATTAGAATTTCTAATTTGTAGGAATAATGAGAAAATAAATGTTTGCTCTTTTTAAGCCACTACATTTTTTTTGATGTAGCAATACATAAGTAATACAACCACCTCCTCCCATTTTCATTTCAGCTCAATCCAACTAGATATTTTCAATTTTCATGTCAATAAAATTATATATATATAAATTACATATATACATATATATACACACACAAACACAAATATATATAAATTGTTTAATACCTGTTAAGCACATAGAACAGTATCTGGCCCTGAGAGGTGCTACGTTATTAAAATTACTATTACTACTATTATTACAAGCAGCAGGAGGAATATATGAGCCACTGAGGACTGCCATCTTGTAAAACCCAGTAGTTAATTGTCTGTTCTTGTTTTCTTTACCTCTCACAGTACCAGATATAAGTAGCTATTCCCTTCTTATTGAAAGACATTTTTCCTTTAGGCTTCTAGATATCATCCTCCCTTATAGTCTTTTTCATGGATTATTCTGCTCTGCAAGACCTCTAAATATTGAAATGTCCATGAATCTGTCCTCTGTTCTCCTCTCTTTTTTATTTATACAAACTCCAAAGGTGATTTTATCCAATATCAGGGCTTCATATATCATTATTATTCTATATTCTAAATCTTTATCTTCTGTCCTGATCTCTCCCATAGGCTCTAGTCATATTCATTTCCTTCCCAACATTCCCATGTAGATATCTGTTAGGCTTCTTAAATTTAGCATGTCCAAAGAACTCTTGATTGCCTGTATACTTTAATTTTATCACTCCTGCCACTAAAATGTAAGCTCTATGAATAGAGACCATTTTCCATACCAGCGCTAGGTAAAGGGGATTATGTGCTTTAAATGGTGCCAGGCAAATAAGTACATTAGAAATTTTTGTAAATGAATAACTATTTCATTACATGTGAAGAAAGAAAGGTTGAATCATTTAAAACATCTTGAAAAATATAAATATTTTTAAAATCTCATTTTAAAGTCTCATACAGGTAGTTTTTTTTCCCAAAAGATTTAATAACATGCGAAAAAGTATGGAGAAATAAATTATTATGGTACATTCCATGCTTAGATTCCTTATGATAATTTTGACCTTCAACATTATTTACATTGTCAGAAAATGCAACAAATGATTATCTTCTTTCTTCATGTAAATAATTGAAAAATTATGATCAAATAATATTTTCCTGTCATTGTTAAGATTTCTACCAAACTTAGCAGTCCTTAACAGTATCTATATTTGAAAGAAAAATTTACAAACCACTGCATTTTCTAAACATGATTTTAAGCTGTCTTTTTCAGTTGTCTAACATTTTGTTGAGCTCGTAATATGTGCCAAGTACTACACATACACAGTGATATCAAAATAAATAATACTTAATTCTCACCAGTGAAGAAAACCATGGCGGACACAGGCATGAAACAAATCATCACAACGCCGTGTGAAACTTGAAGTCATGTACATGGGGATGAAGATGATAGGTCAACAAAGTCTGGGGATATTCCGCAGAGTCACAGTATTTCTAAAAATAGTCTAGTTACTATAAGGTTTTCCCCAAAAGAGTGAAACATGCATCTAATCAGTCATAATTTTTCAATGTTTTTCTACTTGTCCCCCATTTCCTGTCTTGATAAAACATTCAGACAATCTATAATATTCACATTTTTTATGCCAATATCCATGATACAATTTCTTATTTTTTTTAAATAACCACAGGTATGTTACTAAAGTATTTATAGTAATCCTATAAAAGTTTACCATGAATTATTCTTCACAGTCATCCATTGTACCTTTTTAAAAATATCTGTTACATGAAACACACCAAGTTTTCTAATACCTTCAGTTGTTTTGTTCAGTATCAGTGATTCCAGCCAGATATGTTAAGCTTGGTATCACCAGAGCCATCTAAACAGAATGTATATTTGACCTCCCATATCTGCAGGCCCTGCATTTATGGATTCAAATGACAGCAGATAAAAAATAATTGGACGCATAAAATAAAAAGTAACAAGGCCACAATGAAAAATAATACAAATCAAACATAGTGTGCCAACTATTTACATAGCATTTACACTGTATTAGGTAATATATGTATTCTAGAGGTAAAGTATACAGGAAGATATGTGTAGGTTATATGCAAATATAATGCCATTTTATATAAGGAAATATAGCATTAGTAGATTTTGGTATCAGCAAGGGATCCTGAAAAAAATCTCCCACAGATACAGAGGGACAACTGTATTTGTCCAAGGAAAACTTTTCTCTTAGCCCACTTAGCAATGAAACAAACACTCTTCAAATCATTTCACTTTTGACTATTGAGCATCAAGTCCCTCATAATCGAGATAACAAGTTTCAGCTCCCAGTTTAACAGACAGAAGGCAGTTATCTCTCTGAGGTAAGAGTCCGTCCTCGGTACCCTTCTTCTCAGCTAATGCATCCCACTCCTTCACCTTTCTTTAACTTTTGTGCACCAGTGACTTATATCACAACTCTCTTCTGCCTTTTATTATGTATGGTCCACTTGTGAAACTTCACTAATTTGAAATTATACACAAGAGCAAACTTTTCACAGTTAAGTCTAAACTGCAGACTTAAAAATATACATATATATATATATATATATGTCATAGTCACTATGACATATATATATATATATATATATATGTCATAGTCACTATGACAATGAATGCCATTAAACAACAATACTTTGGTGTTAATACAGCTGAAAAGAGTGACTTAAATACAATGTAGGAATCTATGAACAACTTAGCTGGGTGGTTCTGATTCAGGATAGCCTGTGATGTTTCAGTCAGCCTATTGGCTGAGGCTGCCATCATCTGAAGGCTTGACTGTGGCCCTAGGATCTGCACAGCACCTGGCTGTTGGCGAGAGATCTCACTAAATGGCTCTCTCCATAGGGCTACTCATGACATGGCTATTGGCTTCCCACACAATGAATTATCCAAGAGAGAAATGAAGAGAGGTAGAGAGTGAGAGTAGAAATCCAAGACAAAATCTTCATGGTCTTTTGTAACCTAATATCAGAAGTGACATGCCATCACACATTACACAGACCAACCCTGCTACAGTGTTGCAGGGGAGTAGACAAAGGTCCCAGGATTACTGGGACCAAATTAGAGTCTGGTTACATCAGGGTTGCTGTGAGAATGAGATGAGTTAATATCTGTAAAACATGTAGAACCATGTCTGTCTCATAACAAATGTTATATAAGTTTAACATATGTATCTTTCTCATTATCATCGGCTATAGAGTCAGGATGTAATTATATAACTGTGAGATGGGACACGAGCCTGCCAGACGTCTTCTACTCCCCTCAAATGGCTAATAATACACAAGACTATAATCCTAGTAGTGCCGCTAATTATGAGACTTGAGCATGCTATTTAATCTCTTTTCCCCTCAGTTTCCTATCTTGAAGATAAGGTACTTGAATTAAAATAAAATCTACACTATCTCCTCTAGTTCAAATATCCAATGATTCAATCATTTTTTCCTTCCCCTGCCCGGTGTTTTATAAATTAATTTAAAGAAGAAAAATACACGTTCCCCATCTCACTCAAAACTTTGAATCAAATTATTAACTTACTATTTTCAGAACTCCCTTGAAATTCTTGCTTTTAAGATTTTTTTAGCAATATTATAAAGAATCAAGATTGTATTCTGAATTTTGTATAGATAAAGTATATATATCTTACATAGAAATCTAAGTTAAAATGATTTTCTCAACCAGGTGTGGGTGGTGGCTCACATCTGTAATCCCAGTGCGCTTTGGAAGGTCAAGGTGGGAGGATCACTTGAAGACAGAAGTTTGAGACCAGTCTGGGCAACATAGTGAGACCTTATCTCTACAAACAATGAGAAAATCATTGTATTATTATATATTTTATTAATATTATATATCATTATGTTATATATTATATTAATATTATTTAATGATATAATACATATGATATATTTAATATATATATATATTTTTAGAAACAAGGTCTTGTTCTGTAGCCCACTCTGGAGTGGAATGGCATGATCATAGCTGAATGCAGTTTCAACCTCCTGGGCTCAAGCAACCCTCCTGCTTCAGCCTCTTAAGTAGCTGGAACTATATGCAGGCACAGTGACACACAGCAAATTTTTTTGTGTTTGTATACTAAAATGCATACTTATGAAACTGAAACACATGGTAACCTAGAGCATTTGATTTTATTCTTTTAAAAGGCAAGTCCTTCTATCTAGATTAGTTGGAAGTACTTATAATACCCTGCACTGGTTTTCAGAAAATCCATTAAGTATTTTAGAAAAAGTAGCTTTTGGAATAAAATAGTGTTTTATTTCTCAATACCATCAAAGATTTTGTTTCCAAACTTCTGCCTATACACAGGCTATTATATTATCCCAAAAAAGCTATCGATATCTAGATGAAGGGGTAAAGCAGAGAACACATTCTATTGGCACATTTTCTTATAATTAGATAGTCCCAGATTATTAGTAGGGTAATAATTCTAGATAAACACTCAAATCTCAATTGCTTCTTATTCATAGTAAGTCCAAGATGAATGTTCTTGATTAAAGAGCAGCTTTTTCTCCAAATGGTGATTGACATTCCATCGCCAGAACTCAGTCATATGATCACACTTAATACCAGGAAAACTGGAAACTATATTCTAGAAAGTGTTTCCAGAAAAAGGACAGAGTTGTTTATCAACTATGATATTTTCTATACTAATTCTGACATACCCAATAATAGAGCTAAAAAGAACTTCAACAATCTTCTAAGCACCTAATTTTATAGATGAGGATGATGATGACTGGAATAGTTTAGCACCTTATTAAAGTCAACAATAAGGTTAATGTAGAATCTAGACTTTACCACTTATTGCCTGATAGTAAGGCCAGTTCATGCCATTTCTAATAGACCTTGTTAAAACAGCTTCTGCTACTCCAAAGCATTAACTACGGGGTCTGCAGCCAACTTTGCCCCCACAAGACTCCCATCATCATATCTGCAGACCTAAAGTCTATTGCCAGCTGGCCAGGAAACTCACTTAGAGTGAACAGGACCTTTAAGGGACAATTAACTTTAAGAATTCGATACTTTCATATAAGATAAGGACAAATCTTGTCAAAAGCAATGGATGTCAACTCATAAATAAAATAGCACAAGATACTGCTAACAAATCTAAGTGATTGCCTTGCGTATTAAAATGACATAATCTAACTAGAAGATGAGTGCTTAAGCCTGTATTCAGTTAAGTCACTTGGATAAAAGGCATTACTTTGGGCATGTGATAACCGAAATTTAGACTCTTCATTCTCAATGCTTATGCAACCTTACTTTGCCTAGAGATAAGAAATTACTATTTCCCATGCAATAGATACACTTCCAGAAAAACATGTTAATCTTTGCAATTTCTTTGCTTTTCCCAGATCATCATTTAATGAACACATTCACTGTGCATACTTTAGAATCTTTCCCAGGGACCTCACTGATTCCCCTATGTATTGTGCTCAGCAATCTTGTTAAATTTTGTGAACTCACCGCACTAGTGCCCCTCTGTGATATAACTCCTCAGAACAATCACCAATTGTATGTTTCCAGAGCCTGTGGGCAGCAGGCAGCACAATGGCACAAAGTATCTGTTTTGCCAACAAAATAATAATCTCCAAGATTAGGGTCTATTTTTACTTGATTTTAAGGTATGAACAATTCCTATTTTCAGGTTGCCTATACTCTGACATAGCCCCGTGAATAGTTATCCAACAGTTTACCAGTAACATCATGTCAGCTGAGTCCCTAAGAGTGCCAAACAAACATATGCTACCGCAAAAGCAGTTGAAAATTGGCCTGGTTTTTACAAACTAAAACTTGCAGCATTCTAATGTCTCTAAGTACACTACCATAAAACAATGTTTAAGGAACTGTTGTCACAGTTACTCTCAAAGCAGATGTCCACCAAATTCATTTCACAATTTCCTGAATTAGACTTCTCCAGCATCAAAACACCAATAGAAAACTGTTGCGTTAAACTTCAAGAGAACATGCCAACACTTCGGAAATAATTACTTTTTGAATGATAGTTATTACATAAACAATTGATTGCACTGCTAAGTGCTTATAAATGCCTCATAAAACAAACCTAATATAAGCAATCATATTATCTACAAGCAACAACAGATATAATTAAATTTCTTATGACTGTACAAGACAGTCTTTTCCAACTTCGCACTGATTGAATGTAAGCAGTCTAAATATAGAAAGAATTCATCAAGAATTAAAATTTATCACAAATTCAACAAATGTATTAACCTATTTGTAATGTAAGAAGAAAAAATGAAACCAATGTTATGCAAATGTGGCAGTTTTGCTATTTCAACTACATAACTCTCCTTGTGCTGGCACTTGTTTCACGTAGAAGATTCACAAAGAAAAACTAAAACAGAGATTTGAACTGCACGTGTAATCAGTTATTGAATCACTCCACTTAAAATTCAATTTCAATAACTATTGGAGTAATAGAGTATAAACCCTTGGGGATGGATAAAAGTGGTGATGTAACAAACACTGGACTCTCTGGGGAAACAGATGTTATCTTATTATCTGTGCTTCCCATTCCTGACACTTTGGACCACCTACCTGATCTTTTTTCCACTTGGAGACAAAGCCACTCTTTCAATATCTTCATTTACTTATTCAATAAATAGCTATTGGGCATCTAATATAGTCTAAGCATGCTATTACATTTTAGGAATACAAATAGAAATATGGTAAGTTCCCTGCCATATTATATATATAATTGATTATTTATATATATAAATTGATTAGGCAAAGATAGACTTGTAAATAAGTAATTATAATAAAGGAATAAAGAAACTGAAAAAAAAAAAGTCTGGATATTGTTCAATGCTTAAACAGAAAGCAAGCTGTCAGTTCCTTCCGGAGGGGAGGATGGACTATGTTATGGTGAAAGGTTACATGGAAGAGGCGATGCATAGGATGAGTATGTGTTTTTTATCTGTCAGAGAAAGAAAAGATGTCCCAGAGAAAGGAAACTACATTAACAAACTACATTGGCAATGGGGAAAAATGAGTTTGCCAAGGATGATGCAGAGTTTGCAAGTTGAGGCAGGAATTAATTAGACAAAAATGGAATCCTGGTCTTCCTGTTTAGCTCATCCTTCCCCTCTGATCTAATTTAGACACACTGAGCCTCAAAGCTTCTTTATTCAATTCATTGAACTATCTTATTCTCTTGAAAACAGCCAGTAGAATGAACTATGAATCTGTCATCTCTGAGAGTTAATATGCTATTCATTTAAAGATTCTATTCCAAGCCTAAAAATAAATCAAAGAGGCAAATATTACACTGGTCAATGGAATGTTTCTTGGAATGAAATCAACAACTACAAAAAAAAAAAAATTCTCCTACCACAGTTTAAAACTTTTTCTATTGGGTCTTCCTTCTCAGCCTCTAGAAGCTATCCGGGATATACCCCCACAGCTTAGGTTGCTTTGGAATTGTATAACCAGCTCTTTTTAAGTATTAATAACAAAAATACTACTCAAAATCCAATCTAATCAAAATCAAAACAGGTATCTCATATCTCACAAATGATAACAAGCTTGTCACCTTTCTGTAGTTCAGGCCTGGCCTAGGCTAACTAGCCTGCAGTGAGGAAGAGGGGCTTGATTTGTTGTTTTACTCCTATTCTCCTTTCTTCCTTCTGACTCATTGTGCTGTCTCCCCTTCTTGCAGTAGGGAGGTGAGAAAAAGAATGAGGAAAGGCAGATGCAGTTCTCTCCTGGCTATCAAGGAAGTCTCGGGATTGCTTTAGAGCCCTGTTAGTATGCCCAGATGCTTAGAATGAGGAAAAGATGCTTGTCGCCTTTTGTTATCAGTTCTGGGGCCTAAACTGACTCTATCAGGGAACAAAAAAAATAAGCATCCCTTGTAGCTTGTATGTACCATAACAGAACAGGGAGACCCACAGCAGAGTGACTGAAGCTACAGACAGAAGGAAAGTAAAAGCGGTGAGTACTGATAGAGAAAGCTACATCCCTGAAAAGGAGGAGAATGGCTTGTGTCAAGGAAAAAAAGGTTTAAGTTCTCTTTCATCATTTCCTTCAGTTATAGAGACTTTCTGCAAAATACTGTTCTGTTTCTCCTTTGTAATCCTCATTAGAAACTACTTCTGTTATGCACCTATGCCTGCTGACGCTCCTCTCATCCCACATTCTTGTTACAATCTCCAGTGCAAAAGGACCTCCACTCCATCATCTTGATCTAACTTCACTGTGTCTCCCCATTCCACCCTTCTCCAGAACTGGCAGGCCCAAAGAAGTGTTTTTAGATCCTCCAAGAGATAGAGTCAGCTAGTCCATTTATCTATGGATTATACATAAAGCCTAATGGCTAATATTAATTGAGTACTTATATGTGGCAGGCAATTTGTTATGTGATTTACAGGAGTTTTTAACTTTATCTCACTAAACCCTATATAATATATGTACTTTTATTTTTATTATTTTATAGGAGATAAAAGTGAGGCCCATAGGGGCTAAATAAATTGCCCATGTCCAACGATGAAAGAAGCAGAACCTAGAAAGTCTACAGGACTCTGCCTCTCATAGATAAATATTTGTTTCATCCAATGACAATATTCCTTTATCTTTTTTAGACATCATTCTGCCAAATAAAAACCAAATTGTCAACATCACCTATTATGCTTACTTTAGTGAGTCCATAAGAGACTACAAGATTACCATGACAAAATTACTTCTAATCGTGGAAAGAAAATGAGATCTGCAAATTTATCCTAGTTATTTCCTGGCTGTTGAGTGCTGTCTATCCAGTTGTGATCTTCTGCAACTGACTTCATGTGACTCCCTTTAAACTGCTAAGAGGTTTGAAGAAAGTGATCCCAGCAGGGTTTAGAAATTAACAACCTAGTGTTTTTGTTTTCCATATCATATTTTGTGAATATCATCACTGGGCAATAATCTCCAAGAAACTGATTGACTTAAGTGAAATTACAAAAGAGAGTATTTAAACCAATCCAATAAGATTGGCACCAACACCCGGAATAACTGGAACAAATCACAAGTTTTCAAAGTGTGGTTTCTTAAACAGTATCACTAGTGTCATCTGGGAAAACTTCTGAGCAATCCAAATTCAGGGGCCCCACCCCAGCGAGGCCTAATAAATCAGACACTCTGTTGGTAGAGCCTGATCATCTGTCTTTTAAAAAGTCCTGCAGGTGATTCTAATCTTCACTAAAGTTATAAAAACACTGTACAAAACAAATGAACTATTACCTATGGGGGCAATCTGCTGCAGAAGCCAGTAGCCTCAGGCTCTGATATCTCTATTTGTCTTTAGTTAACTTTAATACTATTTAATCCTTTGTCTACATACCACTCCCTCTAGCAAAGATATGTATGAGTCAC